>NC_000007.14:130006779-130631779 GCF_000001405.40 Homo sapiens
GGCTTTTGGACACAGGTGAAGATCTGGGGACCCTGGGTGGCACTAAATTCCCTCTCCGGCAGTCAAGGGGGCAAGCATCAGGCTTCTTTCTCAAAGCCTTGTCTCCGTTGCCTCAGATGCGGTGACCTGTCCTGCACAGTCTGCAGGCTCTGCTGCTCACTTCCAGCTCAGAGATGGGGCACAGCCGGAGCCTAAACCTCCTGCTCCTCGGGTGGCAGGCCAGGCGGGCCACAGGACTGCAGAAGGCAAGATGGCAGCAGCTGAGAGAAAGGACTTCCTCTGCCTGTCACCACCCGATGGCCCTCTTGCTTCCAACCCACAGCCTAGGTGCCTGGCAGCCTGATTCTCAGGGCATTCTTCTGTGGTCCTTGGCTCTCCATGCTGCCTCTGTCTTCTGCTCTTACCCTGTTCTTGACTCAGGTGCCAGCCACCTTTCCCACCTGGAGGAGCACCCCCCCATGCCCAAACCAAGTTATACCTCATGTGGGGGGTGTGAGAGAGAGTTTCAAACTTCTTCCAAAGGTTCTTTGACATGTTCTGAACGTCTTAATGTTGTTCTGAACATTAGATACTTGTTAATACCCCACTGGACAGATAAAGAGACTGAACGCCAGGTGCGGTGGCTCATGCCTGTAATCCCAGCACTTTGGGAGGGTGAGGTGGGCGGATCGTTGAGCACAGGAGTTTGAGACCAGCCTGGGCAACATGGTGAGACCTTGTCTCTACAAAAAAAAAAAAACAAAAACAAAGATAAAGGGACTGAAATGGAAACTGACTTGCCCAAGGTCAGTTACCAGGGTGGGGCACCCAGATAGCCAGGCTCCCTATTCCAGCTCGGGCCTCCCCAACGCCAGGTCACCACCTCGTGCTGAGCACTGAGCACACATAGCTTGCATATCCCAAGTCCCCTAGGACAGTCTTCTTTTTTTTTTTTTTTGAGACAGAATCTCACTCTTGCTTAGGCTGGAGTGCAGTGGTACGATTTCGCCTCACTGCAATCTCCGCCTCCCAGGTTCAGGCGATTCTCCTGCCTCAGCCTCCTAAGCAGCTGGGATTACAGGTGCATGCCACCATGCCTGGCTAATTTTTGTATTTTTAGTAGAGATGGGGTTTCACTCTGTTGGCCAGGCTGGTCTCGAACTCCTGACCTCAAGTGATCTACTTGCCTTGGCCTCCCAGGATTACAGGTGTGAGCCACCACGCCCGGTCAGTACTGTTTTATGATGGCTCTTTAGTACTCCTTGGAGGAACAGAGCCACCTTCTTAGGCCTGTGGGATCACTACCTTAAAACACTGCTTCCTGTGCCTCCTGTCCCCACCCATGGGCGTCCCCTTCTGGCCTTCTTGGGTGCCCTTGCCAACTATGCCACAAATGGTCCCTCCAGTAGAAAGCCCCTCAAGGGCCAGAAGGGGCAGGGGACTTTCATTCTCATTTTTTACACCTTTTAAAAAAGTATTTTCTTTTTTTTTTTTTTTTTTTTTGAGACAGAGTCTCGCCTTGTCGCCCGGGTTGGAGTGCAGTGGCACAATCTCGGCTCACTACAACCTCTGCCTCCCAGGTTCAAGCGATTCTTCTGCCTCAGCCTCCCAAGTAGCTGGGATTACAGGCACACGCCACCATGCCCAGCTAATTTTTGTATTTTTAGTAGAAACAGGGTTTCACTATGTTGGCCAGGCTGGTCTCAAACTCTTGACCTCATGTGGCCCACCCACCCTGGCCTCCCAGAGTGCTAGGATTACAGACGTGAGCCACTGCTCCCGGCCTGAAAAAGTATTTTCTAATTTTATTAGTATTTTAAAACTTGGTACTGTGAAACATAGCACCTATTTTGTTCCTCATTTCACTTTGGAAAACCCCCAGGTTGAGTTAGTGGGAGTTGAGCCCAGTCACTGTTGACCGGCTGCATGGGCCTGGGCAGTGCTGAGACTTGGCAAGAGAGCCCAGGGCCCCCTGAGGACCAGTGGGGCACAGAGAGTGGCTACGGGTGTAGCATGGGATGGAGGAGAGGGAGAAGCTGCTGCCCGGTCCATCTCTGATTCGTGGAGCTGATTTTCCAAACACTCTAAGGCCTCGGTTCACATTCTGTTTCCCACAGAGGAGGCTCTGCGTCTCTGAACTGTTGTCAGGCCCCACCAGGCTCTTCACTGTTTGGAGCCAGATCTACGGAGCCAAACTGCCTTGACCTGCTTTCTGAGGAGGGGACAGGCAGCAAGTGCCGGACCTAGCCAGATTCAGCCCGCAGAAGGTGTTCCAGACTCCAAGCAGCCTGCTGGCCTAGCTCCAGGCCCAGGTGGCTGCAGACTCCACAATGGGTGACTCAGGTAAGCTGTGCTGGACAAACAAGCCAGTGTTCTCAGCCCAGCAGGGTGATGCCTGTCATAAGCTTTCCTGTCGTCATTGTACCGCCATTTCCTGAGGGTGGCCTTGCCAGGCCCGGAGCCAGGGTCCATGGAGACTGGTAGGAATGTGGTTATCTTGGTTTATGTCTTGTTGCCAAGGTGCTTCCCAATGCTTCTAAAGCTGGGCTTGGCGCTGATCCACCAGCACCTGTGCTGTCTGATGGTGGCATGGAGGCCGCTGGGCTGAAAGAGGCCTACTGAGACCACAGACAGTCTGGTGAGGAGATACTGGTATGTGTCTTTCTCATGATCCTAACACCTATAGTTTTGGTGCTCCCTTCCTTCAGGAGTCCCAAAAGACCAGGCAAGCTGGAGACACTTGGCCAGAGAGGCAACTGGGCTTAAACAGCCAGCTTAAACAAACAGCTACTATTTCCTGAGCACTTCTCATGTGCCAGGCACTGCTCTAAGCACTTCACATATGCCAATGAATTCTCAAAACATTCCTGTGACACAGCTACTAGTATTATCCCTAATTTACAGATGAGGAAGCTGAGGCTGAGTCATAGGTTCAGAAACACACAGCTGGTGACCAGTGAATCCAGGATCTGTACCCAGGCTATGGAACCTAGAGCCTGCTAGATCCACCTGCCAAGCTACCTGACCTAGAGCTGGTGTTTTTTTTTTTGTCCCCCTTTATTTTTCTTTTTTATAAACAAGGTGTCTTGCTCTGCCACCCAGACTGGAGTTCAGTGGTGCAATTATAGCTCACTGCAGTCTCGAACTCCTGGGCTCAAGCGATCCTCCCACTTCAGCCTCCCTAGTATAATGGGACTATAGGCACGTGCCACCACTTCTGGCTAGTGAGCTGGTGCTCCTAACTCTCACAGGGTACTGCCTCTCTTCTGCTCTGTCATGATGACTGTAGTGCAAGAAGGGGACTCAGCAAGAAGCCTCAGGATTCTAGGCGTGGCTCAGCCACAACCTGCTGTGTGATCTTGGCCTTCACTCCCCACTCTGGCCTTCAGACTCCTCAGGGATTAGACCAAGTAGTCTACAACTCTGCTTCCAGTTCTGTGGCTCTGACTCACGTGGAAACAGCAGTGGGGAAAGGCCCTATCCCTTAGCCCCACCGGAAGTGTCTACTGCTGATTACCAAGAACAGCCTCACGGGCTTTTGAGAAGGGCAGGGAGGATCAACTCCTGACCTGGTGACACTGATGGAGCAAAGCTGCTTCCCCACTCCACACCTCAGTTTCCCCACTCCTTCCAGTGGAGATAATGACCTCTGTGTGCTCAGTGCTACTGTGAGTCAGGGTTAATTAGCATTAGTCATAGACTTGGGAATCCTCACAAGAAAAGGGTCATCTGGTGGGTCTGGGCTGTGCCCTGGCTGTGATGAGACACCACTCATGCCCCTGTGAGTGTGTCATCATGCTTCATTAGTGGCTTGCCTAACTTTGCAGGTCGGCCCTGGGGTGGCCCAGCCCTGAGTGCGGGTGCTGAGATCAGCCAAAGGATGACACCTGGGGAGGGCTGCATGTGTCCCAGGGTGGCTGCCAATGGCTCACAGTCCCCTGGATTTCCCTTTCGGTTGACTTCCCATTCAATCGGGTTCTTATCATTGCTACTCGAGCCACTATTCCTGGATGCAAGGCCCCAACTCTGACCTTAAATTTAGAGGTTTTTTTTTCCTTCTCTGTCTCCTCAATAAATACCCATTCTCATTTCTGTCTCTCTGCTGACTGTTTCAATGCTTTCAGTTTCTTTCTGTTTCCATCACCGCACTTGGTAGAGCTTAAGTGGGGTTAGGGGAAAGACCCTGTAACAAAATAAGGACAAAGTAAGAATGATGATGTCTTGTGTTGGCAAGTCCAGCTAGGTAAGCCAGAAGTGGAACATGGGGGACATCTAGTGGCCGTAGTGGGTACTGCTAGCATTCTTGCCTGGCACCGAGGTCACATTCTTGAACTTTTTTTTTTTTTTTTTTTTTTTTTTTTTCTGAGACAGGGTCTTGCGCTATCTCCCAGGCTGGAGGGCAGTGGTGTGATCACAGCTCACGGCAGCCTTGACTTCCCAGGCTTAAGGGATCCTCGCACCTCAGCCTCCTGAGGAGCTGGGACTACAGGTGCACGCCACCACACCTGGCTTTTTTTTTTTTTTTTTTTTTTGGTAGAGACGGGGTTTCCCTATGTTGTCTACTCTGGTCTTGAACTCCTGGGCTCAAACAATCTGCCTGCCTTGGCCTCCCAAAGTGCTGGGATTACAGGCATAAGCCATCACGCCTGGCCTCATACCTGAACTTGATTCTCAAGTTGGCTACAGTGACTTGCCCCAGCTCTTGGAGACTTGGGAGATGGCACGATCCTTAGGAGGGGAGATTTTCTTATCACTTAATAGCTGATAAATTGCATTTCCCTTGACATCTGGTTTCTCTGGATCTACAGAAGAAAGGTCTCAGGCTGGGCACGGTGGCTCACGCCTGTAATCCCAGCACTTTGGGAGGCTGAGGCGGGTGGATCCTTGAAGTCAGGAGTTCAAGACCAGCCTGGCCAACATGGTGAAACCCCATCTCTACTAAAAACACAAAAATTAGCTGGGCGGTAGTGGCATATGCCTGTAATCCCAGCTACTCAGGAGGCTGAGGGAGGAGAATTGCTTGAGCCTGGGAGGTGGAGGTTGCAGTGAGCCGAGATCCCACCACTGCACTCCAGCCTGGGCGACAGAGACCCTCCCTGTCTCAAAAATAAAAAAAGGAAAAAAAATCAGTCCAGCATGGTGGTGGGCACCTGTAGTTCCAGCTACTACGGAGGCTGAGGCAGAATCACTTGAACCCAGGAGGCAGAGGTTGCAGTGAGCTGAGATTGCAGTATTGCACTCCAGCCTGGGCAACAGAGCAAGATTGTCTCAAAACAAAAACAAAAACAAACAACCCAAGTAACAATGGAATTAAACATCGTCATGCATGTATAACTATGTCCTTGGTTAAAGGCAGGCAGTGGGGTCTGCCTTGGAGGCTGATGGGCTGAGTTTGAATCCCGGCCCTCACTTACTGGGCTGTGTGACCCTGAACAAAGTAATTAACTTATGCTTTTGTTTCCTCATTTGTAAAAATGGAACAGTAATTATACCTTCCTCATAGGACTGCTATGAGGCTTAAATAAGATAAAATGCTTAGACCAGTGCTTGGCAAACAATCTGTACTTACAAGTGATAGCTATTTGCAGCAGTAGTAAAATCAAGTTTCAGAGGTTCTCCTGCTCAAGACTGATTCCCCACATTTCAGTAGGAGGTAGACTCCAGCTGCAGTCTTGGTTTCGCTATCACTTTTTTTTTGAGATGCAGTCTCCCTCTGTCACCCAGGCTGGAGTGCAGTGGCGCGATCTCAGCTCACTGGAACCTCCGCCTCCCGGGTTCAAGTGATTCTCCTGCCTCAGCTTCCCAAATAGCTGGGACTCCAGGCACCCATCACCACGCTCGGCTAATTTTTGTATTTTTAGTAGAGATGAGGTTTCACCACGTTGGCCAGGCTGGTCTTGAACTCCTGACCTCAAGTGATCCGCACACCTCAGCCTCCCAAAGTGCTGGGACTATAGGTGTGAGGCACTGCACCTGGCCTTGGTATCACTTCTGATTGGCTCAAAACCCGTTGTGCCGTCAAGTTATTCTTGTGTGCCTTTCCTTCTGCTCCATTGGTTCTAGTTAGGTTGGACAAGACTGGCTAAGAAATGGACACAGAGGCTAAAAAGGATTTTCTTGTCTCTGTGATCCTGGCTTCCCCGTGAGAACTATGAAGGCCTTGGAGGTGAATCTTGAGTCCCTTCTAGGCTTCACATTTTCTGTTCCTACTACCATCCCTTTGAGGGCTGTTACTGACACACTATAGGAAACAATTTTCCTCCATATCTGCTTACTGGGATATCAATAGGTGGCTAATAGAAAGAAGTGAGTACAGAAAGCTGAAGAGTATGTTATTATAATGATCTGACTTGTTGGATAATCTCTGGATAAGTGACCAAATCTCCATGACCTACCTGTCCTACACAGAGGCCTTTGTATGTTCCTGTTTCCCTCTCTTCCTAATTGGCTTCAGCTATACAACAGTCAGTTCAACTAGAGAGGCACTGTGGCAAGAAAAACAATAACCACCACAGCTGTAGCCAAGGAGCAATGAGATAAAAGAGAGTATGGGATATAGATGGAATGAATGGTCTCTAATTAAAGGGTTTAAATGCAGCATTCACTTCTGAGGGCATGGGCCAACTGACCAGGATGGCAGCTGTATAAAGCCAAAGAAAACCTAGAATAGAAATAAAACTAAACATAGAAAGGAAAACTGAGGAGAAGGAAGTGTTTGTACTTTTGTCGATGGTCAAGCTGTGCGTGCAGCTGTTTTTATTGCTAAGATGGAATAGGATGGAAGGGATTCAGAAGTGGCTCTCAGGCACCCACAACCAGAAGAAGAGTATAAGTGAGGAAAGCCCCAAAGAGAATGCTCCACCTGTTAAGTCTATTAAAGTTGGCTGAAATCAAAAAGGAGCCAGGAGAAAGACTCTCTTCTGGGCACTAGTATCCCGTGAGTGGCTGCAAGATACTCCTTTCTACTGTGAGAGGGAGATCTCAACTTTGAGCTTGGGAAAGAAAACCATAGACTCACAGTGCTTGGAAGATATTCCCAGCTGTATCGTAATGGAAAGAACAGAAGCTGGGAAAGATGGATTTCAGTGTGGCTCTGCCTCATTCTAGCTATATGACAGCTAGTTATTAGATGTCTTTGAGCTTCAGTCTTCTCGGTAAAAACAAAATCTACTTGGATGGGGAATGCAACCTTTGTTAAAACACAGAATCCTAGAGGATTTAGTGGAGAAAATTAGTAAAAGGAGAATCTGAAGTTTGGGGGGACTATAATAATGGGGTATGAATAATCTGGAATGGCAAGGGCTCTTCAAAATGCCACCACCTGTCCTGATCACTGAGACCAAGTACTGCAAAAGAAGGTGCTGGCCTGGGAGGTCAGGAGGAAGGCGCTGAAGTTCTATTTACCAGCAGGAGACAACACAAATCACATAGGATCCTCATAAGCTACCTAATGTGGCTAACACAGGTGGAAAAATTCCTTAGAATGACGACTTTTAATGCTACCTTTGTGGATAGTCAAGTAGCAAAAATGAAATTTCAGGCAATTATCTTCTTTAAAGGGATCTAACAAAAGGAAAAAAAAAATTCAGGCTGGGCGCAGTGACTCATGCCTGTAATCCCAGCACTTTGGGAGGCTGAGACAGGCAGATCACTTGAGGTCGGGAGTTTGAGACCACCCTGGCCAACATGGCGAAACCCTGTCTCTACTAAAAATACAACAATTAGCCAGGCATGGTGGTGCATGCCTGTAATCCCTGCTACTCAGGAGGCTGAGGCAGGAGAATCACTTGAACCCGGGAGGCAGAGGTTGTAGTGAGCCGTGTTCACACCACTGCACTCCAGCCTGGGCAACAGAACAACACTCTGTCTCAAAAAAAAAAAAAAAAAAAAAAAAAAATTCAAATAAAGAATCAAATTAGGAAGAGTGGGTTCCTAGAAAGGCCAAACTAAAAATGTTTACATGAGCAAACCACAAGACGAATGAATAAAGGCCTGGGGTTAAAAGGATGTCCCAGGGTGTGGAAGAGAACAGATGCTTTGGGAAAGGAAGCTCATGTGCTCAGTCCCATCTGAGAACACCCCATTATGCTACTAAGCTGGAATGAGTATATTTGAAAGCATACTCACGCCAGCTCAGTAGCGTATTCTCCAGAAACGGTGACATGTAGACTTGAACTCATGCTGTTAAAGAGGATGGCATTAAGATCTCTTGTGAGAAGACAACAAGGTTGAGAGCTTTACTCTACATGGCTCTATAGATCCTAAGCTTTTTTTTTTTTTAAAGACAGGGTCCTTTGTGTCACCTAGGCTAGTCTTGGACTCCTGGGCTCAAGCAATCCTCCCAAATAGCTGGAACTACAGGTGTGTGCCACCACTCCTAGCTGATTTTAAGCATTTGAAACAATGATCTTTGATTTCTTCAACACATTGAATCCTCCTCTCCTGAACTCCATTTCTAGACAGATATTTTCATATGTAACTGAACTCAATAAAAAGTGAGTAAAAGTAAAAAACTATTATCATCCATTAACACCTGAGGGGTTCTCTGTCTTGGTTAGGCCTCAACCTCAAGGTCATCTTTAATTCTTCCCCTCTTCCTCATGCCCAAAACCAATCATGAAGTCATTGCTGAGATTTCTATCAAATTATGCCCCATTGCAACTGCCATGGCCACTGCCCTCACACTTCCCTTAAATCCTTCTTGTCTTCCCTAAGCCAGGCTATTCAGAGACACTGGAATTATCTTCCTAAGCACAAATGTCTTTTTTTTTTTTTTTTTTTTTTTTCTGAGACAGAGTCTTGCTCTGTCACCCAAGCTAGAGTGCAGTGGCGTGATCTCAGCTCACTACAACCTTCATCTCCCAGGTTCAAGTGATTCTCCTGCCTCAGCCTCCCGAGTAGCTGGGATTATAGTCATGTGCCACCACACCCAGCTAACTTTTGTATTTTTAGTAGAGACGGGCTTTCACCATGTTGGCCAGACTGGTCTCAAACTCCTGACCTCAACTGATCTGCCCGCCTCGGCCTCCCAAAGTGCTGGGATTACAGGCATGAGCCACCATGCCCAGCCCAAAATATTCTTTAAGAGTTTCTCTTTCCCTAGAGAATCAAGTCCAAACTCCTTAGTATAACATACAAGACTCTAATCTGGCCCAACTTCCATTTTCTTTTCCTTTCTTTTCTACTCAACACAGAGTTCTAGCCACAGCAGAATACCTGCTCTTCCTGGAACATATCCTACATGCTGCTCATTTGCTTACAATGCTCCCTCAGTCTCGGATGTGCATATTTTTAACCGAGGGTCTATCACGTGTCAGGCACTGTTTTGAATGTTGAGATTAAAACCAGGACAAAGTCCCTGTTCTCATGGAGCCTGCATCTCCCACTCATCTCCAAGGACCAGCTCAAATCTACACCTTCCTCAAAGTTCTTCCCAACGACACATGACCATTCACTTCTTCCTTTTTTATACCTCTCCTAGACTAGAGCATTTAGCAGTTTGTCCCGCAACATTTATATACCAGTGTGTCTTCTGGCCTGGCCTATATACTTCTTAGAGGTAGAAAGTAGGTAGTCATTCATCTACAGGGGCTAGCACAGTGCCTCACACATGAAAGAGAATGTTTCTTGAATTACACAAAGTCTATCTCAATCTGCTTCAATTTATATTTTTATTTACATATTTATTTTTGAGACAGGGTCTCACTCTGTTGCCCAGGCTGGAGTGAGTGCAACGGTGATCTTAGCTCACTGCAGTCTGCCTTTCTGGGCTCAAGAGATCCTCCCAGCTCAGCCTCCTGAGTAGCTGAGACTACAGGCAAAAGCCACCATACCTCACTAATTTTTTTCTATTTTTCGTTTAAGACAGGATTTCTCCTTGTTGCCCAGGCTGGTCTTGAACTCCTAGACTTGAGTGATCCTCCTGCCTCAGCCTCCCAAAGTGTTGGGATTGTAGGCATGAGGCATCATGCCTGGCCTCTGCTTCCATTTATGATTTTATTTTATTTTTTAATTTATTATTATTATTATTTTTGAGATGGAGTCTCGCTCTGTTGCCCAGGCTGGAGTGCAGTGGTCGATCTCGGCTCACTGTAAGCTCCGCCTCCCGGGTTCGCGCCATTCTCCTGCGCTCAGTAGCTGGAACTACAGGCGCCCGCCACCACGCCCAGCTAGTTTTTTATATTTTTAATAGAGATGGTGTTTCACCGTGTTAGCCAGGATGGTCTCGATCTCCTCACCTCGTGATCCGCCAGCCTCGGCCTCCCAAAGTGCTGGGATTACAGGCGTGAGCCACTGTGCCTGGCCATTTTATTTTTATTTTTTGACCTGGACTCTTGCTCTGACGCCAAGGCTGGAGTGTAATGGCGGCAATCTCACTGTAGCCTCCTCCCCCGGGGTTCCAGCTATTCTCCTGCCTCTGCCTCCAGAGCAGCTGGGATTACAGGTGCACGCCGCCACACACGGCTGATTTTTGTATTTTTAATAGAGACAGGGTTTCACCATGTTGGCCAGGCTGATCTTGAACTCCTGACCTCAGGTGATCCGCCCACCTTGGCCTCCCAAAGTGCTGGGATTACAGGCGTGAGCCACCACGCCCGGTCAGATTATTAATTTTTGTTGGGTGTAATATGTTGGAGAAAAGTTATATATATATAAAAATATACATAAATATATATATATATATATAATGAGACGGAGTCTTGCTCTGTCACCCAGGCTGGAGTGCAGCAGACGATCTCGGCTCGCTGTAGCTTCCACCTCCTGGGTTCAAACGATTCTCCTGTCTCAGCCTCTCCAGTAGCTGGGACACCAGGCACCCGTCACCACGCCTGGCTAATTTTTGTATTTTTAGTAGAGATAGGGTTTCACCATGTTGGCCAGGTTGGTCTTGAACTCTTGACCTCAAGTGATCTGCCCACCTTGGCCTCCCAAAGTGCTGGGATTACAGGTGTGAGCTACCGCACCTGGCCTAGGTTCTATTTTTTAGAGATTAAACTATGAGTAAAATATTATGTGTTATTTTCTTTAAAATACTTCAGTACAAAAGTATAAAACAAAACAATCTCAGTGACGAAAAACATGGCATATCAGAGAATAATCACTTTCTAGCCTTTGCTAGGTCATGGTTACTTTATCAGTGGGCAGTTCAGGGTCCACCTTCTCTACCACAAAAACTGATGATCCCCCAAAAGCAACGAGTCTTGGGGAAGCCCAACTGGGGGACTCATGCATTCAATGGCACATGGAGAGGGGTCTCTTCTGAAGTGCCTTCCTCCCCATTACATTGTTTTATTCTGTTATTATCAAAGCAAGGAGAAAATTATCAGTTGACCATTCACTATAACACACCAGGAAATTTCCTGGTGGCATAATGAAAATCATCTTGCTTTTGGTTTAGGAAAGATTATACCTCCTTGACTGGAATCACAAATTTTAGGCTTTGCAGCCAATCTGAAAATCAAAAGTTGAATGTTCCACTGAAGTTTCTCCGGCCCACAGGGCAAGGGGGAAAACAGTTCTCCAACAATGAGAATCTTAGCAAATATTTTATTAATACACACTGTCATAGTCCTAGGATAGAAGAGTCCTCAGAACACTGCTCCACATTGAAGATGCTGAAATGGGTGGTCAGGTCCTTAGTCTTCCTTCTAGTCTGTTAATCCCACACTCCTTTAACAGAACCATGCTTGCTGCCCTTACCCTGTCCACATCCCTGAAAGGAAACGGGTCTCTCTCAGCCAGATGCAGATAGTTGACACTCACTGCCTTTGCTATGGCAGGGGGCTCCTTATGATTAACCCAGAACAGGAAAAACTTAGTGTCAGCTGACCGAAAGGAACTCAGCCTTAATTTTTCAAAAAGTCACTCTCATTCCAGCTATCTCCAGGAAGGCGCTGGAGTATCTTCAGCATGAGCACAGAGATTCCCACTGCCGAAATATTCGGAATACTTTCCTTGATTTCTCAGAGAGACTCTGTAGGTAGAAAAGCTTATTATTAGTGATTACGTTCTTTTATAGAGACAAAGGATAGATCATTTGTCCCACAATGATCTGGATATGTCTAGGACTAAGTAAAAATTCATTTTGTAGTATGCTATACATAATGTATACCTAAAGTCAGACTAAAGATCGAGGGGCCAACGTTCTACTGTCAGACTCCTGTTAACACACTCTGAGCCTCTAAGACACGGCTCATATCCTCCCTTCAGGCATCTGTATCTGTCCTCATCTTTGTACTTGAGGATGACACTTCTGACTTGCCGTTAGTACAGCACATGTTTTGCACTGGTTTTTCTTTTTTTTTTTTTTTTTGAGACGGAGTCTCACTCTGTCACCCAGGCTGGAGTGCAGTGGCGCAATCTCGGCTCACTGCAAGCTCTGCCTCCCGGGTTCACGCCATTCTCCTGCCTCACCCAGTAGCTGGGACTACAGGCACCCGCCACCACTCCTGGCTAATTTTTTGTATTTTTAGTAGAGATGGGGGTCTCACCGTGTTAGCCAGGATGGTCTTGATCTCCTGACCTCGTGATCCGCCTGCCTCGGCCTCCCAAAGTGCTGGGATTACAGGCGTGAGCCACCACGCCCGGCCTGCACTGGTTTTTCATTCATGATGCTGAATTGGCCCTAGTTCATTATTTATTGTGAATAAGTACTTATACTTAATGTGATGCCTAGCTGAGGTTAACAGTATAAACCAAGGACAACTAATAAAAACAGAGTTGAATGACCCCTATGAGTTTAAGCTCTGGCCTTGGTCTTCACCGCTTTTATGTTTTAGCCAGCAGTGCTAATAATAGGAAGAATCGCAGTGCCATCTGATCATGCCAATGAAGTACTCTGAGATTCTGAGAAATGGTGGTAAAGGGAGACAAAGTAATTCATTAGGAGACAAAAGCTCTTGGTGAATCAGAACACTTGGTTCTGTCTGCCTTTGAGAGTCACAATGAAGAGCAAGTATTCCACGCAGAAAGGGTCTCAGTGAGAGTACAAAGAATGTCTAGCAAGATGATCCACAGTTACCTCCAGTTTCTCATATGACGCTTTCACAGGTTTTTTTTTTTTTTTTTTTTTTTTTTGAGACAGGTCTCGCTCTGTCGCCAGGCTGGAGTGCTGTGGTGCCATTTCAGCTCACTGCAACCTCTTGACTCCCTGGTTCAAGCGATTCTCCTGCCTCAGCCTCCTGAGTAGCTGGGATTACAGGCATATGCCACCACGCCCAGCTAATTTTTGTATTTTTAGTAGAGATGGAGTTTCACCATGTTGGCCAGGATGGTCTTGATCTCCTGACCTCATGATCTGCCTGCCTCGGCCTCCCAAAGTGCTGGGATTACAGGCGTGAGCCACTGCGCCCGGCCCACTTTCACAGTTTTTTAAAAATCTATCCTCTTTGAGGATGTTTCAATAAGTTCCAGGAGGAAAAAGTTTGAACTCTTACTAATGACTGAGGGAAATTTAGTTAATAGAGTGACAAAGTTGAAAGAAACCTGAGTTGAAAAAATAGTATACACTTTTTTCTTTTTTTTTTTTTTTTGAAAGGGAGTCTCACTCTGTTGCCCACGCTGGAGTGTAGTAGTGCGATCTCGGCTCACTGCAACCTCCACCTCCCAATTCTCCTGCCTCAGCCTCTGGAGTACTGGGATTACAGGTGCACACCAACAGTCCTGGCTAATTTTTGTATTTTCAGTAGAGATGGGGTTTTGCCATGTTGGCCACGCTGGTCTCGAACTCCTGACCTCAGGTGATTCCCCTGCGTCAGCGTCCCAAAGTGCTGGGATCACAGGCATGAGCCACTGTGCCTGGCCTCGGTATATACTTTTTTTTTTCGAACATCAGGATCCTTTACCACACAGTCTCATTAAGCTTTCTAGCTTCGTCACAGCAGCTGTCAGAAGGTTAAGACACACTACCGAAAAAAAAAGTCCTGGAATCCAGGGCCAATTATGAGGCCAACTTTTCCCACTACAAAACAAAAACAAAACCCATAGGCTTTCTTTTTCGTATGGCAGTGACAGAGAGGAGTCTTACTGAAAACTGCCAATGTACTAGTTCCTGAAGATCTAGGCAGAGAAATGCGGATTTTTTTTTCTGTGAAAACTTGGAAAACCTTCACCTGCATATTTACTAAGGGTACTAATATACATTTATTTTTATTTTATTTTTTTTTGAGACAGCGTCTCTCTCTGAAGCCCAGGCTGGAGCGCAACCTCGGCTCACTGCAACCTCCGCCTCCTGGGTTCAAGTGATTCTCCAGCCTCAGCCTCCCCAATAGCTGGGATTACAGGCGCCTGCCACCACACATGGCAAATTTTTTTTTTTTTTGTATTTTGAGTAGAGACGAGGTTTCACCATGTTGGCTAGGTTGTCTCAAACTCTTGACCTCAGGTGATCCATTCGCCTTGGCCTCCCAAAGTGCTAGGATTACAGGCGTGAGCCACCACACCCAGCCATGCAATTTTGGACTTTTAGCATTACTATAGTTCCCTCCAGTGGAATCCTGTAACCCTAGAAAACCATGAATCTAGGAGTGCTGCTCATAAATATCTGCTGACAAGTATTATTTTACTTTGTCCTTGAAAGTTATAGACTACGATCAGAAATTGTTACCAGCTACAAGGAAAATTTGGGAGTGAGCCAGCGAAGGAGAGAACCCAGTTTTCATGGTTCCATATTACCCAGCCTATCACTTCCAATCTTTACACAGAGCAAACACTTGACTTTTCTTCTCAGTTGTCACCCACATTTGTAACCCACAGCAGTTATGGCTGCAATGGCTAGCAGAGTCACAGTCTGGGCTGTGGAACAGAGTAAAGTAATGTGCCCAGCGTGCGGAATGAGGCCATCATCTTGGTGTCAGAGCCCAGTGCTCCAAACAGCTAAGTTAACTGGCCAGGCTCCAAGTGCAAGTGACAGCAAATGAAAGAAAAAGCAGCTGTCTGCAACATGAGGCCGGAGCAGCTGCCTGTTCATCTATTTCTGTTTCCGTACTCCTTTTCTACTTGGAGTCACTTTATTTAGGAGAACAAAAGAATTTATCAGAACTTGACGGAATGCCATATGCTAAACTACAGAAAGACGAACCGGTTCTATGCCTAATCCCTAGGACGAAAGCAGAATGAGTCTAACTTGACGTATAAGCCGGGCACGGTGGCTCACGCCTGTAATCCCAGCACTTTGGGAGGCCGAGGCGGGGGGATCACCTGAGGTCAGGAGTTCGAGACCAGCCTGGCCAACATGGTGAAACCCTGTCTATTAAAAATACAAAATTAGCCGGGTGTGGTGGTGGGCGCCTGTAATCCTAGCTACTTGGGAAGCTAAGGCAGGAGAATCGCTTGACCCAGGAGGCGGAGGTTGCAGTGAGCTGAGATCGTGCCATTGGACTCCAGCCTAGGCAACAAGAACGAGACTCCATCTCAAAAAACAAACAAACAAACAAAAAAACCCAAATAACTTGACGTATGAAAGCTGAAGGCAGGCGGGGTGCTAATTATAGGCCCAGCCTCTGCTCCACCTCCCATAAACAGCAAGTGCTGCCCACACACAAGGCAGTGGCGTATCTCACCATGGAGTCCGTTTCAGCTGGCTGGCTAGACTGTTTGTGCGCCAAGAGGATGGTCAGCACTGCTTTCCAGCCTGGCTCTGCTGGGGCGCTGGCATCTGGTTCAGTTCCACCATTCTCCCTGCTTTCTTTGCCAAGTGTGATATTCACCCAAGGGCACCAGTCTCTATGCTGAGAGGTGGGATCAAAGAAGCTTCGGGAAGATGTGTCCTGAGGAAGGAGAAAAAGAAATAGCATTCATAGGTAGATGCTATGTAAGTTCAGGGAGGCACTGCTGTTAGTTATCAAGTCCAGAATCTCACAACTACCCATACTTCGAGTGTTTATGCTCTCCTTCAAACTTTGCCTACACATTTTCCTCTCATTTTCTTTATTTTTTCACTCCTTTTGTGTTAAACAAACTATACCTTATCACAAGGGATAAGGGATACCCAACCCCCAGGCCATGGATGGGTACCAGGTCGCACAGTAGGAGGTGAACAGCAGGCGGGCAAGCAAAGCTTCATCTGAATTTACAGCTGCTCCCCATTGTTTGCATTACCACCTGAGCTCTGCCTCCTGTCAGATCAGCAGTGGCATTAGATTCTTATAGGAGCAGGAACCCTACTGTGAACTGCACATGAGAGGGATCTAGACTTCGGGCTCCTTATGAGAGTCTGACACCTCATGATCTGTCACTGTTTCCCGTCACCCCCAGATGAGATCATCTAGTTGCAGGAAAACAAGCTGCAGGTTCCCACTGACTCTATATTATGGTGAGTTGTACAATTATTTCATTATATATTACAATATAATAATAATAGAAATAAAGTACACAATACATGTAATGTGCTCGTATCATCCCGAAACCATCCTCCCAACCGTGGTCCGTGGAAAAATGGTCTTCCATGAAAACGGTCCCTGGTGCCAAAAAGGTTGGGGACCGCTGCCAGATCAGGTTTGTCCCTGTATCACACCGTTGTTCCATTTGCCTGAAATATCTATTATTTCTCCAGAATCCACTCCAAAGGAACAAAAAGGAGCAAAAAACATGACTGACATTTTTTCCCTTTGGTCATCCAACTTTAAATTTATTCACATGGTCTACTTTTTGCATTGGACCACGGAAGGGCTCCTGCCTGCTTCTCCATGCTGCCTAGGGAGGGCCCAATATGCTGTTTATGCTCAGCCACTGCTACATGCGAGGTGGACTCACCGAACTGCTGGAGGAGCAGAGGCGAGCTCGCTTGGCTTTCCGCAGAGGGCTAGATGGTACCTCCAGGCCAGGGGTGTCTCCTGTTCCCATGCTTCGGGTCACTGGGCGAGTTCTGGTGGTGGGGCTAGCAGCCTCTGGCTCAGGACGGTCAACAGGACTGGAAGAGTCCCAGCTCCGAGTTCGAGAGACAATGGGACCAGGGCTCTTTTCAGCCTGAAGGAAAGGGGAGATAATGGAAGTACACGAATGATATTAATGATTATGGTCAGAAATACTTCTTTCTTTAATCTTTTTTCTTTTTTTTTTTGAGACAGAGTCTCGCTTTGTTGCCAAGGCTGGAGAGCAGTGAGGCGATCTTGGCTCATGGCAACCTCTGCCTCCCGAGTTCAAGTGATTCTCCTGCTTCAGCCTCCCAAGTAGCTGGGATTACAGGTGCCTGCCACCACACCTGGCTAATTTTTGCATTTTTGGTAGAGACGGGGTTTCACCATGTTGGCCAGGCTGGTCTCAAACTCCTAACCTCAAGTGATCTGCCTGCCTCAGTCTCCCAAAGTGCTGGGATCATAGGCGTGAGCCACCGGGTCTGGCTGAATTTAGCTTCCCCATTAGTGAACAGAAACACTATGTGGTATCGTAACCAATGTAGTGGGAAGAGAAGCCTATCCACCTAAATTAATTTCCAACTTTCTACCAACAACACTTTTGCCAAGAATGTTGTTTAAAATTCCACCCCAAATAAGCTAAGTGAATACCTGCTCTGAGCCTGGGGAGAAAGTGGCATCCTGGCTCCGGGTCATCATCCTCCGAGGAGATTCAGGCACCAGAGGTAAGCGCTCTGGTCGCCCCTCAAGGCCTGGGATTGGGGAGCTGGTCAGGCCAAAGGATGCATCCAGGTCAGTCATGGACGATTCAATCTGCTGGAAGCCCCAGAGCCCCACCTTCCTCATACATTGCGAACATGTTATCAGGGAGAGCTGCATGGATTCCAAAGAGGAACTAGATAGGAATGAAAAAGAGAGTTTTCTCAAAGTGTAACATTTCCAAATGACTAAGTGCAATGTCTTGTGAGTATGCCTTATCTCATCCAATTTCTGGAACAGTCACCATGTCCTATCAGAGCCTCTGTGCTCCAGTCTCAGGACCCAGCTTCATACTTCATCATCTCTCACATATTTCCCATAGAAAGACCTCGGGTTCTTAGTGTGCTCTCTATGGTAAGACTGTTTTGCAGGCATGTTTTAAAAGTTTCTCGGCCGGGTGCAGTGGCTCATGCCTGTAATCCCAGCACTTTGGGAGGCCAAGGTGGGTGGATCACCTGAGGTCAGGAGTTCGAGACCAGCCTGACCAACAACAACAACAACACAAAAAGTTTCTCCTGTCCCTCTTTTTTTTTTTTTTTTTTTTTTTTTTTTGAGTCAGAGTTTTGCTCTTGTTGCCCGGGCTGGAGTGCAATGGTGCGATCTCAGCTCACTGCAACCTCCGCCTCCCAGGTTCAAGTGATTCCCCTGCCTCAGCCTCCTGAGTAGCTGGGATTACAGGCACCCGCCACCATGCCCGGCTAATTTTTGTACTTTTGGTAGAGATGGGGTTTCACCATGTTGGCCAGGCTGGTCTCGAATTCCTGACCTCAGGTGATCCACCCGCCTTGGCCTCCCAAAGTGCTGGGATTAAATAAGTGTGAGCCACCGTACCCACCCTCTCTTGTCCCTCTTAAAGTCTTTTCCCTTTAAACAAAAAACATTCCTTAATCTACCAAAGAGAGCATATTTAAAATACATCAAGATTTATTTACTGTCAGAACCAATCTTGATGTATTTTAAATATGCTCTCTTTGGTAGATTAAGGATAGTGGGAGTCTATGCCAAATTGAGCAGCTGGAATGGAAATAGCAACATGGGGGCCTAGAAGACTCCAGCTGGTGTTTCCTATGGTAGTTTTTATCAATTAAGCGGATTTTTCTTCCTTTCTAAAAATAGAAAAGAACTTCCTTTCTATTTTTCCTTCTTAAAAATAGAAAAGAGCTTATTTTCTTTCCATTTTTAGAAAGGAGGTTCACTGTTTATAGAACACAAATTCAGCCTGGTGTGGTGGCTCACGCCTGTAATCCCAGCACTTTGGGAGGCCGAGGCAGGCAGAACACGAGGTCAGGAGATCAAGACCATCCTGACTAACACGGTGAAACCCCGTCTCTACCAAAAATACAAAAAATTAGCTGGGCGTGTGGCAGGCACCTATAGTCCCAGCTACTCGGGAGGCTGAGACAGGAGAATGGCGTGAACCCGGGAGGCGGAGCTTGCAGTGAGCTGAGATCGCGCACGCCACTACCCTCCAGCCTGGGCAACAGAATGAGACTCCGTCTCAAAAAAAAAAAAAAAAAAAAAAAAGAGAACACAAATTCCCAGTTAAGAAGCAACAGTACAAGAAACAAAGTTCAGTTGTGAACACCAAGAATTCCTGAATTCCAATTCTGGTTTTGTTACTAATTCTTATTATCCATTCTCCTCGCACCATCCCCCACCCAGTTTTTCTTTGTCTCTTTTTCTCACGGGAAACACCATGTGATTTCTAAATACGATTAGTGACTGATATATATGGGTGTAATGCTGTTGTCATGGTTCATGTCTCCAGGCAAAATCTGCTGACTCACCTACACGCCCAGCCACACACAGAGAGAATACAGGCAGTGACGTGGACTTGGATGTCTGAGCCTAATTTGATTGTAGTTTTTCTCTCATCAGTTCGGTGATCAAGTTCATCTTCAAGCAAGTGTAGGAGAAGACTGATCTTGTCTTCTGTCAAGCACTACAAGGGAGCCAAGTAAAAAACTTCGTTTCAACCACCATAAAAAGAAAAATTACACATTATAACATACCTAGATGGTACAAGCCGAAAATCAGGAAGGAAATTACAAACATGAAGATACTTCTCTTCACAGAGAACAAAATACTTCCAGGGACAGGGCTATAGTATCACACAGAAGCTTTCTGAATTGCCCTGAATCTGCTGACTGAGAAAGATGGAGTCTCCCTGGAACTGCCAAAACTCTTGTTAGTACTAAATTGTTCAATTTACCAGCTGCAGATTTTCCCTGAAACCTGCAAACTTCAAACCCAAATAGTGAAGACAAATTACTGCTTATGTCTTAGCCTGACACTAAATTTACTTAAACATTAAAGAGGCCAGGCGTGGTGGCTCACGCCTGTAATCCCAGCACTTTGGGAGGCCGAGGCAGGTGGATCACAAGGTCAGGAGATCGAGACCATCCTGGCTAACATGGTGAAACCCCGTCTCTACTAAAAATACAAAAAAATTGGCCGGGCGTGGTGGCGGGCACCTGTAGTCCCAGCTACCCTGGAGGCTGAGGCAGGAGAATAGCGTGAACCTGGGAGGCGGAGCTTGCAGTGAGCTGAGATTGCACCACTGCACTCCAGCCTGGGCGAATGAGCAAGACTCCGTATCAAAAAAAAAAAAAAAAAAAAATTAAAGAAAAAAAAATTTTAGAGATGGGGTCTCACTATGTTGGCCATGCTGGTCTTGAACTCCTGAGCTCAAGCAATCCTCCCACCTCAGCCTCCTGAGTAGCTGGGACTACAGGCATACATCACTGTGCCCCAGGCTCTAAATTTACTTTTTGACAGAACAACAAAGCTCGTTAGACTTTATTTTTGTTCTAAGAAAAATAAGGAACTATGACCAGGTGGAAAAAAAAAATTGCCTTGGCTAGGGACAGGGTTATATTCATAAGCATCAGAGGTTAATAGTTTCAGTCTATGGCCATACCACCCTGAACGCGTCCAGTCTCATCTCATCTCGGAAGCTAAGCAGGGTCAGGCCTGGTTAGTACTTGGAGGGGACTTTGGGAGGTTAACAGTTTGATGCTAAAACCCATACCACTCTCTTAATTTGAAGAGGCTACTATTTCCTACAGTAAAGCTTGTCTTCATGGAGTACCCATAGGGTGATTAAATGGAACAGTAAATATTCAGTTTCAAAGTACAGATTGACTAGAGCATTTATTTTATTTTTGAGATGGAGTTTCGCTCTTGTTGCCCAGGCTGGAGTGCAATGGTGCGATCTCGGCTCACTGCAACCTGTCTCCCAGGTTCAAGCAATTCTCCTGCCTCAGCCTCCCAGGTAGCTGGGACTACAGGCATAAACTACCATGTCCGGCTAATTTTTTGTATTTTTAATAGAGACGGGGTTTCACCATGTTGGCCAGGCTGGTCTCGAACTCCTGACCTCAGGTGATCTACCCACCTCAGCCTCCCAAAGTGCCGGGATTACAGGCATGAGCCACTGTGCCCGGGCTGACTACAGCATTTAAACATTTCTACTCACAAGGAGAAAGGAGTTTGTTACTTTCTTTGAAAAATGATGGCCGGGTGTGGTGGCTCACATCTGTAATCCCAGCACTTTGGGAGGCCGAGGTGGGCGGATCACGAGGTCAGGAGATCTAGAACATCCTGCCCAACACAGTGAAACCCTGTCTCTACTAAAATTACAAAAATTAGCTAGGCGTGGTCGCACGTGCCTGTAATCCCAGCTACTTGGGAGGCTGAGACAGAAGAATCGCTTGAACCCAGGAGGCGGAGGTTGCAGTGAGCCAAGATCACCACTGTACTACAGCCTGGCGACAGAACAAGACTCTGTCTCAAAAAAAAAAAAAAAAAAAAAAAAAAAAAAAAAAAAAGATATGCAATAAACCATATGCAGTCACATTTCAGTATTTTCTGTTAAATAGTTTAAGTAGGCTGGGTGTGCCGGCTCATGCCTGTAATCCCAGCACTTTGGGAGGCCGAGGCAGGTGGATCACCTGAGGTCAGGAGTTTGAGAACGGCCTGACCAATATGGTGAAACCCCGTCTCTACTAAAAATACAAAAATTAGCCAGGTGTGGTGGCAGACGCCTGTAATCCTAGCTACTCAGGAGGCTGAGGCAGGAGAATTGCGTGGACCTGGGAGGTGGAGGTTGCAGTGAGCCGAGATTACACTATTGCACTCCAGCCTGGGTGACAGAAAGAGACTCGGTCTCAAAATAATAATAATAATAATTTAAGTAATAAATCAAGATAAAACTGAATTTATGGGAAGCATATATTCAGGGCAAACTTGAATCTATGCTTCCAGGTTACAGCCCTAAAACTTGGCCCAAATAAACTGCTTATATACATATATGTTAAATTGAATCTATGCCATTTAAAAAAACATACCTAAACATTCAAATGGAACTCTCAACTGTCACCTTCCTGGTGGAGACTGAAAAGGTCAGATGAGAGACAGACAAGCAGTTCTCTTCACAGCAATTGCATCTTCTTGTCATTAAAAGAAATGCTTCAGGTATAAATGCTGGCAACAACTGGAGGCCATTGCAGCCTAGTCAGGAAAAACTCACCATAGTTTTCAAGTCCTCCGGCCTTAGGGAAGGAAGCTGGAGGTCCAAGTGACAAAGGCTTTGAAAACGATCTAGGAATTCACTAACAAGAATAGCAGGCTCATCCAGGGGCAACATCCCAAATCGGTCTGTGGAAAAAGTAAATTGGAAGATTATATTGGTGTAAACTGTAAAAAATAAAAAACACGGCTGGGCATGGTGGCTCATACCTGTAATCCCAGCACTTTGGAAGGCCGAGGCGGGCGGATCACCTGAGGTCAGGAGTTCAAGACCAACCTAGCCAACCTAGAAACCCCTGTCTCAGCCTCCTTTAATACAAAAAATTAGCCAGGCATGGTGGCGCGTGCCTGTAATCCCAGCTACTCGGGAGGCTAAGACAGGAGAATCACTTGAACCCAGGAGGCAGAGGTTGCAATGAGGCTGAGATCGTGCCACTGTGCTCCAGCCTGGGCAACAGAGAGAGACTCTGTCTCAAAAAATAATAATAAAATAAAATAAATAAAAAACACATATTGAATGATTGAGGAAATATAGTAAAATTGATGAGCTATTTGATGGTGTCAGGAAATTATTGTTTTTCATTTTGATGGGGCTGTAATGATACTACTGAGACCATGTTTAAAAAGTAGAATCCATATTTTTTATATTTTGAAATATTTAGATAAAATGGCATATGTGGGACTGAACTTCAAAACAATGCAGAGGGGCAGGGTGTTAGGTGTTAGGAATATAGAAGAAACAAGATCGGCCATGAGTTGATCATTGTTGAAGTTGAGTGATGGGGTTTCATTATTTATACTATTCCGTGTACTTCTATATATGTGTGAAATTGTTACCTTAAGAAAGAGAAAACAGAACAGAGTTAGTGGAGATGGATGCTTAAATAGGTGAAAAGTCTTAAAGAACCATCATTTTATAACTACCAAGTTATAACTTACTGTGAGCTAAGAATGAAAAAAATGGCATGTTCCTAAAGTCTACACAAGAGATACAAAAAGGCTTGCATTGTAAGGTGAAGCTTAACTGGGTACCAGAGTAAATAAAGTATACAATTAGGAATTCTACTGGTAATACCTAAGTTGGAAAAGAAGGAATCTGCCTGAAATCTAAGCAGTGTGGAAACTGATTATATACTATAGTATAATTATCTCTGGCATTACCCAATTCATCTACTGCATACTTGGTACACTGGTACAAAGGCAAATGATGAGTGCAGAAAGGCCTTGCTAAGCTACTTCCTAAAGAGGTCAGTCTAGTAGGCCTAGAATGAAGTAGAAGCTACACTGAATCAGCCTTTTTTTTTTTTTTTTTTTCCGAGACAGAGTTTTTGCTCTGTCGCCCAGGCTGCAGTGCAATGGTGCGATCACGGCTCACTGCAACCTCTGCCTCCCAGGTTCAAGCAATTCTCCTGCCTCAGCCTCCTGAGTAGCCGGGATTACAGGTGCCTGACACCACACCTGGTTAATTTTTCTATTTTTAATAAAGACAGGGTTTCATCATGTTGGCCAGGCTGATCTTTAACTCTTGGCCTCAGGTGATCCACCCACCTTGGCCTCCCAAAGTGCTGAGATTACAGGCGTAAGTCACCACGCCCAGCCCTGAATCAGCTTTAATAAAGAATGAAAACACGTTTTGGAAGGGATTCATAGGAAAAGTGAAGAGAGAACATGTCATCCTAGCCTGATCGTCTAAAAAGTAGGAAGCCACTCGAGTCACTGGTCTTCTCTCAGCCTCAAATTGACATTTAGTTGCTCAACAAAGTCACTCATAATCTTTTTTTTTTTTTTTGAGACAATCTCGCTGTTGCCCAGGCTGGAGTGCAGTGGCGTGATCTCGGCTCACTGCAGGATCCGCCTCCTGGGGTTCACACCATTCTCCTGCCTCAGCCTCCCGAGTAGCTGGGACTACAGGCGCCCGCCACTGCGCCTGGCTAATTTTTTATATTTTTAGTAGAGACGGGGTTTCACCGTGTTAGCCAGGATGGTCTCGATCTCCTGACCTCATGATCCGCCTGCCTCGGCCTCCCAAAGTGCTGGGATTACAGGCGTGAGCCACTGCGCCCAGCCCATTTTGTGATGTTTTAACTCTTGTTTCCATCTTCCCTTCCCCAGCTCAGCTCTGTGGTAGCCTTGAAAACCGACATCCCAGCGGGGCGTGGTGGCTCACACCTGTAATCCTAGCACTTTGGGAGGCCAAGGTGGGTGGATCACCTGAGGTCGGGAGTTTGAGACCAGCCTGACCAGCATGGAGAAACCCCGTCTCTACTAAAAATACAAAATTAGCCAGGCATGGTGGCGCATGCCTGTAATCCCAGCTACTCGGGAGGCTGAGGCAGAATCGCTTGAACCCGGGAGGCGGAGGTTTGGTGAGCTGAGATTGCGCCATTGCACTCCAGCCTGGGCAACAGAGCAAAACTCCATCTCAAAAAAAAAAAAAAAAAACAGAAAACCAACATCCCCACAATCATGGTGAAAACCAGTAGCTTAGCAGTCACCGGAGAGCACAGAAAAGAGGTGGAGCTCCTCCAAAGCCCCATTCCAGAGAACCACCATTATTTGATCTGTGTGGCAGTTGCCTAGAACATTATACTGTCGCAGTGAGAACACCCTTTTCCCCAGACAGGTTTTCAAAAATGATCATTGGCAACTGTTTAACATCACAGTTGCTTTGAGGCAGCAGTATGAGTTGGAGCAAGTAACAAGCTGACCAAAAACCTTAAAAGCTGGGAAATGAAATGTCCATAGGCAGGCTTGAAAGGCTCTGACATATTCCCTGGAATCTAGAAGGACATGTGCAGGTATAGAGCTATACACATGCCCAGCAAAGACCTGAAAAGGCCCTAAGCTCTCTCATCTCTGGCTGATGCTGAGGTTCTGCACAAGCAGGAAGTGAAGGCTAACACAGAACTGCAAACTGCCTGCTTGACTACTGAAGGTGTGCTCCCCCCACCACACACAGAGCTCCTTGGCAAGACTGGGGGACTTATTTGTTCAGGCATTTAAAGAAATCTCTGTCCAATCGTCCTGTGAAAGTTGATTTTGAGGCCGGGCACAGTGGCTCACGCCTGTAATCCCAACACTTTGGGAGGCCGAGGTGGGCGGATCACGAGGTCAGCAGTTCAAGACCAGCCTGGCCAACATGGTGAAACACTGTCTCTACTAAAAATACAAAAATTAGCCAGGCATGGTGGTGGGTGCCTGTAATCCTAGCTACTCGGGAGGCTGAGGCAGGAGAATTGCTTGAACCTGGGAGGTGGAGGTTGCAGTGAGCCGAGACCACGCCATTGCACTCCAGCCTGGGCAACAGAACAAGATTCCCTCTAAAAAAAAAAAAAAAGTAAGTTGATTTTGATAATTTTTGTAAGTGTTCTTTTTGCTCTCATAGAAGATTTTCAGATGCCCTTCCTCCACCATCCCCACTGAAGACATCCTACACAGATTGAGACAAGAAACATGAATTTGAGGCCAGGTACAGTTGCTCATGACTGTAATCCTAACATTTTGGGAGGCTGAGGTAGGAGGATCACTTGAAGCCAGGAGTTTGAGATCAGCCTGGGCAATATAGTGAGACCCCATCTCTACCAAAAAAAAAAAAATTAGCTGGATGTGGTGGCATACGCCTGTAGTCATAGTTACTCAGGAGGCTGAGGCAGGAGGATTGCTTAAGCCCAGGAATTCAAAGCTGCAGTGAGCTATGATTGTGCCACTGCACTGTAGCCTGGGAGAGAGAGAGAGAGGAGAGAGAAACGTGTACTTGATAGAAGAAATGGAAGGAAGGAAGGAAGGAAGGAAGGAAGGAAGGAAGGAAGGAAGGAAGGGAAGGAGGGAGGGAGGGAGGGACAGTAAGAGGGGAAGGGGGGAAGGGAAGGAGGGAAGGGAGGGAGGGGAGGGAAGGAAAGGAAGGGAAGGAAAAGAAAGAAGGGAAGGAAGGGAAAGATGGGAAGGAGGGGAAGGAGGGAGGGAGGAAGGGAGGGATGGACTACCTGATAGAAGAAATAATACTTACAAATATATCAGTGCTCTCCTGCTTACTAAAATTAATTTTTAAAATTAATTATTATTAGCCAGGTGGCACTTGTAAACCCAGCTACTCTGGATACTGAGGCAGAAGTATCACTTGAGCCCAAGAGTTCAAGGTCAGTCCGGGCAATAGAGAGAGACACCATCTTTTTCCTTTGCTGCAGTGCAGTGGTGCAATCATGGCTCGCCACAGCCTTAACCTCCCAAGCTTACGCGATCTTGCCACCTCAGCTTCCCGAGTAGCTGGGAACACAGGTATGCGTAACCATGCCCAGCTAATTTTTTGTATTTTTTGTAGAGATGGGGTTTTACTATATTGTCCAGGCTGGTCTTGAATTCCTGGACTCAAGCAATCTGCCCACTTCAGCCTCCGAAAGTGCTGGGACTACCCTGGCTGCATTTTAGTTTAATTGTAATGATTATTCTCTTATTTGAGTTTCAGATATTCACAAGTGGGGTAATGGATCTCCTTTAAGCTGGCTATTCTATTCTTTTAGCATTGTCTGTAGCATTTCTATAGCATTCTTTTTTTTTTTTTTTTTTTTTTTTTGAGACGGAGTCTTGCTCTGTCGCCCAGGCTGGAGTGCAGTGACACGATCCCGGCTCACTGCAACCTCTGCCTCCCAGGTTCAAGCAATTCTCCTGCCTTAGCCTCCCCAGTAGCTGGGACTACAGGCACGTGCCACCATGCCTGGCTTGTTTTTTGTATTTGCAATAGAGATGGGGTTTCACTGTGTTAGCCAGGATGGTCTCAAACTCCTGACCTCGTGATCTGCCTGCCTCGGTCACCCAAAGTGTTGGGATTACAGGCGTGAGCCACCACGCCTGGCCTGTCTGTAGCATTCTTGAAAGCATTCTTGCTTTCTAGCAACAACAGGATATTCTGGATCCAAGTTGATTTATTGTCCTTGCCCCAAGACATGGAATCAGCAACTCTCCAAAGAGCCTGATCCTTTTAATCACAGTAGACTAAAATGAGGGACCAAAATCTGGTTGCTAACAATGCAAAGAATTGTGGGCAGAAGTGCTGCTGTTACTACATTTGGGCCCCTTCTAATAGCAAAACTGGAAAAGATATTTTTTTAAACAGCCTTACTGAGGTCTAATTGACATAAACTGCACATGTTTGATAAGTTTTAACGTGCACATCCATGTAGCCATCACTGCTAGGTTTCTATTTTAACACCTTGAGTTTATAATTTATTTTCCCAATTTAATGCCGCATATTATTCTATCCTGTTTTTCTTTCATTTCCTTTTTTTTTTTTTTTAAGAGACAGGGTCGGCAGGGCATTTTGGCTCAAGCCTGTAATCCCAGCACTTTGGGAGGCCGAGGCGGGCGTATCACGAGGTCAGGAGATTGAGACTATCCTGGCTAACACGGTGAAACCCCGTCTCTACTAAAAATACAAAAAATTAGCCGGGTGTGGTGGCGGGCGCCTGTAGTCCCAGCTACTGGGTTGGCTGAGGCAGAAGAATGGCGTGAACCCGGGAGGCAGAGCTTGCAGTGAGCCGAGACCCTGCCACTGCACTCTAGCCTGGGCGACAGAGCGAGACTCCGTCTCAAAAAAAAAAAAAAAAAAAAAAAAAAAAGAGACAGGGTCTTGCTCTGTCATGCAGGCTGGAAGGCAGTGACATGATTATAGCTCACTATAACTTGGAATTCCTGGGTTAAAGGGATCCTCCTGCTTCAACCTCACGAGTAGCTTAGGATGACAGGGGTATGCCACCACATCTGGCTAATTTTAAAAAATTTTTTCTTTGTAGAGACAGGGTGCCCAGCCTGGTCCCAAACTCCTGGCCGCAAGTGATCCTCCCACCTTGGCCCTGCAAAACACTGGGATTACAGGCATGAGACTCCATGCCTGGCTGGGGTTATTACTTTAAGTCCTTTTATGTCTTCTAAGTTTAGTTCTTTGCCTCAAGACTTACCCCTTGCAGTTTGTACTCTACCCTAGTTCATGTTATCTATAACATCTCTTCCTTCAAAAAATCTCGTAGCTTCTCATCACATACATTTAATAAAATCATGGTTTGGCCACTGTCTACACTTTAGTCTTCTCTTCTATTCTCCCCACAGGGACACTGTGAGCCAGCCCTGTGAAACTATTACAGCATTCCCCAAATGTACCATCCTTTGGCCTTTTGCTTTTACCCACTGTTGCTGGTCTTTCAAATTCAGCCTAGAGGCCAGGCACAGTGGTTCACGCTTGTAATCATAGCACTTTGGGAGGCCGAGGAGAGTGGATCATTTGAGGTCAGCAGTTCAAGACCAGCCTGGCTAATATGGTGAAACCCCGTCTCTACTAAAAATACAAAACTTAGCCAGGTGGTAGCGGCATGCACCTGTAATCCCAGGTACTCGGGGGTGCTGAGGCAGAAGAATCGCTTGAGCCTGGGAAGCAGAGTTTGTGGTGAGCTGAGATCAAGCCACTGCACTCAAGTCTGGGCAACAGAGTGAGACTGTCTCAAAAAAAAAAAAAAAAAAACAGCCGAGTGAAGTGGCTTCCTTCTTCAAAAAATCTCGTAGTTTCGCACCTGAACCTGGGAGGCGGAGGTTGCAGTGAGCCCTGTGAAACTATTCAGCATTCCCCAAATATATCAGCACTTTTTTTTTTAATGGAGTCTCACTGTGTCGCCCAGGCTGGGGTGCAGTGTTCAAGCGATTCTCCTGCCTCAACATCCCCTAGTAGCTGGGATTACAGGCATGTGCCACCACGCCCGGCTAATTTTTTTGTATTTTTAGTAGAGATGGGGTTTCACCACATTGGCTAGGCTGGTCTCGAACTCCTGACCTTGTGGTCCTCCCGCCTTGGCCTTCCAGACTGCTGGAATCACAGGTGTGAGCCATCACGCCTCGCCACTTTGCCTTTTTTCTTGGACTGTATTGCAGAATGTGGATTTGGAGCAAGTGGTCCTGAAGCACTTATTTTGTCACCCACAGATTAAGATTTTCCTCCACAGGCTACACTTGAAGGTCTCAACACTTTGAAGTCTCCTCTTATGGGGCATCCAGTCTAACCCTCTGGCTTGCTACTTAGCAATGGGTGTTCTGTGATGGGGTGATTTGGAAGGAAGGAGTCTGCCCCTTTCTGAGCCACAACAGTGAAGCCATTTGATCTGAGCCTAGGTGGGAGAGATATTTTAATAGATAAACATTCTAGCTTTGATTTTTCTGAAGAGTAATATGCCTGTTTTTTTTTTTTTTTCCGCAATTCAGGGGATTTTCTTTGGTGCACTTGTTGACTCTGCATGAATTTGCAATCCAAGGGAAAAGTTGGAGAAAGAACAAAGTTGGCTTTAAAAGTCAAGGTAAGGCTGGGAGTGGTGGCTCACGCCTGTAATCCCAGCACTTTGGGAGGCAGAGGCAGGTGGATCACCTGAGGACAGAAGTTCAAGACAGCCTGGCCAAAATGGTGAAACCTCGTCACTACTAAAAATAACACTTTGGGAGGCTGAGGCAGGAGAATCGCTTGAACTCAGGAGGGAAAAATTAGCCAGGCATGGTGGCGGGCACCTGTAATTCCAGCTACTCGGAAGGCTGAGGCAGGAGAATTGCCTGAACCCAAGAAGCGGAGGTTGCAGTGAGCCAAGATCGCGCCACTGCACTCTAGCCTGGGTGACAGAGTGAGACTCCATCTCAAAATAAAAAATAAAATAAAATAAAATAAAATGTTTAAAGAAATTTAATTTAGCTTATAATTATTGGCAAATGTTAGAAAAAAATTACCTTCAAAATTATTAGTTTTGCTTAATAAATTTAAGCATAAAGTGAAATAACTGAGTGTTCTTTTATCCACACAAATGTCCTTTGAATGTTAAAGAACCAAACCAAGGGATCATATAATTGAAAGGTTATATCTAAGATCCATGTAGGAGGTAGAATGGATAGGTCAAAGTGGGTGACCATAGAGAAGAGCATCTAAAGTGACTTTCAGGTTTCTGGCTAGGACAACTGGATGGGACGTCAGTGCCATTTGCCAAGATGGAGAAAGTTTTAGGTATAAGATGAAGAGTTCAGTTTTATACACATTGAGTTCCAGGTACCTATAATATTAAGTGGAAATGTTTAGAAGGTAGATGAAAATATGAGTCAAGCTCAAAAGAGAGGTCTGGATAGGAATTAGAGGTCTCCGAGGTGGTAGCTGAAGTTATGAATGAGATCAGGAAAGCAAAATGTACGGTGACAAGAGTTGGGAACCACCAATAGAGCCCTGGGCAGACCTTAAAAACTTGGACGGCCAGGCGCGGGGGCTCACGCCTACAGGCCTCCCAGCAATTCTGGAGGCCAAGGCAGGCGGATCACTTGACGTCAGGAGTTCAAGACCAGCCTGGCCAACATGGTGAAACCCTGTCTCTACTAAAAATACAAAAATTAGCTGGGTGTGGTGGCACGCGCCTGTAGTCCCAGCTACTCGGGAGGCTGAGGCAGGAGAATTGCTTGAACCCAGGAAGCAGAGGTTGCAGTGAGCCTAGACTGAGCCATTGCAGCACTCCAGCCTGGGCGACAGAGCAAGACTCCGTCTCAAGGAAAACAAACAAACAAACAAACAAACAAACTTGGACTGAGTGCACTAGACAAGGATGGAATCAAATCCTCATAGGACCAAGTTTTGTTATACAATACAGGTAAATAACTAGTAAATCCTAGCTATTTCAACAGCAGGAAATCCTTATTATACAATCATCTTCACTTAAACAATTTTATTTAATAATCCCTTTTCTACCACCCTTTCATTGATCAAAGGTAGAGGGGAATCTCTGGTTATTTTCAATCTATTTTCTCCTTTTAGTGGTAAATCATGGAATATTCTTAGCCATCAGTGACCCTGGAATTAGCCTGCCATCCTACTGAAATAAAAAATATACCTACATGGCACTGATTCCTGGTCAAGGCATGAAATATACAGATGAATAGTGTTGCTTTTTAACTATGGGTCTAAAGAATTTTTTTATACTTGCTCTTAGATTCCCCACCAGAGGGCTCTGCTGTTGAAGCTGTTTACTCAGCAGGAATATGCCTATGTGATCAACAAAATATTTTTTATTTTTCATAGAGATGAGGTCTTACTATATTTATTGCTCAGGCTGGTCTCAAACTCCTAAACTCAAGCAATCCTCCTGTCTTGGCCTCCCAGTGTTAGGATTATGGTTGGGAGCAACTGTGCCTGGCCAAAGAACAAAATATTTTTAAAAACCCAGTTGAGATTACACTTTGGGCTCTCTTATTCCAAAGTGTTCTGTGCACACATCAGTAGTTCCTGATTCAAGGGAGAGTATGTCCTCTCATGGCCCTTATATAGACAGGAAATAGGAGGTTGGACCTGGCCTTCCCAGACAGGCAGCCTGTGGCTGTAATGACACCCTTACTTCAGTGCTGCTGTGATAGTGTACTGTTTTACTGCAATAAACTGCAGATTTGTGATCACTCTCACTTGGGGTCCTGTGAGTCTTCTTCAGCAAATGAACCCTGTTTAACTTCCACCATTATTGCTGTTAGTACTCCCTCTACAGGAAACCTAGGTAGAACATGGCATTGCTTGGTGTGGTGGGAAAAGCGGAGGGTTTGAAATCAGATTAAACTTAGTTATAGCTTCTCTCTAGTTGGTTTTAAGACCTCTGATTCTTAGTTTCCTCACCTAAATGAACTGGGTTATGGCCGGGCACAGTGGCTGATGCCTGTAATCCCAGCAGTTTGGGAGGCCAAGGCAGGCAGATCACTTGAGGTCAGGAGTTTGAGACCAGCCTAGCCAACATGGTGAAACCCCATCTCTACAAAAAATTTTAAAAATTAGCAGGGTGTGGCAGCGTGTACCTGTAATCCCAGCTACTCGGGAGGCTGAGGCAGGAGAATCGCTTGAACCTCGGAGGTGGAGGCTGCAGTGAGTTGAGATCGTGCCACCTCACTGCAGCCTGGGTGAAAGAGCGAGGCTCTGTCTCAAAAAAAAAAAAAAAAAAAACCAAAAGAACTGGGTTGGTAGTATCTACCTCCCAGGGCCCCTGTAAGGATTAAATGGGATAATGCATATATATGTCTAAAGCCTTAAGCATGTCAAATGCACTTCATGAAGGTAAGTAATAACACAAGTGAATATAAGTTTTTCTGGAAATAATGCAAATAGAAAAGGAGAAAAAGAGGCCGGGCACAGTGGATCACCCCTGTAATCCCAATCCCAGCACTTTGGGAGGCCGAGACGGGCGGATCATCTGAGGTCAAGAGTTCGAGACCAGATTGACCAACATGGTGAAACCCCATCTCTACTAAAAATACAAAATTAGCTGGGCGTGGTGGCGCACGCCTGTAATCCTAGCAACTCTGGAGGCTGAGGCAGGAGAATTGCTTGAACGCGGGAGGCGAAGGTTGCAGTGAGCCAAGATCGCGCCACTGTACTCCAGCCTGGGCAACAAGAGTGAAACTCCATCTCAAAAAAAAAAAAGAAAAGGAGAAAAAGAAAGTTCAAAGACTAGGTTTTCACAAACAGACAATATTAGAAATGCAATGATGAAGGAAAAATGGTGAACAGGAATTCTCAAAAATAAGTACCTGGGGATGGGCTGTCTGGCCAGAAACAGAACTTCTCATGGGCAGTACACAAGGCTTTCTTCAGCTCAGCACATCGTTGCTTATCTGAAATCCACATAAACAGCAACACCTTAAAAAACACTATATAGATTCAAAATCCAATGAATGGCCTCTAAGAGCAGAGATTTAACTAAAAATAAGAGAATTTTAAAATGTGAAAATATTATCAAGTACATAATCTTAATATTTTTCACAAAACAGGTTTTAAATTGAGATCCTAAGATCAACAAAGGAGATACCATGTATCTTATTTTTATTTTTTATTTTTTTGAGACAGAGTCTTGCTCTGTCGCCCAGGCTTGAGTGTAGTGGTGCAATCTCGGCTCATTGCAACCTCCATCTCCCAGGCCCAAGCGATGCTCCTGCCTCAGCCACCTGAGTAGTGTTTTGTATTTTTAGTAGAAATGGGGTTTCACCATGTTAGTCAGGCTGGTCTCAAACTCCCAACCTCATGTGATCCACCCACTTCAGCCTCCCAAAATGCTGGGATTACACACGTGAGCCACTGCGCCCGGCCCCCATGTATCTTATAAAGCAGAGCATTCCAAAGTGTGAGACTTCATAAAAGTCCTTTGTCACTCTTCGTCTAGAAGTATACATTTTGGAATAATAAAGTAAACATGCTGCTGTTACCTAGATTACATTAAGTCAAGTCCATGCTGCAGTAGCTAGCTTAGTTTAAAAAAAAAAAAAAAAAAAAAAAAAAAAAAGGCCGGGCACGGTGGCTCACGCCTGTAATCCCAGCACTTTGGGAGGCTGAGGCGGGTGGATCACAAGGTCAGGAGATCAAGACCATCCTGGCTAACACGGTGAAACCCCGTCTCTACTAAAAATACAAAAAATTAGCCAGGCGTGGTAGCAGGCACCTGTAGTCCCAGCTACTTGGGAGGCTGAGGCAGGAGAATGGTGTGAACCCAGGAGGCGGAGCTTACAGTGAGCCAAGATCGCACCACTGCACTCCATCCAGCCTGGGGGACAGAGCGAGACTCCGTCTCAAAAAAAAAAAAAAAAAAAAAAGACTGGCCAGGCACTATGGCTTACCCCTGTAATCTCTGCACTTTAGGAGGCCAAGGTGGGCGGATCACTTGAGCTCAGGAGTTCAAGACTAGCCTGAGCAACCTGGTAAAACCCCACCTCTACAAAAAAAAAACAAAAATTAGCCAGGTGTAGTGGCACTGCGCCTGTAGTCCCAGCTACTTGGGAGGCTGAGGAAGGATCGCTTGAGCCCAGGAGGTTGAGGCTGTGGTGAGTTGTAATTGCACTATTACATCTTGCTCAGCCTGGGCAACAAGCAAGACCCCATCTCAAAAAAAAAAAAAAAGATTAAAAAAAAAGATTGAAGTACGCATTTTTTGATCAAACTAAAATGACCTTTTTTCCCCCCCCAGAAAACCAGGATAGTATATATTTGAGTGTGGAGAAAAATGTAATTTGTACCTTATACTTACATCTGTCAAAGTCAAAAGCTGGTTGTAAACTGGCACAGAGAAAAGCTTGACAGCTAGAGCACTTGAGCATATCACATTCCACTGTGACCCAGCCATATTTTGCACAGACGAGTGGAGACAGCTCAAAGGGCTTACCTGCCCATTTCAAAGAGTATCCATGTTAAGAAAAACAACACAGCAAATATATATATATATGTGTGTGTATGTGTGTGTGTGTGTGTGTGTGTATACACATACTGTTTTTTTTTTGTTTTTGAGAAAAGTTCTCACTCTGTCTCCCAGGCTGGAGTGCAGTGGCACGATCTAAGCTCACTACAACCTCACCCTCTCAGGTTCAAGCAATTCTCCCACCTCAGCCTCCCAAGTTGCTGGGACCACAGGTGCACGCCACCACACCCAGCTAATTTTTGTATTTTTTGGTAGAGATGGGGTTTCACCATGTTGCTCAGGCTGGTCTTGAACTCCTGAACTCAGATGATCTGCCCACCTTGGCCTCCCAAAGTGCTGGAATCACAGGTGAACACTGCAAGTATATTAAAATGAATAAGTCATAAATTACAATCTTAACTCATTCTTTTTTTTTTTTTTTTTCAAGACAGAGTCTTGCTCTGTCACCCTGGCTGGAGTACAATGGCACAGTCTCGGCTCGGTTTCTGCAACCTCCACTTCCCGGGTTCAAGTGATTCTCCTGCCTCAGCCTCCCGAGTAGCTGGGATTACAGGCATCTGCCACTGCACCCAGCTAATTTTTGTATTTTTAATAGAGATAGGGTTTCATCATCTTGGCCAGGTTGGTCCTGAACTTGTGACCTCGTGATCCACCCACCTCGGCCTCCCAAAGTGCTGCAATTACAGGCGTGAGCCACTGTGCCCGGCCCAACTCATTCTTAATGTATATAGGAATAAACATTAAGGAGAAAGGCAATGAGAAAAGTGGTAAAAACTATTTTTAATGCACAGGCCCATACTTCACAGAATGATGAAGGTCATTTAAGTAATAAGTGGAGGGGAAAAGTTATTAACTTATTCTTGAAGAAGCACTATGTATTTTATGTGTTTAAAATGTTTATTGGCCAAGCACAGTGGCACATGCTTGTAATCTCAGCACATTGGGAGGCTGAAGCGGGAGGATCACTTGAGCTCAGGAGTTGAAGATCAGCCTGGGCAACACGGCGACACCTCATCTCTATTGAAAATCAAAAAATTAGCGGGATGTGGTGGTGCATGCCTGTAGTCTCAGCTAATTGAGAGGCTGAGGGAGGAGGATGGCTTGAGCCCAGGAGATCAAGGCCACAGTAAGATACGATCACACCACTGCCCTCTAGCCTGGGCAACAGAATGAGACCCTGTCTCAAAAAAAAAAAAAAAAAAAGTTTATTATTGGTTGTCTGGTAGAATATAGCATCCATTAATTTTCACTGAATCTGAAATACTAGGAACTTAAAGGCACCAGTGAAAGTACTGGGATATGCCTAAACAATAAGAGATAGTCAAAGTTAAACACACAGAAATATTTTCTGCCATTCACCTATGCTCTCCTACTGTACCCCATCCATTTTTACTTTCCAAAGAATAAAGGCAATAAAATTATCCCTCCAAAATTTGATTGCTAGTATCAATGGGGATGTGTGAGAATGTGTTTTACACAGCTAAAAGCATCTGTAAGTATGTATTTGGAAAGGTATCCTAAAACATTTATTACTCCTTAATATTAAATGCTCAGTTTTTTTGTTTGTTTTGTTTTGTTTTTTGAGATGGAGTCTTGCTCTGTTGCCCAGGCTGGAATGCAATGGCACGAGCTCAGCTCACTGCAACCTCTGCCTCCTGGGTTCAACCGATTCTCCTGCCTCAGCCTCCCGAGTAGCTGGGATTATAGGCGTGCGCCACCATGCCCCACTAATTTTTGTAATTTTAATAGAGAAGGGGTTTTGCCATGTTGGCCAGGCTGGTCTCGAATGCCTGACCTTGAACGCCTGAGGCCCTCCTCGGCCTTCCATGGTGCTGGGATTACAGGTATGAGCCACCTCGCCCAGCTTCAGTTTTTAATAATCTATGTGGGCCGGGTGCGGTGGCCCCAGCACTTTGGGAGGCTGAGACGGGCGGATCACTTGAGGTCAGGAGTTTGAGACCAGCCTGGGCCAACATGGTGAAACCCCATTTCTACTAAAAATACAAAAATCAGCTGGGTGTGGTAGTATGTACCTGTAATCCCAGCTATTGGGGAGGCTGAGGCAGGAGACTCGCTTGAACTTGGGAGGCGGAGGTTGCAGTGAGCTGAGATGGTACCACTGCACTCCAGCCTGGGCAACACAGCAAGATTCTGTCTCAAAAGAAAAATTCTACCTGAAGAGCTCTTATTTCACAAAGCACAGTAAAAAAAAAAGGATAAAATATGAAAGAAGATGCAGGAAAGTTATACATTTTTATAAAGGGATATAGGAATTTGAAAGACATTCCAACATCAGCAAAGGAAGAATGAAGACTGGAAAACAAAATTCAGATACAAATATTAAAGGAGCCATGATTATCTAGAATAAAAGTAATGGTTAAATAAATAATCATCATATCCAAAATGTTGATCAATTTATAGCCAATGAACAAAAAGGAAATGGATCTAAATATTTTATCAAAATCAAGATTTAATGCAAGAAATAATGGTAGAAGGATGGTTAAAATACCTTCCCTTTCCTGAGCAATTCAGTCTTAAAGCCATTAGGCGGTGAACAAGGAAGATGTCAGAGCCAGGAGGCTGCGAAGAGGCAGCTCAGCCCAGGGTGTCAGAACCAAAGTGGTATGTAACAGGCATTCACTTGCGGGCAGCCAAGTGTGGAGTGCTAGGACCTAAATGGGGTGACGAGAGATTCATGCAAGAAAGGATGGCAGCATGGCAGAAATGGGAGATTAAGCACATATAGGGGATTGATCAAAGTAGTAAATATATTAAGGATAACAAATTATGTTTCACAGTGTTGAATATGGGAGGGAAAAATAGGGAAAAGGAGAAAACTAGAATGAATCCTGTGATGTACAATTGCAACTGGAGATGTCAGCAGGAACTCATCGTTTTTTAAAATATAGAGAGAAATGGATGTAAATTTAGATGTGTGTATACATGTGAATGTGTGTGTCTGTGTGTGTGTACATAAACATATATATTTTCTAGCTTTTTCCTCTGAGAGGGCCTGAGAACAGTGGCATCCCACTAGCTATGAGTTCTCCCTGCACCCAGATCTTGGCATTCATTCATGCATTTATATAGAGACAGGATCTTGCTATGTTGCCCAGGCTGGTCTCTCCTGGGCTCAGGCAATTCTCCCACCTGGGCCTCCCAAAGTGCTGGGATTACAGGTGTGCCACCATGCCCAGTTCAGATCTTAGCTTTTAAATAACATTCTCCACTGAAAAACAGCCAAGGATCCTTGTAAAATTGGCTGATTCCAGGGATGGGGCAAGAAAAATACAAGATAAGCCGAGAACAACTTGTTCCTGAAAGCAATAAAGAGGTCATGGGTTATGGGACATGTCAAAAGGCCACAGAAGCCAACCTGAGGGGGATGTCACTGACTAAATAAGGAACAACTGGAGTATCAAAATATATAATGATAGTAATGAATTATAACCCATTGAATAACAAAGAAAATATTGAGTCCATGTTACTACAAATAAATCAATTACATAAAGTTTGATAAGGACTGGGATATTTACAAAGTTTCAAAGAACTTCCCCACAAAGTACTTTTTATTTACAAAGGAGGAAAGAGTTATTTTACAATAGAAATGCCAGATACTCCCTTAATCAAGTGATCAAAGTGATCATCACCATAAAGGGATAAATAGAAATCACGTGTCACCTGACAGGATGCAATGAGAATGCAGCATTGCTTCACGACACTCCTGCATAACCTGAATCTAATCACAAAGAAACATCAAACAAATGTCATTGACATACACTCTACAACATAACTGTTCTGTAATCTTCAAAAGTATCAAGATCATGAAATTCAAGAAAAAACTGAGGAAATGTTCCAGATTAAAGGAGAATAAAGCAACATGACAACTAAATGTACTGTGTGATTCTCAACTGGATACTTCAACTATAAAGAATGTTATTAGTATAACTGATGGAAAAACTGGGGTCTGAGGATTGGAGGGTAGTAATTTATCAATGTCAATTTTCTGATTTTGATGGTTGCATTCTGGTTATGTAGGACAAAGTCCTTGTTTGTAGGAAATATTTGGGAGTAGTAAGACATCACTTTGGTGGCTTACTTTCAAATAGCTCAGGGAAAAAAGGTTCTTTGTAATCTCTGCAACCTTTCTGTAAGTCTGTAATTTAAAAATTTTTAAGAATCACTGTAAAAAATTACCATGTAAGTCTTTCTGTCCTTGCACACAGGGAATAAAGTAGTGAAAAGCAGAAGACGTGGTGTGGTACCACATTTCTTCCGCCTTCAGTCTCTGCTCCTTTCACAGAGCTACCCATCAGTACCATGTTGGCCATGTTGGAGTAGAGTATCCTCAGCTTCACAACCTCTATGGTCTATAGGAGACAAAATGACAGCCCAGAGAAGAATTTGCCATTTTCAGTGGAAAACAAGTGGCAATTACTAATTATGATGACTTGTACTTTGGATCTCATTTGCTGCACTTTCCTTTATAAGACATCAACTGGGCCAGGTGCAGTGGCTCACGCCTGTAATCCCAGCACTTTGGGAGGCTGAGGTGGGTGGATCACCTGATTTCAGGAGTTTGAGACCAGCCTGGCCAACATGGTGAAACTAAAAATACAAAAACTAGCCAGGAATGGTGGTGGGAGCCTGTAATCCCAGGTACTTGGGAGGCTGAGGCAGGAGAATCGCTTGAACCCGGGAGGCAGAGGTTGCAGTAAGCCAAGATCACACCAGTGCACTCCAGCCTGGGTGGCAGAGTAAGACTCCATCTCAAAAAAAAAAAAAAAAAAAAAAGACATCAACGGCTTAAGATGGATGTTTGAGCTCACAATCTCTTTGATACTATGCAGCCATAAAAGGAACGAGATCATGTCCTTTGCAGGGATGTGGATGAAGCTGGAAGCCACTATCCTCAGCAAACTAACACAGGAACAGAAAACCAAACACATGTTCTCACTTATAAGTGGGAGCTGAATGATGAGAACACATGGACACATGAGGGGAACGACATACACTGGGGCCTGTTGGAGGTGGGAGTTGGGGGAGGGAAAGCATCAGGAGGAATAGCTAACAGATGCTGGGCTTAATACCTAGGCAATGGATTGATCTGTGCAGTAAACCACCATGGCACACGTTTACCTATGTAACAAACCCGCACATCCTACACATGTACCCCGGAACTGAAGATAAAAGTTGAAGAAAAAAAGGCCAGGCATGGTGGCTCATGCCTGTAATCTTGGCACTTTGGGAGGCCAAGGCAGGAGGATTGCCTGAGCTCAAAAGTTTGAGACCAGCCTGGGCAACACAGTGAAACCCCATCTCTACTAAAATACAAAAAATTAGCCAGGCATGGTGGCGGGCGCCTGTAATCTCAGCTACTTGGGAGGCTGAGGCAGGAGAATTGCTTAAACCCAGGAGGTGGAGGTTACAGTGAGCCAAGATGGCACCACTGTACTCCAGCCTAGATGACAGAATGAGACTCCATCTCAAAAAAAAAAAAAAGTTGAAGGGAAAAAAGGAAACAAAACAATGGATCAAATTCTTGAAGTCAGGCATATAGCACACTAGGTATGTTTCTAAATAAACTTATGACATAACGTTTAATGTCTCTTCGTGAAACATGCAATGTGATAGCTGGTATGTGCTTACTTTTTCATTTGGGTAATATTCCAGTATAAGTTTTTTTTTGAGACGGAGTCTTCTCTGCCACCCAGGCTGCAGTGCAGTGGCATGGTCTCGGCTCACTGCAACCTCTGCCTCCCAGGTTCAAGCAATTTCTCCTGCCTCAGCCTCCTGAGTAGCTGGGATTACAGGCGCATGCCACCACACCCAGCTAACTGTGCATTCTTTTTTTTCTTTTTGAGATGGAGTCTCATTCCTGTCGCCCAGGCTGGAGTGCAGTGGCATGATCTCGGCTCACTGCAACCTCCGCCTCCCAGGTTCAAGCAATCCTCCTGCCTCAGCCTCCCGAGTCACTGGGACTACAAGCATGTGCCACCATGCCTGGTTAATTTTTGTATTTTTAGTAGAGACAGGGTTTCACCATGTTGGCCAGGCTGGTCTCAAACTCTTGACCTCGTAATCCACTTGCCTCAGCAAACCAAAGTGCTTGGATTACAGGTGTAAGCCACCACGCCCGGCCTAATTTTGTATTTTTAGTAGCGTCAGGGTTTCACCATATTGGCCAGGTTGCTCTCAAACTCCTGACCTCAGGTGATCCGCCCACCTTGGCCTCCTAAAGTGCTAGGATTACAGGCGTAAGCCACCATGCCTAGCCAGTATTAGTTTCTTGATCAAAAAAAGGTGTGTGATTTGGCTTATTTTATGGTCTTAAATTCTGAGATTTTGTTAATTTTTGATTCCTAGGTCAAGACCTTGTTAATAGTTTATAAGACAGAAATTCGGGGCCAGGTTTGGCGGCTCAGGCCTGTACTCCCAACCCTCTGGGAGGCTGTGGCAGCATAATTGCTTGAGGCCAGGAGTTCGAGACCTGCCTGGGCAACATAGCAAGACTTTGTCTACACACACACACACACACACACACACACACACACACACACGGGTAGGGGTGCAAACTTGGCAGGAAAAAAAAGCAGCTGGAGCTACTAAAGACTTCTCTCAAAGCAAGGTGATGTGAACAGCTTTTAAGGTGGCTCCAATGATCCCTGCCTTCTTATATTCATGCCCTTGTGTTATCTGCTCCTCTTGAGTATGGGCTGGCCTAGTGACTTGCTTCTAATGCATAAAATATGACAAAAATGATGAGATGTCACTTTTGAGATTAGATTACAAAATGAGGCTGGCTTGTATCTTGTTCTCTCCTTTGCTCACTCTGATGGAAGTCAGCTGCCAAGTTGTGAACTTTCCTTTAGAGAAGCCCACATAGCAAGGAACCAAGTGGGGAGGGACATCTCTGGCCAATGGCCAGTATAGAACTGAAGCCCTCTGTCCAACAGACACAAGTAAATGAATCCTGCCAACAGTATGCCAATGACTGAGTTTGGAAGTGGACCCTTTCCTAGTTGTTTTTTTTTTTTTTTTTTTTTTTTGACACGGAGTCTTGCTCTGCTGCCAAGGCTGGAATGCAGTGGCGCGATCTCGACTCACTGCAAACTCTGCCTCCTAGGTTCAAGCTATTCTCCTGCCTCAGACTCCTGAGTAGCTGGGATTACAAGTGAGCACCACCACACCTGGCTAATTTTGTTTTGTTTTGTTTTATTTTATTTTATTTTTCTTTTGAGACAATTTTCCTAGTTGAGCCTTGAAATGACAGTGCCCTGACCAACCTTAATTGCAGTCTGTGAGAGACCCTGAGCCAGAGGACTCAGCTAAGCCATGCCTGGATTCCTGATCCACAGAAATTATGAAATAAAAACTGTTTGTTGTTTTAAGATCACTAAGTTTTGGGGCAATTTGCTATGCAGCAATAGGTAGCTAATACACAAAGGAAAATCTAGAAAGAGACATTATAGTAGTGTAGTCTCTAATAATCTAAAAAACATTAGATTATAATCCTGGATCTGCCATTTGCTAACAGGTTCATCTTGGGCAAGTCATATAACCTGCCCCAAACTGTTTCCTCTTCTGTAAAACAAGTATAATAATAATGCTTATTTTCATAGGTTTAAGGTCAAGATCGAATGTGATAATATATACAAAAACATACTATATACAAGTATTAGTTATTATTTCTTCTTTTCTCAGGCTCTTAGTTTTTTCTTCTGTAAAAAGAAAAGGTTAGATAACCTCAACTGTCCCTCTGAGTGATAACATATTAGGATGCTGACTTTCCTATATAATTTCTTACCAAGGTTTTATTCTTAAGTTTAAAGCATCACAGTAAGTGGTGTAATACCTTGGAGGAATTCTAGAAGCAGGCAGAAAGTGCAATTCACATGAACTAAAAAAGGATATAGAAAATGTTTCCACTCTGCTAAAGAAGGCTTCTTTGCTTGTAGATTCCAATGAAGGTTGTTCCGCTTGGGGTGATCCATTAACTGACTGGGATGTGGCAGACGTGTCCTTCCTAATATAAAGTGGCAAAACTGTTGGTAAACCTTTCACAGTACCCTCTGCTTAAATGTTATCTAGCTTCTCTACACATCGTATCATAAATCACACCAACGCTGGATTTTAAGCTTCCTAAAAATCATTTTACTCATGTCATTCCTCAGCTTATTATTTTCAATGGTTTTATAATACTTACTAAATAAAATCCAAATTTTTCAGTCTGGCATTCAAAACTCTTTACAGTTTACCCATATCTAAACTTCAATTTCTACCTCTACAGGGCTCCACTAATCCTAGCAAACTATTCTCCTCACTCACTCACTGTTCTCCACAAGTATTTGGCATAACTTTAGTAGACAGAAAATAAGACTCAAGACTTCAAGTATGCATTATACAATTTGAATCTCTTCAGAAATTCGACTTTTTTTTTTTTTGAGATGGAGTCTCGCTCTGTTGCCCAGGCTGGAGTGCAACGGTGCGATCTCGGCTCACTGCAACCTCCACCTCCCAGGTTCAAGCAATTCTCCTGCCTCGGCCTCCCCAGTAGCTGGGATTACAGGCGCGTACCACCAGGCGTGGGCCCGGCTAATTTTTTGTATCTTTAGGACAGACGGGGTTTCACCATGTTGGTCAGGCTGGTCTGTAACTCCTGACTTTGTGATTGGCCCACCTCAGCCTCCCAAAGTGCTGGGATTACAGGCGTGAGCCACAGCGCCTGGCAGAAATTCGACTCTTAACAGCAGAAAAAACAATTTTGATATTTCTACCTGGAGGGACCTTTCATACCCACTCCTTCCAAAAAAAAAAGAACCAATTAGAAAATTCGAATCAAAGATCTTCGGGAGATTTCATGAAAAAAAAATCAGGGAGAAAAAAACTCAGCAAAGCAATTCTCTCATTTTCAGTGGAAGGCATTTCAACAGTGCCTGGGGAATTGCTGAAAGACAAGCATTTATTTATTTATTTAGAGACGGAGTCTCACTCTGTCACTCAGGCTGGAGTGCAGTGACGCGATCTCGGCTCACTGCAACCTCCGCCTCCCAGGTTCAACCAATTCTCCTGCCTCAGCCTCCCGAGTAGCTGGGACTACAGGCGCGGGCCACCACGCCCGGCTAATTTTTTGTATTTTTAGTAGAGATGGGGTTTCACCGTGTTAGCCAGGATGGTCTTGATCTCCTGACCTCGTGATCTGCCCGCTTCAGCCTCCTCAAAGTGCTGGGATTATAGGCGTGAGCCACCGCGCCCGGCGACAGGCATTATTTTAATAAAAATAGGATTACATCAACGATTATAGCTCAAAAGAAATAAACTTACTCTAAGACTCTCAGAGATTCATAGAGAGCCTCAAGCGGGTGTGGTTCTAGGCCAAAAAAAATTCACAGCATCCATAAACTTGGATGGGTAAAAATGACATTTATTTCTCTCTAAATGACAAGATTTAGCATTTTCTTCAATTATGAATGAAGGTAAAAACACCATAGTAGTATTAGCAGTACCTGCTAATTTGTCACCAATGGAAATAATGTTCCCACATTATGGTGGTTGCATGTCTTCAAATACCTTTGTGCTCATCACTACTTCAAAATTATGGTTGACAACACATACTACTAGATATTATGGACTCTTTAATAAAAAGCATTGTTACTGCGTAACTTTTTCCTTTTACCATCTTGATAACTACATTCCAATCTAACTGGTTTCCTTTATAATCCTATGTAATTTACTTTAAGCATTTAAAAATATTCTGAGAGTTAATAAGCTTCTCCAGAGAGCCAAAGGGGTCCACGGCACAAAAAAAGGTTAAGAATCCCCAATTAAGAGAAGTCAAGTGAACTCATTCAGTTAACGGTCCTCTTTACTTCCAAAAATAATGTCCGATGACAAAATTTCGGCTGCGGTTGGGAATCTGGTACACCCCGAGGGGAAGATCAAAGCCGATCAAACATAGTAACCAGAGTTTCTTTCAGATTCTAAGAAGCCATCCCCACTGCCCGAGTCGCCGACCGAGGGGAACCTCCCCCAACCCGCCACCCCTTCCCCAAGCCTTCTTCAATCTTCCAACGCCGGACCCAGGGTTAACTCGTGAACTCACGCGTCCACGCCTCCCTCTTCCGGGGCAATCCCCTCATCTATCAGCTGCCGGATTTTCTGGGGGGTCCCTTCTGGGGAGCGAACTACTGCACCCCAATTCTTTTCAACCCCTACGGCAAACGCTTGTCCCTCACAGGGCGCCGCCATCTTGGTCCGCTGCCGAGTTGCTTCCCCGAGAGTTTGAAGGCTCCGGAACTTCCGTCCTGGGAGGTTAATATCCGCCTCTTGAGGCAGCCTGGCTGGGAAAGTCTAACCGCGGGGCCCACGCCTTTTCTCATCATTTTAGAACCTTAGAGCGAGCTTAAGGAGGGCTGTACTGTTTAGGACAATCTTGATTAATCGTTTCCTTTATCAACTAGCATATTTAGGTTGATAAGAGATTTTTAGAACGCTGTCAGTCCAAATTCAGCAGGGATGAGGGGCTCAACTTAATTTTCAAGTAATATTAACTAATACGGCCGGGCGCCGTGGCTCATGCCTGTAATCCCAGCGGTTTGGGAGGCCGAGGTGGGCGGATCGCCTGAGGTCAGGAGTTCGAGACCAGCCTGGCCAACATGGTGAAACCCCATCTCTACCAAAAATACAAAAATTAGCTGGACTTGCTGGCGGGCGCCTGTAATCCCAGCTACTAGGGAGGCTGAGGTAGGAGAATCGCTTGAACCCGGGAGGCGGAGGTTGCAGTGAGCCGAGATTGCGCCACTGCACTCCAGCCTGGGCGACAAGAGCAAAACTCCGACTCAAAAAAAATAAAAATAAAAATAAATTAACTCATACGACCCTCCTAAGTTGCACCTTTCTACAAGCGAGGAAATGGTGACCCTCATTGGAGAGCAAATAATTTAGAATCCTTGTTGGAAACCGTGTTATGGATGGATTTAGAAGTCTGTGGCATTTGACACTATTGATACTCCTTCCTTAGTCCAACAAATATTTATTGAAAACGTCCTATTTATTTTTTTTGAGATGGAGTTTCGCTCTTGTTGCTCAGGCTGCAGTGCAATGGCGCGATCTCGGCTCACTGCAACCTCTGCCTCCCGGGTTCAAGCGATTCTCCTACGTCAGCCTTCCGAGCAGCTGGGATTACAGGCATTCGCCAACACGCCCAGCAATTTTTTTTTTTTTTTTTTGTATTTTTAGTAGGGACGGGATTTCACCATGTTGGTCAGGCTAGCCTTGAACTCCTGACCTCAGGTGATCCGCCCGCCTCGGCCTCCCAAAGTGTTGGGATTACAGGCATGAGCCACCGCGCCCGGCCGAAAGCATCCTATTGATAGTCTCTAGGCACTAGCAATGACAGTCGTGAGCAAAGAAGCTGTAGATCTTGGTGGAGTTAGATGTCAAATTTTCCTATAGTTTTAAAATTATGATTACAAGTGCTCCAAGGATGTACCAAGGTTATAATAGGAGAATCTAATTTAGTTTGCACATTCTCCTGAGAAAAATCAGGTACTGGAGCTGAGACGGATGAGATTGAAGGGAAGAAATCTGTACAGAATCTTCCAACACCCCAGGTTGGAAGACTGATGTGACTAAACAATGGGCAAAGAGGAAAGTGGGATCACCTCCTACCCTTCCAGCACCCTACCTGTGGGCTCCTAACTCTATCAGTGTTCCCAGCAGCAGGACCTGCAACCTATTGATCCAATTACCTTTCTGCTCTTCCTAACTCCACCACCACCCTTGTTTCTTCTTTTCTTAGCCAGCTTAAATTCATTACTAATTGTTATCATCATCCCTTTGCAAAATTTGAACATGGGTTGAGACTTAGTTAATATGAAGGAAACATTGTTGATTTCACTATATGTAATAATGGCATTGTAGTTATGGTTCTTAAAAGCCCTTCTTTATTAGAAATGCATCTTGAAGTGTTTATAGGTGAATTGATATGATGTTTGGAATTTGCTTTGAAGTTATCCAGGAAAACATGTGGAGGAATAGATGAAAAAATATTGCAAAATTTTAAACTGTCGGACTTGGATGATAGAATTGTGGGATTCATTATATTATTCTTTCTGCTATTAAGTATGTTTGACAATATCATAATAAAAAGCAAAATAAATAAGCTAAAAAATACATGTTCTTGAATACCCTTTGAATTTCCTTGAACCTCTCTTGCTTAATAGTACTTACTTGACAAAACCTCAATCACAGTTGAAGTAAGTTCTCTATTATTGCTTCTGTACCCATACAACTAAATATGGCTAAAGAGAAATGACAAACTTGTCTCTTTATATTCTTGACTTCAAGTGGGACCTTAATTCTGCCCAGTAATTATACTACCTTTATCTAGTCCACTTCTCATCCCACTTTTCATAGATGACTTATTTTTATTTTTTATTTTTTTAAATTTATTTTTTATTTTTATTTTGATTTTTTTGCAGACGGAGTCTCCCTCTGCTGCCTGCTGGAGTGCAGTGGCACAATCTCGGCTCATTGCAACCTCTGCCTCCTGGGTTCAAGCGATTCTCCTTCCTCAGCCTCCTGAGTAGCTAGGATTACAGGCACCTGCCACCATGCTTGGCTAATTTGTCATATTTTTAGTAGAGACGGGGTTTTACCATGTTGGCCAGGCTGGTCTTGAATTCCTGACCTCAGGTGATCCGCCCACCTTGGCCTCCCAAAGTGCTGGGATTACAGGCGTGAGCCACCATGCCTGGCCACCTGGCTAATTTTTATATTTTTAGTAGAGACAGGGTTTCACCACATTCACCAGGCTGGTCTCGAACTCCTGACCTCAAGTGATCTGCCCACCTCGTCCTCCCAAAGTGTTAGGATTACAGGTGTGAGCCACTGCACCCACCTTCATAGATGACTATTATATACCTCTCTCCTCAAACACCTTCAATACTTCCACTTATCCATCCTCCCTTTCTGCTAATGACACACTCCTAGGAAAATACTGACTGTACAGTTAGCCATGGTAACAACCAGCAATCAGAGCCAGTTTTAAGTTCAATTGACCCATGATTACTCATCACAGTGAATGTGTTTTTGTAAACCCAATGAATGACAACTTCTTGATTCAGCCAATCACAAAGACTCACTTCAATAAGCACTCCTCTGAGTGCCAGCCACTCAACAATAGTTTCACCCAAGTTATCACTTCTACAAATGATGCTAACACACACCTTTGAAAGTTTGCCAATCTCTGAACTCCCCACTTTCTCAAAGTCTGATAGATTAGTAGTCTGGTCTGCTTGAAGACTGTGCCTCACCTGCATGGCTCTTACTGTTTATAGTAAGCAAGAAATTTGGCTTTGTGGTTTTTTTTTTTTTTTTTTTTTGAGACGGAGCCTTCCTCTGTCGCCCAGGCTGGAGTGCAGTGGCGCATCTCGGCTCACTGTAAGCTCCGCCTCCCGGGTTCACCCCATTCTGTGGCCTCAGCCTCCTGAGTAGCTGGGACTACAGGCACCCGCCACCACGCATGGCTAATTTTTTGTATTTTTTTAGTAGAGACGGGGTTTCACTGTGTTAGCCAGGATGGTCTCAATCTCCTGACCTCGTGATTTGCCTGCCTCAGCCTCCCAAAGTGTTGGGATTACAGGCATGAGCCACTGTGCCCGGCCGGCTTTGTGTTTTTATTTCGCATGATGAATGGTGTTCTCATCATCCTCTAACCGTACTTTACCTTCCCTCCTGTTACTATTGATCAGTGGTTCTCAAATGAGTGTGATATTGCCTGCCACAGGACACTTGGCAATGTCAGGAGACATTTTTGGTTGGAGTGGTGATAGAGGCCAGGAATGTTGCTAAGCATTTTACAACATCCAGAACAGCCTCGCCACAACAAAAAATTATCTCACCCAATATGTGCACAGGTTGAGAAGCCCTGCTGTAATCTATGTGCCTATCTAAGGCCAAACTTACACATTGGATCTAATTCCCCTTGCCTACTCAAGAACATTGTCCACCAATTCTCCCCTCCACTGCACATTTCCATTAGCAGCAAGATATTACTTCTCCCATCTTAAAAACATGCAAAACAGGCCAGGTGCACTGGCTTATGCCTGTAATTCCAGCACTTTGGGAGGCCAAGGGGGGCAGATCACCTGAGGTCAGGAGTTCAAGACCAGCCTGGCCAAAATGGCGAAACCCTGTCTCTACTAAAAATATAAAAATTAGCTGGGCGTGGTGGCATGCACCTGTAGTCCCACCTACTTGGGAGGCTGAGGCATGAGAATCGCTTGAATCCAGGAGGTGGAGGTTGCGGTGAGACGAGGTGGTGCCGCTGAACTCCACACTCCAGCCTGGGCAACAGAGCAAGACTCTATTTCAGAAAACAAGAAAACACCTTCTCTGCTTTTATTTACGGCAAAGGTCCTTCAAAAATTATCTATCCTAGCGCTGGGTGCAGTGGCTCACCTCTTTAATCCCAGCACTTTGGGAGGCTGAGGTGGGTGGATCACTTGAGGTCAGAAATTCGAGACCAGCCTGGCCAACATGATGAAACCCTGTCTCTATTAAAAATACAAAAAAAAAAAAAATTAGCTGAGTGTGGTGGCACGCACCTGTAATCCCAGCTGCTTTGGAGGCTGAGGCAGGTGAATCACTTGAACCTGGGAGGTGGGGTTGCAGTGAGCTAAGATTGTGCCACTGCACTCCAGCCTGGGCCACAGCATGAGACTCCGTCTCAAAAAAAAAAAAAAAAGAGGCCTTTGGCCAGGCATGGTGGCTCACGCCTGTAATCCCAGCATTTTGGGAGGCCGAGACGGGTGGATCATTTGAGGTCAGGAGTTCAAGACCAGCCTGGCCAACATGGTGAAACCCTGTCTCTACCAAAAATTACAAAAATTAGCCGGGTATGGTGGCAGGCGCCTATAATCCCAGCTACTCGGGAGGCTGAGGCAGGAGAATTGCTTGAATCCAAAAGGCGGAGGTTGCAGTGGGCTGAGATTGCACCATTGCACTCCAGACTGGGCGACAAGAGTGAAGCTCCATCTAAAAATGACAGAGAGAAAGAGAGAGAGAGAGAGAGAAGAAGGAAGGAAGAAAGAGGGGCTTTTATACTTTTTATTCATTGCTGTGTCCCCAGTCTTTACAATACCTCATGGACATAGTAGACTCTCAATAAATAATTGTTCAATTAATGTACACAAATTTCCAAAGAATTTGGACTTTATCCTAAAAGCCAACGGCAGCCATTGAAAGACTTTAAGTGGCACGGTGACATGAACAATTGTGCATTTTGGGAAAAGTCACTATAAAGACTGTGAAAAATGGATTGGAGCCAAAAGAGGATATGGAGTGACTGTTAGGAAGTTGCTGATAAAGCCTTGGCAGAACAGAGGCAATGGTGGGTAAGGCTGGGGTGAAGACAGCTGGAAGCGAGCAGATACAAGATGTAGTTTGGAATTAGAAACAACAGGACTTGGTGATGGCTTGTACATGACAGGTGAGGAGTAGTTTTTTTCTGTTTGTTTGTTTTTGTTTGTTTGTTTTTTTGAGGCGGAGTCTCGCTCCGTCACCCAGGCTGGAATGCAGTGGCGCGATCTCGGCTCACTGCAAGCTCCGCCTCCCGGGTTCACGCCATTCTCCTGCCTCAGCCTCCCAAGTAGCTGGGACTACAGGTGCCCGCCACCACGCCCGGCTAATTTTTTTGTGTTTTTAGTAGAGACGGGGTTTCACCATGTTAGCCAGGATGGTCTCAATCTCCTGACCTCGTGATCCGCCTGCCTCAGCCTCCCAAAGTGCTGGGATTACAGGCGTGAGGCACTGCGCCTGGCCAGGAGTAGGTTTTAAGGGGAACTCCAGGCCTGAACAACTGATTGATAGATATATCAGTCAGCCCTCCATATTCATGGGTCCTGCATCCATGGATTCAACCAACTATGGACAGATGTTTCTTTTTCTTTTTCTTTTTTCTTTTTTTTTTTTTTTGAGACAGTGTCTCACTCTGTCCCCCAGGCTGGAGTGCAGTGGCGTGATCAGAGCTCACTGCAGCCTCATATCCCTGGGCTCAAGCAATCCTCCTGCCTCAGCCTCCTGAGTAGCTGGGACCACAGGCTTATGCCACCACTCCCAACTAATTTTTAAAAATAAGTTTTGGTAGAAATGTTGCCCAGGCTGGTCTCAAACTCGTGGGCTCAAGCAATCCTCCTGCTTCAGCCTCCCAAAGTTCTTGGATTACGGGCATGAGCCACCTTATCTGGCCTAGAAAAAAAAAAATATATATATATATTTTATAAATATATATATAAATATATATAAATATAAATATATATTATAAATATATATTATAAATATATATATTTATATATTTATAATATATTTATATATAAATATATATAATATTATATTTATATATATATAATTATATATAATATATATTTATATATATTATATATAATATTATATAATTATATATAATATTATATATTAATATATAATTATATATAATATTTATTATATATAATTATATATAATATATAAATATATTAATATATAATTTATAATATATAAATATATTAATATATAATTTATAATATATAAATATATTAATATATAATTTATAATATATAAATATATTAATATATAATTTATAATATATAAATATATTAATATATAATTTATAATATATAAATATATTAATATATAATTTATAATATATAAACATATATAATATATAAATATATTTTATATATTATATATTATAAATATATATTATATATTTATAATATATATATTTATATTTATAAATATATATATTTATAATATATATATTTATATTATAAATATATATATTTATAATATATAATATATATTTATATATTTAAATATATATTTATATTTAAATACATATTTATATATAAATATATTAATATATTAAAAATATATTAATATATTTAAATATATATTTATATATTATAAATATATATATATAATTTATTTATTTATTTTGAGACAGAGTCTCGCTTTGTTGCCCTAGCTGGAGTGCAATGGGGCAATCTCAGCTCACTGCAACCTCCACCTTCTGGGTTCAAGTGATTGTCCTGCCTCAACCTCCCAAGTAGCTGGGATTACAGGTGCCTGCCACCACTCCCGTTTAATTTTTGTATTTTTCAGTAGAGGCAGGGTTTCGCCATGTTTACCAGACTAGTCTTGAGCTCCTGACCTCAGATGATCCGCCCACCTTGGCCTCCCAAAGTGCTGGAATTACAGGCATGAGCCACCAAGCCTAGCCTAGAAAAAATATATATGTATATATATTTTTGAGATGCCTGCCTCGGCCTCCCAAAGTGCTGGTATTACAGGCGTGAGGCACTGCACCCAGCCTTGAAAATATTTTTTTAATGGATGGTTACATCAGTATTGAACATGTACCGGCTTTTTTCCTTGTTGTTCTTTTAACAATACAGTATAACAACTATTTATATAGCATTTACATTGTATCAGGTATTATAAATAATCTAGAGATGACTTAACTGATACACATATGGAAGTATGTGTATAGGTTATATGCAAATTTTATGTAATGGACTTGAGCATCTGTAGATGTTGGTATTGAAGAGGAGTCCTGAACTAATCCCCTGAGGATATACAGCGACAACTATATGTATATTGATGTAATAGATATTTATTTATTTATATCTATTATGTATAATGTATATATATATATATATATATAGTGTGTGTGTGTGTGTGTGTGTGTGTGTGTGTGTGATATTTCAGTTTTTTTCCCCTTAATACTCCAGCATCTGGCATATAGTAGATGTTCCGAATATGTCAATTTTTTTTTTTGAGAGAGAGTCCTTGCTCCGTTGCCAGGCCGGAGTGCAGTGGTGCGATCTCGGCTCACTGCAACCTCTGCCTCCCGGGTTCAAGTGATTCTCCTGCCTCAGCCTCCCGAGTAGCTGGGACTACAGGTGCATGCCACCACGCCCAGCTAATTTTTGTATTTTTAGTAGAGACGGGGTTTCACCATGTTGGCCAGGATGGTCTCGATCATTAGACCTCATGATCTGCCCGCCTTGGCCTCCCAGAGTGCTGGGATTACAGGTGTCAGCCACCATGCCCAGCCAGAAGATGTCAATTTTAAGACAGGAATCAATAAACACTTGGAAAATTTCCAAGTTTCAGATAGTCACTTGCCCAGTGTGATGTGAAGAAAAGAGTTTTGGAGAGAGAGATGGTCTCTTATTCTGCTTCCATCACTAGCCATGTGGCCTTGGGGTCAAATAACTTCTGGATATGAGATTAAATGAAAGAATGTATATGAAAATGTTTGATACGTAGTAGGTTCTTGGTAAGTGCTAGTTTTCTTCCTAAGCATTTTAGTGACCATTACCTCACCTTCTTTCAGGAAGGAAGAACTAATCTCCCCAGCCGCTGGGCATACCAGCAGCAGGAAGCCCTACTGTCCTTGGCTGTCATCTCCTTTGATAGCTACTTCATTGAAGGAAGCCCTTTCTCCTGAGGTCACCTCCACTCCCTTCCTCAGGGCATCCAGTAACTAATCCAGACAGTTATAAAAGGCCCAGCTCCGTGTCCCAACTCAGGACAATGCTAAAGGGCCATCCAGCCTCAGGGTTTCCTGGAGGGTCTCCCTTGAGACTGCATCATAGCCCAGCTCCTCCCCCTGCCCAGATCAGCTTCCTTCCCGTCCTTTTGACCCCAAGAATCCTCCCCAAAAACCTCCTGCATGCTAATCTCCCTCTCAGGAGCTGCTTATCCATTTTGTTTATCCTGGGGAAGTAGACAGTTCTGCCGATTGCTCCAGCTGTCAGACTGTCTTTATTGTATGTATGGTGTTTTGTTTTGTTTTGTTTTGTTTTGAGGCGGAGTCTCACTCTGTCTGTCACCAGGCTAGAGTGCAGTGGCGGGATCTCAGCTCACTGCAACCTCTGCCTCCTGGGTTCAAGCAATTCTCCTGCCTCAGCCTCCCGAGTATCTGGGACCACAGGTACAGACCACCATGCCCAGCTAATTTTGTATTTTTAGTAGAGATGGGGTTTCACCATGTTGGCCAGGATGGTATCTTTCCCCTGACCTCGTGATCTGCCCGCCTCGGCCTCCCAAAGTGTTGAGATTACAGGTGTGAGCCACTGTGCCCAGCCGTATGTATTTTTTTGGTTTTTATGGTTTTTTTTGAGACGGAGTCTCACTCTGTTGCCCAGGCTGGAGTGCAGTGGCACTATCTCGGCTCACTGCAAGCTCCGCCTCCCGGGTTCACCCCATTTTCCCACCTCAGCCTCCATAGTAGCTGGGACTACAGGCACCCGCCACCATGTCCGGCTAATTTTTTGTATTTTTTTTTTTAGTAGAGAAGGGGTTTCACCGTGTTAGCCAGGATGGTCTTGATCTCCTGACCTTGTGATCCGCCCACCTCAGCCTTCCAAAGTGTTGGGATTACAGGCGTGAGCCACCATGCCCGGCCAGCTGTATGTATGGTTTTTAATGTGAGAACACACAAACATTCGGCCAGGTGTGGTGGCCCATGCCCGTAATCCCAGCACTTTGGGAGGCCGAGGCAGGCGGGTCACTTGAGGTCAGGAGTTTGAGACCAGCCTGGCCAACATGGTCAAAGCCTGCCTCTACTAAAAATACAAAAATTAGCTGGGCATGGTGGCACACACCTGTAATCCCAGCTCCTTGGGAGGCTGAGGCATGAGAATTGCTTGAAACTGAGAGGCAGAGGTTGCAGCGAGCTGAGATCGCACCTCTACACTCCAGCCTGGGTGACAGAGCAAGACTCTGTCTAAAAAAAAACACACACACACAAATTTAAGCTGATAAGCTTTTACTACTTCATAGGACCTCTCCTCTTAGAAATTAATCAAACATATTATATTTGCGAGTATAATTTTTTCATGAAATAGAAAAATGTGTCAACTAGCAAAATTTAGCCAGGAGCTGTGGCTCACATCTGTAATCCCAGCACTTTGGGAATCCTAGGTGGGTGGATAGCTTGAGGCCTGAAGTTTGAGACCAGCCTGGGCAACATGGTGAAACCCTGTCTCTACAAAAAATTTAAAAATTAGCCAGACTTGGTGGTGTGCACCTGTAGTCCCAGCTACTCAGGAGGCTGACACAGAAGGATCGCTTGAGCCCTGGAGGTCAAGACTGCAGTGAGCCACGACTGCCTCACTGATTTCTAGACAGTGTCAGAGTGAGACCCTGTCTCAAAAATAGAAAAAAAAGCAAAATTTTTATTTTTAGTGAAAATTTAATTTATATAAAACATGACACAGGTTTTTAAGTGAATACACATTTATCAGACATTTTCATTTCTTTTTTTCTTTTTTGAGATGGAGTCTTGCTGTCACCCAGGCTTGAGTGTAGTGGCATGATCTCAGCTCACTACACCCTCCACCTCCTGGGTTCATGCAATTCTCAGGCCTCAGCCTCCCCAGTAGCTGGGACTACAGGTGTGTGCCATCACGCCTGGCTAATTTTTTCGTATTTTTAGTAGAGACGAAGTTTCACCATGTTGGCGAGGCTGGTCTTGAACTCCTGACCTTAAGTGATCCACCCGCCTCACCCTCCCAAGGTGCTGGAAATACAGGCATGAGCCACTGTGCCGAGTCAAAACATTTTCATTTCTTATGGGCTGCTTTTTATTGATATATATCTCACGTAACATAATATTTACGCTTTAAAGTGTACAAGTCAGTGGTTTTTAGTATATTCACAGATATGTGCAACTATTGCCACTGATTCCAGAACATTTTATCACCCCCTAAGAGAAACCCTGTACCTATTAGCAGTGACTGCCATCCCTCCTCTCCCTCCCTGGCAACCACTAATCTACTTTCGGTCACTATGGATTTGCCTGTTCTGGACGTTTAATGTAAATGGTGTCATACAATATGTGGATTTTTGTGTCTGACTTCTTTCACTTAGCATGTTTTCAAGGTTCATCCATGTTGTAGCATGTATTAGTACTATACTTCCTTTGTGTGGTTGAACAATATTTCACTGTATAGACATATCATATGTTGTTTCTCAATTCATCCATTGATGAACATTTGGATTGTTTATGCTTTTGGCTATTATGAAAAATGCTACCATGAATATTCATACAGATGTTTTTGTAAGGGCATATGTTTTCAATTCTGTTGGGCATATATTAAGGAGCAAAATTTCTGGATCATATGGTAATTATATATTTAACATTTAGAGAAACTGTCAAAATGTTCTGCAAAATGGCTCCACCATTTTACACTCCCGTTAGCAATGTATGAGGGATTCACTTTCTCCACATCCTTGTCAACACTTATAATTGTCTGTCTTTTATATTTTAGCTATTCTAGTGAGTGTGAAGTGGTGTCTCACTGTGGTTTCAATTTGCATTTCCCTAATGACCAGTGATGTTGAACATCTTCTCCTGTGCTTATTGGTCATTTGTATATCTTCTTTGAAGAAATAGCTATTTGTGCTTTTTTGCCCATTTTTTAAATGGGTTGTCTTTTAGTTGTTGAGTTTTAGGAATTCTTTTATTTATTTATTTATTTTTTTGAGACAGAGCCTCACTCTGTCAGCCAGGCTGGAGTGCAGTGGGGTGATCTCGGCTCACTGCAACCTCAAACTCCTGCGCTCAAGGGAACCTCCTGCCTCAGCCTCCCAAGTAGTTAGAACTACAGGCACAGTCCACCATGCCTGGCTGATTTTTTTTTTTTTAAAGACAGAGTCTTGCTCTGTCGCCCAGGCTGGAGTGCAGTGGCGCGATCTCAAAAAAAATTTACTATTTTACAATTTTAATTAGTTTAATATTTTTATATCTATATTTCAATATAATTGGTTTCCTTTGTAATCCTACACATCTTATTTTATGCGTTAAAAACATTATTCTGAAAAAGTGTCCATAGGCTCCACCAGGTTGATAGAGGTTAAAAAACCCTGATTGTTTTTTTTGAGACAAGGTTTTACTCTGTCTCTCAGGCTGGAAAGACCTCCTAGGCTCAAGTGATCCTCCCACCTCAGTCCCCTGAGTAGCTGGGACCACAAGGGGGCGCCACTACACTCTGCAAATTTTTTAAATTTTTAGTGGAGATGGGGTCTTGGTAAAGGCAGGTCTTGAACTCTTGGCCTCAAGCAATCCTCGTGCCTCAGCCTGCCAAAGTGCTGGGTTTACAGGTGTGAGCCACTTCACCCAGCCAAGAACTCCTGATTTAAGGAGCAATATCTGCATGGAGAAACCAGAACTGTGTCCTATGAACAAATTCCCTCAGGGGAGATGAAAGTCAGTGGAATTTTTTCTTTCTTTTTTTTTTTTGAGATGGAGTCTTGCTCTGTCGACAGTGGCATTATCTCGGCTCACTGCAACCTCCACCTCCCAAGTTCAAGCGATTCTCGTGCCTCAGTCTCCTGAGTAGCTGGGATTACAGGCGCCCACCACCATGCCTGGCTATTTTTTTTTATTTTTAGTAGAGACAGGGTTTTACCATGTTGGCCAGGCTAGTCTCGAACTCCTGACTTCAAATGATCCACCCGCCTTGGCCTCCCAAAGTGCTGAGATTACAGGTGTGAGCCACCATGCCCGGTCCCTTTTCTTCTTCTTCTTCTTCTTCTTTTTTTTTTTTTTTTTTGAGACACTGCACTCTGTCGCCAAGCCTGGAGTGCAGTGGCATGAACACAGCTCACTACAGTCTCAACTGCTCCAGCTTAGGTGACCCTTCTATCTCAGCCTCCAGAGCAGCGTCTGGGACCACAGGCGGGCACCACCATGCCCAGCTAATTTTTGTATTTTTTTTTTTGCAGTGATAGGGTTTCACCTGTTGTGTAGGCTGGTCTCAAACTCCTGGCTTCAAACAACACACCCACTTTTGCCTCCTAAAGTGCTGGGATTGCAGGCATGGGCTGCCCCAACCTGTCAAACTTTCTGAACCTACTGTACAAGTATATCCTCAGATTCACTCAGATCTTGACGAATTATCTTTCCTGTTTAGAGAAATCCCAAGCCTACCCTTAATTTTTTTTGAAAGGAAAGATCGTTCATATGCTGAAGACAACTTCAACTTTGCTTTTATTTATTTGGACTCTGAATGATTTTAACATCTTTTGTTTGATTTTTTCTGTTTTTTAAAAAACTTTATTGATTTTTGAGACAAGGTCTTGCTCTGTCACCCAGGCTGGAGTGCAGCCATGAGATCATAGCTCACTGCAGCCTGGAGCTCCTGGGCTCAGGGATCCTCCTACCTCCTCCTCCCATGTAGCTGGGACTATAGGCATGGGCTACCATGCCTGGCTAATTTGCATTTTTTTTTGTAGAAACGGGGGTCTCACAGCTGGGCACAGTGGCTCATGCCTGTAATCCCAGCACTTTGGGAGGCCGAGGCGGGTGGATTGCGAGGTCAGGAGTTCAAAACCAGCCTGGCCAAGATGGTGAAACCCCGTCTCTGAGGGCAGAGGTTGCAGTGAGTGAGATTGCGCCATGCACTCCAGCCTGGACGGAGTGAAACTCCATCTCAGAAAAAAAAAAAAAAAAAAGAAAGAAACGGGGGTCTCACTATATTGCCCAGGCTGGTCTTGAACTGGGCTCAAGTGATCCTCCTACCTCAGCCTCCCAAAGGACTGGGATTATAGACATGAGCCACTGCACCTGGCCTTAAACTTACATTTTAAACTTCCAGTGTGCTGATTTGGGGCTTAGCAGTCTTTTTTTTTTTTTTTTTCTTGAGACGGAGTCTCACTGTGTTGCCCAGGCTGGAGTGCAGTGGCACTATCTCAGCTCGCTGCAACCTCTGCCCCCCCGGTTCAAGTGATTCTCCTGCCTCAGCCTCCCGAGTAGCTAGAATTACAGGTGTCAGCCACTGCACCTGGCTAATTTTTCTATTTTTAGTAGAGACGGGGTTTCGCCATCTTGGCCAGGCTAGTCTTGAACTCCTGACCTCATGATCAACCCACCTCGGCCTCCCAAAGTGTTGGGATTACAGGTGTGAGCCACTGCGCCTGGCCTCATTTTTTTTTTGGAGAGATCTTTGCTAATTGTTTTCACCAATGGTGAAAAAAGAATGGTTGCAGATTTTATTTATTTATTTACTTTAAAAATTTATTTATTTATTTATCTGAGATAGAGTCTTGCTTTGTCACCCAGGCTGGAGTGCAATGGTGTGATCTCGGCTCACTGCAACCTCTGCCTCCTGGGTTCAAGTGATTCTCCTGCCTCAGCCTCCCGAGTAGCTGGGATTTGGGATTACAGGCGTGTACCACCATACCCGGCTAACTTCTTTTTTTACTTTTAGTAGAGAGAGGGTCTCACCATGTTGGCCAGGCTGCTTTCAAACTCCTGGCCTCAGGTGATCCACCTGCCTTGTCCTTCCAAAGTGCTAGGATGACAGGCGTGAGCCACTGAGCCTGGCCCTGGTTGTAGGCTTCAAAAAAAAGGAATAACAATGTACGCCAGATGTAGTGGCTCACCTCTTTAATCCCAGCACTTTGGGAGACTGAGGTGGGCGGATCCCTTGAAGTCAGAAGTTTGAGACCAGCCTGGCCAACATGGTGAAACCTTGTCTCTACTAAAAGTACAAAAAAGGTTAGCCAGGTGTGGTGGTACACACCTGTAATCCCAGGTACTTGGGAAGCTGAGGCAGAAGAATTACTTAAACCTGGGAGGTGGAGGTTGCAGTGAGCCAAGATCGTGCCACTGCACCCCAGCCTGGGCAATGCAGAGAGTCAAAAAAAAAAAAAAGAAAGAAAGAAAGAAAAAAGAAACAGTGAAACGCCATCTCTGTTAAAAATAAACAAAATTGGCCGGGCATGGTCATGCATGCCTGTGACCAGCTACTTGGGAGGTTGAAGTGAGAGGATGGCTTGAGCCCAGGAGGTCAAGGCTGCAGTAAGCCAAGATTGCATCACGCACTCCAGCCTGGGTGACAGATGAAACCTTGTCTCAAAAAACAAATAAAAACCAAACCAAAATAAAACCCACAAAAAATAATGTATAGAGCTCTCTAAGACATATTTTATAAAATAACAAAAACCTATCTGCAGAATACATTCTGTACAATCCCCAATCCCATTTATGTAATAAGCAAAAACAGAGTACTGCATAGGTCTACAAATGTGTATGTGTTTATACATAGAAAGAGAACTAAAACTATATCAAACTGTGTTTTTTTCTATTTTCTTTTTTTTTTTTTTTGAGATGGATTTTCACTCTTGTCGCCCAGGCTGGAGTGCAATGGCACGATCTCGGCTCACTGCAACCTCCGCCTCATGGGTTCAAGTGACTTTCCTGCCTCAGCCTCCTGAGTAGCTGGGATTACAGGTGCCTGCCACCATGCCCAGCTAATTTTTGTACTTTTAGTAGAGATGGGGTTTCATCACGTTGGCCAGGCTGGTCTCAAACTCCTGACCACAGGTGATCCACCCACCTCAGCCTCCCAAAGTGCTGGGATTACAGGCATGAGCCACTGCACCTGGCCTATGTCAAATTGTTAACAGTCTTTTTTTTTGTTTTTTTTTTTGAGACAGGATCTCATTCTGACACCCAGGCTGGAGCGCAGTGGTGTGATCTCGGCTCACTGCAGCCTCGACTTCCTGGGCTCAAGCAATCCTCCTGCCTCCGCCTCCTGAGTAGCTGGGACCACAGGCATGTGCCACCATGCCTGGCTAATTTTTGTAGAGGCGGGATTTCACTATGTTCCCCAGGCTGGTCTGGAACTCCTGACCTCAAGCGATCTGTCCGCCTCGGCCTCCCAAAGTGCTAGGATTACTGGCATGAGCCACTGAGCCCAGCCATCAAACTGCTAATAGTCTTTCCAAGAGGAGAATAAGACTAGGGGAAGGGTGAAGTGGAAAGTTTCACTTTTTCTCTATATTCCTCTGTTTATTTAAGATTATACCATAAGGATGTACTTTTTTTTTTCTTTTTTGAGACAGAGTTTCACTCTTGTTGCCCAAGCTGGAGTGCAATGGAGGGATCTTGGCTTACTGCAACCTCCGCTTCCTGGGTTCAAGTGATTCTCCTGCCTCAGCCTCCCGAGTAGCTGGGATTACAGGCGCCTGCCACCATGCCCGGTTAATTTTGTATTTTTAGTAGAGGCGGGGTTTCTCCATGTTGGTCAGGCTGGTCTCAACCTCCCGACCTCAGGAGATCCACCCGCCTCGGCCTCCCAAAAGTGCTGGGATTACAGGTGTGAGCCACTGTGCCTGGCCATTATTTTTAACACTAGGATTAACTTTAAAGACAGTAGAGTTACTGTCTTAGTCCATTTTATGCTGCTATAAGAGAATACCACAGACTGAATAATTTATAATGAACAGAAATTTATTAGGCTCATGGTTCTAGAGGCTTAGAAGTCCAAGATCCTGGAGCCATATCTGGAAAGGGCCTTCTTGCTGCATCTTAACATGGCAGAAAGCATCACATTGGGTGAGAGAGAGTGAAAGGGAAAGGCAGAGAGAAGGAGGAAGAGAGAGAGAAAGGGAGAGAGAGAGAGGCACCAAAGTTATCCTTTTATTGGGAACCCACTCCTGAGATAACTAACCCATTCCCGCCATAACAGCATTAATCCATTCATGAGGGCAGAACCTTCAGGTACTAATCATTCTTAAAGGTTCCACTTCTCCAGATTGTTGCATTGGGGATTAAGTTTCCAACACATGAACTGTGGGGGACACATTCGAATCATAGCAGTTACCCATATAGCTACTGAGCCAAATCTTGGGACTACTAAAACTTTTTATGTTATGTTATGTTATTTTATTTTATTTTATTTTTATTTATTTATTTTTTTTGAGACGAGTCTCGCTCTGTTGCCCAGGCCGGAGTGCCGCGGCGCTATCTTGGCTCACTGCAACCTCCGCCTTCCAGGTTCAAGCGATTCCCCTGCCTCAGCCTCCAGAGTAGCTGGGATTGCAGGCGCGGGCCGCCACGCCAGACTAATTTTTTTTTTTTAAATATTTTTAGTAGAGACGGGGTTTCACCGTGTTAGCCAGGATGGTCTCCCTCTCCTGACCTCGTGATCCGCCCCCCTCGGCCTCCCAAAGTGCTGGGATTACAGGCGTAAGCCCCCGCACCCGGCCATTGTATGTATGTATGTATGTATGTATGTATGTATGTATGTATGTATGTATGTATTTTTGAGACGGAGTCTTGCTTTGTCGCCCAGGCTGGAGTGAAAATGGCACGATCTCGGCTTACTGCAACCTCTGCCTCCCGGGTTCAAGCAATTCTCGTGCCTCAGCCTCCCGAGTAGCTGGGATTACAGGCACCCACCACCACGCCTGGCTAATTTTTTTGAATTTTTCGTAGAGACCGGGTTTCACCATGTTGGCCAGGCGGTCTTGAACCCCTGACCTCAGGTGATCCACCCACCTCGGCCTCCCAAAGGGTTGGGATTACAGAAAGTGTTAGGATTACAGACATGAGCCATCGCGCCCAACCAAAACTTTATATGTTATTTTCTTATTTCATCTCTCCCAGTTGATTAATTAAAAAGTGTTACTTAAGAATCTACTTTGGCTGGGCGTGGTGCTCATGCCTATAACCCAATGCTTTAGAAGGCCAAGGCAGGAGGATGGCTTGAGGCCAGGAGTTCTAGACTAGCCGGAGCAACAAGGCAAAACCACCCCCTCATCCCCACACACTGCCCTATCTCTACAAATTTGCTTTGCAAATTGGGAAAACAGCATTTCATAGGATTTCTGTGAGGATTAGACAGGTTAAACATGTAAAATGTGTAAGACTGCATTTTGCCTATATACATAAAAAACTGGCCAGACGCAGCAGCTCACACCTGTAATCCCATCACTTTGGGAGGCCAAGGCAGGTGGATTACCTGAGATGGGGAGTTGGAGACCAGCCTGACCAACATGGTGAAAACCCATCTCTACTAAAAATATAATTAGCAGAGCGTGGTGGCACATGCCTGTAATCCCAGCTACTTGGGAGGCTGAGGCAGGAGAATTGTTTGAACCTGGGAGGCAGAGGTTGCAGTGAACCGAGATCATGCCTCTGCACTCCAGTCTCGGCGACAGAGTAAGACTCCGTCTCAAAAAAAAAAAAAAACAGTTAACATATATTAATTTTGGTTTTTATATTTTAGAACCATAGGCTTTTTTTTTTTTCAAGTCTCAAACATTTTCATAAGCAGCGTGCTATGGTGCTAGTGACTAAAACATTTCTGCCTACAGGGACTGGAAGTAGGAAAACAAGGAGGCAGTGCCAGTGGCGACCAGAAATTTGCACACCAGGTACAAAGGGTATTTGTCCTCAGCTCCAGCAGAGTTTCTTTTTTTTCTCTGCAACCATGTAAGGTTCTTCTAATGCAAAAGAAAAAAAAATCTGTCACATCTAAGGACCTTGAAAAGTTTTGTTTCCCTTGAGGAATTTGATATGCTTTTTCCTTATCATTCAGAAACATCAGTGTATAGTATGTTTTCCCAGTCTGCATTGCGCCCAGTAAGTTTCAAGCCAAAATTTCTGTTTAATTTTGGAACAATAGAAACTCCTGATCGGCACATTAAAAATTTTCTTTGATCTTGATCTTCCATACCCGTTGCTGCCTTTTATTTAATTTTACATTTCCTCTTGATTATATATCTTCCAAGCTGATTAAAATTTTCTACTAGCCAAAAGGAGTTTGAGCGAACAAAAATATTTACAGAGCCATCAGCCATCTATGAGAATACCTTTTTCTTGGCATTCCACACACTGCCAGGTGTTATTTGAAAAGTCTTTACTGATGTAATAAACCAGAAATGGTTTCTCATTGGGGTTTTATTTTGTATTTCTAAGATTACAGGTGAGAGTGAACATTTTCCCATATTTGTTAACCAGGTTTAAAACTGTTTGATTGGGACGTGGCTTATACAGGGACAAATGCAGCTAAGCCGACTGAAAGACAAATGAAACCCAGGAATATCTGGTTCTTACATTTTAGCTTTGACTCCGCCCCTGGGTCCCCTCACCTACCCGGACCCCAAGCAAGCCCTTTGTGTGTGTCAACCATCAGTGAATGGGATCTCAATCTGAAAAGCTGGCAGAATACCGTCTTGCCCCCAAATATGTGTATTATGCGTATATCCAGTGTCTGATTGCAATGTTTATGGGAAAAAGTTCCTGAATCCTAACCAAGACTGAGGCACTGGCCGTCCCCGGGAGTCTTTCCGCAGGCGCGGCCTCTGACACTCGGTCTTCGATTGGCCCGCCTGGCCCCGCAGGAGTCGGGGTGACGCCGGCCAGCCCAGAGCGGACGATGAGAGCTAGGAGTGGCTGCTTCTGCCTTTCTCTCCCCCTACTTTTTTTTTTTTAGCCATAGCTATGGTTACCACGTTTCTCTCCGCCTCCCGCCACCTACCAAGAAAACGACTGACCATTGGCTGCCTTTCACCAAGGCGGTAAGTCATTGGTCTCTGGTGGGACCGGGCGCTGCCCCCTTCCCCTGTCTCCTGGGTCTCTGGAGGAGCCCAGGAAGGAGGCTCCGCTGGTTCCGCTGGGTCAGGCGCTGACGGGACCGGGCTGCGGCAATCGTTAGCGGGTCATGTCGGCCGCCCAGGGCTGGGACAGGAACCGCCGGAGGGGAGGAGGCGCCGCCGGCGCTGGTGGCGGAGGTAGCGGGGCCGGCGGGGGCAGTGGGGGCAGCGGGGGTCGGGGGACTGGCCAGCTCAACCGCTTCGTGCAACTCTCCGGGCGGCCGCACCTGCCAGGTGAGTCGTGGGACAGGGTCCTGACCGCTTGCGGGCGGGAAGGTGACTGCTACCTTTTCTTTTTCTCCCTGGCTTGCTTTTCCTTGGGAGGAGGAAAGGCAGGCCCCACGCATAGCAGAGGGACTGGGGATCAGAGAAAAGGGAAGGTGTCTTTGAGGTCAGGGAGGGAACAGGAGCACAGCGAAGAAAAGTATCTGTGCTCTGTTGAAAGCTCTGTGCTGAGAGTTGTGTTTTCTTTTCAAAGGAGAGGCCACTGTCTCATTGACATTTCCAAATGTTTCGGTTACTCGATTCCCAATCTCTTCCCCTTCCGCAGTTTGATCTTGTAAATGAAAGACATTGGCGCCTAGCTGTGGGAAATTATTTCAAAAAGGGTGCCAAGTTAAGGAGAGAAGAAGGAAACGCATTCCAAGGAGTGATTTTGTAAAAACTACACGGGGCGTGTGTGTAAGAGGCATTCTGAAACGGAAGAAAGGGGTGGGGGAGTGTTGGCTGGGGAGTGTATGGGAAAGAGAACCTAGAGGATTAGGGAAAACTAGTTGGATTATTAATATTTTGGAATGTTCAGAGACAGGATAATGGTGTCTAGGTTTTAAGGGGAGAAAGTGAAGATCAAAAATATACTTAGTGACACAATTATGCTGTGTTTACAATATAAAAACAACTGAGAATTGGAAAAATGTACCCAATACAATTATTTGACATTTTGGTCTACAGTGCCCTAGCCTTGAGTTCAGATGCTTTTGAAAACAAAATAAAATCAAGTGGATATGTATGTGTAGACAATTTTAAAGAGGTATGTTTGTAATTGAATATTCAATCTAGTAGAAGGAAGGTAGGGAATTAAATAATGCAGAGAACGTCAAATATCCCACTGGGCAAGCTTATTTTTACTATGAAAAGAACTATCAGGAATGATGTGTTAATTATTCATCGTGTTTTTTGTGAATAATATTGATTATATTAGTGATATATTTGTTTAGCTGATGAGTTTTGAGAACATGATGAATTGGTTTTTATGAATTGTGCTTAAGACTGTACCTTATACTTCTAGTCAAAAATTATTATTTGATTAAATTGAAGATGACAAAGGGAATTTAGCACATTTAATGAGACAATTGCTTATGTTCGTGATGAGGTTGTTGATGTGTGCTAGAAATGTACATTACCCCATTTATATGCATTAAATCGAGGCATTTGTAAGTAGTCATATAATATACCAGAAGTTGGGTTTGAGACGTTAATATCAGACTGGGCATCCTAGAATTGCTAAATATACGATCTTTAACATGAAAAAGAAAAAAGGAGCAATCTTTTTTCTTACTCCCAATTAATAATAAAAACTTAGATTTTTGTGTATTGGCAGCTTAGAAGATGAATCTCTTAGCAAACACTGTCACCAGTTTGCCCTCTACTACCGCAATCTTTAGGTCTTTGATCACGGATTAATTATACCATGGGCTTCAAGTAGGCATTCCTAGGTTCCTAGAACCTGCTTGGTGCACTTCCTCACTTCAACCACGTGATGGCAGTGGAAGCCATGATTTCTGCTAAGGGGCTTCAGTGTAGAGCTATTTCTGCATTCCCTTAGCACACAAGACCAAGAACAGCCATTTATCCGGAGGTAAAGATAAACGTGTCTAAACTGTGAAAATTTGTAAAGCGGGGTCATCAGTCTCTTTTTTCTGCTTCCCTTTTCTCTTGACTGACACTTCATTGCTCCTTTACTCATTCTCAAAATTGGGACACATCTGATACCTCAATGTATTATGTAGTTTGAAATTCTTTCATACCAATTCTTTATTCTGCTAGGTATTGCATTTTAAGCCTCTCCCTTTTCTTGCATTTTGATAGATTTTAAAAGATTTTAGGTGATGGGGAGGAATAGGATGTCTAGGCTTGGTTGACGGGCCTTGGAGATAAAACCTTTTATTTTAAATTTATTTATTTATTTATTTATTTATTGAGATGGAGTCTCACTCTGTCCTCCAGGCTGGAGTGCAGTGTCGCGATCTCGGCTCACTGCAACTCCACTTCCTAGGCTCAAGCAATTCTCCTGCCTCAGCCTCCTGAGTAGCTGAAATTACAGGCGCCCACCACCACGCCAGGCTAGTTTTTGTATTTTTAGTAGAGACGGGATTTTATCATGTTGGCCAGGCTGGTCTTGAACTCCTGACCTCAGGTGATTTGCCTGTCTCAGCCTCCCAAAGTGCTGGGATTACAGGCGTGAGCCACCTCGCCCAGCCAAATTTTTTATTTTTTTGAGTGTACTATAGCGGCTGGTCGTGGTGGCTCACATCTGTAACCCCAGCACTTTGAAAGTCCAAGGTGGGAGGATCACTTGAGCCTAGGAGTTCAAGGCCAGCCTGGGCAACAAAGCAAGACCACATCTCAAGTTAAAAATTAAAAAACAACAACAACAACAACAAAAAACTATAGTATAGCTCACTGTCTCTCTCTTTTGACCTCTAAATCCTATTTGTCTTTTTTTTTTTTTTTTTTTTGAGACAGAGCCTCACTCTGTGGCCCAGGCTGGAGTGCAGTGGCACAGTCTTGGCTTACTGTAACCTTTGCCTCCCGAACTCTAGCAATTCTCCTGTCTCAGTCTGCCAAGTAGCTGGATTAGAGGTGCGGGCCACCACGTCCGGCTAATTTTTTGTATTTTTGGTAGAGATGGGTTTTTGCCATGTTGGCCAGGCTGGGCTCGAACTCCTGGCCTCAAGTGATCCTTCCGCCTCAGCCTCCCGAAGTGCTGGGATTACAGGCGTGAGTCACAGCGCCCAGCCAGCCCCATGTTCCATTTTTCATCCTTCTCTACCAAGACTTCCAGTTACTGATACTTAGAACCTTTTCTTACTTTTTACATCTCAACCCTCCATCCAGCCCCCAATGAAACCAAACAAAACAACCTGGTCTTCCTGGAGTGTTCTCATTCTCTTTCAGTGATAGCTTCTTTATCCATCCAGTTATGCAAACTTGAAACTTGGTCATCCTCCTCAATATTTTCTTCTCCGTTGCACTTCAGGTGTAATCATTTACCAAGTCCGTTTCTTTTACTCCTGCCATAACTCCAATCCACGGTGCCACCATCCCTCACTTAGGTCTCCTGCAGGAGCTTTTTAAGCAGTATTCGTGCTTCTACTCTTGCCCTTCAATTCATATAGCACACCAGTCTTTTTGCAAGCCCAAATACATTCTCATCCCTGCTCACAACCTTTTTATTGCTCTTAGGATAAGGCAAAAATCTTTAACATGGCCTCAAAGGCACTGTGTCGTCTGACTCCTCTCTAACTCTACAGTTAATCCTGTGTTACGTTCTCTTGGTCATTGATCTTTTTCTGCCCCCTTGGATGTATCATGCTTCCTCCTGCCCCAGGTCCATTGCACAAGCTTTTCCGTCATCCAAGAACCTTCTTACTCCTCATTCCATTCTCTTGTTTTAACTTCTCTTCCATTAGATCTCAGTTTGATCAAAATGTTTTTTTACATGGAAGCCTTCCGTGACTTTCTGACTTGGTCTCTTCTCTCTGTAACACTCATAGCATCATGTGGCTCTCCTTGGGCATACTTTACCATTTGTGTGTGATTCCTTGATATGCATGATTTGATACTCTTGAGATGTATGTGCGTATACATATACACACATATGCGTATATATATGCCATATACATATACATATATTTTTAAAATTCTAAATTAACGCATTGGCATTATATATAACACGTTAGTGTCTAGTGAGTTTGGTTAGTGTGGTTCAATCCTCTAGCCACATTGACTCTGGATAGATGGTTAAAATCAAGGTTCTCTCTCTTTTTTTTTTTTTTTTTCTGAGATGGAGTCTTGCTCTGTCACCCAGGCTAGAGTGCAGTGGCGCAATGTCACTGCAACCTCTGCCTCCCAGGTTCAAGCAGTTCTCCTGCCTCAGCCTCCTGAGTAGTTGGGATTATAGGTGCGCGCCACTGTGCTACTTTTTGTATTTTTAGTAGAGACGGGGTTTCATCATGTTGGCCAGGCTGGTCTCGAACTCCTGATCTTGTGATCCACCCACCTTGGCCTCCTAAAGTGTTGGGATTACAGGCGTGAGCCACCGTGCCTGGCCAAAATCAGGTTCTTTAATGTAAAGTAGTGGATTAGACTCTGCATCCATTGCGACAGCACAAACAATAGTTTGTGAAACCTTTTTTTAAGCACTTGCCTTTCTCCTGTTTTCTGAAGTTCACTAGTGATTATGTGTTTGCCTCATAGGCCAAGAAATTAATAGCTTTTTACTCCTGGATTTTTACTAACTCATAATTTCTATACACCCAGTAACGAACAGGGAATTGTGCTTTTTGTAGAATAAGTATGCAGAGAGCTCAGGAGCGCGGGGTTCATGGGGCAATGGAATTCAGGTAGCTGTTGTGATTTAACTGTGTGAGTTTGATTAAATACCATGATTAGCTGGGAAAACAGTTAAACATTGTTGCTAACATGGGAACTGGAAAACTGACAAAGAAAAAGAAGGAAAAATGTAACAGTTGGTAAAGCTGGGTAAAAATAATACTGTAGTCTTAACTTAAAAATTTTAAGTAAGTAATGTGTATAAAATCCAAATGATACAAAAAAGTATATGGTAAAAGGCAAGTTTTTCTTCTTCCTTTGACCCCAGCTAATTGACTGCCTTCCCTAGAAGCAACCAATGATACATTTCCTGTATATTTTTTCCAGGTTCAGGGGGGACGGGAGGGACTTTGTGGAGATGGTAGCATTCCTTTGTTTGGATGGGTATTTAAGATGTTTACAATCTTGCTAATACAAATAGTGATACAATGAATAGCCCTATACATATATAACTTTTGCACATGAGAGAGTCTTTCTTTAGGATAAATTTGTAGAAGTACAGTTTCTGGGTCAAAGGATTTATGTTTACTGCTTAAATTTTGATAGATTCTGTCAAATTTCAAGTTTATGTTTCCCTGTTGTTGTTCGAGTGCTGTCTTCCTTGTTCTTTTGGTAACGGAGTGGGTTATCAAACGTTATTTAAATTGTCAGTTTAATAGGAATAGTTTTCTTAAGTGTCTTTCCAATAGGTAGATAAAAGAGCCATTTATTTGTTTCCTTTATCTATAGATCTGTTTATATTTTTTGTTCATTTTTCTATTGGGATGGTTCATATTGTTTATAAAGGCGGTACCCAACCTTTTTGGCACCAGGGACCAGTTTCGTGGAAGACAATTTTTCCATGGACCGGGATGGTGGGGTGGAGGAGTGGGGGGAATGGTTTCAGGATGAAACTGTTCCACCTCAGGTCATCAGGCACTAGAGACTCAAAAGGAGTGCACAGCCTAGATCCCTTGCATGCACAGTTCACCGTAGAGTTAGCACTCCTATGAGAATCTAATGCTTGATCTGACAGGAGGCCAAGCTCTGGCGGGAATGCTCACTCGCCCACCACTCACCTCCTGCTATGTGGCCAGGTTCCTAACAGGCCATGGACCGGTACCAGGGGTCCATGGCCTGGGGCTTGCGGACCCCTGGTTTATAGGAACTCTGTATTTTAATGAAATCAGTTCTTAGCCATTGACACGTTGCAGATATTTTTCACAGTTTTTCATTTGCGTTTTGACTTTGTTTATGGTCTATTTTTTCATCAGAAATTAAATGTTTTAAATGTTTTGTTGTGAAATTTATCAGTCTTTTCAGAGTCTAGGTTTTGTGTCATAAGAAAGGCCTTTCCTATTTTATTATTATTTCTAATTCAAATTAAATATTCTTGTGTTTTCTCCAGGTACTTCTGTAATTTTATTTTTAAGTTAAATGCACTTACCCACACAAAATGTAAGTTAAATAAAGTGTCGAGGTGGGAATCCAACTATACTTTTCTTCCAGATGGCTGCCCAGTTATGGCAGTGTCCTTCATTTAGTTCAGCTTTGCCCTGCTGATTGAAATGTTGTCTATAGGTGTACTTAGTTCCTACAGTTTGAGGTTATTACTGGACTTTTATTCTGTTTCATTGATCAGATTACCTATTTATACCTAATGACTCTATTCCTTGGTTATCATCTTCCCTCATTCTACTTCCCAGAGTTTTCCTGGGAAGTTTTCTTTGTTTATTTTTCTATATGGCTTAGAATTAGCTAACCAAGTCCTGCTCCTCTGTCCTGTTGGCATTTTTATTGGTATTGTATTATATTTATAGATTAATTTAGAGATAATTGACATCGTTTTGAGGTTCAAAAACAGGGTCTATATTCATTTCTTTATGTTCAAGAACAGTATATGTGGCCAGGCATGGGGGCTCACGCCTTTAATCCCAACACTTTGGGATGCTGAGGCAGGCGGATCACTTGAGGCCAGGAGCTTGAGACCAGTCTGACCAACATGGGGAAACCCCATCTCTGCTAAAAATATAAAACTTAGCCGTTCTTGGTGGCAGGTGCCTGTAATCCCAGCTACTCGGGAGGCTGAGGCAGGAGAATTGTTGAACCTGGGAGGCAGAGGTTGCAGTGAGCCAAGATTGTGCCACTGCACTCCAGCCTGGGTGACTGAACAAGACTCTGTCTCAAAAAAAAAAAAAAAAAAAAAAAAAAAAACAGTATATGTATTTATTGTCATTCAAGTATTGTTTTGTATCTATCAACATTAAAAAGTTGTTTATTTTTTTATATAGGCCTCACATTTCTTATTATGTTTATTCCTTGGTGTTTATCTTGTTTGTTGCTATTGTAAATGGGGTTTCTACTACTTTCTTTTTTCTTTTTCTTTCTTTTTTTTTTTTTTTTTTGAGACGGAGTCTTGCTCTGTCGCCCAGGCTGGAGTGCAGTGGCACCATCTTGGCTCACTGCAAGCTCCGCCTCCCGGGTTCACGCCATTCTCCTGCCTCAGCCTCCCAAGTAGCTGGGACTACAGGCACCTGCTACCACGCCCAGCTAATTTTTTGTAGTTTTAGTAGAGATGGGGTTTCACCATGTTAGCCAGGATGGTCTCGATCTCCTGACCTCGTGATCCACCGGCCTCGGCCTCCCAAAGTGCTGAGATTACAGACGAGAGCCACCGCGCCCGGCCGGGGTTTCTACTTTCTTTTATAACTTTTATGTGGTTGTTTGAATATGAGAATGCTATTAAATTTTGAGTATTAATTTTATACCTAGCCACGTTAAGAATTCTAATATTATCTATAATAGTTTCCCAGTTGTTTTTCTAGAGAATAACAGGTATAGCTAAATAATCATATCATTACTGAATAATGATAATTTTATCTTCTCCTTTTCATTTTTTTTTCTTTTTTTTTAAATAGGCCTGGCGTGTTGGCTCATGCCTGTAATCCCAGCACTTTAGGAGGCTGAGGCGGGCGGATCACTTGAGGGCAGGAGTTTGAGACCAGCTTGGCCAATATGGTGAAACCCCGTCTCTACTGAAAACACACACAAAAAAATTAGCCGGATGTGGTAGTGCATGCCTATAGTCCCAGCTGCTCAGGAGGCTGAGGCAGGAGAATCGCTTGAACCCTGGAGGCGGAGGTTGCAGTCAGCAAAGATTGCGCTATTGCACTTCAGCCTGGGTGACAGAGCAAGACTCCGTCTCCAAAAATAAAAAATAAATAAAAATAAAATAAAATAGAGATGGAGTCTTGCTATGTTGCCCAGGCTGATCTCAAACTCCTGGGCTCAAGTGATCATTCTGTCTTGGCCTCCCGGGATTACAGGTATAAGCCTCCGCGCCCTGCCTTCCTTTTCACTCTTTTTTTGAGACAGAGTCTCGCTCTGTCACCCAGGCTGGAGTGCAATGCCGCAGTCTTGGCTCACTGCAACCTCTGCCTCCCGGGTTCACGCCATTCTCCTGCCTCAGCCTCCCGACTAGCTGAGACGACAGGCGCGTGCCACTACACCCGGCTAATTTTTTGTATTTTTAGTAGACACGGGGTTTCACCGTGTTAGCCAGGATGGTCTCGATCTCCTGACCTCGTGATCCACCCTCCTCGGCCTCCCGAAGTGTTGGGATTACAGGCGTGAGCCACCGCGCCTGGCCCCTCCTTTCACTTTTGATACTTATTTCTTTATTTTGTTCAATTGATTTCGCTAGTACTTTCCAAAAATACTAAACAATAAGATAGTAGTGGAGCTTTGTCCTATTCCTTACTTCAATCAGATATTTTTAATGCTTTCCTATTAAGATTAGATCTGGCTTTAGATTGAAGCGTACATATTTTATCATGTTAAAGTATTCAGCTGTTACTGTTTTTTTAAAGTTTTTGTTTTGTTTTGTTTTTGTTTTTTGTTTTTTTTTGAGGCAGAGTCTCACTCTGTTGCCTAGGCTGGAGTACAGTGGCTCGATCTTGGCCCTCTGCAACATCCGCCTCCTGGGTTCAAGTGATTCTCCTGGCTCAGCCTCCCGGGTAGCTGGGATTACAGGTGCCCGCCACAACGTCTGGCTAACTTTTGTGTTTTTGGTAGAGACAGGGTTTCACCATGTTGGCCAGGCTGGTCTTGAACTCTTGACCTCAAGTGATTCGCCCACCTCGGCCTCCCAAAGTGCTGGGATTACAGGTATGAGTCACCATGCCAGGCCTAAAGTATTTTTTTTAATAAATACTTTATTTAAAAAATGTATTTTATTAGAAGTAATGTTGCTAATGCCTTTTCAGCATCTATGGGAATTATAATGTAATTTTTGTCCTTTGATCTATTATTGTGGTAGATTGTATTAATGGATTTATTGTTACTGAACCATTCTTGTGTTCCTGAATTAACTTACTTTGTCGTGGTGTATTAGTATTTTAAACGTACTGCTGGGTTCTGTTTGCTAAACTTTACTTAGAAATTTTGCATCACTCCTCATAGGCGTTTTCATTTTCCTTTCTGTTTTTTTTATTGTGTTATTTTTGTTTCCACTTTTATAAAACTATTTCAAAGCTTGCCTGCCTGCCTGCCTTCCTGCCTTCCTTCCTTCCTTCCTTTTTCCTTCCCTCCCTCCCCCTCCCCTACCTCCTCCCTTCCCACACCTCCTCCCTCCCTTGCTTCCTTACTCCCTTGCTCCCTGCCTCCCTTTCTCGCTTCCTCCTTCCCTCCCTTCCTCCCTTTCTTCCTCCCTCCCTCCCTTCCTCCCTTTCTTCCTCCCTCCCTCCCTTCCTCCCTTTCTCGCTTCCTCCTTCCCTCCCTTCCTCCCTTTCTTCCTCCCTCCCTCCCTCTGTCGCCCAGGTTGGAGTGCAGTGGTGCAATCATAGTTCACTGCAGCCTTGAATTCCTGGGCACATGCCAACCTCTTGCTTTAGCCTCCTAAGTAGCTAGGACTACAGGCGTGCACCACCACACCCAGCTTATTTTTAATTTTTTTGTAGAGATAAGGCCTTGCTATGTTGCCTAGGCTGGTTGCAAACTCCTGGCCTCCAGTCATCCTCTCACCTCAGCCTCCCAAAGTACTAGGATTACAGGCATGAGCCACTGTGCCTGGCCCTTCCTTTCTTTTTCTATGCATTTTTTCCCCTCTGTGGTTAAATGGCATTGAAGTTAAAGGTTTTGTGGAATTCCCCATGAAGTCATTTGGACCTCCTCTTTTTTAGGGGGTAGAAGAAGCTCTTAGACAATTATATTGTCCAATTATATCATACTTCTTAGTTTTTTTGAGACAGGGTCTCACACTGTTGCCCAGGCTGGAATGCAGTGGCACAATCATGGGTCACTGCAGCCTCAACCTCCTGGGCTCAAGGGATCCTCCTTCCTTAGCCACCTGAGTAGCTGGGACTACAGGTGTACACCACTACACCTGGCTAATTAAAAAAAATTTTTTTTTTGTAGCAGTGGGGTCTCAATGTTGCCCAGGCTGGTCTTGAATTCCCAAGCTCAAGCAATCCTCCCACCTCGGCCTCCCAAAGTGCTGGGATTATAGGTGTGAGCTACCGTGTGCAGACCAATTATATCATTCTTTGATAGTTGGCTGCTTACAATTTATATCTTTTGGGGGTAGCTTTGATAATTTATGTTATCCTAGAAAATCACCCAGTTCATCCAGATTTTCAAAATTATTTGTGCGAATTGACCAAGGTATTCTTTTATGATTACACAATTATTTCCTGGATTTGCAACTACTCATTATCATTTCTTATTTTGTATTATGTGAGGCTTTGCCCTTTCTTGTTTATAACCGGCTCTTGGATTTTTAAAACTTAGTTCCAATATTTTCTTTTTTTATTAATTTGTTTCTTTCAGTTTTCTTTTTTTTTTTTTTTTTGAGACGGAGTCTCGCTCTGTCACCCAGGCTGGAGTGCAGTGGCGTGATCTTGGCTCACTGCAAACTCTGCCCTCTGGGTTCACGCCATTCTCCTGCCTCAGCCTCCTGAGTAGCTGGGAATATAGGCGCCCGCCACTACACCCGGCTAATTTTTTGTATTTTTAGTAGAGACGGGGTTTCACCGTGTTTAGCCAGGATGGTCTCGATCTCCTGACCTGGTGATCCACCCGCCTCGGCCTCCCAAAGTGCTGGGATTACAGGCGTGAGCCACCGCGCCTGGCCTCTTTTATATATTTTTTTTTGTTTGTTTTTTATTTTTGAGATGGAGTCTCTCCCTTGTCACTCAGGCTGCAGTGCAGTGGCATGATCTTGGCTCACTGCAACCTCTGCCTCCCCGGTTCAAGCTATTCTCCTGTCTCAGCCTCCCCAGTAGCTGGGATTACAGGCGCACGCTGCCACGCCCCACTAATTTTTTGTATTTTAGTAGAGACAGGGTTTCACCGTGTTGCCCAGGCTGGTTTTGAACTCCTGAGCTCAGGCAGTCCACCTGCCTCGGCCTCCCAAAGTGCTGGGATTACAGGCATGAGCCACTGCACCCGGCATTTTGATAATGTTAAGTCTTCTAGGTCTGTGAACATGTTGTATTTCCATTTATTTAGATCTTGAATTTATGTCAACAATGTTTTGGGTTTTCACAGGTCATTTATGTTTTGCCTGCCTTTCTCAATTCTGTCATCTATTAATATGTCCCTTACTATGTTTTCAGTAGTGTCTGGTACTCCTTTGTGCTACTTTCAATGAAGATTTCATTTCTGCGTTGGTTTTATTTTTCCCTTCCATTTCTTTTCTGTTCTCTGTTTATATTTCTTTCTATTGTCTGCCTTTCTAGAGCTAGAGTCTCTTTTCTTTTCTGGACTTGAGACATTAGTTTTTGTAAAACCTGTTGTCTCCCACCCCCTACCACAGCCACTATATAAAAGGAATACAAACTCATTAATTAAAATTTGGATAATGGGCTGGGTGTAGTGGCTCACACCTATAATCCCAGCACTTTGGAAGGCCGAGGCGGGCAAAAAGCTTAAGTCCAGGAGTTTGAGACCAGCATGGGTAACATAGTGAGACCTTGTCTTTACAAAAAATAAACAATATTAGCCAGCTGTGGGGGCACATGCCTGTAATCCCAGCTAATCCCAGCTACTTGGGACGCTGAGGCAGGAGGATTGTCTGAGCCCAAAAGGTTGGGGCTGTAGTGAGCCGAGATCATGCCACTGCACTCTAGCCTGGGCAGCAGAGTGAGATGCTGCCTCAAAAAAACCCCCAAAATTGGAAAACGTAGAAAAATTGAGACAAGGAGAAAATCACTTAAAGACAGCTATATCAACATTTTGATATTTTACTTTCCTTTTAGTTCTTTATCAAGTGTTCATTTAATACTGTGTAAATAATTACTTATCACCTGTAGGAATTTGGGATTCTCTTAAAACTGTTCTATATTTAAATGTTTTACTCACAAGGCTTGCTTATGTTTTCTGTTATTTTATTAGGTGGAATCTCTTTCTCCTCAGTTTACCATATGAATAACATTTTAGGTTTTTTCCTAGCTGGTGGCCTATTTTACTTCTCTCTGTTACAGCCAGGCTTTCAGAAAGAATAGACTCTGTTGTTTATATTTTAATTTCTTTTTTCTCTTCAGTCTTTTGCAGTCTCACTTCTGCCTCCATCGTTCTACTCAAGTGCTCTTACTAAGGTAATAACGTCCTAATTGCTAACTCCAGTAGATAGCTCTTAGTTTTCATCCTACCCAGCTTCTCTAGAATTTGGTTTTAACTGTCTCCTATGCTAGACCCTAGAAATACATAATTAACTAAAGTTCCTGTTCCTAAAGAGCTCTTATTCTTGTATCTCTTGAACTTCCTATTAGTTTTCCTTTATCTGCCACTTAATATTGGTATCCAAGAGTATTTCTTTTGTTTGTTTCCCCTTCTTACTCTTAGTAAGATATCATTAATGTCCTGACCAAACCTACATCTATGTCTAACCCACATCTCTCTCTCTGGCCTGTTTGCCAGCAGCCTCTAGATGTTTCTACCAACTGACTTATGAGTACCTCAAATACAACATTTTCAAAAAACAATTTCATCATTTTTCCTGGCAAACCTGTTACTTCATCCTGTGCTCCTTATCCTGACTAATTTAATGGCTATATCATCAATTTAGTGAGTCAAGCCAGAAATGTGGGAATCACATTAGATTCCTTCCTTTTACTCATTCCTTATAGAATTGGTCACAATTCGATAAGGAATTGTGTTGTTGATTCTTCCTCCTTACCCTCACTCTATTTGTCCCTTTCTACCTCTTTACCCTCCGCATTTATGTCTTTCATTTTATATTTCAGCTATACAGAAGTATTTTCAGTTAGTTGCCTTAAATTCTTGGAACAAGGTAGGTTGAGAGGAGAGATTTTTTAAAAACTTGGAATTTCCTGTGCTACACTGTTTTTTGATTCTGTACATACCATTTCTTCTTTCTAAAGTGCCATTCTCCTAGTCATCTTCTTAGACCCACCCATGTATACTTTAATCTACATAGCATTTTTTCCTATTCTCTCTTTTAATCCCAGCACTTTGGGAGGCTGAGGCAGGAGAATTGCTTGAACCCGGGAGGTGGAGGTTGTAGTGAGCTGAGATTGCGTCACTGCACTCCAGCCTGGGCGACAGTGAGACTCCATCTCAAAAACAAACAAACCCACAAATGACTTATGTGTGTCAAGTCAAAGGGACATTTTAAAATCTCCATCTGCCTTGATCTCCCTTCATTTTTAAACATCCTTTTCCCTTTTGGCTTCCTGGGTGTCAGGTCTCGTTTTCTTATGTGTCTGGCCTCATCCTTAGTCGTCTTTGTCAACTCTTTCCCTTCTACCAGGACTTTATGTATGAGAGTTCTCAATTCTTGGTTCTGTGTCCCCACCCTTCTCTTTTCAACTTACTTGAGGTGTTCTCTTCCAAATCTGTGATTTTCAATATCTATCCATATGCCAATAAGTTATGCCACTTTGTAATTTCAGCCCAAATCTCTTTTGAGGGCCATTTCCTTGCTTTCTCCATATCTACAATTACATGCTTCATATTTCTGAAGCTCAGCAAGCCTAAAACTGAATTTGTGATCTTTATTATAAAATTGAAGGGTAACTATTGGGTAATTTTAAGCACAGGAGTGATGTGGTATGATTTATTATTTTCTAAAGCTCCCTCTAGCTGCTGGTTGGAGAATGGCTAATGGGACACGGTAACACAGATGCATGGAGGTCATTTAGAAGACTATAGAAGTACTTTCCTAAAAAGATTGTGGTGGCTTGGACTAGGTGGTATATCAGTGGTTGGAAGTGGTTGAATATGAGATGTATTTTGAAAGTAGCATTAATAGGATTTGCTATGAGGTGTGAAGGAGAGAGAAGAATCAAGATGATTGCTAACAAGGCTAGATGCGGTGGTTGACGCCTGTAATCCCAGCACTTTGGGAGGGAGGCCAAGGTGGGTGAATCACTTGAGGTCAGGAGTTTGAGGCCAGCCTGGCCAACATGGCGAAACCCCGTCTCTACTAAAAATAAAAAATCAGCTGGGCGTGGTGGCGCGTGCCATTAGTCCCAGCTACTCGGGAGGCTGAGGCACAAGAATTGCTTGAACCCAGGAGGCGGAGGTTGCAGTGAGTCATGATTGCACCACAGCACTCCAGTCTAGGTGACAGAGCGAGACTCTGAAAAAAAAAAAAAAAGACTCCTAAGTTTTTGTCTTGAGCAATTGGATAGATGACAGTCTCATCAAATGTGATGGAACAGATCTGAAGCAGCAGGATTGTAGGGGGCAAATCAAGAGTGTTGTTTTGGCAGTGTTAAGCTTGAGATGCCTATTTGACCTCCAAGTAAGGATATAGAGTAAGTAATCTTTACATTAAAAAAAATCAAACTCAAGGGAGATGGTGAGGCTCACAATGTTTTTTGGAATTATTAGCAAGCCATTGGACTGGATGAGTTCACCAAAGAATATCTTTAGCCAGGTGCGGTGGCTCATGCCTGTAATCCCAGCACTTTGGGAGGCCGAGACGAGGTTGGGAGTTTGAGACCAGCCTGGCCAACATGGTGAAACCCCGTCTCTACTAAAAATACAAAAATTAGCCGGGTGTGGTGGCGGGTGCCTGTAATTCCAGCTACTAGGGAGGCTGAGGCAGGAGAATTGCTTGAACCCAGGAGGTGGAGGTTGCAGTGAGCCGAGATCATGCCACTGCACTCCAGCTTGGAGGACAGAGCAAGACTCCATCTCAGAAAAAAAAAAAAAAAAGAATATTTTTAAAAATTGGGCAGAAGACTATATAACTCTTGAAAGTGAGAAGGAAAGGAGAAGCAAGCAAAGGTCAGTGAGGTAGGAGGAAGACCAAGACTGCTTGGTTTCATAAGAGTCAAGAGAAAAACATGTTTCAAGAAGGAGGGAGAGGTTACCTTGTCGAGAGCAAGGTAGGATAAGGTTTTAAAATGGTAGACTCAGCCGGGTGCAGTGGCTCCTGCCTGTAATCCCAGCACTTTGGGAGGCTGCGGTGGGTGGATCACCTGAGGTCAGGAGTTCGAGACCAGCCTGGTCAACATGGCAAAACCCCATCTCTACTAAAAATACAAAAAACGCCGGGCGTGGTGGCTTGGGCCTGTAGTCCCAGCTACTTGGGAGGCTGAGACATGAGAATCGCTTGAACCCAGGAGGTGGAGGTTGCAGTGAGCCGACATTGCACCACTGCACTCCAGCCTGGGTGACAGAGTGAGACTCTTTCTCAAAAAAAAAAAAAAAAAAAAAAATTAACAACAACAATAAAATAAAATGGTGGACTTTGTACTACCATTAGTACAGTACTATAAGTAATCTTACAGGGTATAGTAGGCCTTTGTGGGCTGAGTAGGGACTGACCTATTAACTATTTATAACATTGGAAAATATATTAAGAATTTCAAATGACAAATTGATGTAATTACTTAGAATTTTGAGGTGCAGCCTAATTTTTATTAGCCTGTATATTTTTTAAGGCTTTATTTTCCCCAAATTATTTTTAAGGCCATTCCCTTACTTTTTAAAGTAAGCAGTCCTTGTCTTCCTCCTACTTTATTGACCTTCTTTGCTTCTTTCCTTTTCACTTTCAATGGTTCTATAGTCTTCTGCCCAATTTTTAAGTGGTTTTGAACACTCTGTATCATTAGACTTTTACCAGTATCAGTATTGGGCAAGCTTGTAGAACACATAAAGGTTACGCTTACTTAAAATATGTAAGTATGATTTCCTGTGATTGAATGCATACAGCTTTCCTCCTAAAAGTCTTTTTCATTAATTTTTAAAATGGAAAAACATTACATAAACTTGGTAAAATCAAATCGTATGCAAGAGGAGAAAGTGTCCCTTTCACCTGAGACCCCTCGTTTTGCAGTCTGTCTCCCTAGCAGTGCCATCTCCCTAGAGTTTCTGGTCTGTCTTTCCAGAAATAGAATTTGCATATATGTGCATATAGGTGTATGTTATCTTTATATTAAAACAGAGTGCAACAACAAAGTATTCTTTCTGCATCTGTCTTTTTTTTAACTTAAAAATATATTTTGGGGATTGTTCTGTGTTAGCACATTTAGACTTATCTCATGCTTCTTCATGGCTGAAAGTATTGTGTTGTGTGAATGTGCTGTAATTTACCAGCCACCCAATTGATGGATATTTAGCTTGTTTCTGGTTTCTGTTATTTAAGAACAATCACTGCAATGTATAATGATAAATATTGCTAATTTGCCTTTTAATATCTGTGTTTTTAAAGTTTTCCTCAAGTTGTAGAACTTAAAAACTCACACTTATCCCCTTATTTTACTCTGCTTTCCCATTCAGCTAGTCTTTTACATCCTTATGTTTTATCCCTATAATAATATTAGCCAGGGATTTATATAAACATTTACTTATAACCCAGTAAGGGAACAGATACTATTGCTGTCCCCTTTTTTATAGTTAAGGAAGCTGGGGTACCCAGGACAAAACCTTGTCCAAGGACATACAGCTAGCAAGGGACAGAGCTAGGATTTAGACCCAGGCAATGTGGTTCTAAAGTCCCTGCACCATGCTGCACTCCCCTCTGCTTCCTGTCCTTCCCAGTTCTTTTTGTTACTAGTACTGTAATTGAGGTCCTCACTGGTGTAAACTGGACTACACTAAAAATGTTTTTTTTGCTATTCCTAGTCTTACTTTCCTGACCCATTCTCTATATTTAAACAAGATTAATTTTCCTAATGCACAGCTATGGTTATGTTGCTTGTCAGATCAGAATCCTTCAGTAGCTTCCTGCTGCATTTAGAATCCAGCCCAATCTCATGCTCTTCCCTTTTATATTTGCTATATTCCATGAATTTGTTCCAAGCTTTATCTAGGATGTGAGCATTAAAGCGTCATAAGGCATAATAAGACTAGATAGTGAAGTGAAATTAGAAGTATTATGACTCACAAAAAAATGAGATAAGTGATCTTTGGAGTTGAATGGTGTTTTTTCTTTTGAGTTTTTTCCCTTTTTACCCATAGTAGCTCCTGCCATATGGTTTCATCAACAAACTGTCAACTCAATTAATTTCAATCAGATGTGTAATTGATCAAATGCTAACCACAAATATTTTGGTGTCACATAAAACAAATTCCTTAAAACACACACATACACACAAACCTAAAACAGAAATATGGAATTTCTTTTTTTTTTTTTTTGAAATGGAGTCTCGCTCTTGTCACCCAGGCTGGAGTGCAATGGTACAGTATCGGCTCACTGCAACCTCCACCTCCCGGGTTCAAGCAATTCTCCTGCCTCAGCCTCCCGAGTAGCTGGGATTACAGGTGCTCGCCACCACGCCTGGCTAATTTTTGTATCTTTAGTAGTGATAGGGTATCACCATGTTGGCCAGGCTGGTCTCGAACTCCTGACCTCAAGTGATCCACCTGCCTCGGCCTCACAAAGTGCTGGAATTACAGGTGTGAGCCACTGTGCCCGGCCATATTATACTTTTTAAAGCAACTTTTAAAATATCAGATATTAGATATTAAAAATTTGCTAATTAGTGACTATTATTTGCTTTTTGCTGGATTTAGTCCAATATAAGCTTTTATATCCTTCAGTCAGCTCTAGGTATTTTCTTGGAAGGCATTGCATTTGCCAAGAGAAAATGACCTGAGAGAAGGGAAAGTGAGTTCATAAATAAAAGTTGTGTCTTCACCTTTTTTTTTTTTGAGACTTAGTCTGGCTCTGTCCCCAGGCTGGGGTGCAGTGGTGCAGTCTTGGCTCACTGCAACCTCTGCCTCCTGGGTTCAAGCAATTCTCCTGCCTCAGCCTCCTGAGTAGCTGGGATTACAGGCTCGCACCACCACGCCTGGCTAATTTTTGTATTTTTAGTAGAGACGGGGGTTTTACCATGTTGGCCAGGCTGGTCTCGAACTCCTGACCTCGAGTGACCCACCTTCCTCAGCTTCCCAAAGTGCTGGGATTACAGGCCTGAGCCACCAGTCCCGGCCGTGTCTTCACTTTCAAAATTGATCACTTTTCTAGTTTGGTTTTTTGTTTTTCTTTTTCTTTCTTTCTTTCTTTCTTTTTTTTTTTTTGAGACAATCTCACTCTGTGACCCAAACTGGACTGCAGTGGCACAATCTCGGCTCACTGCAACCTCTGCCTCCCAGGTTCAGGTGATTCTCCTGCCTCAGCCTCCCGAGTAGCTGGGATTACAGGGACCCGCCACCACACCCAGCTATTTTAGTAAAGACAGGATTTCACCATGTTGGCCAGGCTGGTCTTGAACTCCTGACCTCAAGTGATCCACCTTCCTTAGCCTCCCAAAATGCTGGCATTACAGGCCTGAGCCATCGCCCCTGGCCTCAATTTATTTTTCTAAGTGAAGTTTTACTGGAGATAAAAAGGAAGGAGATGATACTCAATTAAGAAAAACAATCTCTGGCTATAGTTAATATTTCAAGATAGGCACATTCACATCGATACATATAAAGTACAAATGCAGGCAAGATGTTTGGTAAATCTTACAGAAAAAAACCCATGTACAGTAAAAAAAAAACATATATTTTAAAATGAACTTTTATCTTTTAAATTTTTCCCCTTGTCCGAAACTTCTTAGAATCACAAAAAAAATTGAAAAAGACTGCTGGGCATGGTGGCTCATGTCTGTAATCTCAGGAGTTTGAGACTAGCCTGGGTAACATGGTGAAACCCCGGCCCCATCTCTACAATATAAACAAAAATGACCCAGGTGTGATGGCACATGCCTGTTGTCTCCCTATTGGGAGACAGAAGCAGGAGGATTTCTTGAGTCCAGGAGTTCAAGACCAGCTTGGGCAACATAGCTAGACCCTGTGTCTACTTCTCCCATGCCCCGCCAAAAAAAAGAGTATTTATAAGTGCTAAGCATAGAGTAGATACTCAGTATATAAAGGTGTTTGGCATAGAGTAGATAATAAATGTCGATTATCCTAAATTTAAAAGAAAGTCATTTACTTAACAAGTAGGTCACTGTTAGCTCAATGTATGCCATTGTGAAATTTTAAAAAGGTTCCTCTTCCAGGTAGACATAGTCCCATGGGTACATTGGAGAATAGAGTGAAGGCTGGATTTAGCCTCCCTTAGACACTTTGCCTGGAGCTCTTGTGCAGTAAGCAATCTGTACAACTGTGCAGCGATTCCAAATACAGTATTAATTTGCTTCTCTTTTGAAATTCTTTATAGATCCTGAATTGTATATAGGAGTAGGACTGTACCACATGTTGTAGCCACCTAAGTCAGAATTCTTGGATCATTTTCTCTGATTCAATAGTTTTCATTTTTTTTTTTTTGAGATGGAGTTTCGCTCTTGTTGCCCAGGCTGGAGTGCAATGGCGCGATCTTGGCTCACCGCAACCTCTGCCTCCTAAGTTCAAGCAATTCTCCTGCCTCAGCCTCCCGAGTAGCTGGGATTACAGGCATGCACCACCACGCCTGGCTAATTTTGTATTTTTTTTAGTAGAGACGGAGTTTCTCCATGTTGAGGCTGGTCTCGAACTCCTGACCTCAGGTGATCTGCCCGCCTTGGCCTAATAGTTCTAATTGTTAAATATTCATAATTGTTTTAGAGATATCATTTTTGAATGTAAGCTATTCCATATTGGCACCATCTTTTTTTTCTTCTTTTTGGTTTTTATTTAATTTTTATACCTTTTACTTTGAGAATTGTAGATTGATTTACAGTTTTAAGAAATAATATTGGCTGGGTGCAGTGGCTCACACCTGTGATCCCACCACTTGGGAGACCGAGGTGGGCAAATCATTGGAGCCCAGGAGTTTGAGACCAGCCTGGGTAACATGGTGAGACCCTATCTCTACAAAAAATACAAAAATTAGGCAGGTGTGGTGGCACATACCTGTAGTCCCAGCTACTTGAGAGGCTGAGGTAGGAGGATCGCCTGAGCCCACGAGGTGGAGGTTGCATTGAGCCAAGATCATGCCACTGCACTCTTGCCTGGGTGACAGAGCAAGACTCTGTCTTAAAGAAAAAAAAAAAAAGAGAGAAGGGAAGGAAATAATACTGAGAGATCCATATACCCTTCCCCAGGCAATTTCTTGGAATGATAACATCCTGTTACTATTGTACAATAACACAACTAGGAAATTGACATTGATACAATCCAGTGACCTTACTCAGATTTCATCAGTTTTACACATACTCGTGTGTGTGTGTGTGTGTGTGTGTGTGTATCATATTCTGTACAATTTTATTTCATGTTAGATTCGTGTGGCCACCACAGTCAAGATACAGAACAGTTCCATCACAAGGTTCCCTGGTGGTGCCCTGATACAGCCACAGCCACCTTCCCTGGCAAACCCCTAGTGACCACTAATCTGTTCTCTAAAATTTTGTCATTTCAAGAATGCTATGTGAGTAAAATCATACAGTATGTAACCTTTTGACACTATTTTTTTTTTCCTATTGGTTGCATGTATCAATAGTTCATGGTTTTACCACAGGTTTAACCATTCATTTCGCTGAAGGACATTGGGATTGCTTCCATGTTTTGGCTATTGTGAATAAAGCTGTTAGGAACGTTTGTGTACAGGTTTTTGTGTGGACATAAGTTTTCATTTCTCTGGGGTAAATGGCCAAGAATGTAATTGTTGAGTTGTATGGTAAGTATATGTTTAGTTTTGTAGGAAACTGCCATACTGTCTCTCAGAGTATGTGTGTATCATTTTACATTCCTCCCAGCAAAGTATAACTCATCCAGTTCCTCTGCATCCTTGCCACCATGATCAGTTTTGATAAAACACTTTGGCAACTACTGTTAACTAGTCTCTCTCATTTTTAGAAAATCAGAACTGACTTCTTACATGTGTCTTCAGGTTCTCTAGAATGAGACCTTTGGTTACTTCTATCAATTTGACTTGGCAATTGGCTCTTAAATGTTTGGAGGAATTCACCAGTGAAGCCAGCTAGTATTCTTAAATCTTTTACACAATACCTCAATTTATATTTTTTCATCAATATCTATATTAGTCATTTTCTATATCCTTCATCTGAATAAGACAGATACTTTAATGTTCTTCTGGTTTTCCTTCTCTCAGCCTCCCTTCCTACCCTTATAAATATTCCTGTTGATAGCATCTGAGATTATAGTTCTGAATGTTAGTAATGTTTTTTTCCCCAGTCAGTGCATATTTAGACTTAAAGGTTTTACTGGTTTCTCTGCTTACCCTTTTCTTGGGCCTTGTTTGTTATTCTTGCATTAATTTTTTAAAAAAACAATCCAATTATATATCTTTGAGTAATTATTTCATTAGAAGTCTGAAGGAAGCAAACTTTTTGGGCCCTTGCATATAAAAAAATTTCTTTATTTCACTCTCCTTCTTAAGCAAGAGTTGGAGTAGGTATAGAATTCTAAATGTAAAACTATATCCAAGTGTCCCAGGACAATTTGTTGAAAAGACTATTTATTCCCCACTGAATAGTCTTGTCACCCTTGTCAAAAAAATCAGTTGACACTGTGGATGTTAGGGTTTACTTTTGGACTCTCAATTTCATTAATTTAATCTGTATGTCCATCCATATGCCAGTACCACACTTTTTGAATACTGTATCTTTCCAGAAAGTTTTGAAATGAGGAAGTATGAGTCTTCTTTCACTTCTTTTTCAAGATTGTTTTGATATTCTGGGTTTCTTGCTTTTTTCCATCTGAAGTATAGGATTAGCTTGTTCATTTTGGCAAAACAAACAAAAAGCTAGTTGAAATTTTAATATTGTTCGATTCTCTTTTGTGTCTTAACTTTTTAATATACTTTTCTATAATACTTCTTCATGCTTGGGCCTTAGTTTTATGCTCAATCATCTTTATCGTGAGTCCTAGTTAGCCTTGCTGTGAGTGTTAAATCTGTTTATTGCAGCAGGTCTCCACAGATTGTGGATAGGGATGGAGTAAGCAATGAGATGAAGTGTACTACTTGCCAGGCTCCTTCAGTGTGACTGTCCCCTCTTCTGCCTGGGTGTTAGTATCCCCACGGGGTTCTACCTTCTCCCTCTGATCCCAGTGTTCACACTGATTGTTCTAGCTGGAGAGTGACACCTTTGTTGTTTTTGCCACTGTTCCCATCTGGGAGCAAATACCTCTATTCTATAATGCTTGACTCAAAGAGGTAGATGGCTGGGAGGGGTTAACCTGCTATGTAACTTCTGTGCTACACTCCAATCACTTAGGCTGTAAATGTTTAAAATGGTTTCACTTCTTCCTGCTGTCTTTTACCTTGGGGCTTAGTTGACCCCGAGAGTTGGTCCCTCCACTTGCCCTGGTCCTCTGCTCTTGGTGTGTAGGACTGTGGTGTCTTCTTTAGTCCGATTCTATCTGCTTTTCATCTTCCAGTGATTCCTCATAGTATTAGTCCACTAAGGGCATTTCTTGTTTTCTTTTAATTATGTCTTTTTTTTTTTAATGACTTTTTTTTGTTATTTGGGAGATTTTAGGGGAAGGTGAGCTTGCTCACACTGTGCTCAGCCTACCATCTTAATTCAGCCAATGACTATGTTATATTTATAGTGAAGTAAACATAGTAAGAAAGAGAAAAAACTAAAAACTAGCAAAAAATAAAATATTGATGAAGTTATTGAAGAAATTATTATTATTATTATTTTTGTGGAGACAGAGTCTTACTCTGTCGCCCAGGCTGGAGTGCAGTGGCGTGATCTTGGCTTACTGCAACCTCTGCCTCCTGGGCTCAAGCAGTTCTCCTGCCCTCAAGCAGTTCTCCTGCCTCAGCCTCCCGAGTAGCCAGGACTACAGGTGCATGACACCATGCCCAGCTAATTTTTTTTGTATTTTAGTAGAGATGGGGTTTCACCATGTTGGCCAGGCTGGTCTCAAACTCCTGGCCTCAGGTGATCTGCCCATCTCAGCCTCCCAAAGTGCTGGGAGTACAGGCATGAGCCACCACACCCGGCCTATATTTTTGTTTTGAAGAGTCGAAGCTATCACGTAGGAAGGTTGGCACTTTGAATATATAAAAATTAAAACTCAATGAATAAAAGTTCAGACCAGTAATATATTTATATGAAACTGGAGAGGCATACATTTATTTAAAAATTTAAGAAGTACATTTGTGTTGGCGTCACACTGTTATGTTGCTGGTTTCTCTTTTTTCTGCTCTTTGGGTGAAAGAATAAAATGGGTTTTGAAGTCAGTGCCTGCCTTGATTGAATAACCTCCGCAGAGTCAACAGGAGTCTGTGCATACAGACTTATGCTGGTTGCTGAGAGAGAGACATGCCAAAGATGTTTGATAGAAGCCCTGAGAAGACATAAAAAGGGTTTTTTATTACAGTTTTGGTGTGTTAATTATTTTTGTTTGTTTTTGTTTTTGAGACAGAGTCTCACTCTGTCGCCCAGAGTGGAATTCAGTGGCACGATCTCGGCTCACTGCAACCTCCGCCTCTTGGGTTCCAGCAATTCTCCTGTCTCAGCCTCCTGAGTAGCTGGGTTTACAGGCACCTGCCACCACGCCTGACTAATTTTTATATATTTTTAGTAGAGATGGGGTTTTGGCATGTTGGCCAGGCTGGTCTCAAACTCCTGGCCTCAAGTGATCTGCCCGCCTTGGCCTCGTAAAGCGCTGGGATTACAGGTGTGAGCCACCACGCCAGGCCCAGTTTGGTAATTTTTAATGTTATTCCCTCAGTGTTACTCCAAAGTAGTTTTTAATATTTTTCCATTATAAAATCATATATCGTAGAATTTATGGATAACGTAAAAGAGGTAATAATCTCAAGCCCAATCATAACCAGTGTTAAGACTTTGGTATGTTTCTTTCCAGTATTTTTTTCTAATCACTTTTTTAAAAAATTAAAATAATACAGTATTGTTTTTCTTCCAGTCTAAAAGTAATGCCTACTCAGAGAGCTTGGAAAATAAAGACCATCATAAAGGGGAAAAAACAAAAATAATTCATTAGAACCATCCAAAGATAACTACAGTCAAATACATTAATTTGATGTAATCTTTCCTGTATTTTTTCTGAATATATAAAAATACTTTTTTCTTTACTAAAATGGTATCATACTTTAATACTATTTTGTACATTGTATTTTTCATTTGCAATATATTGTGAATGTTTTGTCATGTTAATAAATAGTTTTGTATATACTCTTCAGTGGTATGTAGAATATGAGCATATTTAAGTATGTTTATTTAGCATACTTAACCATCCCCTATCATTGGACATTGAAAGTGTTTCTAATTTTTTACCATTATAAATAATACCATAGTTAATATCTTTGTCCATACATCTTTCCATGCATCTATGATTGTTTCTTTAGGAATAGATTCCTAGAAGTGGAATAGCTGGGTCAAAGGGTATGTACATTTTAACGCTTTTGATACATAAAAATGTCAAATTTTAAGCTAATCACTTGTTATATTCTGTCTTGTATTGCTAATTGTTTTGTGTGTCTGTCTTGTCTCCCTAATTAGAATGTAAACTTAAGGGCAAGGGAAGTTTCTTATATATTTAATGTATCCTTTGACAGTGTGGTTTACAATTTTGGACTCTGGAGTCATCTCAACACATACTGTATTGATTTAAAACAATGGTTCTCTAAGATTGTTGAATGTCATAAACCTGTACATTAAAAATATATATATACTTATATTTATCCATATATGTATATTTATAGTAGATATGGGCTTGCAAATTTTCAGTTTTTCCACGAAAAAATATTAAAAAGAAAACCAACTACCATTTTCTTATCAGCATCATTTCATAAAGTAAAGAATATTTAACAACAAAAAGGTTCTAATCTCTGAAAAAGGAGCAGGCCTTTAAATGGAACATTTTAGCTTTTTGAAAAACTTATTGCCTTGTCCATATTTTTCTCATTTTATGTTGGACTGGTGAATCTTCACCTTAGCCTAGCAGTGGTCTGTAGACCAGCATTTGAGAATCATTGATTTAAAAGACTTAGACTATTAAAAGATAAATCATTTTGCAAAATAAATAATTCTCCTTTTCCATGAGTCTGTATTCTCTACAAAATTAAGTGCAAATGTGCAGGTGATGCCATTTCATTATACAGAATCTGTATATCTCTATGTACAAGTTCTGTAGTAAGCAAACTAGACCCTGCTAATGGACATCTGAATATATATTTCCAGTTGCCAAAAATAAAAACTGTTCTTTTTCTAGGGAATTTAAGACAGGATAAAATATGGTGTAGTGGGAAGAGGCAAGTTTTTAGAGTCAGAAGGCCTCACTTGAATCCTGGCTCTGGCATTAAGTCATTTAATTTTCCTTTAGCTTCCTTGCTTGAAAAATTATGATGATACTATCTTCTTCAAAGTATTTTGTTAGCTCCTGTTACAGCAATTCCTTCACAGTAACGTAATTATTTGTTTACACATCTGCCTTCCTTATGAGACCATGGGCTCTGAAGAGCAGGAATCATGTCCTTGTTTTGCAATCTCAGGTCCTAGCATAGGGCTCCAGGCATAGCAGATGCTTAATAAAATGATTGTTGAATCAATACAGGATTGTTGTGAGAATTATATGAGGTAATATATGTGAAAGCTCTTTGTAAACCCTAAACATTATGCAAGTGTTAATTGTTTTTATTGTCAATAAGAGCTATATTTGGGAGCGATCAAAACTTTGGGAAAAGAGATAATTACCCCATAATAGTTCCATTAATTTAATTAGGTTTTTATTCTATTTTATAAGAAAACATATTTTAATTGGGGTTAACATGGAGGTAATTTGCTTCCTGGGAAGGCAGATGAGCCCCTTCCCTCCCTTCCCCCATGGAAGTGCCAAGATATTAAATGTTTGTTTAATTTGGTTGCTGTTTTAAAATTTAATTATAGTAGAGTCAGCTTATTTCGTATTTAAAGAATGGTGCCCATTGCTTTATCTTCTTAACCATATAATTAATATAACCTTGAAGAGAACAGGAGCCTCTGTTATGTCCAATTAGTTTCAGAGCTCCATTTTGAAATTAACTGACTTAAAAATGTCATCGTTTCTAATCTGTTCATAAAGCTCCTGGTGAATTTTTGCCACAAGATGGCATTGGTGATTATTGAGTGCACATGCTATTGAACCAGAATTCCCAAAAACGGTGCACAAAATTGTATTCTTTTGGGGGTAAGAGTTGAAAACCTTCATCACTGCTTATATGTTAATTTAATTTTGACTTCCAAAACAGGGTTAAATGCTACTTTACGTCACTTTCTTTCTGTATTCAAGTATTGTTTTGTTTCCTGTTTTTCTGTCTTTATAACTACAGTAACTATGTATTATTTGCAATGTGTTGTATGTGTCTGACTTATTGCTGATAATTGTGGTAACAGGTAAGAAGAAAATACGATGGGACCCAGTTAGGAGGCGCTTCATTCAGTCCTGTCCCATCATAAGGATCCCTAACAGGTTTTTGAGAGGTGGGTGATAATTAGCAAGAGATCTGTGCTTCGTATGGGTTAAAGGGAACTTTGAATGAATTTTCTAAGCTCAAAACTCTGGTTTTTAAAAATCATCTAAACAGCTAATGAAACAGTTGGAATAAGAAAAATCTAGAACTTAATTTTAAACCTGTTTCTTGTTGGCCACTATTGGGATTGTAATTGTAAGTTTCAGGGAGTCAGAATCACTTAGTGTATTATTAGATGGTAGAGATAAATCATCTCACTGATATAAATGGTATTCCACAGTAGCCATATTAGAAAGAATTTTGAGTGAATAATCTATAAAATATGGATGTGGGAAAGAATTTTCTAAATATGATTCTAAGGAAGAAATAAAAGATTATGTAATGGTATAAAATAAAAAACCTCTTATGTCAAATGTCATATATTAAAAGATAAAAAAGAGAATTATTTGTTAACAAAGGGGTAATATGAATATATAAAGAGTTCTTATAAACCAATAGGTTAAAAACAAATGCCCACTAGAAAAATAGGTAAAAGGATATAGAATTACCAGTTTGTTAAAAAGAAGTGCCAATAATTATGAACAAGTATTTATTTTTACTATTATTATAAACACAACAATTAAAACAATAAGATGTTTTTACCTATTAGATGAGCAAAGACCAAAAATAAGAATACCCAATGTTGGCAAGGGTATGGGAAGATAAAGCTCATATATTGAAGGAAGTATAAATTTTATACAGCTTTTCTGAAACCAGTTTGGTAATATGTATTAAAAACCTTAGAAATATTCATACCCTTTGACCTAGCAGTTTTTACTTTTAGAAATGTTGCATTCCTTCTACTTTTTATTTTTTCTACTAATACATACTCCATACTGAAAAAAGAAAATCTCAAAAGAGGGTTGAAAACTCTGGTTCACACTATTTTTCTAGATACAACAAATTATCACACAAGCATACTTAATGTTGTAATTTAGACTGTATTAAATTATTTACAACCCAGTGTATCTAATTTTAACTGGAGTTTTTTTTTTTTTAACCTAGGAAAAAATCCTGCAACTGCTATAGATGTTTCTATATCTAGTTCCTAACCTATTTTTGTCACCTGAGCTCCAGAGCATGCATAAAATCAACCATAAAATGGGTCAAGATAAGATCCTCAAGATGGTGTACCACCTTTTAGCATGAGTAAATTTTGTTAGTAAGAATTAAGGACCAGGCTGGGTGGCTCATACCTGTAATCCCAGCTCTTTGGGAGGCCAAGGTGGGCAGATTGCTTGAGCCCAGGAGTTCAAGACCAGCCAGGACAACACGGTGAAACCCTGTCTCTGTAAAAAATACAAAAATTAGCTGGGCATGGTGGTACACACTTATAGTCGCAGCTACATGGGAGGCTGAGATGGGAGGATCACTTGAACCCAGGAGGCAGAGGTTGCAGTGAGCCATGATTGTGCCACTGCATTCCAGCCTGGGCGATAGAGTGAGACTTTTCTCCAAAAAAAAGAAAAAAAATTAGATGATTTTAGTATTATCCATTGTACACACATGGCCAAGCAGGCATGTCTAATTCTATAGCATTTTTTCTTTTTTCTATTTATAAGTTAGAATGCCAATTTACCAATTTCCAATGAGAAATCTAACTTGTGCTGAATAAAGCATAAATTAAACTTCATTTTAGTTATATTAATATAATTAATTATACATACTAAATATAAGCATAATTAAGGAATTGTTTAGGATATATAATTCAACATAATAATGATATAAAACACATAAACATAAAAAACAAATAGTGACATAACAGGTTGTATCTGTATGATGGGGATTTTATTTTCTTTTGTATGGTGTTTGTTTTTCAATTTTTTGATTGTGGAGAAAAAAGATTGCACAGGTAAGTTTTATACCATTGGTTATTTGTAAGCCCTCAATAGCCTCAATCAGTGGTTGAGAAAGGTGGCCCCTGGCAGTGCTGGAATTGAGGTGGGAGTTAACTCAGCATCAGCAACATCAGGATCACTAGTGGCCTTCTTTTAGTTCTCACCTTCTTTAACCTCTTTGTAGTGTTTGAGGCTGTTGACTACTTGCCCTTCTTAAATTTTTCTCTTTTTTTGGGTTGCTTTACTGTATAGTTCTAGATGTTTTCTTCCTACCTCTTTGATTGTTCATTCTGTTTCCTTCACTAGCTTCTTTCTTCCTGCTCCCTCAAGGTGGATATTGTTCCAGTGTTCTGTCCTCTCCATTATCTCCTTTAGTTGTCTCATCAACTTTCACAGGCTTAAGTCTCTTCGTTTGTTCGTTCGTTCATTCTTTCATTCTTTCAGTATTTCTTGATTGCTTCCTATGTACTGTGCTAGCCTGATGATCTAAGTAATAGAGAATCAGGTAAACAGACAATTACAGAATAATTTGAGTATAATTATTTGTGGTAAGTGTTCTGATGAGGTAGCATGCTATGGGAGCACACAGGAGAGGTATCTGACTCAACTTGGCTGAAGGAGGGTGACAGAGGAGTGGCCATGAGGATGACATCAGAAGGGATGTGCTTAAAGGCTGAGTAGGTGTCAGCAAAGGAGGGTTGGATCCTCTCAAACCATGGGGATCAGGCAGCTTGAGTAAAGGCATTTAGGCAAAACAGGACATGGTGTTTTTAGAGATGTAGAGAAAGTTCAGCACAGTGGGAAAGAGGTGGACAAAAGAGGCTGGAGAGGGCCCAGATCAAGTGGGCACCACCCAAGTGGAGTTTTCAGGATCAGATTTGGTTTTTTAGCTAGTGAAGAAATTTAATTAAAGGCTAATTATGAGATTATTATAGTTATTAGTGTGCAAAATGATGGAGACTGAAATGAGGGTAGTTGTAATAGGAATGGAGAATAGGGGCCGGGCATGGTGGCCTACACCTGCAATCCAGCAGAGTGAAACCCTGTCTGTCTACATACACACACATGCACGCATGTACAATTAGCCGGGTGTGGTGGGGGCATGCCTGTAGTCCCAGCTACTTGGGAGGCTGAGGCAGGAGGATTGCTTGCAACTAAGAGTTCGAGGCTACAGTGAGCTATAATCATGCCACTGCATTCCAGCCTGGGTGAAAGAGCGAGGCCCTGTCTCATTAAAAAAAAAAAAAGTAGAGAATTGATTTGACATATAAGGAAGTGGAAGTGAAATTAGATGTAGATTTTAGGCAAAGGATAATAAATTCAGTTTAGTCTCTCCAGAACAACCAATAATAGCATTAATAGCATATCCTTTAACACTCAGTCCAAGAGTATTTCCAGGGAAACTTCCTTGGCAGGCCTCTCCCCTCTTTGTTCTGATGGCACCCTCCGTGTACCTACCTATATCATAGCACTTATTGCACTGAATTGTAGTTGTTTACTTGTCTGTGCCTCCCATTAGACTGTAAGCTCTGTAAGGGCAGGGACAATAGGACAGTGCCTTTCATATCTTTACTCCAGTTTGTAGCATAGTGCATGTAGCAGGTATATCATATGTATTTGACCTTGAATTAAAGTATTGTAAAGGCCACTGTCAGAAAATAGGATGGGAGTAACATTTTATTATGTTCTCAACTTCTCTCTGGTATTGGTGACAGTGAACTAATGAATTGTTGAGAACATGAAAATGCTATTGTTTAATGCTTCAATAGGTTGTGTGGTTTTGCTTGTTTGTTTGTTTTTAACTTATCTATACTTTTGAAATAGCCACTTTGAAGCCTGATATTTTGGAATTCTTTATATCACCTCTCTTGGTTCAGATTGTAGACAGTTTCATAGGGCCCATTTTCTGTCACTAGATTCCTCTTCACTAGGTCCTACATCTTCTCTAAAACATATTTCTACCAATTAAAATTGTGGTGTAGTGAAAACAGTAATGGCGTAATGAAAACAATGGTTTTTATTATAAAATGGCAGACTTAACATACCCATTTACTTTTCCCTACTTCTCAGATGTCATTGGAAATGACAAAACAGACATAAGACAAAGAATAAATCATTGTAATTAAAAAAAAAAAACAAAAAAAACAGAAAAGGGAGACTTTGAAACTAGATTACTTGTGTCTGAATCCAGGCTCTGCCATTTAGCAACTGTATGACCTTGGGCAAGTTGCTTATTCTTTTTTTGCCTCAGTTGCTTCATCTGTAAAATTAGAATGATGATAATAGTATCTACTTCCTAGAGTTACTGTGAAGATCAAGAGAGACAGTATGTACAGAGCACTTAGGAGAGTTTCTTTACATATAGCAAATGTTGAATTAGTGCTAGCTATCATTATTGTTATTGTTAGAATGCCAGAAGTTTTTAGAAATTTTAGGGTACCAGAAAACAATTGGAATTATATTGATGGAGGAACCAGCACAGAATAAAATGCAACCCAGAATAGATGCTCCTGTTGCATGGTGGAAGTCAGAGAGTGTCTTAGTAGGGCTCTTTTCTTAAACTCTAAGCATAGAGGTGGCAAGTATAGGAAGATGGAGCAGTTTTGGGGGAAGGTGGAATATCAGGGCAGGTAATGAAAGAATTGCCTTCAAAACAGTTACTTCCCCTACTCCTTCTCTCCCTTCACATAAAGCACCCTAGCAATGGCATTAGTTCCAGGATAAAGCCATGAGAACATTTCAAGGAAAGTAGAAGATTTGCCTTGGGGAGGATTGGGCAGGCATTGCGAGCATCGATTAAGACTGGAGGAAGAAGGCCGGGTGCGGCGGCTCACACCTGTAATCCCAGCACTTAGGGAGGCTGAAGTGGGCAGATCACGAGGTCAGGAGATCGAGACCATTCTAGCTAACACGGTGAAACCCCGTCTCTACTAAAAATACAAAAAATTAGCCGGGCGTGGTAGCAGGCGCTTGTAGTCCCAGCTACTTGGGAGGCTGAGGCAGGAGAATGGCATGAACCCAGGAGGCAGAGCTTGCAGTGAGCCAAGATCATGCCACTGCACTCCAGCCTGGGCGACAGAGTGAGACTCCCTCTTAAAAAAAAAAAAAAAAAAAAAAAAAGACTGGAGGAAGAGTGCACAAAGCAGAGCCTTAGCGAATGGACTTTTGTAGTAGATGGATGAGGAGAGTGGAATGAGAGGAGAACAAGAAGAGGAGCTCTATCAAGGATCCATATGCATTAAAGGACAATACTGTCAAAATACAGCCTGCCAATTTTGGCAGTAATAAGGTCAAACTGCTTTCTTTTTCTCCACTTGTAAAGGGAAGCCTGTCTGTCAGTGTGCCACTTACCTGCAGAGACCCACACTCAGACAGACCTTCCATTTGGGTTTTGGAGGCAAATTAATACAACTGTTGAGGAAACACATGTTTCTTATAATAACTAACCAATGTAGTCCTTCATTTATTAATATGAGTAGGTGATAAAGGCTCACCATACATTTGAGGGAAACTAAGAAGAGACTAAAATAAACAAAACAGCTGCCTATGGTAGAAACAGAGATAATGAACAAGTGGAGTGGAACTTGAGGAAGTTCTAATCACAGAATGTATCTTTACAGAGCCAAGAGTGAATTAGATCCATAAATTTAAAAAAACAGCTTCCTGGCTGGGCATGGTGGCTCACACTTCTAATACCAGCACTTTGGGAGGCTGAGATAGGTGAATCACTTGAGGCCAGGAGTTCAAGACCAGCCTGGCCAAACAACATGGTGAAGCCCCATCTCTACTAAAAATACTAAAGTTAGCTGGGTATGGTGGCAGCCGCCTGTAATCCTAGCTATTCGTGAGGCTGAGGCATGAGAATCACTTGGACCTGGGAGGCAAAGGTTGCAGTGAGATGAGATCGCGCCATTGCACTCCAGCCTGGACAACAGAGCGAGACACTGTCTCAAAAAACAAAACAAAACAAAACAAAAAACGCTTCCATGGATAAAAAGTAATGATTAATGAATTAGTTTTATATTGAAGAATTGATTGCTGAAATTAAAACTCAGTTGGAGGGTTAAACAATACACTTAAGACTAGTTACTTTTCATAAAAATAAAATAGAGGAAATTTGCAGACTATAAAGAAGACCTACAGATAGAAAGTACATGAGGAAAATTCATCCTTTGAGGATAGATCTGAGTGATCAAGTACCCATTTCACAGGAGTTACAGAAGGAAAGATCAGACAATGGAAGGGAGAAAATTTAAAAATCTGAGTTTTGGCCAGGCACGGTGGCTCACACCTGTAATCCCAGCACTTTGAGAGGCCGAGGCAGGTGAACCACGAGGCCAGGATTTCAAGACCAGCCTGGCCAATATGGTGAAACCCTGTCTCTGCTAAAAATACAAAAAAATTAGCCAGGCGTGGTGGCAGGTGCCTGTAATCCCCGCTACTCGGGAGGCTGAGGCGGGGAATTGCTTGAATCCGGGAGGCAGAGGTTGCAGTGAGCTGAGATCATGTCACTGCACTCCAGCCTGGGTTACAGAGCAAGACTCAAAAAAAAAAAAAAAAAATCTGAGTTTTCACGTATAAAGGGCATGCCTTTCATGTATAAAGGACCAAACAGGAAAAAATGCAAAAACAAACCAACAGAAAGTACCTCCCTATACGTTACTAAAGTACTTACTATTTCAGAGGTAGAAAACAAGTTACATAGACTCAAAACTGAAAATCAGACTGGCATGGATTTCTCACCTGCAGCATGGTTTGCTACAAGATAAATGCCTTCAGTGTTCTGAGGGGAAATTATTCTCAAGACAGAATTCAGTACCCGGCCTCACTAATGTTTAAGTGGGGGGGTCAAAATAAGATTTCTGAAAGTTTGTGACATACCCCATTTTGATAAAATTACTTGAAGATGTACTCTGGTAAAATGAAAAATCCAGGCCAGGAGTGGTAGCTTACACCTGTAATCCCAGCACTTTGGGAGGCTGAGGCGGGTGGATCACGAGGTCAGGAGTTTGAGACCAGTCTGGCCAACATGATGAAATCCCCCCTCTACTAAAAATACAAAAATTAGCCGGGCATGGTGGTGGGTGTCTGTAATCCCAGCTACTCAGGAGGCGGAGGCAGGAGAATCGCTTAAACCCAGGAGGCGGAGGTTGCAGTGAGCCAAGATCGTGCTACTGCACTCCAGCCTGGGCAACAGAGCAAGACTCCATCTCAAAAAAAAAATTATAAGAAAAATAAAATACACTTACCATTCATTAAGTGGAAGTGGATCATCATAAAGGTCTTCATCCTTACTGTCTTTACATTGAGAAAGCTGAGGAGGAAGAGGAAAAGGAGGAGTTGGGCTTGCTGTCTCAGGAGTGGCAGAGGCAGAGGAAAATCTGCATATAAATAGACTTGTGCAGTTCAAATTCATTTTGTTCAAGGGTCAACTGTATAACATTCTGTAACTAAAATTAAATTGAGAGTTGTACTAAAGGTCCTAGAATTTTTTGTTTTAAAATTTACAGGTGTAGTATTATCTACTTACTAAAAGAAAAATTCAAATAATACAGAAATACATAGGGGGAAAAGTCAGGATCCTTACTGCAAGCATATATAACATTTCTACAAATCAATTTCAAAAAAGACAGTTCAATGAGAGAATGTATGTAAGAGGCTTAAGCAGGTGTTCTTAATCTGTTCTTGCACTGGTATAAATAAATACCTGAGACTGGGTACTTTATAAAGAAGAGGTTTAATTGACTCACGGTTCTGCAGGCTGTATAGGAAGCATGGTAGCATCTGCTTCTGGAGAGGCCTCAGAAAGCTTTTACTCATGGCAAGAGGCAGAGTGGGAGCAGGTGTCTTACATGGCAGGAGCAGGACCAAGAGGAGTTGAGGGGAGGTGCTATGCACTTTTAAACAACCAGATCTTGTGAGAACTCATCACTATACAGTACCAAGGAGGTATGGTGCTAAAGCATTCATGAGAACTTCGTCCCCGTGATCCAGTCACCTCCCACCATGCCCCATCTCCAACACTGGGGATTACAATTGAACATGAGATTTGGGCGGGGACACAGATCCAAACCATATCAGCAGGCATTTCCCAAAAGAAAAATTCAAATGGCCAATAAACATGAAAAGGCGCTCACCCTCATTGCAATGAGAGAAATGAATAGTAAAACCACGAGAGCTCTACAAACTCACAGGAATTGCTACATTAAAAAGACTGACAGTGGCAATACCAAGTATTGGCAAGGATATGGAACAACAGGAATTCTCACATGCTGCCCTTGGATATGTAAAGTGGTACAACCATTTTGAAAACATTTTGGCTTTACCAAACGAAGGTGAAGATTTACATACATTAAGATTCAGAAATTCCATGTTTACATTTATAGCCAACAGAAATGTGAGCCCCTGTGCACTTGCAACATGTGCAAAAATGTTTGTAGCAACATTAAGAACCACAAATTTGAAACAACCCAAAATGCCTCTTCACGCAACTTAGACTGGATAAATAAATTGTGACATATATTCATACAAATAAATAATATTTGGCAAGGGAAATGAACAGACCACTTCTTTTCCCCTAGAACAGGGATGAATCTCAAAAACATAATTGTGAATAAAAGAGCCCAGAAAGAAAATATACTATATTATTCTACATATATTATTCTATTCAAATACACTTTAAAACTAGGCCAAAATAAACAGTATTGTTTAGAGATGCATACCTAGGTATAATAAAGCTATAAAAAGACAACAGATTTTTATGATTGCCCTAAAAATCAGGAAGTAGGATACTCTAGAAGTGAAGGGAGGTTGGAGGGTGTGATCAAGATGGGCAGTCAAAGGGTTTCTGGGTGCTGGCTGTATTCTGTTTCTTGACCTGGGTGATGGTTATATGTTCCTATTTTAATAATTTATTAAGCACTTTATGCAGTATTGTGTTTCTTGAGCTGGATGGTGGTTACGTGTTCTCTTTTTAATAATTTGTACATTTAAGGCCGGGCGCGGTGGCTCACGCCTGTAATCCCAGCACTTTGGGAAGCCAAGGTGGGTGGATCACCTGAGTTCAGGAGTTTGAGAGTAGCCTGACCAACATGGTGAAATCCTACCTCTACTAAAAATACAAAATTAGCTGGGCATGGTGGTGCATGCCTGTAATCCTGGCTACTCGGGAGACTGAGACAGGAGAATCGCTTGAACCTGGGAGGCGGAGGCAGTGAGCCAAGATCACGCCGTTGCACTCCAGCCTGGGCAACAAGAGCAAAACTCCGTCTCAAAATAAATAAATAAAATAAATAATAATCTGTACATTTATATTTATGTAAATTCTAATGCATGCCATATTTAACAATAAAAGGAGTTAAATTTAAAAAGCAAAGATCCTGCCTCACATCTTCACTCAACCACCATTAACAGGCGAGTCTTTCCAGATGTGGTTCTTTCTGAAGAGTGTTAAAAAATAAAAGTTTGTTTTTCAGCAAGTGTTAGGGGTAATAAGATACAGATCTTTGTAGGGGAAAAAAGAAAGCTTATTTCAATAAAATCAGAAAAGTGGGAAAATAAAGCGAGAAAGAGCGGTAAATAAAAAATACATAAGATTGCAGGGACAAATCTAAATAAGAAATCAAGATCAAATGGACCTTATCTGTGGAATGTATTTAGTTTACTATTTTAATAGGCTTAAAGAAAAATTGTGACTTTGCTGTATTAAATAAAACATTTAATAAAATTTGATATTTAATGTGTTCATTTTGTTACAATGCATCCAGTACCCTTATGACATATATGCTTTTCTGTATGTTACATTTGAATACAAACTTTGTGTTGGGCGCACAGTGGCTCATGCCTGTAATCCCAGCGCTTTGGGAGGCTGAGGTGGGAGGATCTCTTGAGCCCAAGAGTTGGAGACCAGCCTGGGCAACACTCTGTCTCTAAGAAAAAATTCAAAAATTAGCCGGGCGTGGTGGCACACACCTGTGGTCCCAGCTACTTGGGAGGCTGAGATGAGAGGATTGCTTGAACCTGGGAGGTCAAGGCTGCAGTGAGCAGTGATTACACTGCTACGTTCCAGCCTGGGCAATAGAGCAAGACCCTGTCTCAAAAATAAATAAACAAATAAACCCCACATCCATTCCTGGTAAGGGAAAACATTCTTACGCATCCAGGGATAAAAGAAGATTTATTTTATGACAGAATACTATAAGAAACCAGTAGTAAATATCATATATGATGTATCATTTATTGATAAGAAACCAATAGCAAACATAATACATAACGGCATAACCTTACCAGTGTCCTCATTAAAGTAAAAAAAACGAGACAAAGATGTCCACTGTCATCTCCACTATTCAACCTTGTTCTGGAGTTTTCAGCCAATACAGTAGAAGACCAGGAAAAAGAAAAAAGAAGTACACATATTGGAAAAGAAGAGTTAAAGTTGGCATTAATAACAGATGATCTGATTGTCTACCTATAAAATTCAAGATAATTCATGATAACTAATACTAGAGTTCAGAAAATTGGCTGGACAAAATTTAAACTTGCAAAAAACCACCTTCCTATATATTAACAGCAACCAATTACAAAATAAAAGAGGTATCTAGTTACAATTGTATGGAAATTTATAAAGTACTTAGAAATAAAAAAACAATAAAACAATGAAACTTGATGAAATACAAAACTAGCTGGGCGACCAGGTGCCATGGTTCACGCCTGTAATCCCAGCGCTTTGGGAGGCCGAGGTGGGCGGTTCACGTGGGGTCAAGAATTCAAGACCAGCCTGGCCAACATGACGAAACCCAGTCTTTACTAAAAATACAAAAATTAGCCGGGCGTCGTGGTGCACGCCTGTAATCCCAGCTACTCGGGAGGCTGAGGCGGGAGAATTGCTCGAACCCAGGAGGCAGAGGTTGCAGTGAGCCAAGATCGCGTCACTGCACTCTAGCCTGGGCGACAGAGTGGGACTCCGTCTCAAAAAAAAAAAAAAAAAAAAAAAAGAGCCGGACGCGGTGGCCCGTACCGTAGTCCCAGCTACTCTGGAGGCTGAGGGTGGAGAATGGCTGGAACCCGGGAGGCGGAGGTTGCAGTGAGGTGAGACCGCGCCACTGCACCCCAGCCTGGGGGACAGAGCAAGACTCCGTCTCCAAACAAAACAAAACAAAAAACCCTTCCCCGGGAAAAAAAAAACAAAAAACAAAACAAAAAAAAACTAGCTGGTTGAGGTCGTGTGCGCCTGGAGTCCCAGCTACTCCAGACGCTGAGGTGGGAGAATCGCCTGAACCCGGAGGCGGAAGTTGCAGTGAGCCGAAATCGCGCCACTGTACACCAGCCTGGGCGACAGAGCGAGACTTGTCTCAAAAAAAAAGAAAAAAGAAACTATACTCATGGACATCAAAAAAGACAAGAATAAATGGCTAGGGATTATGTTCCTTAATGGGTTATCCCAGATAAAATCCTCAAGGGACTTTTTAAAAATAGAATTTTAATTGCCATAGAACTTCCGGTTTAATTGCAAAAATTGCAAAAATGGTAGAAATTCTCCTGTATCCTGGCCGGGCACGGTGGCTCACGCCTGTAATCCCAGCACTGTGGGAGGCCGAGGCAGGTGGATCGCTTAAACTCAGGAGTTAGCCGCCTCAAGACCAGCCTGGGCAACGAGACGAAACGCCGTCTCTACCAAATATCCAAAAAAAAAAAAAAAAAGCTGGGCGTGGTGGTGCGCGCCTGTGGTCCCAGCACTCATCAGGATGCTGAGGTGGAAGGATCGCTTGAGCTCGGGAGGTGGAGGTTGCAATGAGCCAAGATTGAGTCATTGCACTCCAGCCTGGGCGACAGAGCGAGACCCCATCTCAAACAAAAAAAAAAAAAAAGAAAGAAAAGGGAAAAAAATGTCTCCTGTATCCTTTACCCAGATTCCCCAAATGTTATTTTGTCTTTTACTTTATCCTGCTCCCTCTCCTCTCTCCCTTCCCCCCTTTATACACAATACGCACATACATATTTTTCTGTTTCAACCATTTGAAAATTGCAGACATGATGTCTTGCTCTCTCTCTCTTTTTTTGAGACAGGCTGTCACCCTGTCGCCCAGGCTGGAGTGCAACAGCGCCATCTCAGCTCACTGCAGCCTCCGCCTCCGGGGTCTAAGTGATTCTTCCGCCTCAGCCTCCTGAGTAGCTGGGACTGCAGGTGTGCGCCACCACACCCTGTATTTTTTTAGTAGGGTCAGGGTTTCACCGTGTTGACCAGGCTGGTCTCGAACTCCTAATCTCAAGTGATCCACCCGCCTTGGCCTCCCACAGTGCTGGGATTACAGATGTGAGCCACTGAGCCCAGCAGGTCTCTTTTTTTTTTTTTTAATTTTTTAAAATTTAATTTTTTTTAGAGATGAAGTTTTGTTCTGTCACCCAGGCTGAAGTGCAGGGGTGCAATCATAGCTTACTGCACTCAAGCGATCCTCCAGCCCACCTCAGCCACCCACGTAGCTGGGACTACAGGAATGTGCCACCATGCCTGGCTAATTTTTTTTGGCAGGGTCGGTACAGATAGGGTTTCACTATTTTGCCATATCTCTTTATGTCTGTGTACCAAAGTGTTTGCTCCTGAAAAACAGACATTCTCTTCCATAACTGCAGAACCTGTATCAAAATTAGGCATCAACACTGATTATTAACCCTATAAATAATGGGTACAATTAATACTACTATATAAGTTACAGACCTTGTTTCAGATTTTGCCATTATTATTTTGCCACTATCCTAATAATGTTCTTTTTGTTTGTTTGTTTTGAGACGGAGTCTCACTCTGTTGCCCAGGCTGGAGTGCAGTGGTGCAATCTCAGCTCATTGCAACTTCCACCTCTCAGTTTCAAGCGATTCTCATGCCTCAGCCTCCCGAGTAGCTGGGATCACAGGTGCCCACCACCACGCGTGGCTAATTTTTGTATTTTTAGTAGAGATAGGGTTTCACCATGTTAGTCAGGCTGGTCTCAAACTCCTGACCTCAGGCAATCTGCCCGCCTCAGCCTCCCATAGTGCTGGGATTACAGGCATGACCCACCGTGCTGGGCCAATAATGTTCTTTAATAGCAGTAGAAAATCTGAGATTGTGTGTTACATTCTGTTGTCATGTATCTTTAGCCTCCTTCAGTGTTGAACAGTTTCTCAGCGTTTGTCTTTTTGACATTGATATTTTTGAACAGTTGCAGGCTAGGTATATTGTAAAACGTCCCTTTGTTTGGGTTTCTCCCCATTTTCTCATAGTTACATTCAGCTTATATATTTTTGGCAGGACTACCACTGAAATAATATTGTGATCATCTCATTGCACATGATGTTGATTGATTTGTCCCATTACTGGTGATGTTAATTTTGATCACCTGGATAAGATGCTGTCTGTCCATGGGACTTTTTATAGACTTAACAAACTCATTCTAAAATTCATTGCAAAAGTAAATGGAGAAAAATAACTAGAAGTTTTTGGGAAAAAGTAATACAAAAGGGAATTTGTTCTAAATATTGAAAGATAGTTCAAAGCTATAATAATTAAAACAATGTGGTAATGAGGGCCAGGCATGGTGACTAACACCTGTAATCCCAGCACTTTGGGAGGCCCTGTGGTAGGAGATGCTTATATAACCAACAAGTAATATTGTGGGCTGGTGTGAATGGATTGCTTTGGTCTGAGCAACTTGGGCTCTGGGAGTAGTAAAAAGTTGTACCTGCCTTTTGGGGGATATGGGAGAGCTAACTGGATCAAACTTCCTTGGCTTTCCTTGAGGCTTCTAGGTCCAACAGAAGACCTGTCTTTTGTGGTAGAGGTAATTGTGGCCTTTACATTTGGAAAGAAGTAACCAGTTAAATTGATTAATCATTTAGGCTGTTCGATATTTATAACTAATGAATACTTTTAATAATAAGTTTTTTTTTAAAATGGCCTCACCACAAATGTTCATTAGCACATCTGTAGGTGGCTACATCTTGTAAGTAATAGACTTACTAAGCAGTAAATGTTATGTACTACTTTATTTACAAGCTTTTGTATTTAAGCTTCTGTGATGTTCTTTTATATATTTACATATTGTTTATATATATTTACATTCATATATTCTTAAAGAGCAATAAATTTTGTGTCCAAGGGGATTAGACCTGAATATTGGGATTTTCCTAATTCTACTCTAGAACATGTCGATTTAGTATATGGTAAAGGTGGCATTTCAAATAAGTATAGGAGGGGTGGCTTTCTTTAAGTGGTTTGGGGACAGTAGCCTGTTTATTTTGGGAGGAAAAATTAGAGCCCTACCTTATACAACACACAAAAATATAAATTCTGATGTATTCGAATTCTGAATATAAAAAATCAAAACATGAAATTATTCGAAACAAATGACAATATCTTAATCATTTTATAATAATGCAGAGGTGAATGAAATATAGAACAAGGGAGCTGTAAAAGACAAGATTGAGAGACTCAACACCTCTGTATGTTAATAGATGCCGTAAACAAAAGACAAGGAGCAGGCTGGAAGAAATACATATAAAATAAAGAATTTGGGGCCAGGCAAGGTGGCTTATGCCTGTGATCCCAGCACTTTGGATGGCTGGGGCAGGAGGATCATTTGAGCTTAGATTAGAAGTTCAAGACCAGCCTGGGCAACATAATGATGCCTCATCTCTACAAAAAAAATAAAAGAAGTAGCTAGGTGTGGTGGCTCATGCCTATAGTCCCAACTACTTTAGATGCTGAGGTGAGAGGATCACTTGAGGAAGAGAGGTTGAAGCTGCAGTGCGCTGTGATTATGCTACCACAGGTAGGTCTCACTCAGCCTGAGCGACAGAGTAAGACCCTGTCTCAAAGGAAAAAGAAAAAAAAATTACACAATGGTGAGAAGACAACCTAATAGATCTAAAAAGTAGGCAAAGGAGATGATCCGGCAGTTCCAAAAAGAAGAAATACAAATGGGCCAATAAACATGTGAACTAGTAAAATAAGGGAAATGCAGATTAACCTGACACCAATTTATACCCATCAGATTGGCACAAATTTGAGAAGGCTAAAGAAAGCATGAAGAAGTAGGCACTGGCATAACATTGCTGGGAGTAGAAATGGGTCCATTCTATTTGGAAAGCAGTATGGCCCTATAACAGTATTGTATCTATTAAAAATTTTTTGTTTTGTATTTTTTATTTTTTCTATAAAAATTTTAAATGCATATTCCTTTGACCTAGAAATTCTACCTCCAGAAATTCTCATACATTTGTATACAAATATATGTAGAGGAAGCTTTGTTACAATATTATTTGTAGTAGTGAAAACATTGGAAACAACTTAACCTTCTGTCACATTATCTCAGACAGCTAGCTTCTTTCTGCCTTTGGGCTAGAAACTGAAACCCATTTCCCTGGTTACCGTAAGTTCCTGCTTGCTCCCTGGGTAAAGAGCAAGTCCTTGTGACATGGAAGAGAGGATGGGTCCCACATCACAGGGACATAATCCTTTAGCTTCATGTTCCCTTCTGGATATTAAGTGTTTACCTGTGAATACAGGTTCTGTTTTAATTTTTTGCTTTTACATTTCCCACTGGGAGTTCCTGAATCAGGTAAACGAATTCTATGGTAGATTTTATTAGCAGCAAGTAATTTTTAGGAAAATGGGATTTGCAGATGGAGAAGTTGGGGGAGGATTTAGAGAGCTACTTTAGACCCTGAAACACAATTTCAGTTTTGTCAAGGTTGAGGACCCTATGCTATATTTCACCTAATAAAAATTAATGCTTAGTCTCCGTGGCATTAATCCAGACAGACAATTCCCATGGTTTATCCAAAATGGAATGGCTTTTTAATATGTTAGTCACTCTTGGGTTATAAATATGAGAAAGAAATCTGTAGTTACTGGCGAGAGAGAAAGAGGAGTTGCATTTTTACTCTCAGCTATGAGATTCCTTGACAGGATGTTTAATATTTATCAAATATTGATTAGATGCTCTTTACCCAAAAGTGTGATTTGCAGAGATCGTGAAATTATTAACAGAAACCAACAGTTGGGCTGGATCAGCACTGTGTCAGAAATAGGTAAACCACAAAATTAAAATTTTTCCAGTACCCACATTTAAAAAAGTAAAACAGACAGGTAACATTAATTTTATTTAATATTTTTATTTAACCCAGTATATTAAAAATATCATTTCAACATACAATCAATATGAAAACTAATAATTTCACATTCATTTTTGGGTACTAAGTCTTTGAAATCCAGTGAGTATTTTACATGTAAAGCACAGTTCAGTTTGGACCACCCACATTTCAAGTGCTCAGGAGCCATATGTTATGGCTCATGGCTACTGACTTGGGCTGTGCAGGCTGGACTGTAAGCTCCCAAGGACAGAGGTAGTCATTGCCTTATCACTGTATCCCCAGCACCTAGCACAGTACATGGTACTTAGTACATAGCCAGCATCCAATAGTAACTTTTTTTTTTTTTTTGAGACGGAGTTTTGCTCTTGTCACCCAGGCTGGAGTGCAGTGGCACGATCTTGACTCACTGCAACCTCCACCTCCCAGGTTCAAGCAATTCTCCTGCCTCAGCCTTCCGAGTAGCTGGGATTACACCTGCCTGCCACCACACCTGGCTAGTTTTCGTATTTTTAGTAGAGACGGGGTTTCACCATGTTGACCAGGCTGGTCTCAAAATCCTGACCTCAGGTCATCCACCCGCCTTGGCTTCCCAAAGTGCTTGGATTACAGGTGTGAGCCACCATGCCTGGCCCAATATTTTTGACCTGAGTGAGTGAGTAGAGAAATATGAAACCGTCTTTTCACAGACCCCTCAACTGTGTAATCCATGTGAATTGTATTTGTCACAGAGATAGTTGGCAATAAACTTATAACATTACTTTCCCTGCTGTACAGCCATTTAGAGAAAATGTAGAATAGACTGCATTTCTTTTCATATTTGCCCAAAAGCAGCTTTAAAAATTATCTGTTGGCTTCAGGTAATACAGCAAATGACAGAGATTTTTAGAGTTCCTGTCTGCTGAACATAGCAACTCTGTTAGATTTCTTCTTTAAATTTGTCTTGCTAATTCTTAGAAAGAAGCATTTGTGCCTTGAGAAGAACATTGCATAATCCAACACCCGTGCCTTAAACCATGTATCTGTTAGGCATAATAATACCAAAGTCCACTGAGAGTTAGACACTGTTTTAATCTTCCCTGTCGCTGTTTACTTTGGCCTGACGTTAAAGTCAACCAAACTTTTAGTACCTGTTTTTAGGTACTAACTGTTTTAGGTGTTGTGGGTGATACAGGATAATTATTATACATGACCTTTGCCCTTGAGGAGCTTATAAACTGTTTGGAAAAGAAAAACAAACTGACAAAATGCATAGAAAAAATTAAATGCCAAATAAATTGATTCCCGTTTCATTTAGTGTTTGCTGTGTGCCCGAGGCTTGGTTATAGAAAGGTAAATACAAATGTATTCCTTTTCCCTCAAATAGCTCACAGCCTCCTAGAAAGTTACCTGTATAAGCCAATAAACATTTCAACATGACAAATCTAACAAATCTTTGAAGTGCAGTAATAATATCCCAATATGCAAATGAGGAAGCTGAGACTAAATGAAGGTCAGTGACTTGCTCAAAGTAGCAATTAGAAAGAACCTGGATTCAAACTTAGACATTTATAGGAGCTCTTATTTTTTCTTCCACACCACACTTTCTGTTTCAAGAGTCCTAAAAAGAGGAACTGAGTTCTTCATTTAAGGTAAATAGTAAATTTGCCAACTGATTATAGTTTGCCTGATATTCATGTATTTACATAGTTAAGGTGTGATCTTATTAATTGTACATGTATACACTAATATATGAGTAGTATGGTACTGAACTGGAAGGGTTCATTTGATGAAAAGGGTGGTGTGCACTAGACTTAGGTATTTCCACAAGTAGGGATTGATGGGTAGGTAGGTAGACTAGGCCAAGGTGTAAGGGAGGAACTCTGGGATTTCCAAGCAGAGAGAAGTATGAGAAACTGACAGTAGGACAAGGTTAGTAGGAGAAAAGCTCTAACATGTTGGGCAGGGGACTTGATACTTGAGTGGTGAGGAACCATCAAAGACTTTCAAACACGACTAACAGGTTGGACGTGAGTGACTCAGTGATTCACTGTTTTTTGTTGCTCTCAATCTGTGCACAATTTCAGCTCTGGTTTAAAAATATAACCTTAGAAAGTGGGATTTTGATTTTAAAAAGTAAATATAGAAGGCCTGTATTAGGTTGGTAATAAATGTATAACATGTTTATTAGGTGTCTAGCGTTGTCCTAAATATTAACTTTATACTAGTATCTATTACCAACATAAAAAACTACGTTCATCTTTAGGGTCACAACTATAGTAGCTTCTTATTCCATCCAATATGTATTTAAGCATCTTTGGTTCTGAAGTTGGGCAAGGGTTTGTATAGATTGGTATAAACATTTTAAGGATAACAGAAACTACAATAAAGTTTTTTGTTTTTTGTTTTTTTTTACTCTAAAATAACCTTGAAGTAATTTTTAGTAAACTAGTTGAGACCGGGTGCAGTAGCTCGTACCTGTAATCCCAGGATGTTGGGAGGCCAAGGCAGGCTGATCACCTGAGGTCAGGAGTTCAAGACCAGCCTGACCAACATGGAGAAACCCTGTCTCTACTAAAAACACAAAATTAGCCAGGCATGGTGGCGGGCACCTATAATCCCAGCTACTTGGGAGGCTGAGGCAGGACAATTGCTTGAACCTGGGAGGCAGAGGTTGCAGTGAGCTGAGATCGCGCCACTGCACTCCAGCCTGGGTGACAGAGTGAGACTTGGTCTCAAAAAAAAAAAAAAAAAAAAAGTTGATATAATTTAGACTTCAGGACACTTTCAAATTTAAACTGTAGGAATAGCTTTTCTTAGTAAAGCTCTTAATAGGATGAAAGATGCTCTCTGAGATAAATATAAGGAGATTCTTTGTTAACCTCCATAATATCCGGGATGTTATTTAAAGTCAAAATTTTACTGTAACTCCTTAACAGCCAGTTTTCATTGTAAGTGTATAATTATATCTTGTGGAAAAATCATAGATTTTGTGTGTGTGTATTTTTATTTATACATGACTCATTCATATTCGTGATTATATTTATTTAGTTCTCTAATATTCACAGTTTAATTTAGTTGGCCTGTGTTTTTTTCTCCTCTAAGGAAATAAGAAAACTTGTCCTGTTAGCTTTTGGATTATTAAATCTTTCCTCCTTCTTTTCTTGAAAATTTCAAGTTGTCAGCCATTTTCTTGAATTTGTCATGCTTTTTACAGTTATCAAAATCTGAAGGTAGTCATAAAAAATAGAAGTAGAGACTAGCTCCTTAAAATCTTAAGTAGTATATGTGCATAAGAAGTATTATTAGGAAGTATATCCATGTTATAAATCTAAACAAATAAGAAGTATATCCATGTTATAAATCCTTCCTGGTCCCCTTTTATGGCTAAAATGGTTGTTACCTAATTTTGTTTGTGCTTTTAAACTGGTAGGACACCTGTGGAAAACTGTCCTCTTCTCTCCTAGGCCACAGACCTCCACCAGCACGAAGTGGACATCGTTGTGTGGCAGATAATACCAACCTATATGTGTTTGGAGGTTATAACCCAGATTATGATGAATCGGGAGGGCCTGATAATGAAGACTATCCTCTCTTCAGGGAACTCTGGAGGTATCATTTTGCTACAGGAGTATGGCACCAGATGGGCACAGATGGCTACATGCCCCGGGAATTGGCATCTATGTCACGTGAGTGCAAGCAGTTCGTAACTCCTGACTTTATGAAATGTCTGAGAAGCCAGGTTCAATGTCCCATATTCCTCATTAATAATTTATAACACTATAATGTGATTTCGCCCTGTGGGTGGATAGGCTTTTTACTAGGGTAATAACAGTATGGTGATTCCAAATTATTTGGGTCCTGAGTTTGAATTCAGCTTGTCAGGTGAGTTTTAGCTTTAATTTCCTAACTTGCAAAATGGGATTAATAATATCTTAGAGGGTTCAATATAAAGTATCACGCAGTAGAAGGTCAACAAATGGGGCTTATGACGATGACAGTTAATAGCTGTTGAGCAAAGTACAGGCATACCTCAGAGATGTCCTGGGTTTAGTTTCAAACCACCAAAATAAAGCAAGTCACACAACATTTTTGGTTTCCTAGTGCATATAAAGTTATGTTTACGCTATGCACTAGTCTCTTTCATGTGCAATAGCATTATCTCTAAAAAACTACATACCTTAATTAAAAATACTTTATTGCTAAAAAGTGCTAACAACCATCTGAGCCTTCAGCGAGTTGTAATCTTTTTTGCTGGTGGAGGGTTTTGTCTTGATGTTGGTGGCAGCTGACTTATCAGGGTGGTGGTTGCTGAAGGTTGGGGTGATTGTGGCAATTTCTTAAGACAGCATTGAAGTTTGCTGCATCAATTGGCTCTTCCTTTCACAAAAGATTTCTCTGTAGCATTTAATGCTGTTTGATAGCATTTTACCCAGAGTAGAGCTTCTTTCAAAATTGGAGTCAAGTCCTCTCAAACCCTGCCACTGCTTAATCAACTAAGTTTAAGTGATATTCTAAATCCTTTCTTGTCATTTCAACAGTGTTCACAGCATCTTCACTAGGAGTAGATTCTATCTCAAGAAACCACTTTCACTGAGCACAGTGACTCATGCCTGTAATCCCAGCACTTTGGGAGGCCGAGGCAGGAGGATCGCTGGAGCCCAGGAGTTGAAGACCAGCTTGGGCAACATAGTGAGACCTTTTCTCTACAAAAAATAAAAAAATTAACCAGGCATGGTGTTGCACGACTGTATTCCCAGCTACTTGGGAGGCTGAGGTGGGAGAATGGCTGGAGCCCAGGAGGTTGAGGCTGCAGAAGCTGTGATCATGCCACTGCATTCCAGCCTGGGTGACAGAGTAAGACCCTGTCTCAAAAAAAAAAAAAAAAAAAAAAAAAGAAAAAGAGGCCGGGCATGGTGGCTCACACCTGTAATCCCAGCACTTTGGGAGGCTGAGGCGGGCGGATCATGAGGTCAGGAGTTTGAGACCCAGCCTGGCCAACATGGTGAAACCCTGTCTCTACAAAAAACACACACACAAAAAAAATTAGCTGGGCATGGTGGCAGGCGCCAGTAATCCCAGCTACTCAGGAGGCTGAGGCAGGAGAATCCCTTGAACCTGGGAAGGTGGGGGTTGCAATAAGCCAAGATCGCCCCACTGCACTCCAGCCTGGGCAATAAGAGTGAGACTCCGTTTCAAAAAAAATAAAAATAAAAAAAATTAAAAATCTGTTGTTTAGTGTAGCCACTTAGCTAGATCTTCTGGATAACTTGCTGTAGCTTCTGCATCAGCACTTGCTGCTTCACTTTGTACTTTTATGTTATGGAGATGGCTTCTTTCCTGAAACCTCTTGAACCAACCTCTGCTAGCTTCCAACATTTCTTCTGCAGCTTCCTTACCTCTCCCCACCTTTATAGAATCGAAGAGAGTCAGGGCCTTGCTCTGAATTAGGCTTTGGCCTAAAGGGAATGTTGTAGTTGATCTTCTGTCCAGACCACTTAAACTTTCTGCATATCAGCAATAAGGCTGTTTTGCTTCCTTATCATTCGTGTGTTCACTGGAGTAGTACTTTTAATTTCCATCAAGAACTTTTCCTTTGCATTCACAATTCGGCTAACTGTTGAAAGAGGCCTAGCTTTCGCCTGCCTTTGCTTTCCACATGCCTTCCTCACTAAGCTTAGTCAATTCTAGCTTTTGATTTAAAGTTAGATACGGTAGACTCTTCCTTTCACTTCAATACTCAGAGGCCATTGTAAGGTTATTCACTGGCCTAATTTCAATCTTGTTGTGTCTCAGGGAATAGGGAGGCCTGAGGAGAGGGAAAAAGATGAGGGAATGGCTGATTGGTGCAGTCAAAACTCTCACAGCATTTATTAAGTTCACTGTTTTATATGGGCGTGGTTCATGGCACCTCAAAACAGTTACAATAGTAACATCAAAGATCGCTGATCAGTGCTGGCGTGGTGGCTCAGGCCTGTAATCCCAGCAATTTAGGAGGCCAAGGAGGGAGGATCACTTGAGGTCAGGAGTTCGAGACCAGCCTGGGCAATGTAGCAAGACCCTGTCTCTTAAAAAAAAAAAATTAGCTGGGCATAGTGGCCTGTACATATAGTCCCAGCTACCTGGACATCTGAGGTGGGAGGATCACTTAAGCCCAGGAGTTCAAGGCTGCAGTGAGCCATGTTCATGCCACTGCACTCCAGCTAGGCAAGACAGCAAGACTCCAACTCAAAAAAAAAAAAATAAATAAAGGCTAGGTGTGGTGCCTCACCCCTGTAATCCCAGCACTTTGGGAGGCTGACATGGGTGGATTGCTTGAGCTCAGGAGTTCAAGACTAGCCTGGCCAACATAGCAAAACCCCATCTCTACAAAAAAATACAAAAGTTAGCCAGGCATGGTGGCACACACCTGTAGTCCCAGCTACTTGGGAAATTGAGGCAGGAGGATCACTTGAGTCCTGGAGGTCAAGGCTGCAGTAAGCCGTGATCGTGTCACTGAACTCCAGCCTGGGTGACAGAGCGAGACCCTGCCTTTCAAACAAACAAACAAAAAAAGAGTTAAAAAAAAAAAAAAAAAAAAAGCCAGCTGGGCATGGTGGCTCACGCCTGTAATCCCAGCACTTTGGGAGGCCAAGGCAGGTGGATCACCTGAGGTCAGGAGTTCGAGACCAGCCTGGCCAATGTGGTGAAACCCCGTCTCTACTAAAAATACAAAAATTAGCTGGGCATGGTGGTGGGCACCTGTAATCCCAGCTACTAGGGAGGCTGAGGCAGGAGAATCACCTGAACCTGGGAGGTGGAGGTTGCAGTGAGCTGAGATCACACCACTACACTCCAGCCCGGGAGACAGAGCAAGACTCCGTCTTAAAAAAAAAAAAAAAAAAAAAGCCACTGAAATAACATAGGAGCACTATTTTGAGAGAGAGAAAGAGCATATGTATGAGTGAAGAGAATACGTGTGTACAGTGTGCATGTGTATGTTTGTGTGTGTGGTGGCAGGAACAAAAGAGCTACAGGAGGAAGAACACCAAAGTTACCTGCAGGATATTGGTGTGTTTTGTTTTAATCTGGTAGAGGATTAAAATGACAGAAACCATAATTGTAAATTTAGAAATCATTCTCCTGGCAAAAACAGAATGTCCCTTTAGTCCCTTTATTCTGAGTCCCCTTGGGTCTTTGCTAACGCAAAGATGATACTTCATTTTTCTCTGCTTTGCTGCATGCTTGAACTGTCTTCAGCAGCAGTGGTATACTGGGTAGACTGTAGTTCATGGAACTCAATATTATTATACACAGTATTTAGTGAATTCCATAAATATGTATTGAATACGTCATATATGCCTAGCAATGAACTATGTGATAGAGCCCATATAGTGGAATTAGATCTTTTTCTGCAGAACTTTGTAGTATAGGCTATGTATCCCTTATCTGAAATGCTTGGGACCAGAAGTGTTTCACATTTCAAAATTTTTTTTTGAATATTTGCATTGTACTTAGCATACCAAATCCAAAACTTTGAAATCCAACATGTTCCAGTGAGCATTTCCTTTAAGCATCATTGTTGGTGCGCAAAAAGTCTAATTCGGATTTTGAATTAGACTTCAGATTTTCAGATTTGGCACGCTCAGCTACTAGTTAGATGTCAGTGGTTTGAGCTATCTTATGAGATCATTAAAGCAGATATGTGTAGCTTCTCAGATATTCTGGGTTTATGTGGGAACAAATTGCAGGTAGCCATTTGTGAACAGAACTTGTGCTTCTCCTTCCTCAGTTGTGCTGCATGGAAACAACCTGTTAGTATTTGGAGGTACGGGCATCCCATTTGGAGAGAGCAACGGCAATGACGTCCATGTGTGTAATGTGAAGTATAAGAGATGGGCTTTGCTCAGCTGTCGGGGGAAGAAACCCAGTCGTATATATGGACAGGTACCAATCTGTGGCCAGTCATGGTGTATTTGTTCATATTTTTCTAGTCTGGGGATGGTGTTAGAATATTTGTAATTGTTACCATTTTATTTTAATGGAGAAGAGTTCTTTGTGGTTAGTACTTGATTTTTTAGTTCTGATATGAAATTATAATTTGCAAATCTGGTTACTTGCTGTGTTCTTTTCTTTTCTCTTCCTTTCTTTTCTTTTTTTTTCACTTTCTGTTTCTAATTCAATTTAGGTCAGGATGTAGACCTGTATGGAAGTTCCTTTAAATGTTAGAACCCCACCTCCACCTCTACCCTCACCCCCCGTGAGAGATTGGGCTTCACTATGGTCTGGGTCCTGGTCATTTTTAGAGTGATTCTTGAGTAGATGAGAAAGCACTTGGTGAAGAAACTTTTACATGGATCTGAGCTAAAACATACATTATGTAGAGATTAGTTTAGGTTCCAGCGCTTCAAACCTTAGGTCTGAAAAGTTATATCCAGAAAGATAGGGAGCAACCCACCATACATCAGAGACTCTTTGAGAGTTTAAGCTTAAAACAACCAAGCTTTGACTTCTTTCTTGACTCGCTGGCATTAGTACTGATAAACAGCTTCTGAGCTTAACTTCAAAGGAGCACATACTGGATAACTTTGTTGCTTCCACAGGAGGCATTTAAACTTAAGAAGTGGCCATAACAATAGCTGAAACTTTCATTGAAAAGGGTCCAGTGGAAAACATCAGGTTCCTTGAACTGCTAACTAGGGTTTCTACTTAGCAGATTGTGGTGGCTTATTTTCATATCTGCTGCTTCTTGAGAGCATTTTTCTTCAGACTGCTTATAAAGAGAAGCAGCTTTCAATGGAAATGCTTATGCCCATGGGCTAGAAATTATTTGATCAGCCAGGACCCTTAAGAATCATCTTGGGAGGTAGGACTTCCTTTCCAGTTGAGTAAAGCTTCACCTTTCTAAAGGTGTTTTCCAGGTTCTTAAAATAATCTCTGGGTTCTCTAAAATCTTTATTCTTTTAAGAGTCTGATACATTAAAAGATTAAAATACAAGAGAATTTCATAAAACCTGATTTGGAGGTATCTGGTAAGTTTACATTCTTTAATCAAGTGTTAACAAGTCGGTCTTATTCACCTTTCCTTGTTATCCAGGCTATGGCCATCATCAATGGCTCCCTTTATGTCTTTGGAGGTACAACCGGCTATATTTACAGCACAGACCTGCACAAGTTAGATCTCAATACCAGAGAGTGGACACAACTGAAACCAAACAACCTATCCTGTGATCTACCAGAAGAGAGGTGAGGTTCTAGGATTCAAGCATATTTATTCTTTCGTGCTAACATTTGACCTCTTTCAGAGTGTTGGCAATATGAAGAAAACCCTTTGGCCCCAGTTAGAATAACTAACTGGCTGTTGGATGTTAGATCTCAGGTAAATAGTAAAGAAAGGTCTATAGTAAAAAAAGTTCTTCTGGTGAGGAAATAATATTTCCTTCTAAACTACAGAATTTTTTTCCATGTCATTTCCTCTTATACTTTAGTCTCTCTGCATTAGGAAGATAGTAACACTTTGAAGAAGAAACCAGTGGTAACAACTATAACCAAATTTCATATTACAGGCAAAACAGTTACCGTCCAGTTACTTTTTGATTTCCCTTTTTTTAAAGAAAGGGTCTCACTCTGTCACCTAGGCTGGAGTACAGTGACATAATCATGGCTCACTGCAATCTTGACCTCCTGGGCTCAAGGCATTCTCCCATCTCAGCCCTCCGCCCAAGTAGCTGGGAATACAGGCATGTGCCACCACGTCTGGCTAAATTTTTGTACAGATGAGGCCGCACCGTGTTGCCCAGGCTGCTTCTCAAACTCCTAGGCTCAAGTGATCTGCCTGCCCTTGGCTTCCCAGAGTGTTGGGATTACAGGTGTGAGCCACCAAGCTGAGCCTGATTTCCCTTCTTAACTTGCATATTAGAATTCTTTGGCTCATTCTCTCACAGACATATCTTCAATACAGGGCACAGGGCCATCCCCACAGTGATGCCCAGTGAATGTTGATTGGATAGATGGAAGGAAGCTTGCATGGATGGATGGGTGATGAATGATAGATGGATGTATGGATGGATGGATGGATGGATGGATGGATGGATGGATGGAAAGGTCATTCATTTTAAGTGCTGTGTTAAACACTCAAACATCGCATGGTTCTCTCTAGTTGCCTTCTAGTAGCAGATCTATATCTTTCACTTTTCTTTCCTAATAGCAGTTGCCTCTTCATAGAATTAAACTCACTGTGGCTGGGCGCAGCCTGTAACCCCAGCACTTTGGGAGGCTGAGGCAGGCGGATCACGAGGTCAGGAGTTCGAGACCAGCCTGGCCAACATGGTGAAACCCTGTCTCTGCTAAAAATACAAAAAAAGTTAGCTGGGTGTGGTGGTGGGCACCTGTAATCCCAGCTACTCGGGAGGCTGAGGCAGGAGAATTGCTTGAACCCGGGAGGCAGAGGTTGCAGTGAGCTGAGATCACGCCATTGCGCTCCAGCCTGGGCGACAGAGCAAGACTCCGTCTCAGAAAAAAAAAAAAAAAGAATTAAACTCACTGAAATACTTGAAGAGATTTTTTTTCCCCTCCAGTTTGAAAGCAAAGACAGTAAACCATTTTTTATTAACTCTATTTAGATGAATCCAGTGCCTCTTTGTTGCCTCTTTAAACAAAATAGCATATAGGTGCTAAGGAAGAATTTATCTTAATTGTAGACTGTTAGTGGACTGATCATTGTAAAACTACCATAAGAGGACTTGGAAGTTGGCCTCTTACTGGAATGATTTTGATGTAGTTTATTTTATCAGCAACAAGGCCTTCAGGTAAAGAAGGAAATAGATTAAGTTTTCAAAGCATTTTCACATGGTTGCTTTCTTTAAGTCATTTTATGGACATATCATAAATTATTTTAGCTTTTAGCTAGACTGCCTGGATGAAAGTTCTGAGGTGTTTTATGTTATATCCACAGTTCTGTGTAGTATAATTTTCTGCTAAATAAGTATCTTAATTTGCAAACTCATAGTCTAAGGTCTCTAAATGTAGGCAGATCACTTTTTAAAACTATGTAATAATTTCCCCTTTATACAAAGTTATCACAAAAGATTATAGAAAAATCTACAAAATACAAATTAGCAAAATGAAGAAAATAAAAATCCAAGTCTAAACTCAAAGATAACCAGGTTTAATGTTTTGGATGATATCCTAATAGCCATTTTCTGTACATATTAATGTATCTATAAATTTTTAATGCAATTGATTAAAAAATAATGACACAAAAAAGTTCTCAATACATTAACCACCATCTGGTGCCTACTCTGTTACTGGTTGTATACTAATCCATTTTATGTATATTCTGTAAGTCATATAACCAATTCACTATTGTTAAACGCCTAGGTTATTTCCAATAACTTATTGTTATAAATAATGATGTAATAAAAAACCTTATAGCTAAATCTTAGATAGGTCATTTTTCACTTAATTATAAATGAATTTTATTGTAAATTTTCAGATACCGACATGAAATTGCACATGACGGGCAGAGGATTTACATCTTGGGAGGTGGTACTTCCTGGACAGCATATTCCTTAAACAAGGTATATTTTTTTAAAAAGAAAAAAAGGGAGAGGGAGAAGGATAGAAGGAGGCTTGCGTCAACCAAGCAAGATAATTCTGTTACTTTGGATATTTTAATTTTTGAGCACATTCCTCATTAACACCTATTTTGTGTTGGATGCACTTTATAAGGTCGAACCCTGTGCCCCAAAATGCTTTCAGTTGACAGGTGTTATTTATCACACACTGAAAATACTTTATAAAAATTATCCCCTTATGCTGGAAAAGGAAAGTGACTAAAAGGAAGGCATAGTAGCTTGAATGGAGCAACTAATTAGAATTGGAACCAGCATTATCAGAATGTCACATCCGCATCATCATCACTGCTGTGTATCTAAAAAGAACAGGCTTGTTTAGGGTTGCACGTCATGAACTTGAGAAAGCTGAGCTCTAAAGGGCTGTTATTCATCCATCCCTGTGGCATTTCTAAAATGTCATAGTCACACATCCCAGGGGAACCTAGATTAGGCTGTAGAGCTCCTGGACTGCTTGGAACCTTAATGGTCTTTTTCAAGTTTTGTCAAAACTGAATTCCCACATTCCCTTACAAACACTTGCTTTTTTCTATTATAAAAATGATACATGCCCCTTGTAGAAAATGTGGAAGTTGCAGAACAACATATAGAAGAAAATCAAGCATCACATGCACTGCAGCTTCTCATTCCAACCTTTTTCTTCGTTTTTTTCTGTGAATTTTAAAAAGTGGGCTGGGTGCGGTAGCTCATGCCTGTAATCCCAGCCCTTTGGGAGGCCGAGGCGGGCGGATCACCTGAGGTTGGGAGTTTGAGACCAGCCTGGCCAACATAGTGAAACCCCATCTCTATTAAAAACACAAAAAATTAGCTGGGCGTGTTGGCGGGCACCTGTAGTCTCAGCTACACGGGAGGCTGAGGCAGGAGAATTGCTTGAACCTGGGAGGTAGAGGCTGCAGTGAGCCAAGATCGCGTCACTACACTCCAGCCTGGGTGACAGAGTAAGACTCCATCTCAAAAAAATATAAAATAAAAATTGAAATCATGTATGTGTTTAATTTTCAACTGCCTCATTTAATGTTTTCCCTTGTATTTGGAAAGATCAGAAAAAAAGCAAAAGAAAAGAAAGACTTTTCAACTAAGAATATATGTTTACGCAGGCTGCTGCTGTTAAAAGTCCAGTTTTCTGTATGGAAAATCACTGTACCTTCTGCTCAGTTTTGCTGTGAACTGAAAACTGCTTTAAAAAACAAAGTCTATTTTTTAAAAAATCCTTTTTCAGGCTAGCTAAAATTACAATTATTTATGTATGTGTATATGTTCTTTTTTTTCTCCAAGATCCATGCATACAACCTTGAAACGAATGCCTGGGAGGAAATTGCAACAAAACCCCATGAAAAAATAGGTAAATTTAAAGTATTGATTAATTTATCTTTAACAAACATGTATTATACTTTTACTCATTTTGGAAGGAAAAAGTAATTTTACTGAGTTATATGTCAAGTTAAATACCTGTTGGGCTGGGCGCATTGTCTCACGCCTATAATCTCAGCACTTTGGGAGGCCAAGGCTTGAGCCCAGGAGTTTGAGACCAGCCCAAGCAACATGGTGAGACCCTGTGTCTACAAAAAATACAAAAAAATTTGCTGGGCCTGGTGGTGTACACCTGTAGTCCCAGCTACTCCGGAGGCTGAGGTGGGAGAATCACCTGAGCTTGGGAAATAGAGGCTGTAGTTAGCCATGATTGAGCCACTACTCTCCAGCCTGGGCATCAAAATGAGACCCTATCTCAAAAAGAAAGAAAAATCTGTTGAACTGGTATTAGAAAATACTTGTATTCCTTAGCCCAATTATAATTTTTCCTTAGGGCTGGGCGTGGTGGCTCATGCCTATAATCCCAGCACTTTGGAAGGCCGAGGTGGGTGGATCCTTTGAGGTCAGGAGTTCGAGACGAGCCTGGCCAACATGGTGAAACCCCATCTCTACTAAAAATGTAAAAATTAGCTGGGCGTGGTGGCATGTACCTGTCATCCCAGCTACTTGGGAGGCTGAGGCAGGAGAATTGTTTGAACCTGGGAGGCAGAGATTGCAGTGAGCCAAGATCACGCCACGGCACTCCAACCTGGGAGACAGAGCAAGACTCTGTCAAAAAAATAAATAAATAAAAAACAAAAACAAAAACTAACAAAAAAACACAGTAATTCTCCTTAGCGATTGAGCAAAGAGACTTTTAATCCTCTTTGTTGAATTCTTTGGCAGAAGTTGGGAAATATGGGTGATATAAGAAATTGGAGCCTAAATAAAGATCTACCGGCTGGGTATGGTGGCTCATGCCTATAATCCCAGCACTTTGGGAGGCTGAGCCCAGGAGTTCGAGACCAGCCTGTGCAACATGGTGAAACCCTGTCTCCACTAAAAATACAAAAAATTAGCTGGGTGTGGTGGTGTGCACCTGTAGTCCCAGTTACTGAGGAGGCTGAAGTGGGAGGATCATTTGAGCCCAGGAGGCGGAGGCTGCAGTGAGCCAAGATTGCACTGCTGCATTCCAGCCTGGGCAACACAGTGAGACCCTGTCTCTAAATTAAATAAATAATAAAGATCTACCTATCTCCTTGTGGGTAAAAGGGCTTGGGAAAGCCACTAGCAACTCCTGTCCTTTCCCTCTTTGTTTCCGGCACCTTAGCATTGTACTGTTATGATGAGACTCCTGATGGCTTTTGAAATAAGGAGGGAGTGGAAGGACTAGTCAATGTTTGCTTAACATGTAACAAAGGGATTGTTTTGAGTTACACGTAGTGTGTCTTTCACTGTGTTATATCAGTGTGGTTCCCAGTCTTTCTGTAAGTAATGGAACTTCTGTGTTTGTGTGTTTGGCAGGCTTTCCTGCAGCCCGAAGGTGTCACAGTTGTGTTCAAATAAAAAATGGTAAGGATTCTAAATAACATTTTGCTTCCATTTCTGTAATTGTATCTTCTGAAAATGTCTTATTTCCTAAGATAGCCCCCTCAAAAGAGGCTCATAACTTTGAGAAAAGTCTATTTCTTGTAAACTTAAAGGGAAATTCATAGTTATGCCTCTGTCAGCTGTTTTCATAATGTAAACTAGTATGGTGTTTGGGTTCCTTCAGTTATTAGAGAACTCAAAAAATGGTGATAAATAAGCTTTTATTGTAGCACTTGATCTTTCAGCATCCCACACCTCAACAGATGTCTGTGGTTATGGTGGCTAATACTAATAATCTTGACTGTTTATACTGTAGAGACCTCAGCGAACATTGTATTAAAATTGTAATAACTCCTTCAGAGTGTTATTTCATAAAGTTGATTCTGTTCTCTCTCTGATGCCAAATGGAACTCTTCACTCATTCTTTGGCCATATTACAACAAAGGCATTGTATGGCTTCAGAAAGCAGCTGCAGCTACTTTAACTAAATGTGATAAGTGACTCCTCTCTGGATAACCTTCCTGTCTTTTAATTTACAACTTATTTCATCGTCTGATATAGCTCTTAAATTTTTTCTGGGAGGAAAGCATGTATAAATGAGTTAGATAGCCTGTATGCTTTTAGCAACTTAGTTCAGATACAACTAGGATTATTCTGCCATCTCTAGTTCAGAGGGATTTTTTATTGTGCTCCTGCTTTCTGGATAAGATTTATAGATAATGACATTGCTCACATTTCTCTCTGTGAGAATGGAACTGTACTTTCAGTTTTCCTTGAATCCTAGCCAAAAAAGTTTCCAGTGCATTTTATAGCTTAAGTATTGGCTTAAACTTGGTCTAGACCTGAGTTAAGAAATTTATTCATTTAATTCTTTGAGGCCAAGCACCATACAAATAGAATTCAACCTTAGTTCTAGGCATTTCGTTTGAAGGTTCACATAGCCTTTGTTACAAGTTATCTAATTAGTTATAACTAACTGATTTTACCAGAAAACCCACACCTTTCATTTTGGGAAAATTATTCCTAATAACTGTACAGATCAAACAGAGCTTCAGTTTGTCCTCTTCTCGCCGAAGAAAGCTTGGAAGAGCCTCTTTTGTGTTCCTAAACTGAACATTGCAGTGAAGTGAACGTTCCTCCTCAGGTTAAATGTCTACATAGAGACTTTAGTCTCTGCGAGCAGATAAATGTATATTCTTTCCAGGACATTATTTAAAGAAGAGTTTGCAAACTGGTGGCCTGCAAATGTGTTTTGTTTGGCTCATATGTGTATTAAAATTTTTTTTGAGGCCAGGCATGGTGGCTCATGCCTGTAATCCTAGCACTTTGGGAGGCTGAGGCGGGAGGGTCACTTGAGCCCAGGAGTTCAAGACCAGCCTGGGTAATATAGTGAGACCTTGTCTCTTAAAAAAAAAAAAAAATATATATATATATATATATATATATATATACATACTAGCCAAAACTTAAAAATCAAAATGTTTCATTTTTAAAAACATAACCAGATTTCCAACTTGCCTTGAAAAAAATGGACGATCTGGCAATTGCCAGCCTTAAGTCTGTTATAGGACCGAACAGCTGGGGCTGCATAGCTGTCGCCTCTTTTAGAGCATGAGCATTTCTGTCTGTTTTCCTGAGACTTCTGTTTGTTTATCTTCCCTAGACCCCCTTGCTCATTTACTTTCTGTGCCTGGAATCTGTAGGTATGTGTTTGAATTTGGTAACTTTGACATGAAGGCTCCTTAGAGGCTTGCATTCTTAGTCCCAGGGAAGACCCTGACATAGCATCTCAGTTCTGTTGAGGGACAAGACAACAGCATGAGAGGCTGCACAGCAGAAGTCGTCTGTGTCATGGGGCAATCCACTTCACTGGCCGCATGTCAGCTGGCTGTGTGACCTACTCTAAAACACTCCATAGCTTTGGCTCTTTTCCTTTGTGTGATCTTGGCTTTCTCTTTTCTTCATAGATGTATTTATTTGTGGGGGCTATAATGGAGAGGTGATCCTGGGAGATATCTGGAAGTTGAATCTGCAGACTTTCCAATGGGTGAAGCTCCCAGCTACCATGCCAGAGCCAGTTTATTTTCACTGTGCAGCTGTTACACCAGTAAGTTTTTATTTTCATATCTTCCTTATGTAGTTACAGATGATAAGGAAATCTTTTTAGAGATATTAGCAAGAAAAAAAGCCAGATATAGGCAAACCTTAGATGATTAATAACATATTTTTAAAACTTCCTTCCAAAGCTAGGCCCTCCTCTAAGAAAAGAGGAGAAAAATCATCACACCCAAATTTGAGAGAATAACATAAATGTAAGAGAAATGCTACCTGTGGCATTCCGGCCCTGACCGTGATGTCAAAGGTGTTTCCTGGGAGGGCGGAATAGTTTTACCCCCTTGATACCATATTATTGAAGATCCTGCTCATTTCTTGAAGGCAAAGGCCTTTATTTTCATCTTTGTATTCCCAGTATTTGGCATCTTGGATACTTAATATAGGTTTAGTTTAATGTTAGTTAATAGTGAAATTGTTTGTTGTTGAAGTAAAAAAAAATTCATATATATAGGCCGGGCGCGGTGGCTCAGGCCTGTAATCCCAGCACTTTGGGAGGCCAAGGTGGGCGGATCACGAGGTCAGGAGATTGAGACCATCCTGGCTAACACGGATGAAACCCCATCTCTACTAAAAATACAAAAAAAAATTAGCCGGACGTGGTGGCGCGTGCCTGTATTCCCAGCTACTCTGGAGGCTGAAGCAGGAGAATGGCGTGAACCCGGGAGGCGGAGAGCTTGCAGTGAGCTGAAATTGCGCCACTGCACTCCAGCCTGGGCGACAGAGTGAGACTCTGTCTCAAAAAAAAAAAAAATCATATATATATATATATAGTTTTTCCCTTAGTAATTCATTAATTATTTAAACCCTCTTGATCTCCACATGGTATTGGGATCAGTGAGGAATTCTTGTTTCATTTCATTTTGATTCCATCTACTATGCTTTTTCCCCACTGAGTCTTCAGCCTTGTATGTTTCTCTCCCGTTTGAATTTGTCCTCTTTTGACTACTCATAGGCTGGTTGCATGTACATTCATGGAGGAGTGGTGAACATCCATGAAAACAAACGGACTGGGTCATTGTTTAAGATCTGGCTGGTGGTACCTAGCCTGCTGGAACTGGCATGGGAGAAGCTGCTTGCGGCCTTCCCTAACCTTGCAAACCTCTCCCGAACACAACTTCTGCACCTTGGACTCACACAGGGACTCATCGAACGCTTGAAATGAGGATTTCTGGACTGTTCATTGATACTGGAAATGTTAATTTAAAGAGACTCCTTTATTTATGGGCAGTGTAGAATGTGCTACAAAGAGGATTGGTTACCCTGATCAAGGCCTTATTTAGAAAATACATCAGATGCCTTTCTGTAAATTGGTTTTTCAGTTTATGGACATCTCACTTTCCCACGTGCTTCCTTCTTTGCTTCTGTTCCTCCTGACCCATTACATGCACATGTACTCACATACTCCCTCTTCCTTCTCGATGGAGTTAAGGGAAAGCCTGAAAGTACCTTAATAATGTTATTAATCAAGACAGATTCCTTTTTAAAGGAATTCTGAATAGTTCCATGTCATACAATATTCTAGAAATTAAAACATCATCAACATAAAGAAAAATGAAATTAAAAAATTTTTACATCTAGCAACAGCAACAACCACAAATTTAGGGGAAGCTGAGAAGGCTAACCTTGGGAATCTTGCAGGTTATACTTAAACCTAGATGTTTAACTTAGTGTTTTCAAGATGTGTCTAACTGAGTAGTAGCTGGGTCTGATGGCAGCAGTGCTTGCCATCTTGTTGCACAGATAACTCAAACCTACCCTTTGGCTTTGAAGGAAGGTTAAGCAGCCCAGCAACTCTTGGTTAGTGATTTCTTTCTCATCCTCATGGTGCCAGCAGTGGTTAGAGTTGGTTTGTCAAAAGACTTACGTGTGTGTCGTGGTCGTGCTCTTTGTTGTTGCTCTTAGAAATTATGGCACCAAGAATGTTTCAAACGGAAAAACTTGTGGTGGCCAAAGTTCTTCATTCTGGCAGTTTTGAAACTCTCTTATGCTTATTAATGGTTTTAAATATCTCTTTGACTTCTTCATGGGGAATTGTAGACCCTAAGTATGTGGTGTAAATGCCATGTAACATGAACACAAGCTCCCGAGGGAGGCCAGAGAAGAGCCAGGCAGAGAAAACCTGCATCCTCTGGGCTTGTTAACTTGGCTTCCACTCGGGCTGTGGTCTTTGGCTATCATCTTGGCCATTTCCTTTTGAGAACTTGTTTCTTTTCTAATCTCTGGGCCAGGTACCTGCCATTTTCTCAGGCAGTTGGTCCTTGATTTTTCCCTTAGCTTGTTGCCTTCTTTTCCGTCTGCTTTAATGTGCATGGTGCTGTGAATAATTGTCTAGTAATTGGATACAAGGTCTTGGGGGTAAAGCCACAGGTCATCCTTCCTGAAGAACCAAGTATCATTTAAAAACTAGCATGAGGAAGGAATGAAACTGAGTAGCATTCATTTTGTGTGTGTGAAATTTTAGTTCTGGTTTGTTTGATTTGTTTTTTTTTTAATTCTAAAAAGAATGACATAAATTTTCACTCGCTTTGCCATCTGGCTGCTAGGGGAGCTGAGCAAGAGGCTCACCATGCGCATGTGTAAGCCGCAGGTGTACTCAAGGTGCTGAAGGCGTGCAAGGGGCAGCGCTGGTCCTCCCGGGGCCAACTCACAGCAGGAGACTCGCATGGGAGAGTTGGAACACATCTTTCCTTTAAGTGCCTCTTTTTTCACCTAGCTTTTAAAGTTATTCTTTGTCCTTCATCTCAGAAGGGATCTCTTTAGCTTATGTGTGGATTTAAAATGACCTTTGAGCTACGGTTAAAAAGCTACCATCTGGTGTTCAGTTCTGGGAAAGAGAAAACCGTAGCCTCCAGACATGCTCCTGATTTCTAGGCCTTATCATACCATCCCCTCTGTGATGGGTTGAGTTCATGGAGCCTGTATTCTGGGAAGTCTTATAATAACCACGCACCTGTGAACGTGGGTCCTTTCTGGGGAGTGAGGAATGTGGGAGAGAGGCAGAAAAAGGAGCAGCTCCTCTAGGGGCCCATCCTCCCACATCTTGCCATTACCAGTCTGTGTAGCACTTAACCTCCTGCCACCACTGCCAGGCTTGCTCCTCCGTTCTCTCCCAGAGCAAGTCAGTCTGAGCAGCTCCATTAGTCCAAAACAGAGCTTTGCTGCATGACTTCAGCCTGGCCTCTGGATATTTGGTGGAAATATATTCTAAATTGAACAAGCCAGGCTGTCCAGGGTGGCAAGAGGATTTTTGACCTGGATTTATACAGGGACCAAAGACTGAATGCTCAGCCTCTGTGCTTAGACTTTCATGGTCCTTAGGATAGAAGTGAGTCTCTAGCCCTGCTACACCAGAGAGCTGAAGAGAGATGTGGTCTGGTTCCATCCATACTTGCTGGCATCCTTTGTTAAGCCTTCTGAGGGCAGTCTTCTTTGAGGTAGACCTTGGAGGCCTGACATCGAAGACCTGTGTGTTTTATTTTCATAAAAGTATATATCCTTGGTCTAAAGTGTCTTCTTTTAATATAACACTAGTAAAAATGACATGGTATGACCAGCACTGAGTGCTATAGAACCACACATGTGTACATGTTCTGGATGCCAAATGAGACTGTGTGTAAATGACTAAGTGTAGATAACTAGAAATTAGATAGGGGTCATCAGGCGTTTCGGTATACCTATAACCAGCACTCGGAATTCCTGACACTGTTTACTTGATTTAGGAAAGTTTATGCCTGCTGCTTCTCTGCCTCTTTGAGGTACTCCCAGCCGTCTTACTACAGTCCTGTAAATTTAAGTGCAATATATAGAAACATATGGATATATACAGATTATATATAGGGTGTAACTATAAAGCAGGTAGACTACTTTTTTGCATCTTGGGGAAGTGAGCTCATTACTTTAGGTTCAAATTATGCCAAGAATTTTAGATGTGATCAGCTGGCTTAAGCCAACTCATGTCATGATAAAGCTGGATTTTCAAGTCCATGTTTTCTTACTCCAACTCTTAGAGACTCATTGTTCCTTAGGTTTGTTAGAGTTGAGATTTTTTTTCTCCCTGTCATCTTTGTACTCTCTCATGTTTGCATGTCTTACATTTTGTTGCCGGAGAACAAGGAAGTCCATCTGTAAGGAGTTTCCTAAACGGAGAATTAAAACCTAGTATTTAACACTAACCATTCTCCTATGTATATACTAATTTATCTGGGAATGTAATACTTTATTAAATGAAGAAAATGATGCTTTCTTCATTTAATATTTTCCACATCCTGGAAAAACTATAAACTGACACAGAATAGGTTGAAATCTTAACTGGGGCTAAACAAAACCCTTTCCATTGGCAGAATCTCCTTTTTTCAGGGCCATAATGACATGATGTAAAAATTTGCTTTAAACCATTCATGCCCTTAAATAGCTAGATTTTAAAGCATAATAAGCATATTAACATTTTTAAGCAAAAGATACGTTAACAGTGACCTTTGGTTATCCACAGTAGCAAGAGTAAAGCACAGATCATTGAAATCCATAGATAATCAGTGAATCAACTTTCCTACCAAACAATAGATTCATTTACATTTCTTTTTCCTCCCTATCCTTTCCTGTAAGCACCTGTTTTTCCATGGAATGGGGTTAATGAGTAGGTAGAAAAGGAAAAGGAATAATCAGTAGGAGCTGACAACCAGTGACCATATAAGCAGCTGATTGCCTGTAATTAGTCAGGCTGAACAATTAGAGTTGAATGCTGAAATTAGGAACCACAGGTGGTAATCCTGAGTAGATGTAGCTCTTCAGCGTCATCTCCTGCCCTGAGCTCCAGGCCATCTCTCTAACCACCAAAGAACTCTTAGTACCTACGGGAAGGAAAAGCTGTGTGCGACACAGAGGAAACTCCATTATTTGAACACATTTCTTTGGCTCTTGACAAATACTTGCTTTTCCTCTAATCTTGCAAGAGCTATGGCTCTTCTATTTTCCAATCACACAGCTTGGCATGTAGGAAAGGTTGAATGATCCTCTAAGACTGTGTTGGTCTTCGTATTCTGTAAAACCCATTTTTTTTTTGTGGTCTTACAGATGTTTAGAAAGTGGCACAGGTTACTGAATTGTCTACCTGCCAGCATTCTGATATAGCACAAAAAGCTATTTTCCTTTATTTTTTGTATTATTTTTTATTTTTCTGGCATTGAGCTCTAGGGTGGATGAGGGTTTATGGTCCTCTGATCATAAGCTCCATTCTAAAAACTGGTCACTGTTAGCTGAAATTGCTTTGGTTCCCCAAATGCCTTGGAACTCCAGACGCACCCGCAGGGCCTGAGGTAGGCTTCATAGAGTTCTAGGACTTCCGTGTGCGTTGCCACCAGATCCTGCCCAGCAATGGCCTTTCCCTTCTAAGGTCATTAGATTCAGCCAAAAGCGACCTCTTCTCTAGTCCGGTGTTACGAACAGAAGTTCTGAGTTGTGCTACAAAAGTAGTTCCATCTTTTTGGTGTAATTTTCATGTTTTTAATTTGAAAAAAAAAAAAAAAAAAAAACAACTTTTTATAAGTTTTTTAAGGGCCCTGCTTAGTCAGTGTACAGGGTGGAGTCAGAGGCAGTTTTCAGAAAAAAACAAAAAACAATTTCACCAAGCGGTAGTAATTGTTGTTTTACTAGTTATACATTTAGAATATAAAGGAGGCATCAGAAAACACACTCTCTAAAGCCACTTCCTTGTGCACAGAGTCTGCACAGGGAGAGCACAGGCATCTCCCTGGAAAAGCACCTGCCAATGACGAATTTCATGGAAGAACCTAGGCAAGAAAGGAAGCCTCTTTCTGAGACACAGTCTCTGAGAGGTGAGCCTAGCTTTGCTCTTCCTACAGGGTATGCTTGGGCCATACACAATGCTCGCCTTACTTTAAAGCTATTTTGCCACAGTCCTGTTAAATAGTGTGGACGTCCTTTTGCAGTCTGGTGTGCATGCCATATGATCAGGACAGCTTTTCCACTTTACTCGGTTTCCTACAAGCAAGTAGGAAATACAGTGAATTTACCCTAAAATGTCCAATCTGTATTTATGTACCTTGTCAGTGTTTTGCTGTTGGTTTTCTAAAACAATCTGATCAATAAATCTTATCCAAATCAATTTGGTTCAAGTTCACCTTGATTGTCTAATGGTAATTTGTGTGTACGTGAGCGCACCTATATGACAGAAGCGTCAGTCCTACCCACCTCCACCAGGCTCAGCTTTTCTCTGTAATATCTGTGAGTCATCTGCCTTCCACCCCCACTCCACTGTGGGTTCTTTATCTGCTCATTATCTGGAACTCCTGGACACACAAGAGTTCCCTCACCAGCACACTGCTCCCTCCACAAAGACATCAGCAAGGGAGCAACTGTCGGGCAGCCCACACTCCCTCTCACTGCCCCACCCCATGTTCCCCAAACCACTGCTAGACAAGTTTGTATAGGTATATCAAGACTTTTCTGAAGGGTTGGAAGAGCTACAGAGAATTCAAAGGGAAAATGTGAACCCGTATATATAGTCATCTGACTGTCTTTATGATCTGAGGGAAGAGCCCCAGGAGCTGCTGAGCCCTGTGCAGGGGTCCTCTGGGGGTGAAACTACACTTCCTAGCTCTGCCCTTGGTCTTCCAGATGCTTCCCTCACCAAAACAAACCTCTGTTTTATGATGCTGTGATCTCTAATCCTCTAATCCTTCTCCATGCAGTGCTTTTCTCCATGTCTGTGTAGTCCAGAGTAGGTAGGGAAGGATACTCCCAAGTCTGGTCACTTTTAAGGTCTCCCTTCTAGAACTGAACAGATGCCTTGTATTTTTCAGTGTTTCCATTGGTTAACTATTGGATCAAACACACCTTCCATGGACAAATAATCTTAGATATTACAATATACATCTACAAGGAAGAAGAGAAACAATTTCTACCCATTCATCCACCTTACAGTTAATACTTTATTATGCAGAGCAGTCTTCTTTCCTTGGGTTTATTTCTCCTAACTATACTCCTCTCCAAGCTACCAGATATAAGAAATGCACCCTATACCTTTCAGTCTTCAGACCAGCCAGAGCTTTGAAATGGACTCTTATGTGCATCTGATTTGGTTCTTAGATAAGGCATCTAAGACCCATCTTGGCCTAGTGGGAGGAGTTTCAGTGGCCTAGTTGGTTTGCGTGGTTTTGTTCTTCCAGTTTATGTGTATATAATTCTAGTTTGTTAAAATGATGTTGTTAAGCTACTTTAACAACAACCACATTCTCTTGTAGTTAATCTTCTGCAGTAATTGCTTGAGGGAAGAAAACATTGGTAAAACCATCCAGTTTCCCTACTGCCTTCAAATGAAAGGCCAGGTTCTAGCCCAGTGCTAGAGCAATAAAGCTTTCTGCAATGGTGGAAATGTTCTGTATCTGCACCACCCAATATGGTGGTAGCCACAAGCCACATGGGGCTTTTGAGTACTTCAAATGTGGCTAGTATGGCTGAGAAACTGAATTTTTAATTTGATTTAATTTTCATGTATTTATAGGGAAATAACCACACATGGCTAGTGGCTACCTCTTAGTGCAATTCTAGGAAGAGATGACCTGGGGGTTAGGAGACAAGGGCTCTGCTCTTGGCTCAGTCCATAATAGCCCTGTTCTGTATGCAACTTGCTTTTCTTTGGGTCTTGGTTTACTTATCTGTCAAATAGGAGGAGGTTGGCTAGATAATCCCCAAGATCTAACATTATTTAGGATGTTTGGCCAAAAAAGGCTGCAGCATAATGGTGAGTACCATAGGTGTGCAGTGCTAGGACTGGAGTTACCTCTTAAACTCGATCCTGATCTTAAGATCACTGATCCCACCGTGGTGGGAGGTCTGCTGCCCGCTCCAGGTGGTTCCTTAGTGAGTGGCACAGTCAGGATTTCCACTTGCATAGTGCAGGCTCCAAGAAAAAGTATTGAAAATGGAGTAGGGACTAGAACACGGCCACTGCCAAGCCACCTGTAACCCACTGGTTTCAAAACCATGATCCATACTTGTTAACAATACAGATTCCTGGGCCCAAACCCCAAGGATTATATTTTAATAAGTGTGTAATTTTAATAAACTCTTTCATTGATTCCAATTCAGCTGGTTTAAGACATTTGGGAACCCCTGACCCACAGCTGAGCTAACTGGCCAGTGCCGGCCAAGATGAGAGATTTTGTTACCTTACTTTTTATTGTCATATTTCATTGTCCAGCAGGAGACTTCACTGCAAAGGCCAGAATGAACATTTCCCAATCCTTGCCCATTAGAACTCAGTGGCAGACCGAGTACACAGGTATTCTCCGCTCCTTCTTGGAGAACCACTAAAATAATAACAAAATGGCCCTAGTTTCCTTTTCTCTGAAATGGGGCTAACAGTAGTAACCTCTCTCCATACTAGCTACTTATTTCATACTGTGTGGCTGAAATAAGTAGATATGGGTAAGGTACTTCAAATGACGCCTGGCATATAGTAAGCATTATGGAGATATTCACTGTGATTGCTCTCTAGTTGATGGAATAAGAAATAAAACTGAAGGCTGGGCATGGTGGCTCACGCCTGTAATCCCAGCACTTTGGGAGGCTGAGGTAGGCCGACCACCTGAGGTCAGGAGTTCGAGACCAGCCTGACCAACATGGAGAAATCCCGTCTCTACTGAAAATACAAAATTAGCCGGGCGTGGTGGCGCACGCCTGTAATCCCAGCTACTTGGGAGGCTGAGGCAGAAGAATAGTTTGAACCCAGGAGGCAGAGGTTGCAGTGAGTCAAGATCACACCATTGCACTCCAGCCTGGGCAACAAGAGCGAAACTCCAACTAAAAAAAAAAAAAATTTACTAAAAATTACAAAGTTAACCAATAAAGAAGAAACTAAATGTAGGACGAGGGAGGGAGGGTGGTGATGCAAGTGAGCTGAGTCCTGCTCTCCATAGCAGGAAGGGGATAAACAGAATGTCTCAGATTGAAGCAACAGCCAGGTACACGTGTAAATTAGAGAGTAATGGTGGATATCAGGCCAGACATGGTGGCTCACGCCTGTGATCCCAGCACTTTGAGAGGCTGAGATGGGCAGATCACCTGAGGTCAGGAGTTTGAGACCAGCTTGGCCAACATGGCGAAACCCCATCTCTACTAAAAATACAAAAGTTAGCCGGGCATGGTGGTGGGTGGCTGTAATCCCAGCTACTGGGGAGGTTGAGGCAGGAGAATTGCTTGAACCTGGGAGGCGAAGGTTGCAGTGAGCTGAGATAGTGCCATTGCACTCCAGCCTGGGTGACAGAGCAAGACTCCATCTCAAAAAAAAAAAAAAAAAAAAGGTGAGTATCCAAAAAAAAAAACAGCTGCAAGAGCTCATGGTAGTAAGACAGGTGACGACACAGAGGGGCTGTGGCAGTGACTGCTGGTTTTTGAGTGTGATCCTGATTTTTTGTTTTTTTTTTACTTTTTCCGCCTTCCTAAAGCAGAACCTTCTGTAGCTCTTTCAGTCTAGCTCTTCTTCAGAATATGGCGAGTCTGAGTCTCTTCTGACCACATAAGACGGGGCGATTCAAAGCGTGCAGCTGGAGTATTTGTATTTTCAAGTTCTTCCCTGATTCAGCTGCAACCTCACTGGTACTTGGGAATCTTTGGTTTAAAAGCCAATTCTAGAGGCTAGTGGAAGGAAAGAATGGAAGAGAGGGAGGAGGTTTTTAAAAAATACACACTCTGTCAAGTTTTAGGTGTGGGGTTTTTGTTTGTTTTATTTGAGACAGGCTGTGCTGCCCAGGCTGAAGTGCAGTGGCTCGATCACAGTTCCCGGACTCAAGTGATCCTCTTCCCTCAGCCTCTCAAGTAGCTTGGACCACAGGCATGTACCACCACACCTGGCTTAGCTGTGATTTTATCCTGTTGCCCAAAGCCTATTCCTTACCATCCTGTCCATTCATAAAATCAAGCAAGAACATTATTGTAGAGCAGAGGTTTTTTCTTTCATCCACAGCCAGGTGAGAGGAGGTAGTTTTGAGTGACATACAAAGCCAACCCAGCCAATCTGCTCACCCTACACTGGCCTTGCAGCCTCAAATGCAAAAGCAAGAGGCTTCTCAGATTCTCCAGCAGACAGCTCAGCAGGGGAGCTCAGCAGCCCATGCAGGAAGGTAGGTGCCAAACACCACTCAGGGAGGTCAGGAGCCACCACAGCCCAGCTCCAGGACTTGGGAAGAGAAGGCAGAGACAGCTGGGAGCTCTGGCCACTTACTATTTGGGGGCCCCACAGCAGGCCAGGAGCTTTAGAGTATTGCAGATGACATCCATGAAAAGAGAAAGCAGCTGCCATGCAGCCTGTGTCACCTTAGAGGAGTCAGACTGGTCAGTTTATCCTCCTTGAACCTGCCACTTAGAACCGCAAGGTTCTGGGAGTGGAGGAGGCTCTCACCATGACTGCCTAGGATGTGTTCAAAATCCCCACCCCACTGTCAGGGAGCAAACTTTGTTACTCTCCCAGCCCCAGAAAAATACATCCAGGCCATCCAGGCATCTCCTGCACCTGGGTTATTTACTACCCAAACCTCACCCTGAAACAGCTAAGATCAGGTCATGGTTCGGGATGTCGGCCTCTGCCTGGGCTCACCCTGCACTGCACAGGCTTGCTGCCCACAAAGACGCGGTTTATAAGAACAATAGGCACAGGGGTGTCTCAGAGCTACTTGCATACTAGGGCATCCAGGACGAGAACTCCAGCTTTACACTGGATCTAACCCCGGACCCCAAACACACACACTAACCCAGAGCCCAGCCTCTGCAGCCCCTGCCATGTCAGCCAAGCATTTTCAGTTCATTTTCTCCTCGGCAAGCCTGTATTGAATCGCAGGCCTAGAAGTTTTATCCCCGTTTCACAGATTGGCAGGCCAAGACAAGACAAATTCAGTGATTTGCCAAGGGCCAGAGAAGGGAGTCCAAGTCTGCAAGCTTGCAAGGTCGCGTTCATGAGAACTTTCATCCTCCTGGGACCCGGCGGCAGGCACATGGGCCTGGATAGTTACTGAGAAAATTCTTTCAGAAGGGCTTTCGGGGACGTGAAGTCACCCCTGGCTTCCCGGGATTCTGGGTTGGGAGCAGCCGCGCAGGGGCGGTGAAGCCAGGGGCCAGGGCGGTCCGTGCTGCGGGCGGCTCCCCAAGGCCCGGTGCGCTGGGCTACCCGCCCGCTGGCCATGGACTTGCCGCCTGCAGCGCACATGGCTGGGGAGGAAGAGCCGTGGATTTCAGTCTGTACACCCAGACGACTAAGAAGCTGCCGCCCGCTAGCGGGGAGGGGACTCGGCCGGGAGGTGGCCCCCGCAGCCCGGCGCCGCCGCGCGTCCCATCCTCGAGGCCACCGTCGCTCACCGAACATCTGGCACGTGCCATTGGTGCTGGGGTGCTGCGTGAGCGGGCCCTGCCTTCGGGAAGTTTCCATTGGGGAGGAGGCGATCGATCAGACCACAGCAAACGAGCAAGATGACCACAGTGGCCCATGGAGGGGGAATAGGAGCTGTGTGGCGTAGAAACAAGGAAAGCCTCCCGCCCGGTGTGCACGGGGAGCTAGAAAGTGTGACCAGAGTGTTCGGGGCAGGGACAAAACCCAGCTTCTGGTGTCTTCTGCAAGGGGAAGAAGCCTTGCGGTGGGAGCCAGGGGAATCCCCGCGAAGAGGCGGCCCCGCACCTATCCCGGGGCTGGGACGAAGGGTTTGGCTTCTCTAAACGCAGCGGGAAGCTTTAAGCCAGAGCCACACAGAGCATCCCTGTCGCAGGAGAGTGCCCGGGGGTCCCAGGAGGGCGAAAGCACCTTTGGGGCCGAGACACTTCTGCTCCCATCACCCCCGCCCCAGCAGGGCGCCCCTGTGCGGGGAACAGCCAGCAATCAGGGACAGCGCCCCAGGCCCCGCTGCGCCAGCACTGGCAGGAGGGACGCATGGAGGCCGGACGGAACTGGGGAGGGGGTGCTGGCCAGGGTGGGCTCAGGCCCTCCCCACTAAGGCCAGCTCGGCCCAGGGCCTCCCTGCGCAGCCCAGCGCGCCTTGTCGGAGAGGCTCCTAGGACCGGAGGGGAAGCCGCTCTGAACCGGAATGATCTGGTTTGGAGCGGGTTGGCTCCCTCCCTGCTCCCCCGCCCACTGCTCTCCCTCTCCTCCAGCGACGGGCTGGTTTTTGCCGCAGTCCCTGACCAAGGTAAACAGGAGGGAAGAGGAAAGAAGGCTGTTTCCATGGCAACCCAGGGGATAGGCGCTGTGGCTCTCCGGGATATGCGGGGGTGACTTCAGGGAGAAGAAAAGGCTCCCCGGAAAAGCCACAGGGAGGAAGGACCCTCCCATGCACACGGTGGGGTGCGTTCAGAAGTGGGGGGATGGAGGGAAAAGGAGAGGGGTCAGGCACCCTCGGTGAAGTGGAGAATTGAGCAGGGGCCTGGGGACACAGAGACACATAAGGGCCAGGGGTCATACCGAAAATGCAAGCACACAGGCTCTTCTGGCCACTCAACCCAGGGAGCAGAAAACAGAGGTGCCAGAGCTCTCAGAGATTCCGAAATCCACACCTCTCTGGTCCTTTCCAGAAAACCCTTCCAGGGGGCAGCTCAGCCTGGGGACAACCACAGAAGTGGGACCTGGGCCCAAAGACAGGTGTCACCTGAAACAGGCCACTGTTGTCCGCCTGCAGTATGCTGGGAGGACCAGCTCCCGCTCCACCCTGCTCCCCCTGGGAGGAAGGCTGACCCCTGCGTGGGAGTGTGACTGCTGGAAAGGCATCCTTGCTGCAGCTGTGAGTGTGATGGGACAGCAGAGTCACTCCTGCATGGGATTCTAGGGCTGGGGGTCCCAGAGGGGTGGCCTCCGCCCCTCCTGGGGGCCGAGGACTGTCACCATGTCACTACGGCACTCTCCAGCTGCTGACCAAAGCCCTCGCTAACCGCAGCCCTGCCATACTCTGGGTCTTTCCTCTGGAGCAAGGTGAAGAGACTGCAGCGAGGCGTGGAATTGGGAAGCTCTTCTGGTTTTATTAAAAACTCGTTCCACCACAGGAGTCAGCCTGGCCACTCAGGTGTGGGGCGGGTCTCTCCTCATTTAGCTTTCACCTGCGTGCCCAGGGATAGGAGAAAAACGGCACAGAGGGAGGTTGTAGGGAGTAAGCATCCTGCCCTGGCAAAGCTGAGTGAACGTGGGTAGCTTCAGCCCAGTGAAGCAGCAGCAGGGACGCCTGTGGAAACCTGGGTGGAGGTGCCTTCTGACCTTGGTTTGTCTGGGCCAGGGGGCGAATGCTTCTGGCAGTGGAGCTTCCAGGCCCGGAAAACCCAGGCCTCTTCTCCTCACGTGGGCCCTCAGGTGCTTGTGGACTGCCCGGAGACAGAACAGAACTGAGGGTGGGAGGGCCTGCTTTTGCCTGCAGAACACCCTGAAATGTCCCATTTACCCAGCTCTCTCCAGGGCCCGCACAGTCCAAACTTCTCTGGCCTCAACTCCTACCACTGTGCCTTTGCTCACTCTCGACCAGCCACGGTGGCTTCCTTGCTGCTCCTTGAGCGGTCAAGCGTGCTCCCTCTTTCTGGAGGTCTCCTCCTCCAGTATCCACATGGCTGTGTGCCTGGCCTCCTTCAGTTTTTTAATGTGGTCTTCTCAATGAGGCAGAGCCAGGGCTAGGGTGAGGCGAGTGAGGCAGCAAGGGCTTTCCTGCCCTCTCTGGTTAAAACTGTATAGTCTTCCCCTCTGCTCAGGACTCTCCACTCCCTGTCCTCTTCCCAAAGAATGGAACACCATCTTGTTTAGTACACACCTTGTTTATTGCCAGACTTTCTCCATTGGAATGGAAGTGCCATGAGGACTGGAAACGTCTCTGCCTTGTTCTTGTTCTGTCTGTATTCTTTAGAGCCTAGCACATAGTAGATGCTCAGTGTACGCTGTCAGATGGAGGGGTGGATGGGGGGATAAATGGGGCCATGGGGTCAGTAGGCTGTGTCCTTCCCCAGTTCCCCTTCCAACAAGTGGGAAGTGTGCTGCGGCCTTAGAAGAGGCTGGCAGAGTGGCATAACACACTCCTGGTGAAGCACACGATGTGAGGCACAGAGGTTACAACTAAAAAGAAAAACAGACTGGCCTTAAAAAGATAACGAAGGTGGATGCTGTTACTGCCACCAGGCCCGTAGCCCCAGCCAGGCTTTAAGAGTCCTTCCACATCGACCAGGTGAGGTGGCTCATGCCTGTAATCCCAGCACTTTGGGAGGCCAAGGTGGGCGGATCACTGGAGGTCAGGAGTTCAAGACCAGCCTGGCCAACATGACAAAACCCTATCTCTATCAAAACTACAAAAAAAAAAATAGCCAGGCGTGGTGGCACTTGCCTGTAATTCCAGCTACTTGGGAGGCTAAGGCAGGAGAATCACTTGAACCCGGGATGTGGAGGTTGCAGTGAGCTGAGATCGGGCCACTGCACTTCAGACTGGGTGACAGAGTGGGTGACAAATAGAAAAAAAAAAAAAGAGTCCTTCTACATGACAACTGCTAGCACAATTGGAGAAATTAAATTCATCCTGAGGCCAAGACTCTGCCCGCTAGGAAAAGCAGGGTGGAGGGCAATAGCCCAGGTGTGCTCCCTGCCCCTACCCCACACCAAAGACTTTTGGGGATTGTGCAGGGGCAGTGGCAATGAGGCAGCTCTCTGTGGGTTCAGCCCAAGTGGGATGTGCTGGAGGCCTCCACCACTACCGATGGGCTCAGCCTGGCAGCGCACTGGGAGGGGTTGGGGGAGAGGAAAGAGGGGAGAAGACCCTCTTAGAACCACACTAGCCCTTCTCTCAGACAGGCAGCCCTGACACCTGCACCGGGGGCTCCATGCTCCTGTCTGCTTCCTGTTCCTCGCTGTGTGTAACCAGCAACAACAGGTTTCAAAGTCCATCCATTGAAACCCCCACTTGCAAAGGGAGTCACCTTCAATTTCCTGCCCGCCTGCCTCTTTCCTGATTCACCTGATAAATTCAGGACAGCTTTTATTGCTTTTGGCGAAAAACTGCCATTAAGATTTACAGAGCTGAAAGCTGGTACAATGTAATCTTCAGAGTAATTTACGCAGTGAGTTTCAAAAGATGAAAAGTTAGCATTTCAGAGGTAATTTCATAAAAAGGATTATCAGATTAATCACTGTGTCAATTTAATAGCGGTGTCTCAAATAATTAATTTGCTTTCTTGAAGTCAGCAATGCAAGAAAGGACTCTAAAAGGAATACAAATGGCTGTGTCAGACAGTAAGTATGTGTTGGGCAATTGATCTTGAGAGAATTCTTCTTGGAATTACACCGGTGGAATGTCAGGCGTGGGCTCATTGGCACAGAGACAAAACCAGAAAGTGAAAAGCTCTTGGTACACCCAGGTCTCCCGGAGAGCCTTGGGACGTGACTGCTGGGGGCTTGTCTGTACCCACAGAGCGAAAGCTGACCTGCCACGTGTTGAATTGTCCTGTGTCACCTGGAAAATGTGTCTAACCAAGCAAGCCACTGACAGGTTGCTCTAATGGGAGATCCAGGTGTGAATTGCAGCCTGCTTGTGAAATTACCCATGGGTGCTCCGAGGTGGAATATAATCAATGCCTGGGCTGGTTATAAACGCAGCCCTCCCTGTTTCATAGCAACACCACTCCAATCAGCTGCCACATGGCAGGGCAGGGCTGTGTCCTTAGTGGATGCTATGGATTGAATTGTGTCCCTCCCATCCCCCCCAAAAAAATATATGTTGGAATCCTAGCCTACAGAACCTCAGAATGTAACCTTATTTGGAAATAGGGTCTCTACAGAGGTAAATTAAAATGAGGTTCACGCCTATAATCCCCGCACTTTGGGAGGCCAAGGTGGGCGGATCACCTGAGGTCAGGAGTTCGAGACCAACCTGGCCAACATGGCGAAAACCCGTTTGTGCTGAAAATACAATAATTAGCTGGGCGTGGTGGTGTGCGCCTGTAATCCCTGCCACTTGGGAGGGTGAGGCAGGAGAATCGCTTGAACCCAGGAGGCAGAGGTTGCAGTGAGCTGAGATTGTGCCACTGCACTCCAGCCTGGGCAACAGAGCAAGACTCTGTCTCAAAAAAACAAAAACAAAATGAGGTTATTAGAATGGGCCTTAATCTAGTACGACTGGTATCCCTATGAGAAGGGGAAATTTGAACCAAGACACACACACAGAATACCACGTGAAGATGAAGGCAGAGATCTGGCTGACACGTCTGTCTATAAGCTGAGAAATACCAAGGCTTGCCACTAGACCACCAGAACCAGGAGAGAAGCGTGGCAGATTCTCCCTCACAGCCTTCAGAGGAAGCTGACTCTGCTGGCACTTTTACCTCAAAGGCCAGGCCCCAGAACTGTGAAATAATACATCTCTCTTGGTTGAGCCACTCAGTGTGCGATACTTTGTTTTTGTAGCCCTAGGAAACTCACACAGTGGGGCCTCGTGGAAAGAGTCGACTTGAGTGTCTTTGTTCTTAATGTTCCTATGTTTCTCTAAACTTTTTTTATACACAGGCTCGGGGCAGAATGTGAAGATAATGACACACCTCAGTAGGAACAAGCATATTCTCTATGTTACTCACTATTTCTTTTTCTTTCTTTTCTTTCCTTTTTTCTTTTTCTTTCTTTTTTTTTTTCTTTTTTTTTTATTGAGACAGAGTCTTGCTCTGTCACCCAGGATGGAGTGCAGTGGTGCGATCTCGGCTCACTGCAACCTCCCCCTCCTGGGTTCAAGCGATTGTCCTGCCTCAGCCTCCCGTGTAGCTGGGATTACAGGTGCCTGCCACCATGCCTGGCTAATTTTTTTTTCTTCTTCTTTTTTTTTTTTTTTTTTTTTTGTATTTTTAGTATAGACGGGGTTTCACCATGTTGGTCAAGCTGATCTTGAACTCCTGATCTCTGGTAATCTGCCCAAATTGGCCTCCCAAAGTGCAGAGATTACAGACATGAGCCACTGCACCCTGCCCACTATACTTTTTCCTAAAGAACTGAAAGAGGGCACAGTGGCTCACACTCAGCACTTAGGGGAGACATGCTGGTGGATCACTTGAGCCCAGGAGTTCAGAGCCAGCCTGGGTAACATGGCGATACCCCATCTCTATAAAAAAAATACAAAAGAGTTTGCTGGGCCTGGTGGTGCACTCCTATAGTCCCAGCTACTTGGGAGGCTGAGGTGGGAGAATCACTTGAGTCTGAGAGGTCAAGGCTGCAGTGAGCCAAGATCACTCCACTGCACTCCAGCCTGGGTGACATGAGCGAGACCTAAAGAAAAAAGACTCACATTCTTTCTCCTGGGGTTGCTGACCTAAGGCTCTGAGCCTGGAGCTGACAGGAGCCCTGTGACCTCTGCCTGAGGACAGCCTGCCCTAAAGAGAACAAGCCAGCAAAGTAGAGTGGACTCTGGCGACACATGCATACCTGGATCCACACACTTGGCCAGGTGTTTTAGCTGCACAAGCTCTGCAGAAAAGCCTCCTTGGCTTTAAACAATACATGGTTTTGGGTCTCAGCAATTCTGCTTAGAAATGTAATATTCTGGCCCGGTGCGGTGACTCACTCCTGTAATCCCAGCACTTTGGGAGGCTGAGGCAGGCGGATCACTTGAGCCCAGGAGTTCAAGAGCAGCCTGGGCAACATGGCAAAAGCCCATCTCTACAAAAAAAATATAAAAATTAGCTGGGTGCAGTGGTATGCTCCTGTACTCCCAGCTGCTAGGGGGCTGAGGTGGGAGGATTGCTTCAGCCTGGGAGGCAGAGGCTGCGGTGAGCCGAGATGGCGCCACTGCACTTCAGCGTGGGCAGCAGAGTGAAACCCTGTCTCAAAAAAAAGAAAAAAAAAAAAAAAAGAAATATTTTGGTCCTTGCCTTCCTCCTCGCCAAAGAGAAAATCCACACTCAGAAGGTTGTGCTAATCAAGCACAAGGATAAAGTCAGGGTGACCAGGAGAGTGCCAGACCAATGGTAGGTGTTTGATTAGATACCCCAGGGGCCACTGATGCTACATTTAACAGCCTGAAAGGAGCTGTGGTGCCAGCCTCCTGAGTGGCACCACCCACCCGGCTGCCTCCAGCCCTCGCTGCCGTTACAGGGGGCTTTTCCCAGGGTGCTCTTCTCACCCTTCGGGGAGCAGGCTGTCTCCTCAACACCATCTCTTTCCACCAGTTTGGCCTCCGCCATCTTTGTAGTCTGGATTGCTCCCTGGGAGGATGACGGTTAGTCCCTTCAGGAAGGGCACCAGTGTCCAAGAGGCTGATGACCCCTGGGGTCTGTGTGTGACACCCAACCTGTACCCAGGGTGAAGCTTCCGCGGCTGAGGAGCTTCCATGGGAGTCTGAGGCGGGCAGCAGGGTGTAAGGGGAGCCAGCCTAGTTGGCTCAAGGCTGCTAGCAAGCCCTTCAGTGGGGAGATCTACCTCCAACAGCTTCCTCCTCAACAGCCCTCTTGGGGAAGAAGAGCCCAGCTGCTCCCTCGCTGCGCTTCCAAGAGCGGAGCCCAAGCCCCAGCTGTGGTTTCCACTCTGCCGCCCCGTCCAGTCTTCCCGCCTGCCTTGGCCTCTTTTTCACAGGGCCACACCAAATGGGGCAGGGGCCACTCCACCATTGCCAGAGGAGAACGCATGGGAACCTTCCATGGAGGCACTGCCCTCCCGGCTCCAGAAGCCTAGGCTCCCTTGCAGTGGCTCCTTGAAAAAGGGACAGCCAGCACGAGCCACCAAACCTCTCTCCTCTGCTTGAATGTCACCGTGGGCAGTGTGCCTCTTCCCCACCTTTCCACCATAGACTTAGGTTCAGACTCTCCCTGGTGAGAGCAAGGTGGCTCCAGGAAGAAGTGTAAATCATAGACTTGGGCTTGTAGGAAGAATTAGAACTCTTTTTTTGTCTTTTCCACCAGCATAATTTATTTCCTGCTCCCAGACTTCTGCACCTGTCTGCACTGGGGGCCTCCTGTGGTACCTTGACCTGCCAGCCCTTCCTGAAGATGCTGCGTCGTAACGTTTAGCCTGGAATAGGGGACAGAGGGCTGGCTTGGGGCGGCGGCAGTGGGATGCAGGAAGCAAACGGTATTTTAAACCTAAGCTGCTTAGGGGCATAACTCTTCCTCATTTGGAAAGTCTTTTTTTTTTTTCTTTTTAAACTTGGGTCCTCGAATGGTAGAATTGCTCACTCTTCCCTGGGAGGAAAGTCAGGCCCAGATGGTGTTATCCATTTCCCATCCAGTCTGGCAAGATCACAGGAAGGGCCAGCTGGTGGCTTCCTTGTTATTGTTAATTTTTTTTTTTTGAGAAGGAATCTCACTCTGTCGCCAGGCTGCAGTGCAGTGGCACGATCTTAGCTCATTGCAACCTCTGCCTCCTGGGTTCAAGCAATTCTCTTGCCTCAGCCTCCCAAGTAGCTGAAGTTACAGACACGCACCAGTGTGCCTGGCTAATTTTTGTATTTTTAGTAGAGAAGAGATTTCACCATGTTGGCCAGGCTGGTCTTGAACTCCTGACCTCAGGGGATCCACCCGCCTCGGCCTCCCAAAGTGTTGGGATTACAGGCATGAGCCACTGAGCCCGGCCTAATTTTTTTTACCTTCTACTGATTAAAGTTTTGAAATTTCGAGAGGCCAGATGGGAACCAAATAATATGGCCCTTTTGGTTTTCTTTTAATGAGACCAGGTTTGGGAGAGACCTTGGAGAGACCTGAGATGGTGAAGCTGTCTGCTGGGTACCCTGGGACCTATTGCCCAGAGGGCTTGGCAAGCCGTGAGTTCTTTCATCCTCCTTCCTACAGGGAGTATTGCCTCTGTTTTTCCAGAAGATTCTTGTAATGGTTTCTGTAGGACCGTGCACTTCACAGGCTTCAGTTAAAATTGGACTCAGCTTGTGGGTGGAGAGACTAAAGCCTTGTGAAGACGTTTGATCCTGCAAGTCCTCAAAGCCTCCTGCTCCCCCGGGGCGGCCGGGCACATGAATATGGAGAGTGGCATTGAAGATGTGCTGTCTCCTTCCCAGATCCTGCTGCCTGGGGACCAGCAGTGAGGCCCTCTTCCTGCAGAAGGGCACTCTCAGTCTTGCTGGGCTAGAGGAGGAAGCCACGGGGGTGGTGGCTGCAAAGGGCTGGGCACAGAGAGAGACCTGGCAAGGTGACCGGGGGAGGTGACTGGGCTCAGGCTGGCACCTGTCCCACCTCACTGTCAGCCAAGCAGATGGAGAGGTGGGTGCTCTGCCCGTTGCAGCCACCTGCCCTGCGGCCTCTGCTGTGCCCGTTTCTGCTCTGGGTCCGCCAGCAGGAGCTCAGCCCTCATCCTCATGTTCATCTAGTGAGGCGGGGGGAGGCGGTCATCCCAGGCAGGTGTGGGTGCAGAAGAGGCAGCCGCAGGTGTGGGGCCATTGCAGCGAGGGGCCCTGCCCTGTTCCTCCAGGAACTCCCACGGGCTCTTAGAGTCTCTCCAGGTTGTCGCCATTTCACTTCCGCCTGCAGTTGGGCATGGGCTGTGTACGGAACACACATTAGACCCTGGGGAACAAAAAGGAAACAAAAACAGGAAATGTGTCTGCTCTCAAGGATATTATTAAAATGGTGAGAGGCCGGGCATGGTGGCTCACGCCTGTAATCCCAGCACTTTGGGAGGCCGAGGCAGGCGGATCACGAGGTCAGTAGATCGAGACCATCCTGGCTAACACGGTGAAACCTCGTCTCTACTAAAAATATTTTTTAAAAAAATCAGCCGGGCGTGGTGGCAGGCACCTGTAGTCCCAGCTACTTGGGAGGTTGAGGCAGGAGAATGGTGTGAACCCGGGAGGCGGAGCTTGCTGTGAGCTGAGATCGTGCCACTGCACTCCAGCCTGGGAGACGGCGCGAGACTCCATCTCAAAATAATAATAATAAAAATAAAATAAAATAAAATAAAATAAAATGGTGAGAAAACACAAATCTACCCACGAAATGGCCTGAGAACAAAACGCACCCAGTGGCCGTGATATTCATGCTACTTAAACCAGAAGGCTTCGAATGGGCACAGTGCAGTGAGGCTGAGGGGGCTAATCAGAGGAGATATTAAATGTTCAAGAACACTAGCATGCAAGAACAACTGTGACCCAGGGAGATGTTTGCTACCAAGTACACTGTGGGGCCCCACCACCCCAGAAAGGCGCATCAGCAGGTACTAAGGAAGACCGGGCCATGGCTCCCCGAGGTCGCGCTGTGTGAACTCACCAGGTGCAGTTACCGGGAAAGCTTGTTAAAAAGGGCAGGTTAGGAGGCCCCAGGCCTACAGGTTCTGATTCAGTAAATCAGCGTGGGCCCAGACCTGCATTTTAAGGAAGGGCCACAGGTGGCCGTGCTGTAGGAGGGGCCGAAACCACACTTTTTTTTTTTTTTTTGAGTCTCGCTCTGTCGCCCAGGCTGGAGTGCAGTGGTGTGATCTCGGCTCACTGCAGCCTCTGCTTCCTGGTTTCAAGTGATTCTCCTCTCTCAGCCTCCCTAGTAGCTGGGATTATAGGCGCACGCCACCACACCGGACTAATTTTTGTATTTTTTTTTTTTTTTTTTGAGACGGAGGGAGTCTCGCTCTGTCACCCAGGCTGGAGTGTAGTGGCGCGATCTCAGCTCACTACAAGCTCCGCCTCCTGGGTTCAGCCATTCTCCTGCCTCAGCCTCTCCGAGTAGCTGGGACTACAGGCGCCCACCACCACGCCCTGCTAATTTTTTAAAATATTTTTTTAGAGACGAGGTTTCGCTGTGGTCTCGATCTCCTGACCTCGTAATCCGCCCGCCTCGGCCTCCCAAAGTGCTGGGATTACAAGCGTGAGCCACTGAGCCCAGCCTAATTTTTGTATTTTTAGTAGAGACGGGGTTTCACCATGTTGGCCAGGCTGGTCTCGAACTCCTGACCTCAGGTGATCTGCCCACCTCGGCATCCCAAAGTGGTGGGATTATAGGCGAGAGCCACCGCGCCCGGCCTCAAAACCACACTTCTAAGAAAATTGCTCTTAGTTGTTCTTAGGAAGGCACCAAGGCCCTTCCCTGCAGCAGCCCTAGGAAGTACTGTACATCAGGTTTCCCTTAGGGAACTCTGCTCCAGGGCAGTGCAGGCACAAGCCGCATTGCGTCATATCACACAAACACGCCACAGGCCACACAAACCACATCACACATGCCACAAGCCACACATACCACATCAGACACACACACGCCACAGGCCACACACACATCACACACACACACACCACAGGCCACACATCACACAAACACATCACACCACAAACCACACACACATCACACACACACCACATCACACACACCACAGACCACACACACATCACACACAAGCCACACACACATCACACACCACATCACACACACACCACAAGCCACACACACATCTCACACACACATCACATACACACCACAGACCACAAACCACACACAAGCCACACACACATCACACACACACATCACACACACCACAAGCCACACACACCTCACACACACATCACACACACACCACAGACCACAAACCACACACAAGCCACACACACATTACACACACAAGCCACACACACAAGCCACACATACCACAAGCCACACATACAAGCCACACATGCCACATCATACACACATCACAAGCCACATACACCACAGACCACAAACCACACACAAGCCACACACACATCACAAACACACACCATAAGCCACATACACCACATCACACAAACACACACACCACAGGCCACACACACCACAAATAAAAAACCACACACTACAAGCCACACATACAAGCCACACACACATCACACACCACAAGCCACCCACATCACAGAAACACACACCAGAAACAACATACCACATCACACACACCACAAGCCGCACACACATCACACACACACACACACTGCAAGCCACACAAACATACCACAAAACACACACCACACAAATACACATCACACACCGCAAGCCACACACACTGCAGACCACACACACACACACAAGCCACAGATACATACCACAAACCACACACACCACACATCACACAAACACCACCCAACACTCACCCATACAACCTGCTAACCCCCACACACCATATACCACGCATACACATTGGAGCTACACATACCACATACACCACAAACCAGAAACACACACACACCATATACACAGCCCCATACATGTATTGCACACACCATATGCACCACACAAATACACCCTCACACCCCTCTACACACCCCACACCTACACAAACCACATACACCACAAACCACATACACCCCACACAAACATACGCACCATGCACCACACACCACACCCTCACACTGCAACCACATTCCCCAGATACACCAGAGGCCCATGGCCCCCTGCCCTGCGTGGGAGTCTGTGACGGGGACTTAGGAACTGTGACTCCAGGCAGGGCACGTTTGCCACGCACGCAGGCAGGCAGCACGGGCAGGAGCAGACAGTGGCTCACTCAGCCCGTTTTCGCCTTTGGAGACAAACTGCGTCCCTGCCTCCTGAGGGCTGTGCTGTGCGGAGGAGCAGAGGCCCCTGGTTACGGCCCCCTGACTCAGAGCCGGGGATTTTTGATCTCTTTTTGCAGACGGAGAACACGGATGCAGGGAAGAAAAGAGTTCAGCCAGGGGTGGCAGCCACTGGGCCCCGAGCAGACTCTGCCTGCGGTCCCCACTGGGAGTGGCTCCGGCGGGGAAGGGGCTGGCGCGCTGGCAGCCAGGGTCTTCCTGGGGGGCACTCGGGCAGAGGCCAGGGCCGGGCCAGACCACACGGACTCTTCCCTCCCCACCCCAGCCAGGGCAGAGAAGCTTCTGGCAGGAGAACAGCAAACCTAAGTGACCACCACAGGGGTGTGAACCTCCCCGGCCTCTGGGGCCATGGGGGCAGCCGCGGAGAGGCTGGGCCTGGCGCTGGTACCCGGGGAACCGCCTGGCTCCAAAGAGCAGCTCAGAAAAGTCAGTGGAGCCAGTTCCTGAACAGCCACGGGGACCGGTAGGAGGAAGGAGGAAGGAGAGGCCGTTTTTGACCTTCCTCCCTCTCCCTGCCTGGTCCAGGCGCACAACGGCAGCGGCCCCTGTGGAGGGCAGGGTTTAGGCATAGGGCCCCTTACAGGCCTGCGGGTCTCCCTCAGCTCCAGGGAGGCGCCGGCCTCGGCCTGCCGTCTTCTCACGGGTCCCAGGCCCTCTCTCTGCCCACGGCCACCCTGCCTCCCTCCACCTGAGCCCTGTCAGGCCCTCTCTCCAGAGCTCAGGGAGATGCTGTGGGGGAGGAAGGAGAGTGGCAGTCAGTTCTGCAAAGCATCTTCTAGAAAGGGGCCACAGAGTCCACCGATCAAGGGCTGTGGGCACCCAGGCACTATGGGCTGAGGGTCCCTGGCCGCTTGGCAAACACCTCACAGCTCTCGAGCCCACGGGAGCAGGTGAGAAACAGTTGCGTTTCTTTTGCCCACAACTCCCCATGTTACAGGAAACTAGTGATCATCGGCCTCCGTGTCCTCAGTGAGGCAGGGACAGCTGTGTTGGTGTGGCCCTGGAGCCTTTGGGGAGACCGTAGCAGGGCCACACTGCTTCAAGGTGAGACAGAAAAAGGTGCCTTCTCACACCTGGGCTTCCAGGTTCTAATGCATACACATGAGAGCTACACATACCACATACACCACAAACCCAGGGTGTGGGTTTGGCCTGGGCTGTGTGCTCCACCTGGGGGCTGTCCCAGGCCGGGGCAGTGCTGCCAGGGTGTGAAGGGGACACGGTGCCCAACTGCTTCTGCTTTGCTCACAGCTCTCAGCACCTCAGGAGCCAGAACCCCTCAGGGTGTGGTGGGGACAGCAGGGGGGTGGCGGGCAGGGGTGTGGTGGGTGGTGGGGAGGGCCAGGCCTGGTCAGAAGCCAGGAGGCGAGCCAGGCCCGAGGCTGACACAAGCCGGCTCTGGGCTCCAGCCAGGAGCAGGTGGCCATGAGAAGCCAGGCTCCCTGCCCCTCCTCGGGAGGCCCCGCAGGAGCCCTGGCACCTTTCCAAGTGCCAGCTGCGCAGCCTGGCCCAGAGTCCGGGCCCAGGAGGGCCCGCAGTGCCTGCAGCTGCCTGGGGACCACATGCGTGACTGGCTGGCCCCCTGCTCATCCCGCCTCTCTCCTCCGCCTGGCTTCGCGCCGCCTGCCTGCCCTCGGGGACAAGCGTGCCCATCTGACACCTCAGCGCCTGCCCATTCCCCGGGACCAGGCCATCTGGCCTCGCTGCTGCCTCTGCTCTGTGCAACCCCCATGCCGCAGCCCGTCGCCTCCTGCTCCAGCCTCCGCCAGGACTGTCCTGTGCGCCCATCAGGGTGTCCTTGGTACCTGGCTGGCAGGCTGTGCCCAGCCAGGAAGTCCTCCTGTAAGCTCTGCATGCATCTCGGTGCCAAGGGGCACAGCCCTCAGCACGGAGGTGGCCGTGGAGGGGATTATCAGAGTGCAGGGGCCCAGCTCTCCCTTGTCAGGCCACTGTCAGGCCTTCCTGTGACCCTCCCAATGGCGTGACCTCTTGTCTCCGCTTTGACCAGAGGCTGGAAGAGTCTGACCCAAGCAGGCAACAGGAGGTGCAGGGAGGGTTAGAGGAGCCAGCCTGGGGGGGAAAGCCAGGAGGAAACAAGCCCCCCAGCAGCGCCGCCAGGGGGCGTCCTCTTGCAGCAGTGTCCTGAGGCCACGCTTCTAGAAAGGCCTCGAACCCCAGCACCAGCAGGGCCTGGGCACTGACAGGCCCACTCTGGGCTTCTGGGCCGTCTGTAAAACAAGACAGTCCAACTGTTTGATCTCCAAGGCCCCTTCTAAGCTTTTCTGAGCTGTGACAAGGACAAAATCTCACCAAAAAACCTGAAGCAGCTGGAAAAGCCAACGCTACTGGCATGGGGTGCTTCATATTGTAAACCACACCTATGTGTGTGATGTGGGGTGGGCCACAGAGGTGTCTTCACAGGCCTGCACCCAGCCTGCATGGGCCCTTAGGAGGGCTCTGTGCTGGGTGTAATGCCCTGCTGTGGCTGTCTTGAAATTCTTGAACAGAGGGCCCCACGTTTTCATTTTGCTCTGGTTCTCTCGCAAATTATGTAGTTGGCGCTGGCTAAAAATACTTGGAATGTTGTTCCAGAAGCACTGTGGACATGTCTACATTGTTTTTGCTCTGCAGGATTTATTGAACATTTCATTTCCAGTGCCTGGGGAAGGGACAGAAGATGAATCAATTGGCTGGGCGCGGTGGCTCACGCCTGTAATCCCAGCACTTTGGGAGGTCGAGGTGGGCGGATCATGAGGTCAGGAGTTTGAGACCAGCCTGACCAACATAGTGAAATCTCGTCTCTACTAAAAATACAAAAATTAGCTGGGCATGGTGGCGTGTGCCTGTAGTCCCAGCTGCTTGGGAGGCTGAGGCAGGAGAATCGCTTGAACCCAGGAGGCAGAGGTTGTAGTGAGCTGAGATCGCTCTACTGCAGTCCAGCCTGGGAAACAGAGCGAGACTCTGTCTCAAAAAAAAAAAAAAAAAGATGAACCACTTAAGGAAGCGCTTGGTGAGAGTAAGAGGTTTCAAGGGAACTGATGAGTCCTCCATCCGCAGCAGTGACCGTCCCCAGAGTCAGGTGTAGCCAAGGCTCTGTGGGCTTATTTAGACATCTCCTGTGGGGTTGGACTGCTGCTTTTGATTCATAGCCATCCTCTTCTTCCTTTGTGTTAGATTCTTAGCTGAACATGGCCACAGAGAACCAAAATTACTTTGCCCAGGTTCCCTTGCAGCTATAAGTGTTCACGTGAACAAGTGCTGGCCACACGGGATGTACGTGGAAGCATCTGCCACCACTCAGGAACCTTCCTTCAGAAAGAGCTGGTGTGGGCCTGGCGCGGTGGCTCACACCCATAGTCCCAACATTTTGGGAGGCTGAGGCAGGAGGATTATTTGAGCCTGGGAGTTCAAGACCAGCCTGGGCAATAAAGCAAGAACCCCATCTTTACAAAAAATACAAAAATTAGCTGGACATGGTGGCATGTGCCTGTGGTCCCATCTACTCCAGAGGCTGAGGCAGGAGCATCACCTGAGCTCAGGAGGTTGAGGTTTGCAGTGAGCCGTGATTGTGCCACAGCACTCCAGCCTGGGTGACAGAATGAGACCTTGTCTCAAAAAACAAAACAAAATAAATAAAATTTAAATTTAATTAATTTTTTTTGAGATGGAATTTCGCTCTTGTTGCCCAGGAGGAGTGCAATGGCGTGATCTCGGCTCACTGCAACCTCCACCTCTGGGGTTCAAGCAATTCTCATGCCTCAGCCTCCTGAGTAGCTGGGACTACAGGTGCACGCCACCATGCCCGGCTAATTTTTGTATTTTTAGTAGAGACGGCGTTTCACCATGTCGGCCAGGCTGGTCCTGAACTCCTGACTTCGGGCGATCCACCTGCATGGGCCTCCCAAAGTATTGGGATTACAGGTGTGAGCCACTGCGCCTGGCCAATTTTTTCTTTTTAAACAAAGAGCTGGTTTGTATCCTTCCTTCTGAGTTGTATTTTTGATCTATAACTTAGCAGGAAAGTTTTAAACCCTTAAGACTAAAGGAGTCGGAAGAACATGTTATTTGTTGTATCAATTCACAGTAGAAATTTTCGTTAAGAGTGAATTGGTTGCTTTTTACTTTTTTGTTTTTTAATCCTGAATATTCTTTTCTTTTTCTTTTTGGGACAGAGTCTTGCTCTGTCACCCAGGCTGGAGTGCAGTGGCACCATCACAGCTCACTGCAGCCTTGACCTCCCAGGCTCAAGTGATCCTCCCACCTCAGCCTCTGTGGTAGCTGGGACTACAGGCACGCACCTCCCCAGCGGGGTCTTCTTGCCATGTTGCCCAGGCTGGTTTCGAATTCCTGGGTGCAAGTGATCCGCCTGCCTCCACCTCCCAAAGTGTTGGGATTGCAGGCCTGGGCCACCGTGCCCAGCCTTCATTCTGAATATTCTTGACATGGTTGCCTTTTAATGTTCAGTTTTTCAAACAGGAAGTTGAGACTAGTGTCCCAACTCTAAAGGTGATGCTCGAGGAGGGGAGCAGGTAATAAGCAAAATCTCAGGTAGGTGCAGAGAAGAACTGAGCAGAGCGAGGGCGGTGGTGTGTGTGACAGGGGCACCATTGTAGGGTGGCAGGAAAGGGCATGAAGGGGTACTTGAGCAGAGACCTTACTGAGGACCGGAAAGGAGACAGCTGAGGGAAAGGCACTCCAGGAAGAGGGGATACGTTCCAGTTCTTCTGCCAAAAGTAGAGCTTTCCTCCTTAAGGTTCAGACTAGCATTTCCAACTCTCTGTTGTTATCTCCATGTGGATGTTCCAAAGCCGCTCAAATGCAACCCGTTTAAAATTTCTCTTCTGCTGCAAACCGGTTCCTCTTCCTCATTGCTCTGTTGCTGGTATTGGTGCCACCCTCTTCCCAGTCACCTAGATACGTGCACTGAGCTCCCAAGTTGTGACCATTTGTCTTCCACAAATGCTCTCCAGTATTTTTTTTTTTTTTTGCCGCCTCTGCAGTCCAGGCCCTGGATGACTGCTGGGGCCTCCTCATGGGTCTTCCCAACTGCTCCAGCTCTGCCCTTCTTCAGAACTGCGGTGGGTCGTCTCCCTTCAGCACTCTTTCAGTTAATGCTGTGCTCAAAAAGCTCCAGAGTCTCTCGGAGTAAAGTCAGAAATCCTGAGTCCAGCACCTGAGGCCCCCTCTTCCTTCCAGTGCTATCTGCCCATGCTCCTCTAAACCCATCTCAGTTTGGATTCTTTGCAGTTTTCTAAAGACATCTCTTCCTTTCCTGTCTTAAGCCTGCTTCTTCCTCCTACTGAAATCCAAATATCACCTTTTTATTTTTATTTTTGAGATGGAGTCTCACTCTGTCACCCAGGCTGGAGTGCAGTGGCGTGATCTCAGCTCACTGCAGCCTCCACCTCCTGGGTTCAACTGATTCTCCTGCCTCAGCCTCCTGAGTAGTTGCGACTACAGGCGTGAGCCACTGTGCCCAGCTAATTTTTTTGTCTTTTTAGTAGAGACGGGATTTCACCTTGTTGGCTGGCCAGGCTGGTTTCAAACTCCTAACTTCAGGCCTCCCAAAGTGCTGGGATTATAGGTGTTTGCCACCACTGCACCTGGCCCAAATGTCACCTTTTTAATGAAGTCTCTCCTGTCAGCTTCCCACCGAGCAGTACTTTCTCTCCCTTTGACCTATACAATTTAATTTGCACCACAATATTTTTTCTGGAGTTTTTCAATTACAAAAGCAATATAACATTGAAAAATACTTCAAAAAAAAAGAAAAGAGAAGAAAACGTAAGGACAATCATGCATATTCCCACTTCAACAAGTGAGTTCACATTTGGATATTCTCTTCTAGTCCTTGGTGATATGCATGCATATTTTTACATAATTGTAATCACAGTAGACATACAACTTTGATTTGTTTTCACTTCTATCCAACATTTCCCCATCTTTCCAAATAGTCTTTTCAGAGCTGCAGAGAGTTTTAAAAAGAGGTCAAAATAAAAATCCTTAAGTGATAACATCTCAAGATCGTATCTCCTAGAGTTTACATATAATTTATTATTATTTTTTGAGACGGAGTTTCACTCTTGTTGTCCAGGCTGGAGTGTAATGGTGCGATCTTGGCTCACTGCAACCTCTGCCTCCTGGGTTCAAGCGATTCTCCTGCCTCAGCTTCCCGAGTAGCTGGGATTAGAGGCGTGCACTACCACACTCGGCTAATTTTTGTATTTTTAGTAGAGATGGGGTTTCACCATATTAGCCAGGCTGGTCTCGAACTCCTGACCTCAGGTGATCCACCCGCCTTGGCCTCCCAAAGTGCTGGGATTACAGGTGTGAGCCACCCTGCCTGGTCTACATAGAATTTATTAAACCATCTTATTACTGGACATTTGGATGGGTTTTATTTTTAGCTATCATAGACTGGAAGCTATTTGAAAGAAAGAAGGATAGATCTTACGTTTTCTTTGTATTCCTAGCATCTGGCAAAATACTTCAATCAGTATTTATTGGATTGACTGGGTGTGGTGGCAGGCGCCTGTAATCCCAGCTATTCCGGAGGCTGAGACACGAGAATCACTTGAACCGAGGAGGCAGAAGTTGTAGTGAGCAGAAATTGTGCCACTGCACTCCAGTCTGGGCAACAGAGCGAGACTCTGTCTCAAAAAAAAAAAATTATTGGATGTATGGGTAAATAAATGAATAAGCACTCACGACGGACACCTTTAGGCATAACTATTTTTTTCTGTTGAATATTTTCCTAAGGTAAATTTTCCTGAGGTCAATGAGACAAAGAGCATTAATTTTTTTTGGCACTGTACATTATGGCAGATTGTATTTTCCAAAAATGGTCACACCAATAAATGTTCCATCTGACGTGCTGTAATGTGGCACATTCCTCCATTGAGTGGTAGGGGTCTGTGTTCCTTCCCCTTGACACTGAGCAGTTCTTTGTAGCTGCCTTGACCAACAGAATGCAGTGAAGAAACATGGTACTTCCAAAGCTAAGTTATAAATAAAAGGCAATATGCTTCTGCCTCTCTCTCTCTCACTTTCTCATGACACTGGCCCTAGGAACTCAGCCACCATGTTATGAGGAAGCCCAGGCCCTGTGTGGAGGCCAAGCGTGGGTGTTCTGCCAGTATCTCCAGTTAGGCTCCTAGTCAGTAGCTAGCATCAACTGCCAGACATGTAAACCTGCAGACATTGTGGAGCTGACAGACAGGAGCTGTCCCCACTGAGTCCTGTCTGAATTTCTGGTCCAGGGAGAGAGGTACTAAATGGTTATTGTGGTTTTGGGGTGCTTTGTTTAAAGAATTCACGCAGACCATTCAACTGGAAGCAGAGTGTCATACGGAATTTAATTTTGAGATGGAAGCCACGTAACACCTTCTCAAACCGCCAGGTTTGCGGCCTGGCAGCTTAGGTTCAGATTTCCGTCTGCCAAGTCTTTCCCGAGTCAGGGGACTCCTCAGGCTGTACCGTGGATGACACTCCTCCCCACTAGGAACACAAGGGGCCTTTCTTCGGAGGTGGAGCTCATTAAGCTGGTGCCTGTATTCTGGGCCAAAACTATCACAGAGCTGCCTGATTCCAGTCTCCACACCATGTGTTTGAGAAAGAATCATGCCTGGCTGCTGCTCCTGAGAAAACAAGTTTTGCCCCCAGTGGAGCTGATCACCACCTTCTAACTTTCCTCCTATGGGATGCAGTGCATGAAAGCAGAGTCTGATTCGGGATTGTTATTTTTTCCTTCAAGTTTAGAAATGGGAAAGGAAGGAGACTGTGTTTTCTTGGTACACCAGAAAGCCCAGCCTTCAGGCTACAAGGGTGCTACTGTCTATGACGGGGCAATGAATGGCCAGGTCTCGGGAAGGGAAGGACAGAGGGAGCAGGAGGCAGACAAAGCTGGGCTAGCACAGTTGGGGTGGGTGGGTGTCAAGGCCTTGAAGATCTGTAGCTCAGTGTGATCCAAGGACGAGACAGTTGCTTTACAGTGCCAAAGGGGCCACTTCCTACTTTTATATGAATTTGCTCTTTTTTCCTTCACCTAAAAGCAGTCCATTCATTATTTTCACTTTGAGCTTCTCAATTACCTCTAGGTATGAAGAGTATCTTATCACTTATTATTTTTTTTAGAGACAGGGTCTCACTATGTTGCCCAGGCTGGTCTCCAACACCTGAGCTCAAGTGATCCTCCTGCCTCAGCCTCCCAAAGTGCTGGGATTACAGGCGTGAACCACCACATCCAGCCCATTTTATTTTATCAGAAATCAGTGTAGGGCTGGGTGCGGTGGCCCATGCTTATAATCGCAGCACGTGGATCGCTTGAGGTTAGGAGTTCGAGACCAGCCTGGCCAACATGGTGAAACCCCATCTCTATTAAAAAATACAAAATTAGCTGGGTGTGGTGGCAGGCATCTGTAATCCCAGCTACTTGGGAGGCTGAGGCATGAGAATTGCTTGAACCTGGGAGGCAGAGGTTGCAGTGAGATGAGATCACACCACTGCGCTCCAGCCTGGGTGACAGAGCGAGACTCCGTCTCAAAAGAAGAAGAAGAAAAAAAATCAGTGTGAGAGACTAGTTGTCCTGCCCCAATTAATGACAGAGCTTAGTCCTCCCACTGAATGCTCAGTGCATTGAGGCCAGTGGCTCTTCTAGCCAGACTGATTTTGAAATACTCATTTTGGTTTGGGGCAGAAAAGGACTTACATACAAATCTCATCCACAGTAGTGCCTGGGACTGTCTGCATGCAAGTTTGCTAAGAAATATCCTCAGGGTCGCTGCTGTCCCCTGCGGGGTGGCAGGGCTGTGGTGCTGTTCTCCACACCCATCCTGCTGTTAGACTCTCCTTCCTAACTCCCACTGAGGTGCCGCCTCTGTAGAATCCATAACCTGTCCCATCCCAGGTCAATGCAGTTCAGTGTGGAAACGTTATTATTGATGAACATCCAGGGATCAAATTATAATGTGGCTCAGAGCTAACGCCTAACAATCCTGCACACCCAGCAGAAAGCTACTGGCATACCCAGTGAGATATGGCAGTGTCACTGGGGTCCAAGAGGCATACGTGCTGATTGTACAAAGCCCTCTCATTCTAACTGGGCAGACAAAGCCTCACATGGGTCCTTCCCTGAAGCCTTCCTGCCAGAGAGCCCAGCCGTGTGCTGCTTATCCTTGAAGACTTTTGACCTCATCCACGGTCTAGGGACAGCTGTGACTAAAGCCACCCAGAAGGACAGGTAGGCCAGCCAGCCCCTCCCGGCCCCCGCCACTGGTCCCTGCAGCATTTGGGGCAATGTTGTGCTGTTGTACATAAGTGCAGTGCCCTCACCCCCAGGTTACTAAGGAAGACCCCCAGAAGCACTGGAATGAGTTTCATCATTTTCCTAACACCTTTACTTTTCAAGCAGTCCCCCTGCTGCGGCTGTCCAGGCCCAGGAGTGCTTCCTCCTTCTTAGGTCTAGCCACAAAAGGAAAGCCAGTGTGCTTGGAGGGATCAAAAGGTGTCCTTTGGAGGAGAACGTGAGGCTTTCCCAAAAGGTAGTTTTAGCCATTGACAAGTATACTTGAACAGCAGCACAGCTCAGACTAGTAAGAAACTCAGTTCTTGTGCAAGGATAAGACAAGACATGAGGACCTACTGTTCGACTAAAAGTCACTTCTGAATCCATTCATGTAGCTGTTGAGTGCCAAAGGAGGGGCACAGATCTAATCACTCAAGGGGAGAAATGACTGCCATCTGGAGTGGTCAGGACTAGCTCCAAATAGAAGGTTTAATTAGAGGAAGTCTCAATGCAGAGGAAGACAGTAGATTGGGAGGGGGCATCTCCAGAGAGTGATCAGGATGAGCAGGAGGTAGCATAGAGAGAACCCAGCAAGCAGTGAGCAGTCTGCACTGGCTGGAGCCAAGGGTTTAGGTGCATGAGGCCAGGTTGGGGCCAGATTGTGTGGAGCTTTAAATGTCAGGCTAAGGAATTTATCAGGGGGATGAAATGATCAAACAGGTGTTCTAGGAAGATGAATTTGAAGAGAATGTGCAGGATGAATTGGAAAATATGGAAGCATGGCAACAATTCGAAGGCTGTGAGATTAATTAGGCTGTTGCAGTAGTCCTGTGTGGGTTGATAAGGGTGTAAATGAGCATAGTGGTGGCAGAAATGGAAGAAGTGCAGCTGCAAGAGACATTGTTAAGAAAGAATGGATGAGGTTTGTTGCCTGATTGGATTGGGGACCCAGGGAGCTCCAGGAATCAAAAGATGACACCAGAATTTTGAGCATCGGTAACTGGTAGTACAATGAACAGAAAAAGGGATGTAAGTAGAGGGAGCTGATTTGAGCAGATGTGAACGCAGTTCCAGACACGGAGTTCACAGAATATCCAAGCGGAAATGTCTGACAGGTAGATGGAAATCAACACTACAGCTCAGGAGAAACATTATGCTTGAAGATGAATTCGGGAGTCAAAGGCAGAGAGGTGATAAATGAAGTGGAATGAATGAGATCTCTAAGGAAAAGCATATACAGTGAATCAGAGGACCAAAGACTGACCTTTGAGGAATGTGTGCATTTCAATGTGCGCATTTCTATTACAAAGCTGTCTAGAAAGGGCTGGGTGTGGTGGCTCATGCCTGTAATCCCAGCACTTTGGGAGGCCGAGATGGGCGGATCATGAGGTCAGGAGTTCAAGACCAGCCTGGCCAACGTGGTGAAACCCCATCTCTACTAAAAATACAAAAATTTGCCGGGCGTGGTGGCGGGTGCCTGAATCCCAGCTACTCGGGAGGCTGAAGCAGGAGAATCGCTTGAAACCGGAAGGCAGAGGTTGCAGTGAGCTGAGTGTAGTGAGCTGAGATCATGCCACTGCACTCCAGCCTGGGCAATAACAGTGAAACTCCATCTCAAAAAAAAAAAAAAAAAAAAAAAAAAAAAAAAAGTGCCACCCCACATGCTGCGTGTCTTTACTGTTAAAATATAAAATATCAGTGTCAAGTATATTTTAGTTTGAGAAAGAAAGCCACACAACGTAACATTTGTATGTCTCAGTAGAAACTAAATTATAAACACCTAATATGCCTCTAAAAGAAATCTGGCTTAAGGATGATATTTATAGACAAAGAAAAGGATAAATGATGAAGTGAATGTAATCTAGAAGATTAGTGGATCTGATCCCACAAGAAGTCAAGCAATCAAAGAAAAACTTGTGACATATATCCTGTAAATAACATTTGATCAGAGATATTAGTAGGCATTTATCCATTTTAACACAAGGACTAAAAAAATTGCCTTATTTGCAGTGCACTGTCTTCCTGAGGGGTGAATTCAAATGAATCTACCAAAGTATTTTTAATAAAAGCTATATTTAAGTACAAACTGGCTCAAATATTTGGGAAGAAAAGCTAATATAGGAAAGCTACCCAGAGTACAGTAATCCACACTAGACTTATTAATAGTATGCAAACAAAACATCTTTTTAAGTGTGTATCCCTATGTATATATTTACTGTAGACTGTATTTTTTTGATAGTCACTTTAAAAATATAATATTAAAGCTTTGAATTTTTAGACTAAAAGCTATCTAAGTCCTATAAAGAAAAAAAGACATTTCATCTTATGCATTGTTAAAATGTTTCTCCATGGTGCTTTTAATGAAGTATATGCAACTAGTTTAACAGCATGACAATTGTTATTCCAAGACATCTTCAGTAACTTTTGAAATAGCAAATTTAAATTTTAACATGTTCTTATATTTAACATGTTTGATATTTTCTTCTAGAATATCATAGCAAATAAATATTCAACATACACCAAAAGTACTTAAAAGAAGCTCCTTTCCTTTGGACATCAACTTTTAAAAACACGAACAACTTTTTGAAAGACAGAATTTACAAATACAGAACTGTACTGACTTAAATTTGGAATTTACTAATTACTGGGGATACTTTAGTGAGTCTGCATATGTGTATTATTAATACATGTTAAACCATACTGCAGATAACAAAAAATATACTTACATTTCTCTTCCAGAGAGTAATGACTGTATTCAAAGTCTGAGGGAATGACAAAACGGGATGCACATCTAACACTGATACACGGTTCTTCAGAAAAGACTAGTTTCAGCTGTTTCCAGGTTTACATAAGATGATGGAAGCAGTCTCTAATATGTTAATCAAGAAAATATATGCAATTGCCAGCTACTACATATACAGAAAATAAAGATGGTGAGTCAAACAAAACATACAAACTTGGTAACTTCTCACCCTCCAGATATTTTGAACATATTTAAAAAATTTGAAGATAGGATATCACTGTGATCTTAAAAAGAGAACTTTAAAAATAACACATTATGGAATAGTAAAACTGAGCTGCTAAAACCAAAGTAGTAAACAGTTTTCCTGATGTCCTCACACTCTTAACTAAAACCCAAATTAAAACTACCAGCTAAATTTAATCTAAGTGTTGACTTTTTAAATGTCAATACTTTCAAACCTCCTTTAATAATATTTTAAAATATACATAAACTTAATACATTACTTAAGAGTTAATCTCATTTCTTTGAATGTGGGCTTTGGCCTAACTTGCAGAATGCTGGGGAAACATTAAAAAAAAAAAAAAAAAAACTAAATCAGCAATTTTCTTACTTTCTAAGTACTTACACTGTTAAATAAAATAACTGAGGCTGGGCGCAGTGGCTCGCACCTATAATCCCAGCACTTTGGGAGGCCGAGGTGGGTGGATCACCTGAGGTCAGGAGTTCGGGACCAGCCTGGCCAACATGGTGAAACCCTGTCTCTACTAAAAATACAAAAATTAGCTGGGCGTGGTGGTGCATGCCTGTAATCCCAGCTACTCAGGAGGCTGAGGCAGGAGAATTGCTTGAGCCTGGGAGGCAGAAGTTGTAGTGAGCTAAGATCGTGCCACTGCACTCCAGTCTGCGTTGACAGAGACCCTCTCTAAAAAAAAAAAAGACTGAAAAAAATTTTTTTTTGGTACAAGAATCAGGTAGATGATTCTCATTTGGGGGTTACAATGAAAAAAAGACTCAAAATCTATTTCATTAAGGGGAATGGCACTATTTTGAGTCAATAAAAATCCGAAGGGTTGCAGTTTTGTAGTCAACTGAAATTTCTGAAAAGCGATATAAAATTAAAGGCAATGTCTCGATATAGAAGATACGGGACATATTTTTACAATTACATTTCATAACAGCTACATTTTCTGTTAAATCTAAAGAGTCTGTAACATACACCCATGTGTATTTTATTTCAGAAGAGTCAGTGGCTCAGAGATGTTTAGTTTCGACTTCTGGTTCAGTGAAATAGTCTAAATGTCAGAATTAAATATATGACTTGCTACTCGCCAAAGATCCACAATATATTCACACCAGATAGACCAAGATTAACTCTCCTATAAAGAGAAAAAAAATTTTTATTAGAATTGGTTGCCAAGCATTTAAGGTCTTTTTCTAATAACAAAAAACTTTATGAATAATACATGTTTAACTGATATTTAATGTGATTCTGCAATGAATTATGTTATACATGGTTTATCAGGTGAATTCCAGTAACAGTAATTACTTTCTTAACTATGCCTAAAACCCAAATTTAGAATAAATAGATTTATGGAGTGTTGACAGTTTTTCAGTAAACAAGAACTATTACACCAGGTAATAGCTAACAGAATAATTTTAACAAGCAAGATTAAAGTAAAAGTATCAATTGTATTTAAAAGATGGAAGATATGGAGATGCTAGCCTCTCAGAGAACTGTATTACTTGATTTGAATTAGGAATTTACTAACTACTGGGGATACTTTAGTGAGTTTTCATATGTGTATTAGTAATACATTAAATCCTACTACATATAACAACAACAACAAAATACATATACTTCTCTTCCAGAGAGTAGTATGACTGTATTCAAAGTCTGAGGGAATAAGAGGGCTATAAGAGAAAGAAATTACTCACCTAACAAAATAAAAAAATCAACAGATAATATCTGAAACTGAAGAATCAAGAGAGCTGTATACCTCTATTATTTGGAACTATGAGAGTAATAACTGAAGAAAAAGCCACTTGGGGAATACAGTCCACTTCGAGAAGCAGACTTGGGGAATACAGGGAATTGCTCATTTCTGTCATGAACTTTTAGCCCTCTATGACTTTTAAAATTATAAGAATGTATTAACTTTGATAAAAAGCTGCCAAAAATGCCTTTCGAAACAGGTAATTTTTATCAACTGTATTTTCCATTTCTTCATACCCTCACTGACACTACAAATAATATCAAATTTGACAGAAAAAAAAGTTAATTTTGACTTGTTTGTACATGAGTCTAAGCATCTTTTTGTGTTTAGGAGCTGTTTGCACACTTTATGAAGAAATCTTTCATACCTTTGTCCATTTTTCTAATAAAATCATATATGTTCTTTATATATAACAAATATAAGCTTGGATTTGCTATATTTGCAAACCCAATTACTACTGCTCATATTATAGCAGAATAATGCTTTCAGTTTGTCATTAACTTTAAACTTTACAGTGTCTTTTCCCAAACAGAACATGTAAGTCACTGTGCAGTCAAGTCTGTCTAGATTTTTTTTCCTTTTGCAAGTAGAACATTCATCTGATTCCTGTTACTGCACAAATACCTGACATTAAATTGATAATGTATTTGGATCAATCTGTGGGTTTATGGTCATAAATCCAAATGGACTATATTTGAGCCACTCACTTATTTCTTTTAAGTTATAGGAAAGTTTTTAACTATTTGTTTTAGGATGTATTTGAAAAAATATTCATGTTCGAAAGGTTAATAATTTCCAAGCTTTTCCCCGAGTTTAAAAACACTAGTTTTAGTCTAAAATGCTTAATTTCCCATATATAAGTTGCTCATTAAGAGAATATAGCGCTTTAAAAATTGTATCAATTTCTTTTGGCCTTTCAGTAAATTTCATTACATTTCAGTAAATGAAAAAGTGCTGCTCCACTAAGCACTTTTTCATTTTAAAGCATATGACAGACCGTATATGGCACTCAAACCTCATGCTATCATGACAAACCATTTATGCATCAAAATATCAATTTGGATCCACAGAGGAAAAGATACATTTTCAATTAGAACCAAAAATTAATTGCTTATTTATATTATACAGGTTAAGCACCTATAATCTGAAAATCCGAAATGCTCCAAAACCCAAAACTTTTTGAGTGACATCATGATGCTCAAAGGAAATGCTCACTGTAGCATTTGGGGGATTTTTAGATTAGGGATGCTCAGTAATTATTGCAAATATTCCAAAATCGGAGAAAATCAAATCCGAAACACTCCTGGTTCCAAGCATTTCAGATAAAGAATACTTGACCTGTATTAACAACATGGAATAATAACAATATGGAATTTATATCAAATTCCATATTCCATCTAATATATATGTGTAAGTATATTTATAACCAAACATTCCTAGACATTTTAGGGAAAATTTGACATGGGAGAATGTCCAAGATATGCCATAAGCCTAAAAATTAGATCATAAAGTACTATGTTTGGATACAATACATTTTTAAGCAAAAGAAACAAAAATAAAGCCAGGTGGAGTGGCTTATGCCTGTAATCCCAGCACGTTAGAAGGCCAAGGCAGGTAGATCACAGCCTGGGCAATATAGTGAGATACTGTCTCTACACATAATTAGAAATTAGTTCTAGTTTATACACTGCTGTGTTATTTAAATACTTATCTACTGAGTATGCATTATTTTCATAATTTAAAAATAAAAAACCCTGTTAGTTTAGATGCCTCAATAAAGTTAGTTTCCTAATCTTTCTTACATTAAAAAATATATGATAAAAGAAGCTAATAGCTGGGTGTGGTGGCTCACACCTGTAATTACAGCACTTTGGGAGGCCGGGCAGGCGGATCACCTGAGATCAGGAGTTTGAGACCAGCCTGGCCAACATGGAGAAACCCCGTCTCTACCAAAAATACCCGGCATGGTGGCGGGCATCTGTAGTTCCAGCTACTTGGGAGGCAGAGGTTGCAGTGAGCTGAGATGGTGCCACTGTACTCCGGCCTAGGTGACAGAGCGAGACTCCATCTCAAAAAAAAAAAAAAAAAAAGCTAATAAATGTTCATATTTGTTTACACATTTTTGTTCATGTCTGTTTTAATCTTTACATCCGATATATTTAAGGAGCTTTGCTTTCTCTAGAGCAGTGCTGTCCAATAAAAATACAATATGATATGAACTGCAAATGCAAGCCACATAATTTTAAATTTTCTAGTAGATACCTAATAAACAGGTGAAATTAATTTTAAGAACATATTTCACTTAACTAAATCTATCCAAACTAGCATTTCAATATGTAACAAATATATACAATTTTTAAGGAGTTATCTTACTTTTTGGGGGCTGTGTCTTTGAAATCTGTTACACGTTTTACACTTTAGCGCACCTCAATTTGGTCTAGTCCTGCTTCAAGTGTTCAGTGCCACATGGGGCTGGTGGCTACTGTGCTGGATGGCACAGTTCTAGGACACGTATAAACTCTAAATTACAAACAGGATGCTATCTAAAACTTAAAGACGCATGCATATCGGAAGTGGAAATGACCACAATCCCTTCTGCTCCAAGCCCATCCCCCCTTTTTTTTTTGCTAGCCTTAGGTTACTTAGTATGGCAGAGCTGGACCCAGAACCCAGGTTTTCCGACTCCCAGATCAGGCACTACAAATATCCCTAGCTTTAGCTGGGGTCTACTTATTTCATGTGTCATTTGATACACTAAAATTTCTAATCATCAAAATGACAATACTACAATTTTGAATTTCTTGCAGTATGTGAGCTTTGTTACCAAGTATGTAAACGATTTCAACTGACTACTTTTCCATTCCAGTTAATGATATTATGGAACAGGTACCGACTCTGTCTCTCTGGAAGTGTAAACACTTCGCAGAATGCTTTGTGTCTGAAATGAAATGGCTTGGAAAAAAACAGTCTCCAGATTTTAAAAAAAAAATGTTTTTAAACGGCAAGAGTCTAATTTTTATCTATCTCTGAATTATTCCTCCAGGGAACACAACTATAATGCTAACGATGTAGTCCACTTGCCTTTTACCAATGGGTTCCGAGGAGTTAGCTAATGGATTGCCCAAAATAGCAGAGGTAGTCTGTGACAGGGCTGAAGCCATTATCTATTGTTCAATCCATAAACCTTCAGTTACATGCTGCTGCCTTCTGCAGAATCTTAACATAGGAAGAAAATCAGTAAATAACTACTTACGTTTTTAAAGCATAAGTACCTACCCAAGCATTCCTGACTCTTTGGTCTTTATGATGTAGAGAAACATCAACAATGTATGAAACATATTATTTCTGCCCTGGAACAAAGACAAAAAAGACAAGATTTAAACCAAATGAAAAAGATTCAATCTGGTAGGTAAATACATATCTTATCAATTCATATCCTACTAACTCAGAATTCCATATAATTCAGACTTTCATTTATTTATTAAACAAAGTACCTACGCTTTGTGCTAGGAAGTGGGAATACTGCAGTGAGTAAGACAGAAAGGATACATGTCAAGGACATAAGGGCCAGTAGGAAAGGCAGACAGTAAACTAAGAATCACAACAAAGTGTGAGGAATGCTATGAGAGGAGGTGCCATAGGAACATATGAAGATGCAGTGTCTGATTTAGACTGGTTAGCGACAGAATGCCTCCCTGAGGGAAAGATTTTTTTTTTTTTTTTGAGATGGAGTCTCGCTGTGTCGTCCAGGCTGGAGTGCAGTGGTGTGATCTCAGCTCACCGCAACCTCCATCTCCTGGGTTCACGTCATTCTCCTGCCTCAGCCTCCCAAGTAGCTGGGACCACAGGCGCCCACCGCCATGCCCGGCTAATTTTTTTTTTGTATTTTAAGCTGCAACCTGAAAGATGAGCAGAAAGGTAACATACTGGGGGGTGGGGAGCTGGGGGACTGTGTTTCACACATGGGGAGAAACACTTACTAAGGTCTGGAAGAGCCTGGAGAGCTATTCTGAGGTTGGTGCCCCTGTACACTACACATATAAAAATGGTCTATAATGGCATAAACAAGTGTTGGGATAAAAAAAGCTTTTAGTCATACTTTAAAATATATCAGAATATACTTTAGCATACAAATAACATATTAAATATAAATTTATTTTATCTGCAAGGGAATACTAGGCAGCATATTGCTAGCTCTAAAATCAAACTATTATATGTAATTTTTGGTCTGTAAAAACAGCTCCTAATTTAGATTTTCAATTTACAGATTAACTTTTCCCCACTTACTCTAATTTAATGTGTTTTTAACTCAAGAATCTGAGAGAATGTATGATTTTTAAAAGATAATGTTTACACTGTAAGAACAAGGAAAAAAAAACAGATGGTGGTTAAAAAACAAAGATTGGCATGGATATTCACAAGAACTTCAATGGCCCAAAGTATTTACATACAAAGCTAAAATATTAAACTTGAAGAAATGAAATTAACATCTCTTCCTGAGAATCTGATAGACAGCACAATTTATTATTATAGCCAATGTAAAATTTCTTAGTAAAGATGCTGGTAACAAAAATAATTGTAAAGGTTATCAACAGAACTGATGCTTGTAATTAAGAGTAAAAAACCAGTGTGGCAGCTCATGCCTGTTATCATCCCAGCACTTTGGGTGGGCAAGGCAGGCGGATCACGAGGTCAGGAGATCAAGACCATCCTGGCTAACACAGTAAAACCCCCGTCTCTTACTAAAAATACAAAAAAAATTAGCCAAGCGTGGTGGCACGCGCCTGTAGTCCCAGCTACTCAGGAGGCTGAGGCAGGAGAATCGCTTGAACCTGGGAGGCGGAGGTTGCAGTGAGCCGAGATCACACCACTGCACTCCAGCCTGGGTGACAGAGCAAGACTCTGTCTCAAAAAAAGAGTAAAAAATCTGTATGTGCTTGTAATCTTAGCTACTCAAGAGGCTGAGTCAGGATTGCTTGAACCCAGGAATGTGATACTAGCCTAAGCAACACAGCAAGACTACCTCAAAAAAAAAGTAAAGCACATTAATGGAAGTATAAATTGATACAATAACCTTTATTATAAAGTAATTTGGTAACATGTTATTTTTAAAGTCTTAAAAATATTTTGACCTAGAATTCCACTTTTAGAACTCTGGACTAAAGAAATGCAGATAGCTGTATGCATGAAGATACATTTTCAGCAGTATTTATTTATTTTATTTTATTTATTTTTTTGAGACGGAGTCTTGCTCTGCCACCCAGGCTGGAGTGCAGTGGCGTGATCTCGGCTCACTGCAAGCTCCGCCTCCTGGGTTCACGCCATTCTCCTGCCTCAGCCTCCTCAGCAGCTGGGACTACAGGTGCATGCTGCCATGCCCGGATAATTTTTTTTGTATTTTTAGTAGAGACAGGGTTTCACTGTGTTAGCCAGGATGGTCTCGATCTCCTGACTTCGTGATCTGCCTGCCTCTACCTTTTCAGTAGTATTTATAATAAAAAATAAGAAATACAGAAAATGTACAACAGTAGAGAAATGGTTGAATAAATTATACTAGTGAAGTTTTTTTTATAGCCATTAAGAAGTATTTTTAGGCCGGGCATGGTGGCTTATGCCTGTAATCCCAGCACTTTGGGAGGCCGAGGTGGGCAGACTGCCTGAGCTCAGGAGTTTGAGACCAGCCTGGCCAACATGGTGAAACCCCATCTCTACTAAAATACAAAAAAATAGCCGGGTGTGGTGGCGGGTGCCTGTAATCCCAGCTACTTGGGAGGCTGAGGCAGGAGAATTGCTGGAACCCGGGAGGCAGAGGTTGCAGTGAGCCAAGATTGCACCACTGCACTCCAGCCTGGGTAACAGAGTGAGACTCTATCTCAAAAAAAAAAAAAAAAAAAAGGAATTTTTATGAAGATTTTTAATAGTATGGAAAATTATGTTATAAAGCTAATATTTAAAAGCAGATATAAAACTACATAAATAATTTTAGCCCATAAAAAATATAAAGAAAGGGCCAGGTGCACAGGACCAGCCTGAGTAACATGGAGAGACTCTGTCTCTACAAAAAATAAATTGGCCAGGTATACTAGTACGTGCTTGTAGTCCTAGCTACTTGGGAGGCTGAGGTGGAAGGACTTCTTGAGCCCATGAGTTCAAGGCTACAATGAGCTATGATCATGCCACTACACTCCAGCCTGGGTGACAGAGCTAGACTCTGCCTCTAAAAAGAGACATAAGACCAAAATGAAATTTACCAAAAGGCAATATACCAATCAAAAAATCAACAATGACTGCCTCAGGTAATGGAATGAGTGATTTTCCTTCTTTTTCTTTATACTTTCCCCAAATTAAGCACATATTACTTTTATAGTAAGAAATATATATGTAGGAAACACATTTCCAATTTAAAAAATTTACTTCTTCTATTAACATGAGATTATAATTTTAAAAACATCATCCAAGCAAATCACCCAAGACATTCTGTAACAGCATCTTCTCTATATAGAAATACCTTTGGCAGGTTGTATACATGACGCTGGTAGATGAGCTCATAATGGGGAGGGTTGATAGCACTCTGATAAATGCAAAAAACATTCTCATTTGTAACATCTGTAAAGGAAGGCAATATGCTGCATTAAAAAACCAAACCCCCAGAGATATTTTGTGTGAAAATCTCAACACATTCTTTTAGGAGAGGTTTATACCTGGTTTATTTGGTGTCTGAACAAAGTGCTGAGAAGTAAAAGTTTTTCCGTCGGGATACTTCGGATGTGGAGGTAATCTGGAATCAAGGTAGGTGCAAAATACATGCATGATGATCTGAGGATGAAGAAATAATTTTTTTTTAAGTCAGCATGAAAATCTAGCATGGATGTAGAACCCTTTAGAAACATCTGTATTTATAACGATTCCAATTAAAAAATTTTTTCTCTGAAGAGTGAATTAGAAAAATGCTGTCAAATGGTTAGATTTACAAGATAAAATCTATAGAATAAAAAGATAAAAACACATAGTTCAGGTAGCACACCTATTCTTTTAACTGAAAGTATTATTTCCTACAAAGATAAGGAATTCACTAATTCCTCTCTTAAATCATAAAGGAATTCAGTGTGTTTAAGACATGAAGCTAGGCTTAATTCAAATAATCTACTCAAAATTTAAAATAGAAAAAGATATTTGCCATCAAATCAGTCTATATTTTGATGAGAAGGTTTCCTTTTCAAATTGAAAAAGTTTGAATACTCCAGCCTACGAAGTTACCATAATCTGTTGAGGGTAGGGGTGGAGGGTGGGGCTTAAACACCAGACTCCCATTCCCTACATATTTGATCTTCATTTTTAGTTTTCCATAGCAACCCTAGAAAAGCAGGGCATTCTTAGTTTTTTGCTAAGTGGATCATTCATACCAACACAGTTAATAGCAAAACCAAGATAAAATACATTCAATTCTCAATCTGAATCTCAACATAAAACTTAATTTTCACCCGTAACAGTCACTATAAAAAAAAAGCGAACATAATTTTGAAAAACTTGTAAGCACACAAAAACATTTATGTTCTTTGATCTCCTAAATGTAATTCTAGGAGTCTCTCTTAAAGTGACAATCCCAAGAAAGAAAGCAATGCGCATCACACTATTTGCATGCTGCATTACTCAAGATCAAAAAACAAGTAAAAATTCCTTCTCCACCACAAGTGTCTCAAACTTTTAGGTCCACTATAGGAGAATAGTTAAATGACAGTGTGTAATAATGAAAAAATATCTAGGTAGGAGGAGGCTGAAGTAAAAAAAAACCCTAAATATTACAGAAGTGGAAAAAAAGCAGAATACATAATTTTACATACCGGAGAATTACAAATATGATAAAAACATTAAAAAATAGTAGCCACCAAGTAAAGGGAAAAAATACACAAAAATATTAACAGTGGTTGGGTGAACATGCTGATACTATTATAAATACCTTATTTTCTAAATTATTTTTAACACTTATTCTTATGATAGGCAAACAAAAACACATAAATCCAGTAATGGAAACTGAAAAAAACAAAATAAATCTAAGGGTCAGGCACAGTAGCTCGTGTCTGTAAACCCAGCACTTTGGGAAGCTGAGGCAGGGGGATCACTTGAACCCAGGACTTCAAGACCAGCCTGGGCAAAAAAGTGAGACCCCATCTCTACAAAAAATTAAAAAAATTAGCTGGGTGTGGTGGTTCAGGCCTAGTCCCAGCTACTTGGGAGGCTGAGCTGGGAGGAGCACTTGAGCCCTGGGAGATCAAAGCTGCAGTGAGACGTGACTGTGCCACTGCACTACAGCCTGGGTGACAGAGTAAGACCCTGTGTCAGTCAATCAACAGTAAATAAATAAATGAATGAAAGAATCTAGGGGCTTACAGCAGAATCGGTGGGCAGGTCTGTATCCCACTTTCGTCCTTTGAAGTCGCCACCTCTGTTCCATCGAAATGAGCTCATACAACCTCCCTGAGATAGTTCTGTGGCAACAAGGTGAAATTTTTAAAAGCTAAGAGTATGCAAAAAAGAAAAGAAAAAAAAAGCTAAGGGAATATAATAAGGGAAGCAAATCATTTAAAAAACTTGATCAAAACACCCAAACCTAAAGAAATAAAAGATATAAAAAGACAAAAGTTAAACATGTCCCTGAAGACATCAGATAAATCCAAAATGTGGGATTTTAGATTTATCTGACTACTATTTTGGCTTCTTAAAAAAAGAGTTGATGGGTAGGGAAAATTTGAATATGGACAATATATTAAATATCAGAAAACTATTATTTTTTAAAGGTATAATTGTATTATGGTTAGGAGAATGTTCTTACTTTTAGGAGAATGCATGCTAAAAAGTAATGTCTGCAATGTACTTTCAAATGGCACAACAAGAAAAAAAAGTGTGTGTGTATATATATGTGGAAAGAAAGAATCAAATATGTCAAAAGGTTTCTAACTATCCAATCTAGAACAAGACAGTGTTCACTGTATTCTTTTTTTTTTTTTTTGAGACAGAGTCTCGCTCTGTCACCCAGGCTGGAGCGCAGTAGTGTGATCTCGGCTCACTGCAAGCTCCGCCTCCCGGGTTCCCACCATTCTCCTGCCTCAGCCTCCTGAGTAGCTGGGACTACAGGTGCCTGCCACCACGCCCAGCTAATTTTTTTTTTTTTTTGTATTTTTAGCAGAGATGGGGTTTCACCGTGTTAGCCAGGATGGTCTCGATCTCCTGACCTTGTGATCCATCTGCCTGGGCCTCCCAAAGTGCTGGGATTACAGGCGTGAGCCACCGTGCCCAGCCCACTGTATTCTTTAAAGCTTTTTTGTATATTTGATATAAAACCTTTATATACTTTGTATATATGTGTACATACACAGACACTTTCTCTTTTTGGATGTACAAATACCCTGCTAACTACAAGGCAATCTTGCCAAAAAACTCAAACATGAATTTATGGGAAAGAGAAGGGGTTATGTAAAACTACACCATAGGGATGCATTCAGCAAAACCCACACTATGGGAACCACTAAAGACAAACAATCCAGTTCTTCTGACAAATAAATTGCAAAGGAAAAAAAAAGGTGAATGGGAAGCATATAGCTTAAAATAAACTGAAATAACCAATTGCAATGTATTACAATATTTGAATCCCAATTCAAACAAACATTGCCAAAAAATTATGCATTTTTATGAGATAGCTGGAAATTTGAACACAGACTTAATATCTCATAACACAGGAAATATTAGGGCCAGGTAGCATGGTGGCTCACTCCTATAATCCCAGCACTTTGGGAGGCTGAGGAGGGAGGATTGCCATAGCCAGGAGTTCAAGACTGCAAGGAGCTATACACTCCTGCACTAGTGCCATTACTGCACTCCAGCCTGGGTGACAGAGCGAGCCGGGTCTCAAAAAAAAAAAAAAAAAAAATTATATTAAGAATGATAATTGTGGCCAGGTGCAGTGACCCACGCCTGTAATCCCAGCACTTTAGGAGGCCAAGGTGGGTGGATCACGAGGTCAGGAATTTGAGACCAGCCTGACCAACATGGTGAAACCCCATCTCTACTAAAAACACAAAAATTAGCTGGGCATGGTGGTGTGTGCCTGTAATCCCAGCTACTCAGGAGGCTGAGGCAGAAGAATCGCTTGAACCCGGGAGGTGGAGGTTGCAGTGAGCCAAGATTGCGCCACTGCACTCTAGCCTGGCGACAGAGAGAGACTGTCTCCAAAAAAAAAAAAAAAAGAATGATAATTGTATTCTGGTTATGTATGTTTGTATTAGTTTTCTAAAGGCTCAGCTGGGCACGGTGGCTCATGTCTATAATCACGGCACTTGGGGAGGCTGAGGTGGGAGGACTGCTTGAGCCTAGGAGTTGGAGACCAGCCTAGGCAACATAGCAAGACCCTTTCTCAAAAGCAGGGGGTCGCGGGAGGCTTATCTTTTAGTGATATACAAAGAAATATTTACAGATGAACTGATAATGACATGAGGGCTTGCTTCAAACAATACAGGAAGAAAGTGGACGGGGTATGGATAGGGCAGGGTCTGGCCAGGGACTAGTGATTGTTGAGGCTGGGTGATGTGTACAAGAGGAGTGTGTATACTATTTTTTCTAGTTTTGTGTATGTTTAAAATTCTCCTTATATAAAATGTTTTAAAAAGTCATGAAAAATGTTTATTCCTGAATCCTGCTCTAACCTTAGGGGAAAGGGAGAACACTATAATATTTTCAAATTAAGATTTATGATCAATTTGAATACTATTTCTAAAACTTGTCTTAGTGATGAGAATCTTTTAAAAAGTTTATCCAAATTTTAAAAAATTCTAACGTTATGAATTGCTCTGTAAGTAGAGAGGCACAGAGGGTGTATGGGGGTGTCAGGGAGCCTACATTTCCTGATTCTCAAGTCAGTCTCCTCAGGAGAGCACATCTTCCACCAAATAATAAGAATATCACAGAAATATAAGGAAGAAACTTATTAAATAGGAATTATAAAAATTAAGAGAAATAAGGCTCAGCACACCGGAACTATAAAGAATGTCATAATGGCACCCATTCTTATGAGTCTAAAAGTAGGAAATGAGTGAAATAGTCACTGGAGCCCATTTAGCTCATATTTAAGTTTCCTACACAAAATAAAGTTATTAAGCTATAATTAATACGTATTTATAAGACATGTTATACTTTTAATTAAAAGTTTTTCCTTGTTAATCTTCACTGATAAAATTCCAGCATAGTAAAAAAGCTCTTATTTTTTTCTCTTCAAATCAATAATTACCTTTGATCCTTTCAAACAAGTATTCCTGATTTGGAGTAAGGTCTAGATACTGAACGATTGTGTTCAAAGTCGGAATGAGAGGCGCTTTAACCAGGGCAGCTTGTTTCAAGCTAGTAATACTAGCCTCTGTTAACATAAAACACAGAGAACACTGATTATTCTAAAAGTGAGTTTCCAAAAGAACTTAAAATGCTCTTCTCATGTGTTCATACAGCTGGTTCCTCACTACCTTCAGGTCTTCATACAAGTCAATGACGTCTCCCCTGACGACCCTACCTCAAATTTCACCCCTCCTCTCTAAACATTAATAACATTACCCTCCTGTGCTTTTTTCCTCCTTAGCACTAACCACTGTCCAATGTACTTTTTTTCTTCTTCTCTTTTTGTTTTTTGAGACAGTGTCTTGCTCTGTCACCCACGCTGGAGTATAGCGGCACAATCACCACTCACTGCAGCCTCAATCGAATGGGCTCAAGCAATCCTCCTCCCACCTCAGCCTCCTAAGCAGCTGGGACTACAGGCACATGCCACCACACCTGGTTCACTTTTTTTCTTTTTTTCTATTTAGTAGAGACAAGGTCTCACTATATTGCCTAGGCTGGTCTCAAACTCCTGGGTTCAAGCAATCCACCAACGCTGGACTCCCCAAGTGTTGAGATCACAGGTGTTAGCCATCGTGCCTGGCCCAAAGTACTTTATCTTTTTTATTGTCTATCTCATTTACTAGAATGAAAGCTTAATGAAGGCAGGGACTTTGGCCATTTTGCTCACTGCTGTATCCCCCAGTGCCCAGAATAGTATTAACACCTGGAACAGACTAGGCACTCAATGTCGAAGGAATAAATGAAAGAAAGCATTTTAATTTGCACGATCTACATTACCTAGAACCATTCCCAGCAAGATAGCCAGATTTACACATGCAACACCCCCTCCTCCCCTTCCCCAGAGAAGCAGCCAAATCGATTTTGGCAAATCTATAAACAACTAATATACAGAAAATTTGTATAAGACATGTATAAAAAGACACACAATTGTTTTCAAAATAAGTTGAATTAGAAGTTGCCCATTATGCCAGGACAAGCAGAAGCTTTTTATGGTAGTGATTTCTTTTATCATATCCTGCAAGATAACTATGCATAGAAATGTAAAAAGCAATTAAAAATTTCAAAATATCCAACTGTACTAGCAATATCCAATGTTAGGAAAAACATTCCTATATGTGTCATGGTTGCTAGAGTACAAACTGGTAAAAGCTTTTTGGAGAGATGTGTATCTTCTAAGCCTTGAAATATATCCAGATGCATTGGCTCATGTCTGTAATCCTAGCACTTTGGGAGGCCAAAGTGGAGGGAGTGCTTGAGCTCAGGAGTACAAGACCAACCTGGACACCCCATCTCTACAAAAATACAAAAATCAGCCAGGTGTGGTGGTGTGTGCCTGTAGTCCCAGCTACTTGGATGCGGCTGAGGTGAGAGGATCTCTTGAGCCCAGGAGGCTGAGGCTGTAGTGAGCCATAATAGCACCACTGCATTCCCTCTTGGGCAAAAGAGCGAGACTCTGTCTAGAAAACAATAACAAAAATCTTAAAATATTCACACCTACTGACACACAAGTCTACTTCTAAGAAATTATCCTAAAGAAATAATTACAAATGTATACAAAGATTTAGGTAAGAGGATATGCACCGTAGCATTATTGGTAAAGGTAATTACTTAATAACTAAGTTATAGTATATATATTTTAGGCAATTTATATGGCACCCTAAAATTTTACCTTTAGCAGATAAGAGAGTTGAAAATAGGTGATGGAAAATTACTATTATTACATAGTCTTTATGCTTTATACAACTTTGTGATTAATATCTGCTAAGAGTCTTGGGCTTATATCTAGAATATATAAAGAAAACATCTACCACTCAACAAAAAGACAAATAACCAAATTTAAAAATGGGTAAAGGAATCAAAAAGACATTTCTTTTTTTTTTGAGACAAAGTCTCAAAGTCTCGAAGTCTCGCTCTTGCCCCCCAGACGATCTCGGCTCACTGCAACCTCCGCCTCCAGGGTTCAAGCGATTCTCCTGCCTCAGCCTCCCGAGTAGCTGGGATTATAGGCGCCTGCCACCATGCTCGGTTAATTTTGTATTTTTAGTACAGACGGGGTTTTCACCATGTTGGCCAGGCTGGTATTGAACTCCTGACCTCAGGTGATCCGCCCACCTCCGCCTCCCAAAGTGCTGGGATTATAGGCGTGAGCCACCGCGCCCGGCCAAAAAAGACATTTCTAAGAAGATATACAAATGACTGATAAACACATGAGATGTTCAACATCAGTAGTCATCATGGAAATGCAAATCAAAACCAAAATGAGACATCATTTCACGCCTACTGCAGGATGACTATAAAACATATGACAAGTGTTGCAAGGATGTGGAGAAAGCAGAACCCCATACACGCTGGTGGGAATGTAAAATGGTGCAGCTAGGTGCTTTAGAAGAGTCTGGCAGTGCCTCAAAAGGTTAGTCAGAGTTACCATACAGCTCAACAATTCCACCCCTAGGTATATACCCAGGAGAAATGAAAACATAGGTCCAATATAAACACTTGTACGTGACTGTTCACAGCAGCATTATTCATAAGAGCCAAAAAGTGAAAACCACCTAAATGTCAATCAACTGATGAATGAATAAGCAAAGTGTAGTAGATCTATTTTGAATATTATGCAGCAATAAAGAAAATGATGTAATGATAAATTCTACAACATGGACAAACTTTGAAAGCATTATGCTCAGTGAAAGAAGCCAGTCACAAAGTCATGTTCATATTCTGTGATTCCATTCATATGAAATATCCACAACAGGCCTATCTATAGAGACAGAAAATAGACTGGCACTTGCAAAGGACTGGGAGAAATGTATAGAACAGGGGGTGACTGGTAAAAGGTGGAGAGTTTCTTTTTCAGGTGATGAAATGCTTTAAAACTGACTATGGTGATGGTTGCATAACCCAAGACTTTGGACTGTACATTTTAAATGGGTAAATTATATGGTAGCTAAATTACATCTTGATAAAGCTGTCACGTTAAAAAAAAATCAAACTAGATTATAGACATTTGGGGTTTTTCACCCCAAGGTAACAAAATAAGTTAAGCCGTCCATTACAAGAAGTTTTCCACTTGGTAGATTTACTAATAGAAATCCAACACTGGGCTCTGTTTTCACATACCTCCTATCTGTAGCTCTGGACAACCCATTCGTCTCATCTGTGTGCTGACAGACTCAATCTCTTGAACAAGTGGCACTAATATTGTCTCATTGATCCACTAGAAGAAATAAGGTACAGATTTTGGATACATAATTCCCAAGTAGCTGTCAAATAATTACTTTCTTTTTTACAAGCAACTCTAAGAATTTTTTTTACTATCTTATAGTTGAATATTAAAAGAATCATAAAGTATAGTGAAAGAGAATGAAAGTAATAGCTACCCGAAATCAAGAGATGGTTAAATAAATATGCCACTGGAGTGTAAATTAACTAACTTACATTCCTTTTTTTTTTTCGAGATGGAGTTTCGCTCTTGTTGCCCAGGCTGGAGTGCAATGGCGCAATCTCAGCTCACTGCAACCTCCACTTCCCAAGTTCAAAGGATTCTCCTGCCTCAGCCTCCTGAGTAGCTGGGATTACAGGCACCTGCCACCACGCCCAGTTAATTTTTTGTATTTTTAGTAGAGACGGGGTTTCACCATGTTGGCCAGGCTGGTCTTGAACTCCTGACCTCAGGTGATCCGCCTGCCTCAGCCTCCCAAAGTGCTGAGATTACAGGCGTGAGCCACTGCGCCTGGCAACTAAATTACATTCTTAAATAACATGTTTTTATTTTTTTTCCTGAAAAAAAAATATAAAACTTTTAGCTATATGTTAAATTTTTCTTAAAATTTTCTGATTATTATGTTTAGCTAAAAGGATAATCTTCAGTTTACATTTGTAGGGTAACTATTCACACATTTATTAATGTAGTGTTTATATTGGTTTGCAATCAGTAAGATAGTTTTTCAAACTAACATAACTGCCTAACTCTCAGCAGGCTCACCCAATTCCCTAACCATGTGGAAAAACAGAGACTTATTACATTTGAAACTGGCTTTTGAATATTACAATATTACTTTAGGACTGGGACTTTCAAATGCCTTTTCCATGGCTAATATAAAACTAATGCTGGGATGTGAAAAGACTAAGGATACATCCCATCTGGTTTGTGTGTTATTATTTTGTGTATGTGTTTGTAGCAACTTCAATTACCACTTCTGTTTCCATGCTTTTGTTTATCCATAAAATAAAAGGATGAAAAAATGTTTCCAATGAAATACAATATTATAAACAACTGAAACAAAAACCTTCTGGGAACTTAAAAGATTTCTTGTAATCCATGTAAGGAAGCAAATTTTGATATACTGGCAAGACTTGAACTGAATTCACATGAAGCTATTTATAGGCTTTATCCCACTGAGTGTGACTATTCATATGTTTTTCTGCAGAAGTATTAATGTGGTTGATTACTGAGTGTTAACTAGACTCTGGTGTTATAAATTATACGGTACAGGTATACATGTATTGCTTAAAAAAATCCAAAAACTCTAAATTTTATAGCACATGGTCACCTAGGGACTTCAGATGAGGAAATGTATTTGTATTTCTTCTAAGTAGCTAATACTCTGTCTGACTAAGACTTCATATTTTAAACATGTTAGCATTTTTAGACTAGCCTATAACAGAAACTACAACAAACTCCAGTTTCAGGAGATGATTTGACTCATTCATCCTTCCAACATTTACTACATGCATCTTAATTTGCCAGCTGTGACAAATGGTACAAAAGAGTACAGCTGTACTCTTTGGCTGTAACAAAATTACCTAACGTGTCCCAGAGAGAGGTCTAGGCCCCACCCTTATAAATTCTAATTGAGTAAGTCTAGGATTGGGTTCAGGAATTATCCATAAAATGCCATCCAGGTTTCTGTTTCAATAAAGTAGGCTACCATTTTTTGCCCCTCTATTTTGATGCCCTATTTAAATAAGAGTAAAAGGATAAAAAATGAGCACAAGTGATTTCAAAATAGTTCTAGAAGATGCAGAGTGGATGGATGAATGTTGAAGGATGAAACAACAGAAGTAGTAGCCCCTTCAGAGCTAAGTGGAGCTCCGTATAGTGGAAGGGGAAGTCCATATGCCTAACAGAACCCAGAACACACAGGTACTAGAGAAGGTGGGAGGAAGACGTGGAGTTGGAAATAGGGAACTCACTCACTCTGTATATGGAAAAGTTGGCCCAAGATTAGAGGGTTCTTCTCTAGAAAAACAGAAATCATAATCTACTTTGAAATAGCTTCAAGCATATGTTGTCTTATCTCTCTAACTCTTTAAGTTTTCTGAGGGCAAGGACCTCATTTTTGTTTCCCCTCACAATTCTAGGTAAATAAAAGGCTCCAATAGAAAAGCTCTTTGGAAAATAAAACTGAGAACTGAAAAGGGAGGATCTCAATAACTAAACATATTATTCCTTTATCTTCTCAAAACATAACAATTCACTAAATATGGAGGAAGAAAAAAATCTCATGAAAATAAATACCATATAGTAACAGTCATGTTTATCCTTATATATGTACCATTCATACTGTACCTTTATAACTAATATTCTAATTTATAATGAACTCTAAATGATATTCTAATAACATGCTTTGCATATTAAGAGGCACTAATATTGTCCAAAGAGTAATGTCAGAACTTACATTTCTAAATTTAGCTGTCCATGAATCCATATGATCAAGAAGTTGTCTATTCATAGCCACTCTTGCCCAGACCTATAAAAATTCATGTTTAAAATGAACAATCAGTGAGGAAAAATCTTGATAGAAATCATCATTCTTTCTCCCATCCTAAAAAATATTTAATGAACTTTGAAAAAAAATTTCCCAAACATCAATATTCATCTAATTAATATTCAGTAATTTTCTTATTACTCACTTATAAATGCTGTTCACACACAGATTTATCTTTAAAAGTTCCTTACATTGGTATGTGTAAAGAACATTTTTCTTGCTTTTTTTTTTTTTTTTGAGATGGAGTCTCTCTCTGTTGTCCAGGCTGGAACACAGTGACGCAATCTTAGCTCACTGCAACCTCTGCCTCCCAGGTTCAAGCAATCCTCCCGCCTCAGCCTCCTGAGTAGCTGGGACCACAGGCACACGCCACCATGCTGGGCTAATTTTTGTAACTTTAGTAGAGACAGGGTTTCACCATGTTGGCCAGATGGTCTCAATCTCCTGACCTCGTGATCCACCCGCCTCTGCCTCCCAAAGTGCTGGGATTACAGGCGTGAGCCACTGTGCCCAGCCCATTTTTCTTGCTTTTAAGAACAAAATAAAAATTCCATATTTGGTATTAAAGTGACGAAATTACTGACAAATATTCTAATCCAAATATATTTTAAAAGCAAGACTTCTGTATGTGTTAAGTACAATTATATACCTGAGAGCCTTTTTATAATCAATGTAAAAATATGTTTCAGGCAGGGCGCTAAGGTGAACTGTGTGTCACAGAGTAAAATGTATGATATAATTTAGTTTTTAGTTTTAGGCACACAAAGTAAGACAGGAGCTTTCCCACTGCCTAATGTGTGCCAGATTTACATTTCTGTCCAACAGAATGGAAGATTACAGAAAAAATGTTCCAGAAGTAGAAGACTTTCTAACAATGCATAAATCATAAATATTAAGTCACTTTTATTTTCCACTTACCTCTTCTGCGGCTTGTTTAGAGCTGAGATCGGCTTCATCTTTGTTAGCACATGGGGCCTGAGACCTACAGGCAAGCTGATACTGAAACTTCTTTAAAGTTTGTGCATAATCCCCCATAGAACGACTATAGTTCCAGAAAGTAGGACTGCTGGAAGGAGAGGTAGAATCTGGGCTCCCTACAATTGTTAAGATAAACAGTATCAGTGTGTTGTAGCAATTCTGACATCTACAGTTAACACTTATATCTAGGCAATGGCAATCCAGGAATCAGAAGACCAACCCTCAAGGAGATTCTCTTCTCCCCAACATAATTTTCTCTTTAGAGATCACAGTCTGCTTGTGATTAAAAATTTTAAATAGTATTTTCTGAGCCATATCAATTTAACAGTCATAAAAACAATAAGCAGTCAAAGGCATCTGTCTAGTTCTGTTGAAAAGTTAAGCTCGTTTCATTCTCTAAGACTTTTAAATCATTTAGTAAGAAACAAACAAAAGACAAATTTCTTTAGGAAATAAATAGGCCAAGCAAGTTCTTTATTTGAAATTTCTAGAAGCTCTTTCTAAAAGGGATAACTATAGCCTCCTACTAAAAGATTACTCTCCTGGTAACAAGCTAAACTTATTTGTCCCTGTACTTCACTGTGTTTTACTTAACAGCCTGTGGTAATTCCTGAGTTGTACTAAAAGACTATCTGATGGTTATCCTTCTAAATTTATAAATTTACTTTTAAGAAATGTAAAAAAAAGTTCTATTTAGGAATGTACTCCTACAGAGGCCTCTGAACCAGGATATTAATCACACTTCCGGGTTATAGTTTTTGTCTGTTTTCCCAAATAGAATTTGAGCTCCTTGAAAGCAGGGAGCATTTTTTTTCCCTAGCATCTAGCATAGCGCCTGAATAAATAAGCAAGTTTTTGACAACAATTATATGGTATTTATGAAGGGCTTATATTTTCGGAGTTTAACTGATATAAAAAATATCAATTGGTACTTTATACCCTCAAACAAAACTTATAAATAGAAACAATTTTTTTTAATCTTAGCAGAATTCTAAAAGGAATGACTAGAAAATAATAAAACTCATTTTCCTTATGCTTACGGGTACAAAGAATTAGGAATCATCAAACGGGTATGTAGCAATATAATTCATCAAAATTTTGATGGTTAGCTAGTTTTGTTAGCGTTGGTGAATGTTTCATGCTGGCATAAAAAGTTATATACAGTAAAGAAACATCACACTGTATGAAATTCTGGCAAAACTGACTTTAGGAATGAATTAATGTCAAGAAAAGCAGTTGTCAACCAACATAAATGATTTAATAAATAGAGAACAGAAATGGAAAGTAAAAACATGGTCATAACAGAGCATAAAGTTATCCTATTTGATTAATCATTGCGATTATTAACTTTAAGAAACGTAAGTTTTCTATGAAAAAACTTGTATTTGAGTAAAATTTCATTGAGGACTGGCTTTAGACAATGAATAGAAATAGGAAGTTCTAGTACCTCTGGGCATTAGTCAAAGCAAAGAAAAAATGTACATAGCAAGTAATGACAAAATAGGGCCTTTCCATGATGAACACCACCATCACCACCACCACCACCACCACAACAACAGCACACAATCTATAGCTGGAGAACCTCAAAGACCTAAGAGTCAAAGCACATGGAGATTTGGAAATCTGGGCAACACAGGAAACCAGACAACCTAAAACATCTCCCACTATAAATATCTAAAAACATTTATTAAATAAAATACATTCTTTAGGCCAGTGCGCGGTGGCTCACGCCTGTAATCCCAGCACTTTGGGAGGCCGAGGCGGGCAGATCACTTGAGGTCAGGAGCTCGAGACAAGCCTGGCCAACATGGTGAAACCCTGTCTCTACTAAAAATACAAAAATTAGCCAGGTATGGTGGTGCATGCCTGTAATCCCAGCTACTCAGGAGGCTAAGGCAGGAGAATTGCTTGAACCCGGGAAGCGGAGGTTTCAGTGAGCCGAGATCACCCCACTGCACTCCAGCCTGAGCAACAGAGCTAGACTCTATCTCAAAAACAAAAAAAACCTCGATCTCAAAAAAAAAAACAACATTATTAAGATGAATAATGGAGCTTGCAAAAAAGTAAGGCTATGAATAGCCAGTGGTTAAAAATGAAAAGAGAATTAAAAATCTAAATAGCCTGTAAGAGGCTGCTGTGGCGTGGCTGCTCTAGAGAATTTTGTAGGCCTTGAGAAATCTATCAGCTTGGATTCATTGCCCAAGTGGGAAACGGAGATAAGGATTTGGGCCCTTAAGAGGCAGAGAGTTGGGCTGACACCTTTCTCCTACCCCTAGTCCCTGGTCCTGGTAGAGGACCAGGAATCTCAAAGGGCCACATTCAGAGTAGATAAGAAAAAAATCTGTTCAATGGGACCAGGAGATAATGAAAGCTTGTCTGTCATAGGTTGTTGGGAGACTTAAAAAAAAAAAAAAAGAAAAACAACACCCTGAGATTTAAAAATTATAGATATATCTTCACATGGGTTTAGAGTGCCCATTTATATTACCTGTGAGGTCCAGGAATCTCCAAGCTTAGAAATTACTTAAGTTAGCTCAAAGTCAATAATACTCCTAAGGCACCTGACAGAGGCAAATACAAAACAGCTAGGAAGAGACAAGGCTTCCATCCAGCCAAGATAAGCTTACCAGAAACAAACAGAAATTACATCAATCACAAGGAAACAAGACTGCAGTCCTAACAACCAACAAGACAAAAATGGTCAGTATTTAACCTCCAAGAACTTTAGATAATTGAACTATTGGACAAATAACATTTAAAAAGTGTGTTTAAGCAACTGAGATAGAAAAAGGAACTGAAAACATAAGAATAAAAAATATTCTACAAAAACCTGGCATAATTGAAAAGGACCAAATAAAACTATAAAATGAGAACAAGTGGCTGAAATTAAAAAACTCAATGAATTAGTTAAATAACAGTTTAGACATTACTAAAGAAAGAGCTGATGAGTCCACAGTGACTAAACCAAAAAAGCTGGGGTGGGGGTAAAACAGAATGCTCCTCTTTAGAGAAGAATGCCAAACTATGAAGTGTAGAAATAAATAATTAGAAAATCTCCACTTTGGCCAGGCGCAGTGACTCACACTTGTAATCCCAGCACTTTGGGAGGCCAAGGCGGGCGGATCACAAGGTCAGGAGATCGAGACCATCCTGGCTAACATGGTGAAACCCCGTCTCTACTAAAAATACAAAAAATTAGCCAGGCGTGGTGGCAGGCACCTGTAGTCCCAGCTACTCGGGAGGCTGAAGCAGGAGAATGGCATGAACCCGGGAGGCGGAGCTTGCAGCGAGCCGAGATCACACCACTGCACTCCAGCCGGGGTGACAGAGTGAGACTCCGTATCAAAAAAAAAAAAAAAAAAAAAAAAAGAAAATCTCTACTTTATAATCACCACTTTATCAAGGACAAGGATCATCAACAGATGCTAAAATCACTGGGTAAAAGGCTGTTAAGGAAACAGGACATAAAGGGAAAATCATGAAGAAATCCAGTTGCTATCAACTTAACCAAGTGATCCTATTTTATTATATATTACCGACAAAGAGACAAAGCAGCATCACGTATCTCCTGATGTGATACACTGAAAAGGACATGCCACCACCCATGTTGTATTCTTGCCAGAAAATAATATTTAAACGGAATCTAACAGTAACAAAATGATCAAACAAATCTGAATTTTCAAAACAACAGCCTCATCTCTTCAAAATGTAAATGTCATAAAAGAAAACAAAACAAAAAATCCCACAAAACCCACACTATCCAAATGGTTTCGATTTAAGGAGACAACAGAAGCACAAGTAAATGCAATATGTGATACCTGATTGGATCCTGCATCAATAAAAGAAAAAAAAAGCACTACAAGGGTCAGTATTGGGTCAACTGGGGAAATGTGAATATGAACACCCATAGTATCTTAAGCATGACAATCATATTGTCATTATTCATTTATTTATTTTTTCTTTGAGACAGAGTCTCACTCTGTCACCCAGGCTGGAGTGCAGTGGTGTGATCTCGGTTCACTGCAACCTCCGCCTCCCGGATTCAAGCGATTCTCCTGCCCCAGCCTCCAGAGTGGCTGGGATACAGGCTCGCGTCACCAAGCCTCGCTAATTTTTTAGTAGAGGTGGGGTTTCACCATGTTGGTCAGAAAATCCTGACCTGGTCTCAAAATCCTGACCTCATGATCCACCTGCCTCAGCCTCCCAAAGTGCTGGGATTACAAGCGTGAGCCACTGAGCCCAGCCCATATTGTAGTTATAAAGGAAGATGTCTTGGTCTTAGGAGATGCATGTGAAATATTCAGGAATGAAGTGGAATGATGCCCGCAACTTCCTTTCAAATGATTCAGCAAAAAAGTGTGCATGAGAGAGAGAATATGAGGGCCTGGTTTTTCACTACTGGAGAAAGTTACAAATACGAAAAGTGGGGAGGACAGAATAAACTGTATAGCTGGACTGGAACTAGAAGTAACATTATAAACTCATGGTTTTTTAAAAACATAGAATAACACATATAGATGTGTGTGTGTACATATATCTGTGTATATGTCCATACAAATATTTCCTAGAGGACCTGGAGTAATGATACCTCAATAATAACAGTGTGCCCAGTGCCCAGATAATAATTTCTAAGTATCATTCTCCATTAAAAGGAATCAGGGCTCTTAGAGAAACAGACTGACTCTGGAGCTAGCCAGGGAAAACACAAAATGAGCCTGACCTATTTTGTGGTGCTAGAAAGGTGGCGCGGGCAGGGGGATTAGCTCAAAGAATGATAGTGTCATGTCAAAAGAACAGAGAAGTCAGCTTACAGAGGATCCCACTAGCCCAATCTGAGACAATCAAATCGTCAACATAAGTGAATGATTAGGGAGAAGAAACCTTTATCTTACAGAATACCAACAAATAAATGTAAAAGGCAGCTGCACAATAATGTAAATGTACTTACCACCACTTAATTAAACACTTCAAATGGCTAATATTGGGCCAGGCGCGGTGGCTCACGGCTGTAATTCCCAGCACTTTGGAGGCCGAGGCGGGCAGATCACCTGAGGTCAGGAGTTTGAGACCAGCCTGGCCAACAAGGGGAAACCCTGTCTCTACTAAAAATACAAAAATTAGCCAGGCATGGTGGCAGATGCCTGTAATCCTAGCTACTTGGAAAGCTGAGGCAGGAGAATCGCTTGAACCTGGGAGGCAGAAGTTGCAGTAAGCCGAGATCGCACCACTGCACTCCAGCCTGGGCGACAGAGCCAAGACTCCATCTCAAAAAAAGAAAAAAAAAAGGCTAATATTGTAAATTTTATGTATACTGTATTACAGTAAAAAAAAAAAAGGAAAAATGTTAAAGGAATAAACATAGAAGAAATGATGAAATTGGAAAGCTCCATGACAACCAACATAGTAATAATTTTGAAAATAATCTTAAAAGGATGTTAGAACTAGTAAGTCAAAGTTTGATGGGGTCAGGCACAATGGCTTACGCCTATAATCCCAGCACTTTTGGAGGCCAAAGTGGGTGGATTGTGTGAGCTCAGGAGTTCGAGACCAGCCTGGGCAACATGGCAAAACCCGGTCTCTACTAAAAACACAAAAATTAGCATGGCATGGTGGCATGCATCTGTAGTCCCAGCTACTCAGGAGGCTGAGGTGGGAGAGGCACCTGAGCGCTGAATTCAAGGCTGCAGCGAGCCAAGACTGCACCACTGCAACAGTGAGACCTAGTCTCAAAAAAAAAAAAAAAGTTTGATGGGGACCAAATAACTATATAGTTTTAGATCAGTAGCTTCCCACAAAATACTTATTAATCATTTATTAATTTGCACAAAATACTTAATTTTCGAAAACCCATGGGTATAGAAGGGCTAAAAGTATAGGGATAGAGATAGATATACCAGCCAGATACTAACCAAAAGGAAATTAATATAGATGTGTCAATGTCAGACAAAATAGACTTTAAGGCAAAAAGCCTAAGAGATAAAGATAAGTGGCATAATTCACCAGAATGATATTCACAATTCTGAATTTACATGCATTTAACGTAATCTCGTATGTATACTTAGCAAATCTGACAGAATTGCAAGAAAACATTTAATGGAAGACAATCAACGGGAGCTTTTGGCACACTTTCTTAATAACCAATAGATAAAGCAGATAAAAATTAGTAAGATAAAGTATTTAAGAATACCATCAAGAAGTGTGACAGTGAACAAATATAGAGCCCCAAATTTAGAGACTCTGCATTCTGTTCAATATACCAAAGCCATTTACAGAAAAGTGATCACATAGTAGACCTAAAAGCAAGTCTCAAACAAACAAACACAAAATTGATAGGTACAGATCAGATTCTCTAACCACAGTAAAATTAACTTAGGAGAAAAAAAAGGTAACCAAGCCTTTTCAGGCTTGAAAATTAAAAGCAACACCAATAACACTTCCAAACAATAATAATATTACTTCTAAATAGCTCCTACTGGGATAAAGAATAAAAGTGAAGTCAGAAAATATCTGGGTATTACAAAGATGTGCCAAGGATACATAGGTTCTTTGTATTATACTCTGTATTAAAGTTTCAGTAGACTCAAAATATTTCAAATTTTTTTCAAAAAGCATGTATCAAAAATAAGAAGATAGTATTGACTGGTTTCTGTAACATCTGTGGCACTTTCAGGCAAAATGAAATTAGAAATCACTGGTGAGACTCCAAGCGACACAAAGAGTCATGGTCCAATAACCGGCTTCCTCGCCACAGCTGAGTATTAGCGCCTAATATGCTTTCGTGAAAGTTCCTGACGGGGGAAAAATCATTACTCAGTTCAATAACCTAATTTGGTTTCAAATAATTGACTCTGTAATAATCAAATTCACCCCAAACAGATTAAGATTTGCTAACACTCTTTCCCAAGGTAAACTATAGGCTTTCAGGAAATACTAAAACGCAAGTTTTAAAATGTTATGAAAAACAGCAGCGCTTCTCGAGTAAATACATGTTCTCTCTTTCAGCCTGCTCTGCCACACCAACCTTCCAAAAGACTACTTGAAAAGAGACAGCTATAATTTGAGTAAGTTCACTACGCACTGCTTCAAAACATTATTTTGTAGCCTCAACTTTAAATAGAAATTGTAACTTACATTATACGAAAAAGCTTTCAATCTTATTGTAGGTTTGAGATTTCTTAGTTTAGCTATATTTCACTTCCTAAATTTAGTGAACTTAATTCTAACTGCATAAAATAATGTTACATATAAAGTAAAACAAAACATGCTAAGCTAATAAAGTATGTTAGTATGGATATTAAAATAATGAAAATAGTAGGTTAAGGATTGACACCAAAAATATGTATAGTAGATATACAGAAATATATATGTACCCAGCTTAACCCTATGCTGTTTCTCCTCTTCACTTCTGAGAAAAGTATCCAAAGTTCGTAGGTCGGTCATGTAGTCTTCTTTGTCAGTAGGTGAGTTGTAGACGGTAGGTGAAGAACGGTAGCGAGATCTCAATCCACTGCTCTCCACTGGTCCAACAGTGGTAGGGTACGGAGAAGGAGGAGAGGGGCTAAAGCTCGCCAACTATACAAAATAAAAGATCTTTACTTTATTTTTCTTTAATTGAAATTCATTTTGTTTTGGTTTTTGACTTAAGTAAAACACCTAGTAGAATGGCGAAAATCCACAATACTGACAACATCAAACGCTGATGAGGTTGTGGAACAACAGAATCTCTCATTCTTTGCTGGTGGGAATGCAAAATGATACAGCCACTTTGAAACAGTCTGGCTGTTTCTTACAAAAGTAAATATTATCTTACCATACGAACTAGTAATTGTGCTCCTTAGTATTACCCAAGGAGTTGAAAACTTACGGCCACACACAAACCTGTATGTTTATGGCAGCTTTATTCCTAATGGCCAAAACTTGAAAGCAACCAAGATGCCCTTCAGTAGGTGAACGAGTAAATAAACTGGCAAAATTAGGTAATGGAGTATTAGCACTAAAAAGAAGTGAGCTATTGCTGGGCACGGTGGCTCACACCTATAATCCCAGCACTTTTGGAGGCTGAGGTGGGCGGATCACCTGAGGTCGGTGACCAGCCTGACCAACATGGAGAAACCCTGTGTCTACTTAAAATACAAAATTAGCTGGGCGTGGTGGTGCATGCCTATAATCCCAGCTACTCGGGAGGCTGAGGCAGGAGAATCGCTTAAACCCCGGGAGGCGGAGGTTGTGGCGAGCCAAGATCGCGCGACTGCACTCCAGCCTGGACAATAAAAGCGAAACTCCATCTCAAAAGAAAAAAAAAAAAGTGAGCTATCAAGCTACGAAAAGACATAAAGCAATCTTAAATGCATATTGTTAAGTGAAAGAAGCCAATCCGAAAAGCTACACGGGTATGATTCTAAGTACATGACGTTCTAGAAAAGGCAAAACTATGGCGGCAATTAAAAAAAAACACTGGTTAACAGGAATTTGGAGGAAAAGATGAATGAATAAATGGTGCAGTTTCATTCTGTATGATACTATAATTGTGAACATGTCATTACACATTTGTCCAAACCCATAGAACGTACAACACCAAGAGTGAACCCTAATGTAAACTATGCACTTTGGGTGATAATGACGTGTCAATGCAGGTTCATCAGCTGTAAGAAATAAACCACTGTGAGGCCGGGTGCGGTGACTCACGCTTGTAGTCCCAGCACTTTGGGAGGTCTAGGTGGGCGAATCACGGGGTCAGGAGATCGAGACCATCCTGGCTAACATGGTGAAACCCCGTCTCTACTAAAAGTACAAAAAAATTAGCTGGGTGTGGTGGCGGGCACCTGTAGTCCCAGCTACTCGGGAGGCTGAGGCAGGAGAATGGCAGGAATCCGGGAGGCGGAGCTTGCAGTGAGCCGAGATTGCACCACCGCACTCCAGCCTGGGTGACAGAGCGAGACTCCGTCTCAAAAAAAAAAAAAAGAAATATACCACTGTGAGGGGGTATACTGATCATGGGGGAGGCTATGCATGTTAGGACAGGGGATGTACATGAGATCTCTTGATTTTGCTGTGAACTCAAAACTGCTCTAAAAAATAAAGTCCATCAAAAAAAAAAAAGGTAACTCATGGAGCCCAGGAGTTAGAGGCTATGGTGAGCCACGACTGTGCCACTGCATTCCAGCCTGGGTGATAAAGAGCAAGACCCTATCTCTTAAAAAAACAAGTAACACATGCATATTTTTAAAAATAGAAAGTATAAACATCTGTAACTTTGCCACCCAGAGATAATATAATCCTTTTTCATATTTTATGTATTTTAAAATCTCTAAAATATACATAGCTTTGTCAATGTTACAATGAAGATAGCTGTACATAAATCTTTGACTGAATTTCTGATGGCTTCTTTAACAGATGCCTAAAACTGAAATTATTTGGTGAAAGCATATTAACATTTACTTGATATACAAGAATTTTAAAAATTGGACATTTAATTTGCATTTCCCTATATTTATGACATTGAACACTTAAAAAATACAATTACTGGTCACTTGGATTACTTATTTTATTTAAATGTTTACTCAAGTACATTTATAATATTTTTCTATTGGGGTCTTATTATCACTTCGTATTAGTTTGCAATAAGTTAAAGATTAACCAGTCTTGTAATTGTTAAATGCTGTTTGAAAATAAAAAGGTTAATCCTCTTCCACACAGATTTCTCTTTTATTTTTAAAATTAACATATTACATAATTATATACACTATATCTGGGCTATTATTGCATTAATTGGCCTATTTTTGCTTACGGGCCATAATATTTTACTTATTAAGTTTTAATGTCTATGGGGAAGTATCCTGTTACTCAAAATTTTCTTGGCTCATTTGTTTTTCTTTATTAACTTTAAAATCAATGAGTAACTTGCATAAATCTATTCTTTAAAAATGGTAGACTGGGACTGATTAGAATTGCATACACCTTATACATTAGCATGTAGGGAGAAAATCTTTATAACAGTATCTTTTTATCCAAGAACATTTCATCCCTCTTCATCTAGCATCTCTTATTATTTCTTGGCAATATTTTGGCCCCACTTTACTTCTAAAGCTCAATCTTGGAATCTTATGTTTTTTAATCAATTATGAAAGGAATTTTGAAACTCCTATTGGATCTAATTGAATAATGCTGGCATATATATGACTGTAAGCTATTGATTTTGGATATTTACTGTGTATCCAGCCACTTAACCAAAGTTTTTAATATTAAAATGGATGTTTTTAGGAAACAGCTTTTCGAACTTTAGGTTTTAAATGAACTCTTGAATATAATGTATTAATAGAATTCTTGCATTGTTAGGATAAATTTTACCTGGTCATCAATTATTCCTTAAAAGTTATTTGGAAAAAAAAAAAAAGTTGTTAATTTCTGTGAATTCAAACCATTATTTAATTTACAACTTTCACATTGTCCTATTTGTTTTTATGTTTTTTCGGTTTGTTTTTTACAGATCCCAGGGAGAACTATTTTGTGCTTTAAGTTTTATTACATTCTGTAAAGTGAAATAGGTAGTGGTGTTCTCATCTTTTCTGCATTTGGTAATAATTCATATTGAATACCAAGTATTTAGGCAGTCATTATATATGTTAGGCAATGTGCTAATTACACTTAATATATACATTGTCTTATTTTATCTTTTCAATAACAGGTACATATGATTACTATATTCGCCTTATGAGTTTAGGTAACTTGCTGAAGATCACACCAGGATTTCAATCCTGTTTTCTAACTCAAGTTTATGTTAACATGTTGTTTTACTGGATTAGAATTAGCTGTTCATACCCCAGCAAAATATTAATAACTTTTAGAAGATGGGTAAAAGATACACAGGAGTTTACTATATTAAAACTGGTCTCTTCACTTTTGTGAGTTTGAGATTTTCCATAATAAAAAGTCTATAAAGTAACTGTTTCTTCAAAGTTTAAAAGAACTCAATAATAAAACTTAAGGGCCCTACAGTCTTCTGGGGATGTATTCGATATATTGTTTTTAAATTTTCCCTCTCATTTTGGTTTTCTACTTCTTAGCCAATTTTTGGCTTTTTTTTTTTTTCCAAGAAAAGTAATGTATTTCATTAACTTTTCTAAGTTATTAGTTTGGTTCAACAGACACTGATGTAGGTAGCATCTATATTCCATATATTGTGCTAAGGAAACAAAGATGAATAAAAACATAATCCTGTGCTCAAGAGGGTTACAGTCTAGAGGGAAAAAAGTGAACATTATTATAGACTGAATGTCTGTGTCTTCCCCAAATTCATATGTTGAAGCCCTAACCCCCAATGTGGCTGTTTTTGAAGTAAAGGGGTAATTAACCTAAGTGAGGTCATTGGAGTGGGGCCTTGTTCTGACAGGCTCAGTGCCATATGAAGAGATACCAGAAAGGCCATGGCAGGGCAAAGTGGCTGTCCGTAAACTACAAAGAGCCCTTACCAGAAACCAAACTAGCAGGGACCTTGATCTTAGACTTCTAGCATTCAGAACTATGAGAAAATAATTTCTGTCAGGCCACAAAGCCTGTGGCATTTTTTAATGGCAGCCCAAGCAGACTAATACAAGCAATTATTTTAAAATACTATGCTTCGTTTGGTATATCATTATGCAAATATTCTAAGGTGGGAATGTAAGATGGCATAGTGGCTACAAACCATGGTATGGGGCCAGGTGTGGTGGCTCATGCCTGTAATCCCAGCACTTTGGGAGGCTGAGGCAGGAAGATTGCTTGAGTCTAGAAGTTTGAGACCAACCCAGGCAACATAGCAAGACCCCATCTCTACCAAAACAAACAAACACCACACAGTGTTTCCTCAAAAAATTAAAAATTGATACATAAACTCTACTTCTTGATATATACCCAGAACTGAAAGCAGGGACTCAAACAGATAAGCTGTACAGCCATGTACACTGCAGCATTCGCTATTCCCAAAAGCCAAAAGGTGGAAGCCATCAACATATGAGTGGATAAACAAAATGTGGTGTATACATACAATGGAATATTATTCAGCCTTAAAAAGGAAGGGAATTATAACACATGCTGCAACATGGATGAACTCTGAGGACATTACGCTAGTGAAATAGGCCAGTTAAAGGACAAATACTGTATGATTCCACTTACATGATGTACTTACAGTATCAAATTCAGAGACAGAACAGTGGTTGCCAGAGACTTAGGGGGTGGAAAAAGAGAGTTAATTGTTCAGTAGGCACATTGTTTCAGTGGGGAGATGATAAGTTCTAGAGACGGATGATGGTGACAGCTGCACAATTTGAATGCATTTAATGCTACTGAACTATGCACTTAAAAATGGTATGTTTTATCATCATTAAACAAAGGATGATATTAAGAGTGTTTTCAGCAGACAGAATAACTTAAAAAGATCAGTAACAACACAGACACATGAAACATTATGGTAATAGCTATTCTCTGCTCTTACCATAAAATGTAAAAATATTCATTTTGGTTTACACTTCTCTGTATCCTTTTCTAAATCTTCCATTTCAATTTCTCCTTAAGTCTATGTCTTATTTGCTCTGCTGATTTGACAGATTTGTCTATTTTATGGGATTTCCCATGCACACAGAAAAAAGCTCTTAGATAACAGTTCATTAACATTTGCTTTTATCATTTTAAAAATAGCTTTATTGAGATATAAATTCACATACCACACAATTCACTCATGTAAAGTGCACAACTCAATGTTTTAGTATATTCACAGGATTATACAGCCATCACAATCAATTTCAGAACATTCTTGTTCTTCCACTAAAATCAATCCCCTTTTCTCCTTCCTTCCCACCCCAACTTTAGATAACCACTAATCTTCCTGTCTTTATAGATTTGCCCATTCTGAACATTTCATGTAACTAGAATCATATAATATGTGGTCTTTTGTGACTGGTTTCTTTCATTAGCATAGTGTTTTCAGGACTCATCCATGTTGTACCATACACCTATCATTTTTTCTGTATCCTCCTTGTTGTACTCTCCTAACTTTGACCTGAATTCTGGGTACATCTATTTTTATTTTTTAAAACAAAAATGGGTAGGGCGAGGTGGCTCATGCCTGTAATCCCAGCACTTTGGGAGGCTGAGGTGGGCGGATCACTCGAGGTCAAGAGTTGGAGACCAGCCTGGCCAACATGGTGAAACCCCGTCTCTACTAAAAATAAAAAAATTAGCTGGGCATGCTGGTGGGCCCCTATAATCATAGCTGCTCAGGAGGCTAAGGCAGGAGAATCCCTTCAACCCGGGAGGCAGACGCTGCAGTGAGCCGAGATCACACCACTGCACTCCAGCCTGGGTGATAAGAGTGAAACTCTGTCTCAAAAAAACCCCCCCAAAAAACAAAAATGAAACCATTTAAGGTTAAGAATTTACCACTGCAAATAGCTTTTACTATATTCATAAATTCTGATACTGAAGCATTCTTGTTTTCCTAATTTTAATTTAACCTAATATTTTGGTGAGTATTTTTAAACATTTTAGTGGTGTTTTTCAAACCTTTATTTTTAATTTCTAGTTTTATTTTTGTTTTGGTCAGAAAATACAATGTGTACAATTTCATGAACATCTCAAATAGAAAGGTACAATATTCAATAGTATTCTTATGGAGGTTGTCTTATTAAATTTTACTGTTCCAATCTTTTGTGTCCTTATTTGTTGCCTACTTTATCAGACATTGATAATGCTAAAGTCTTCCAATACAATTGTGTTTATTGATTTCATGTTTCTAAAGGTTTTTGTTTTACATTTTATGATGCTGTATTATTCAATATACAGGGATTGTGAATCTAACTATTATTTTATTATTTCTTCCATCAACTTAAAATGACCTTTTGTCTCATATAATTCTTCCTCCTCTAAAGTTATTCATTGTTAATACTACCACCTTATTTTTATGCTTTCCTGATATGCCTTTGTCACCTTTTTAATTTTTTTATTTTTTTTTTGAGACAGAGTCTTGCTGTGTCGCCCAGGCTGGAGTGCAGCGAGCCATCTCGGCTCACTGAAAGCTCCGCCTTCCTGGTTCACGCCATTCTCCTGCCTCAGCCTCCCGAGTAGCTGCGACTACAGGCGCCCGCCACCACACCTGGCTAATTTTTTGTATTTTGTTTAGTAGAGACAGGGTTTCAACATGTTAGCCAGGATGGTCTTGATCTCCTGACCTTGTGACCCGCCTGCCTCGGCCTCCCAAAGTGCTGGGATTACAGGCGTGACCCGCTGCGCCCAGCCGTCACCTTTACTTTCTTTTGATAATTTCCTGACATATCTTTTAAGATTTTAAAAAAAGAAAGATTACTAAGGTAAAAAAAACTCAACTCATTATTTTTTCCCTCTAACTTATAAATACAAAGATGTACAAGGCAGAAGAAATGACTGGAAAAGAGTGGGTACAAAGGGAGAGTTAACATAAGAAAAAAATTATTTCTTTAAAAATAAAAATTATATTTTGGTGGTGTCACTTCTTTTGTACAAATAGAACATAAGCTATGATTTATCTGTTTTTGAAGCAAAAATGCAATAGTATTTAACATTTTTTGTTAACTCTTCTAACAGTCAGTCCACAATGAAACTGCTACACACAGCACTAAAAACACAGCAAGTGAACAGAATCACCCCGAAAAAGACAAATCACATGTAATTCAAAGGAGGCTCCAAGTCAATCAAGGTAAAAATAATTTATAATATTGGGACAACTAGTTATCAATTTTAGCAAAAAACAAAAATGAGAAAATTATCATCTTATATTATGGTGGGGAGGGGAATCAATTCTGAAAGTAAGAAAATTTCTAAATTTAAAAACAGAGCAAACCACAAGGAGATAAACAGATAGGACTATTAAACATTTAAAGTTTCTCTCTCTCTATATATATATATATTAAACTCTATAATTAAACAGCAACCCAAGAAAAAAAATCAGAGGATACAGACCCAAAAGACAAGCGAGTAAAGCACGAGAACTTCCTGATTTAGCTATGCGGCTTTGAAATAAATGTATGTTAAAAGTTACGATAGACTATTGTCATGTTTCTTATTAGCAGAGATTTATTTTTTTAAAAAATTAACTTGATGGTCAACAGTGTGGTAAAACAAACACTCTTCTACATTTCTGTGACAATGTAAATTGGTACAATTCTTTTGGATCGACACTCCCATCCCAAATTTATCAATAATTTTATGTACAGGGCTATTTAGTATACATTAAAAAGTTTTTTTATAAATGAAAATGACTTAAACATTCAAGAGTAAATTATGGTATATCCATTAGATGAGTATTAAATAGCCATTAAACAGATTATTTTTGTGTGGCAGGACTATAATAATTTTCCTTCTGTTTTACTTTTCCAATTTTCTATAAGGATCATATAGTATCATCTTGTGAAAAATTATTTTTAAAAGTCACATTTACCTATGAGTTATTAATTTTCACTACATATATACTTTCTCATAAAAATTTAACTTGTACAAAATTTTCAAAATTCTATTACCTGCCAAAATTAATTTTAATATTGGATAACCAGTAGTATGGAATTTCATTACAAAGAAATGTGTAAATGTTTGGGAGGTCGAGGAGGGCAGATCGCAAGGTCAGGAGATCGAGACCATCCTGGCTAACATGGCGAAACCCCGTCTCTACTGAAAGTACAAAAAATTAGCCGGGCACGGTGGTGGACGCCTGTAGTCCCAGCTACTCGGGAGGCTGAGGCAGGAGAATGGCATGAGCCCGGGAGGCGGAGTTTGCAGTGAGCTGAGATCACGCCACTGCACTCCAGTCTAGGCAACAGAGCGAGACTCTGTCTCAAAAAAAAAAAAAAAAAAAAAAAAAAAAGAAATATGTAAATGGATAAGGGCAGACAATGTGTCAGTTTCATCTCCAGAGACTCCTCTTTTAACTAGCAGCTACAGAGATGTTAGTCGAACACAGTAGCGACAGCATCTGAAATGACCACTCTTCTTTCAACGCCCCCTTATATTAATAGTTTTATGCTTCAAGAAGGAGTCAAAATTTCAATTTGTCAATCCTGTTTCTATTAATCCTAAAAATTAGAACAAAATTTCACATTACTGTGGGAGTGGAAATGAAGGTTCCTACTATTCCATGGAAAGCGTCCATATTCAAGAATCATTTGTACTCATTGGAAAAAAAAAAGAAACTATGTGACAATCTCAGCTTTTAGCTTAGAAGACACTCCAACATGATAAACCACACTAAAACTCTAAAAAGGTATACAAAGGCCTCACATGAAGAAGGAAAGCAAGAGGGAAAACAGGAGTAAAAGCAACTAAAGTAAAAAATTATCCTTGTTTCAACTTGTTTTAAAGACAGCTGAAAGATCGTAGATGGTGCACTAAGTTTGTTATCTCTGTAAATGCTAATTTTTTCTCTTTCATTTTAAGATGTTGTGTTTAAGATATTATGTTCTATTCTCGGTTTTTAAATGGGTGTTCTGGGCAAATCAACTCTCAGTTTGCTCACTGATAAGTTTTGACTCATTAGATGATTTTTAGTATACCTCTCAATTCTAAAATAATGTGACTAGACAAGAGAAGAGAGTCATTACCTTATTATAACCACTGACGGGCGAGTAGGTCACTCCAGGGCTATAAGAACCACTGCCACCTGAGGACAGACCTTGCAGCTGAGGGCTGTAACCAGTCATACAGCTGGTGGTGAACTTGGGACTGGTACTGGGCGAACGAGAAGGGCTATAACTCAACACACTCTGACCCTGAATTGAAGGGGAAGGTGGAGCGGGAGGGATTTGGGTTGCTGCCAGATCATGTGGAGGCGTAGTCTGTACAACTAGAAGGAAAAAAAAAGCAACATATGTGTATGTACCTTCAAATAAAATTATACGAAAATATATTTAAGCAACTAAGTCTTTCTCTTAAGGGAAAAAAGTTAACAGAGTTACTTGGTTGTTAAATCACAGAATGTATTATTACCAAAGGACACAAATTACGTGTTTACCATTTCCAGAGTGCAAAATTAGAAACTGGTTTCAACTCAGCAAGTTAGTCATTTAATTTTAATTGCACCTGAACAATGGAACAAACTTCCATGAAATAGCTGAATGTATACAAGTAGGAATGATAATCATTGGTCATAAGACAATTTATTGTATCCTGCTTAAGATAGCTGATGTCCCTTCCAGCTTTGAGTCTACGAAATGGGAAAATTAAACTGAGAAAGATTTATTGCCAACCTTTTCCCCACCTTTGCAAGAGATATAAAACACTCACCAGCTGTTTTCAACCCTAAAAGTGTTTGCTGTCCAGGACTAACAACCAGACTTGTTGGTGCCACAGTATATTTGAAATATCTCCAAAAATCAAATAAGGCATTAAGGCTGAAGAGAGATGCAAGGGCAAGCTCTGGAAGAGAACAATTTTTTTTTAATAAGGGGGGTGAGGAGGGCATCTATTGGAGAACACAAAAACCCTCTATACTTAGCAAACTAAAATTACCTTCTTATTCCTCATAAAAACTATAATTTAATGAATGTTATGTGTAGGGTGGCTGGGCATGGTGGCTCACACCCATAATTGCAGCACTCTGGGAGGCTGAGGCGAGTGGATCACCTGAGGTCGGGAGTTTGAGACCAGCCTGGCCAACATAGTGAAACCCCATCTCTACTAAAAATATAAAAATTAGCCAGGTGTGGTGACGCACACCTGTAGTCTCAGCTACTTGGGAGGCTGAGGCAGGAGAATTGCTTGAACCTGGGAGGTGGAGGTTGCAGTGAGCTGAGATTGTGCCACTGTACTCCAGCCTGGGTGACAGAGTGAGACTCCTTCTCAAAAAAAAAAAAAATTATGTGTAGGTAATTTACTAGTGAGTTTCAAAATAGCACTAATCCTAGCAACCCTGTACAATAAATATTTTCACCTTCATTTTAAATATAAACCAACATTATTCAGAAGCCAAGTGACTCTTACAAGAGTAGAGAGTTAGTTAGTGAAGCCATGATTCTAACTGAGGTCTGCTGATTGCAAATCCCTTGCTCTCCCAACTTGGCACACTATCTCCCTGTGAAAGACTTTAATGTGTATAGACTATGAAATTTACTTTAACATCCATAAAGACTCTTTATACCCAATGACTATGGAAGAGCAGACAAGAAGAGAGGAAAGAATGTGAAAACTGAGGAAGGCATCAATGGAGCAGAAATCTGGGCTGGTCTTGAAAAGTAAAAAGGTAGAGACACAGAAAGCGCATTTCAGGAGAGTAATAAAAACAAATCTCACTAACCTCTAAACTTATTTTTCTTCACAGAACTCATAATTACCTGAAGTGTTATTAATCTGATTGTCTAACAGAATGTTCCTTTCATAATAGCAGGGATTTACCTTGCTCCCTTTCTGCTGTATTCCCAGTTTTTACAACCCAGCAGGCAGTCAAATACTTGTTGAATAAGGAAATGTATACTAAGCTGAATTAAACCTGAAGGCAGTTTTTTATTGGTAAATGTAAGTTACAGTGAAAATTACTTACTTACCAATATACCAGAGGGGCCAGTATGTCACATTGTAGTATGAACTAATCAATTTTCCAGTCCTGAAAAAAAATTAGAAAGGCTTTCCAGTGAACCTAAAAACACCAAAAATCAAAAACAAACACAAAAACCTGTGGAACCAGCCACTGGCTTCTTAAAGTTTCACTTTTTTTGGACTGATTCACTTACATTTCAGTATATATCATTCCAGCCATAGATACATTTAGGAGTCCCCAGGCTAAGACCACTTTCCTAGCCTCTGTTTCTTTTCTCATCTTGATGGTTCTGTCAATAAGGGAAGCACTAGGGTGTGCCTCCCCCTGCATCTATGAAAAAACAAAAAGCACAGGAATTAACCAGAAGAAACTATTGCTCCATTTAAAAACCAAATTTTGCATCCCTTATAAAGGTAACTGAAACCGCATATACCTTCTCTCATCTTTAAAATGTTTTATCAAAACTTCTTCCATTTTAATATCAGTATATGAAAAGGGAACCCAAAATTATATGTAACTTAATTGGCATCACAGTGTAATCAACAGAGAAGTGGCTGGTTATTTATCTATTTATTTGTTTTGAGACGGAGTCTTGCTGTCTCCCAGGCTAGAATGCAGTGGCGCGATCTCGACTCACTGCAACCTCCGCCTCCCGGGTTCAAGCGATTCTCCTGCCTCAGACTCCCGAGTAGCTGGGATTACAGACGCCCGCCACCGCGTCCGACTGATTTTTGTATTTTTAGTAGAGACGGGATTTCAACATTTTGGCCAGGCTGGTCTCGAACTCCTGACCTTGTGATCCACCCGCCTCGGCCTCCCAAAGTGTTGGGATTACAGGCGTGAGCCACCGCGCCCAGCCGTGGCTGGTTATTTAAGAACAATTTAATACTTCCAATACATAAAAATGTCTTATTTTGTAATTTAAGGGTTATGTCTAGAAATACTTTGTATTTTGTCTTTGGGGTATGTTACACGGACTAGGCAAAAGGCTAACTTCAGAAACTCAAAATGTCAAGTTTTGGGAGACTATATTCCATATCTGCTGTAAGTCATAAAGACTGTTGTACATCCTCATGCAGACGCCATTACTATCTCAACAACTCTGCACTTGGACAGCTGTACTCCAGGGCTCTCCCTTTTGTGTGTGGATAAAGGACAAGGATCCAAGTTTTAGAAGGGCACGTACTTATGATGGGGTGGTGAGCGGAGTAAGAGGGAGAGAGGGGAAAACGTGCATTGTTTTGGTCCACATTTGGGATTTATAATTCCTCCTTTCTTCAGCTAGGCTCAACTCTTACAGACCGTGCAAAACTTGTTCCAGCGACAAGCAGTCGTATCCCACAGAGGACAGAGCAATAGCTTTCGCGCCACTCAGCCCCCGCGTCCCAATTTCCCAGTCCAGAGCTTCCCTCCCCGGCTCCTGGGCACGAACTTCAGCAACCCTATTGCTTCTTTCTTCCCTTCCCCTAGAGAGGCGGAACGCCTAGCCACATCCCCCTTGGCTGAACCCAGGACAGATCAGCAGGCGCGGAACTCCCACAACCCGCGTAGATTCCAAGACAGGAAGCACAAACACGACCCCGAAAACGCACCATGTCCTCTGGCCGGAAAACGCAGGCTCGCGCCACTCTCTCTGGGCATGCGCAAAGCCAAGCTCAAGCGGGAGGCCACCGGCAAGCGGCTCTAAAGTTACCGGAAGAACTAGGTAGTCTCTTCTCGCGAGAAAGGGAGGGGTCGCAGGCCCAGGCGCTCGGAGCGTTACCAGGGAAACAGGTCTCGGTTTTGCGGCTCCCACTCAGCTGCGGGAGAAAGCTAAGCAGCAAAATTCAGACCAGGCTCTGAACCCGCAGTAAAAAGTAATAATTGTAACAAGCTGAATTTTGTATCTATTAATATAATTTTAGCTTCCCTAGGGCATTTATGGACTCACATGTGTAAACTGATTAAGTAGGGCGGCTCACCGTAGGATAGAGTGGCGTGATAAAGTGGCCAGACACCATCAGTGACAAAGCATTTCTTTCCCCTGTGTTAAAGTATCTATGTCAAGAGTCCTGACCCCATGTAATTTTTTTTTTGGTAGAGACAGGGTTTCGCCATGTTGGCCAGTCTGGTCTCGATTTCCTAACCTCAAGGGATCCGCCCGCCTCAGCCTCCCAAACGCCTGCTGGCCTCCCACCGCCTTTTGGGATTACAGGCGTGGCCCACCGCGCCCGGCCTAAATTCTTAATCTGTTTAATAGGGTGCAGCAATAACAAGCACACCCAAAATTTGTTTTATTGAAGTTGCTAGTGGTTTTGAGGTTAAAAATAATAACACATTTTCGTATGTATTTTTTGGAAGAGCTGCTCATCCTGAGGAAAAGGTTGAGCTTTGTTTTATTTAGCACAAATACCTACAAGTGTGCCGCTGAGCCAGGCGCACGGATATAGAAAATAAGACCTTCCTGGTTATTACCCAGAGGAGCTCAACCCCAGCGGAGGCCCACAGATGCATTTCGGTGGCAGGTGAGGTGGATGCAGTGCTCCCCAAGGAGGCGCATCCAGCCCAGCCCCAGCTCTCGCGAGCTTCCTGGAGGAGATGACGCGTTAGAGTCCACAGCCAGAAACCCAGGGCCTGGGGACTTGTTCTGAAGTGTGCCTCCTAATAAAAACATTAAGCCATGCCACAGTAAGCTAGTGGATTACATCATGTATGTCCAATGGCCAAAGTTTTTCCTAAAATGATCCTAAGATTAATACCACGTGGTATTGTATATTAATGAAAATCGGCAGGTATGCTGTGCTCTTGAAGAGCTGTTAAGTTTTATCATTTTTAGATTGCTTTAGCAGCAATGTTGTTTTGCTCTAGTTTTAGATTTAGAGATGAACTAACTGGAAAATTGTTCAAAGTGAAAGGGCTCAAGGTGCAATCAAAATTAGAATACCGGCCGGGCGCGGTGGCTCACGCCTGTAATCCCAACACTTTGGGAGGCCGAGGCGGGCGGATCACGAGGTCAGGAGATGGAGACCAGCCTGGCCAAGACGCTGAAACCCTGTCTCTACTAAAAAGACAAAAAATTAGTAGGGCGTGGTGGCATGCGCCTGTAATCCCAATTACTCTGGAGGCTGAGGCAGGAGAATCACTTGAGCCTGGGAAGCCGAGGTTGCGGTGAGCCAAGATGGTGCCACTGCATTCCAGTCTGGGCGACAGAGTGAGACCCTGCTAAAAAAAAAAAAAAAAAAAATTAGAATACCGGTTTCCCACCCCCTCCATATGTGACTCTTTCCTAAGAAGAAATTGTATGCATTTGATGTAGTTCATAGTAGTTCATAACGGGCACATCTGTGTTTTTCCCTCTTAATCTATAAGCTGTTGTGCATTTATTCAAGGCTTAAAAAAGAACACCACTGACCAAATGACAGCATTATGTATTAGGGCTGCCATAACGCAATATCACAGACAGGTGGCTTAAACAACAGAAATTATTTTTTTCATAATTTTGGAGGCTGGAAGTCTAAGATCAAATTGTCAGCAGGGTTGGTTTCTCCTGAGGCGGGTCTCCTTGCAGACGGCCCCCTTGTATTGTGACCTTGATTTCTGTGCTCGTGAATCCTTGCTGTCTTCTTGTAAGGATACCAATTGTATTGGATTAGGGCCCTTATGACCTCATTTAACTTTAATTACCTCCTTAAAGGCCCTGTCTCCAAATAGAGTCACACTGGAGGTGAGGGCTTCAACATATGAATTTTAGGGAACACAGTTTGATCGGTAATACATTAGAACTGTCTATGATAATTTGCAATGGCATGATACATATAAAAGAGACTGAATTAAAATGAGTGGATACATTAAACACTTAGACGTGAAGATAGGAAAATATAGCATATACAAGTTTTAGGAAAAAAAATTAAGGCAGAATGCACCATATTGAGGTATGGGGGAAAATAACATAAACATTCAGAGGAGTAATTTGAATAACCTTCCACAAACTTAGAAGTCCAAGAAGCATTTGTCAGTTCCTAGAACAGTTGCTTAAGTATGTGTCATAATAGGTTGCCAAGGAAATTGTCATACATCATAGAGGGAGTGAAGTAGTTCCCAGTCATCTTTATCCCTTTAAGCATGGTTTATTTTCTGAGCAAGGAGTCATCATGGGAGACCTTTTTTCCTTATTTTGGGAGGTAGATCCTCCCCCAATACCTGTAAATTGTGCCATTCCAAATCAGGATTATGAATGCTGGAAGGATGACTCTTGTGGAACCATAGGGAGCTTCCTGCTTTGGTATTTTGTTATCGTATTTGTCCTGATGTTCTTCTCTAGGGCTTCTGTCTGGGTAGGATATCTTTTTTTCATTTTAAATAATATGTTTACTGTACACTAGGAAAATTTCCATAAAATACATTTACTATACTTTGATGAAACTACTTTTAAAAGTTGTTTAGTTTTAAAAATAATGCAATCTTATTCTGGAGAATCCAGGAATATGGAAAAGGATGAAGAGGAAAATATAAAGCTACAGTTATCCTCTTTCCCAGAGATAACCACTGTTAACATTTTGGAGTATGTTCTTCCAGTTTGGTTTTTTTCTCTGCCTTTCCCAATATATCTCTCTCCATTTCTCTATCTTTGATCTTACATGGTTGGCATTATATTGCATATATTTTCATATCCTGCTTTTTAAGCTTAATAATATATCAGAAATACTTCTTTAAATTATATTCACTCAGCAGCACTTTTAATGACTGCATAATTTTCTATATTTTGATTGCACCAAAAAATTGTGCAAGTTTGAAACATTCAGATTGTTTACAGTTTATCCATCTGCTATGTAATGCTGGCATAAACCTCCCTGCTGGTTAATGACTTCCAAATCCCTTTTCTAGCCATGTGATTCTAATCAAAGATATGAAAGTTGTCATATTGATAGGATACATGCTGTAGGATTTTGGGGTTTTTAGAATGAAGCAATACGCTTTCTGCACAGAATAAGCAGAACTAGACTAAACAGAACTAAAGTCACCACTAAAATGCCATCGTCTTAAGAATGAGATATCCCACTTTATCAGGACTGTGATGCTTCCAACATATTATGAGTAACCAAGCTCTTTTTTTTTTTTCTTGAGATGGAGTCTTGCTCTGTCACCCAGGCTGGAGTGAAGTGGTGCAATCTTGGCTCACTACAACCTCCGCCTCCCGGATTCAAGTGACTCTCCTGCCTCAGCCTCCCTTGTAGCTGGGACCACAGGCGCAAGCCACCACGCTCTGCTAACTTCTGTATTTTTAGTACAGATGGGGTTTCACCATGTTGGCCAGGCTGGTCTCAAACTCCTGACCTCAAGTAGTCTGCCCGCTTTGGCCTCCCAAAGTGCTGGGATTACAGGCATGAGCCACCGCGCCCAGCCGTAACCAAGCTCTTATAATTTGCTGACATGATATCCTTGCTGGCCATTAATACCAGGCTGATGATTAAGAAAACCACCATCATTTAGCATTATAGCCATAGGCCTGGGCTGGCAGTGGTAAGACTTAATGCTCTATGAGCTCGGATGGGGTGGAGAAGGTTTGTTATGTCCATGCCAGCTGGATTCCATTCTAATCAAAGACTCTTTGATAACCACCACCTCCTGGTGAAGAACTTTCATCTAAAGTCTAAATGCTTCTTAAGGTAAATACTTTGCCAAAAGGAGATTTAGAATAATGATAGCTTATATGTGTCTTAGACTCCCTAGCTAAGTATATTGAATTTGGCCTGGCAAGCAAAGCTACTTTAGAAAATTACCAAAAAAATTTCATCATGAATTAAGAGGTCTAAGCTATTTTTTTTATTTTTATTTTTTGAGACGGAGTCTCGCCCTGTTGCCCAGGCTGGAGTGCAATGGCACGATCTTGGCTCACTGCAACCTCAGCCTCCTGGGTTCCAGTGATTCTCCTGCCTCAGCCTCCTGAGTAGCTGGGATTATAGGCGTGCATCTCCACGCGCAGCTAATTTTTGTATTTTTAGTAGAGATGGAGTTTCACCATGTTGGCCAGGCTGGTGTCGAACTCCTGACCTCGTGATCCACCCGCCTCGGCCTCCCAAAGTGCTGGCATTACAGGCGTGAGCCACCACGCCTGGCCCAGTCTAAGCTATTTTTTCTGCTCCCTTGCTTGCATCAGCTCTTGGGAGTCATACAGCCTTGAGCTTCCAGGACCTCAAGAGAGCATGTGGTCCAGCCTTCTGTTTGTAGGCAAGTAAGTTATCATTATCCCTCCCCCACTCATTTTTTTATTGATAAGCCCCAAGTAAATTAAGTGACTTGTCCAATGTCACAAAAGTGTTAGTGACAGAAGGGGAATATACCCAGATTTCCTGTCAAATTATTTGTTTGCTTCAAAGCATAGTTTGAAATGTCCACTTAGATCTACTCAGTCCTGATTAAAACCTTAATTATTTTAGAGGTTTCGTTTTTCACTTTGTACCCTTGTGGCAGCTACAATCAGCTAGACTGCTTCTTCTGAAGGGTCCCAGATTTGAAATCTGAGAACAATATGAGAGCTAGTAAAGGAGGATGGAATTTTTCCTTCACTTTGAACTTCTTCATTTTCTCTGCTAAACTATGAGGCTTTATTTACAAACCTTGAAGTAATGGTAAAAGCACGATGGAAATGTGGTGGTAATTATCCTCCAACATGAAGCACGCTGATTTCCTCTGAATTTGCCACTTTTTAAAGTGGCATTTACCCTTTTGCTTTCAGACTATAAATACTATATTTAGTTTATATTTTTATTTTGTGTTTATTCAGATTGCTAGTGCTGGTATTTTTCTGGACAATGGTAATCCAAACACCTTATTTTGCTTATGTGGAAACTGAGCTTAAGAGGTGTTAAGTGGCTTGGAAAAATCAAGAGTTGTTAGTGGCAGAAAGAGAGCCACGGCCCACATTTTCTACTCTGCCCCTCAGGGCAGGCACTCCTGCTGTTTTCACTCACTGAGTCACAAAGACAGTTAATAAAATGCTTTTCGTAACCACAGTTCATATGATCCCACTTAGTTTAATGCAAAATCTTTCTTTTGATTTTGTGGCTATGTTTTGATTTGACATCAAATGTGAGAGCTTTCTGTGGAAATGATATAAGCCTAATAAGTGTTTTTAAATACCTTCTCCTGTCTATTACAAAAGTACACATTATATAGAAAATGTGGAAATTATAGGGCAGAAGACAAAATAAAATAAAAATCACTCCAGATTATGTAGAAATAACCAACTACTGTTAACTTTTAGGTTTATAAACTTCCAATTATTTTGATTTTCTTTACATATATTAAATTTATTTTTTTCCTTTTCTATAACCTAAGTGATACATATTAAATTTAAAATATTTAAGCCTCTTCCAAAAGCATTTTTTATAAAGTGGTATCTTTTTTTTTTTTTTTTTGAGACAGAGTCTCGCTGTCACCCAAGCTGGAGTGCAGTGGTGCAATCTCTGCTCACTGCAAGCTCCGCCTCTCAGGTTCACACCATTCTCCTGCCTCAGCCTCCTGAGTAGCTGGGACTACAGGCACCCACCACCACACCCGGCTAATTTTTTTTGTATTTTAAGTAGAGACAGGGTTTCACCGTGTTAGCCAGGATGGTCTCGATCTCCTGACCTTGTGATCTGCCCGCCTCAGCCTCCCAAAGTGCTGGGATTACAGGCATGAGCCACCGTGTCTGGCCAGAAAGTGGTATCTTAAAAGTGAACTCCGCTTTCAAGATTTTTGGAGAATGATTGCTGTAACCCAGAAAACAAAAAGGCACCTCATTAAAGATGCTTGCCTACCATTGCAGAGATCAGATATTAAGAATGAGCTGAGGATCTTAGATTGCAGTTATAAATACCGAACTATGGCACTTTTCATCCCAAAGAAACTGGACTTCCACATAAACTCATTTTTTTCCTAATTGTAGACAATTTGAAAAAATTAGAAGAGAAAAAGTCCATTTCACCACTTAAAGCCAACCATAGCTATCACTTTTATATGCTCCTTAAAGTCTTTTTTTTCATATTTTAAGCTAATTTGTCGCTCAAGCTGTATATACAAATTTGCATCTTGATGTTTAACCCAGTATGGTAGCACACTTATTTCCTCATGTTATGACATACTTTTATTATAATAATTTTACAACTGTTTATTATATAATTGTACCATAATTTACTTAAACCATTGTCTACTTTTGAATTTTCTATTATCCTAATTATACTGTGATGAATGTTTCTGTGGACAAAGCTTTCTTTCTTCTGAGGGTTATTTCTTGCTGATAGATTCCTGGAGAGAGAATTATATGTCAAAGGTGTTAATGAAAATTTCTAGTTTTTGTTATTTTCTGAAAGAGTTGGTTTATATCTGTGTCTTTTGGCAAAATCACTTTCAGCATTAGAAAGTGGGACACTAATCTGAAAAATGGGACAAATATATTTATGGAGTATTGGGGGGCAGAATATTTGAAATTGAAACTATTCAAAGAAATCCATTTCTTTTGGTTGCTGTATTCACAAATAATATATCATGATTACATTTTGGAGGAAACTTTCGGAGGGATTAAGGAGATATTAAGTTCATGAATTCGGTAAAGATCTTTGTGTATGGTAGATGTCTTCTGTCTTAAAGAACTATCAGTAATGTACCCTGATCAAGTGTCCTTTAAGAACTAAACTAATCTGGGCCAGGCGCGGTGGCTTACATCCGTAATCCCAGCACTTTGGGAGGCTGAGGCAGGTGGATCACCTGAGATCAGGAGTTCGAGACCAGCCTTTTCAACATGGAGAAACCCTGTCTCTACTAAAAATACAAAATTAGCCGGGCGTGGTGGTGCATGTCGGTAATCCCAGCTACTCGGGAGGCTGAGACGGGAGAATCACTTGAACCTGGGAGGCGGAGATTTCAGTGAGCTGAGATCGCACCATTGTACTCTAGCCTGGGCATACAGAGCAAGACTCCGTCTCAAAAAAAAAACAAAAACAAAAACAAAAAAACAAAACAAAAAAACAACAACTAAACTAATCTGAGTACTATCAAATTTTTTAAAAACACTACTTCTCTGTAATGTAAATGGGTACAGGAAAGCTTTATAAGCTATAGCTCCTTGTCAGTGTTATTTTCTCTCAAGTCTGTTCCATTTTGTTTGGTCCAAAACATTTTGGTAGATGCTGCTATCAAAGCATAGTCTTAATGGGAAGTGGAAGTAGGATCACTATAACAGGAACTCAATACATACTGAATTAGCTTATTATTTAACTCAGTAAGTACTTGTTTAAACTGAATGTTTAAAATTAGACATTGTCAGGCCAGGCCCAGTGGCTCATACCTGTAATCCCAGCACTTTCGGAGGCCAAGGTGGGCAGATCACTTGAGGTCAGGAGTTCAAGACCAGCCTGGCCAACATGGTGAAACCCTGTCTCTACTAAAAATACAAAAATTAGCCGGGCGTGGTAGCGGGCACCTGTAATCCCAGCTACTTGGGAGGCCGAGGCAGGAGAATCACTTGAACCCGGAAGATAGAGGTTGCAGTGAGCTGAGATCATGCCACTGCACTCCAGCCTGGGCAACAGAGTGAGACTCTCCAAAAATAAATAAATAAAATAATAAAAAAATAAAACCAGACATTATAAATGGGCCTCAGCAATAGTGTTTTATAACAAGTACATATTATCAAAAAACAACTGAGATCACTCTTACTAACCTATGTTTCTGAAACAGATGTCTGAGGATAAAAAGGATGAAGGCAGTGGGACAAGTACTTCAGTAAGGAAAGGTGAGAACCAGTGCATATTTGGTGTTGGACTATGAGGGGAAGAATATGTGTGGTGTTGCATGCCTGTAGTCCCAGCTACTCAGAAGGCTGAGGCAGGAGGATTGCTTGAGCTAAGCAGTTCAAGACCACAGCTTGAGAACATAGTGAGACCCAGTACCAAAAAAAAAAAAAAAAAAAAAAGAAAAGAAAAGAAAAAGAAAAAAAGAAAAATGAAATAAAGACAAAGAAAGAAATTTGTGCTGAGTGTGGAAAGCAAAAAACAGAGATGAACAGCCAACAGCATTGTAAGACTTTGCACACTAGAGGAGGCCCATTGGGGTTGGGTGAGTTTTTGCTTTGGACTCCCTAGTGCAGAGGGACAGTTTAGCTGCTTAGCAAGAAGCTATGAATTACTGGGAGGTGGAACTCAAGTTCTTTTTTCACTCCTTAGCTCTCTCCCTTCACATTGCTTGCCCTTCCCACATCCTCATGGTTAGTGCTATTACAGGATTATGAACTGTCTATGACATCTTTTTCAATAACCTATAAGCAGTGGTGCACTGGTAAATGTTTAACAACTGGTTCTCCAAAACTCCTGTGTGTACATATGCTTACTAAAAATTTTACTGATATAAAGGTTGCACGTCATCTCAGCACCTCCAGAGGCTGAAGCAGGAGAACTGCTTGAGGCCAGGAGTTCAAGATCAGCCTGGAGAACATAGCAAAACCCTGTCTTTTTAAAAAAGAAAATTAGCTGGCATGGTTGTTCGCACCTGCGGTCTCAGCTACTCAGGAGGCTGAGGCAACAGAATCACTTGAGCCCAGGAGTTCGAGGCTGCCAGTGAGGCATAATCATGCCACTACACTCCAGCCTGGGCGGCACAGTGAGTCCCTGACTCTAAAAATTTAATAAATAAATAAATAAAAATAAATAAATATATATCACACCATTTAAAATAATAAAATATACAATACTCCTTATGGCCAATTTCATATAGACAACTGATTCTCACAAAACGCTCTCCTTCATTTTTGCCAGACCCTTGCACCTTAGCCAACCATGGCTGCAATTGATGAACAAGTATAGTTCCAGCGTGAATGTTATTTTCCTCTAAGTTAAGGAGTGAGATGAAAATGAAGCAGAAGATAGATGTATGTTGGAACTTAACTTGGTTGTCAGTGATGTGAGTGACTTCTTTGCTGGAATGGATAATAGTTCTAAAATACTGGAAGAATATTTCCTCATTTTGCAGGGTTAGTCACAATGTAGTGGCTACAGGGATGATACTGAAATGTAATATGTAATCTGCATTAGTAACATGTTCTCCATCATTTTCTTAAGCCTAGACAATCAACAAAGCCATACATCAAGCCCTGATGTTTAGTGTCTGCTGATTTTCGTGGTATAAATACTTCCACCAAAGCTGATTTTAAGCTATCCACCTCATGTCATTGAACATGGAGTTGGGAGGAGATGTGCAGTAGTGCACCCTTAACATAGAATTTCCGCCGGGCGTGGTGGCTCACGCCTGTAATCTCAGCACTTTGGGTGGCCAAGGAGGGTGGATCTCCTGAGGTCAGGAGTTCGAGACCAGCCTGGCCAACATGGCAAAACCCTGTCTCTACTAAAAATACAAAAAAATTAGCTGTGCATGGTGGCACGTGCCTATAATCCCAGCTGCTGGGGGGCTGAGGCAGGAGGATCACTTGAACCTGGGAGACAGACATTGCAGTGAGCCGAGATCGTGCCACTGCACTCTAGCCTGGGCAACAGAGCGAGACTCCATCTCAAAAACAAAAAAAAACAAAACAAAAAAACAGCATAGAGTTTCCAGCATCCAAATACAACGGACATAAAAAACCAGAAGAGCACATAGCATAAACAAATGTAGTAAGATAATTAGGAAGTGATGGGTTTTGAGTATTACCTCTATTTTTAGTAACTTAATTTATTGTAAGTTGGTATAATTTAATTTTTAATAATGGCTATGTTTAACCATCTCTCAAAATTCCTGAAAGTTTATCAGCTCTTCTGAGCAGGTACAAGCCAACTTCCTCACACCACTACGTAAAGGAAAGATCCTTCTTAGTTCCTGCTCCCCAAATCACATTCATATACCTGCTTGAATCTGTAAGACTTCAATTTTCAAAGGGAAAAAAGAGTTCTTCCCTGGAAAAGTTTAGAGATCTTTTCCTTTGACCTTATGTTTAGCATCCACAAAACTTCAAAAGTGATATGGTGATATGTCAAGCATCTATCTAAGCTCTCTGGTCTGCAGGAGTTGGGATATGGTACTAGAAAATGCAGTCAGCTGCCAACACTTGCAGGTGACTGGAGAAAAGCAATGGCTTGACAACTGGCCACTAAGAGTGAGCTCACACGTGCACAGGCTTCTTAAGTAATAGGAATTCATAGTAACCAACAATATTACTAACTTGATATGTTTCATTGGTTGTTAGCAAGCAAAGAGACTTCCTGTAAGCGGCAAAGCAAAGACAGTGCCTGGGATCCCTCACAAACAATGAAGAAACCAAAGCAGAACCAACTTACCCCTGTAACCAACTCAGAAGTGGCTTTGGTCAATGCCTATCCTGAACAAAGACGAGCCAGGCGCCAGTCTCAGTTCAATGAGGTGAACCAGAACCAACATGACAGTGATACTACGGAGTATGGCAGTGAAGAGTCTAACTCAGAAGCCTCCTCGTGGAAGGAGAGTGAAAGTGAACACCACCCATCACCAGACAGTATTAAGAGGAGAAAAATGGCTCAGAGGCAAAGGAATCTGGGAAGTTACCAAATGAGCGAAAGGCACTGCCTCCACTGCAAAGCCTTGAGAACCAACGAATGGTTGGCGCACCATTCCCGACAGAAGCCTTCAGTAACACCGCCAATGAAAAGAGACAGTCAAGAGGAAAGTTCCATATCTGACATTAACAAGAAATTTAGTAAATTTTGAATTTTATCACGTTCTTCCTTCACTTGAAGCCAAATGAAAGAGATGAATAAAACATGAAAAATCACCAGAGCTATAGGTGAGGAGACTTTTACAACAAAGTCTCTCTACCAACAAACAAAAACATACTTGGAACCCAAGAGGTAAAATCTCACACAATTCTTCGTTCAAAAAAAAAAAGGCCATCACGTGTTTATGGCACCATTGGAACACCAAAGATCTATATCTGCTATGATTTTTTTATTTGAAATAGCACAAGACAGATATTTTGTGCCTTGAGTGTATATATTTTGTGCCTTGAGTGTATGTATTTTGTTTATGTCTGTAATATGAATAAGAAAGCTCTTTGAAAATGTATTATTTATGTTGAGAAACCACTTAAATGTATTCAGATGTTTTGCTTATCTGACTGACTGAATGAACTAGGTGAAGTTGGTTGGAATAGAATTGCCCCATCCTCTCTAGGTTTGACCCTACAAGAACTGTATTGCCACACATGTCAGCTAGGGGCTGGTGTGGAAGAGGAGCTCAAGAGGCTGGAATAAGATCTGATTCCTGGAGTAGGGAGGAGAGGCAGCATGACCCAGAAGGCAGTTGGCAGTGGGCTACCCACGGTTGTCATCCACAAAGTGCATGGCAAATGTTAAAGGAAAAATTATTCTGACACTTGTTAAAATGGCCAGGAGGACTTCATTCAAGACTCTATTGCAATAGAGAGTAGAAATTGAGCTCCACTCTGAATACAACAAGGACAAGTGGGGATTTATAGCCAGGAGCAGGAGGAGGACATCACAGGATGGGAAATTACCAAAGAGAGACATCAAACATAGGAGTATTCCTGATAAAGTGACCTAACAGGATTCATGCTAAAGGCAGGCCAAGGACTTACACATCAAAAGTGGAGAATGAGGCCAGGCGTGGTGGCTCATGCCTGTAATCCCGGCACTTTGGGAGGCCAAGGCAGGCGGATCACCTGAGGTCAGGAATTTGAGACCAGCCTGGCCAATGTGGTGAAACCCCACCTCTACTAAAAATACAAAAATTAGCCAGGTGTGGTGGCACATGCCTGGAGTCCCAGCTACTCGGGAGGCTGAGGCACAAGAAAAGCTTGAACCCAGGAGGTGGAGGTTGCAGTGAGCTGAGATTGTGCCACTGCACTCCAGCCTGGGCAATAGAGTGAGACTCTGTTTAAAAAAAAAAAAAAAAAAAGTGGAGGATGAGGAATTTGATTAGTTATTAAGGATGGGGAGATCCTCGATAAACTTATCCAGTAGGATTCTTGCCAAAATTGGGTTGGGCAGGTCAAAGACAGAATGGAGTCAAGATTGAGGCCTATTTGAGAAGAGGGCTCAGAGGAGCCTGACTAAAGTTTGGCCAAACAGAGAGTCTTTGTCACAAGTTAGGCACAATCCAGGCACAGTTGGGGCTAGGTTTTCTAGTTAAGTGGGGCCCCCAGGTGTGGGGAATGTAAGCAGGCCGAAGTAAATGGGTGGTCAATCTGGAGATCATCTTACCAGAATAGAAATGGGAAATAGCATGGATAGCAGGACCCCAGCTGTGATAGAAAACAAGGCGCAGATCCCAGAGGAGAGGGCTGGCAAGGACAAGATGAAGCAGCAGGGACCCTTATCATGCAGCTACAGTTCAAAGCAGGGCCTAAGTCTTGAGGAAAGCTGGGTGCAGTGGCTCATGCCTGTAATCCCAGCACCTTGCGAGGCTGGCAGGAGGATCACTTGAGCCCAGGAATTCGAAACCAGCCTGGGCAAAATGGTGAGACCTTGTCTCTATTGAAAAAAAAAAAAAAGGTCTTGGGTAAGGACTTGGGTACTATGTATGGTTAAGACTACAGGCTAATACTAAGGACTGAGCCTTTCATGGAGACAGGTAGGGGATGGGGACAGAGACCAGAGAGCTGTGACTTTGGGCCCATGAGTCATTCCTGATAAGAGCAGATTCCTCAACTGAATACAACAAAGATCCTTGGGAGGCAATGAGGGAGTCCCAACCACTGGGACTAGGCCACTAGAATCCACGAAACAGGGTAACATTTCTCAGCCTATTTGTGGAGGCTTTGTCTTATTCAGATTGCCTCAGGATTAGAACAGGTCTGGGCCCGGCGCGGTGGCTCACGCCTGTAATCCCAGCACTTTGGGAGGCTGAGGGGGGCGGATCATGAGGTCAGGAGATCGAGACCATCCTGGCTAACATGGTGAAACCCCCTCTCTACTAAAAAAATACAAAAAATTAGCTGGGCTGGGCGTGGTGTCAGGCGCCTGTAATCCCAGCTACTTGGGAGGCCGAGGCAGGAGAATGGCGTGAACCCAGGAGGCGGAGCTTGCAATGAGCCGAGATCACGCCACTGCACTCCAGCCTGGGGGACAGAGTGAGACTTCGTCTCAAAAAAAAAAAAAAGGATTAGAACAGGTCTGAAGGCACAGGTGAGAAGCAGTGAAGCTGTCCTCACAGAGTTAACAAGAAGTCTAGACAGAAATATAGTTATAAATAAGCACTAATCAGGCTGTACTTTGACCCACTTCCTTGTAACCCAAAGTCACTAGATCCTGACCATTTGTATCCCCATTGTTCCTACAGATGGGATTTTTGACATTAGAATTATAAGTCTTTTGTTTAAGAGCTGCTTAAGATGTTTTTCAGATCCCAGATTCTAAGGAAACAGCTAATGTTAACCAGTTTGAAGAACCCATCTCCCTGTCCATGACTTCACGCTGCACTCTTTGACCCCTCAGTGATCTCCACACTTTGGCCCACTCTATAATCCTGAAAAACCCAGCCGCCAAATCCTCAGGGAGATGGATTTGAGGTTTCCTGTCATCTGTTCATTTGGCAGACCTATGATTAAACCTTTCTCTGCTGCAGCCTGGGGTCTCAATGTATTGACTTGTTGTGCATGAAACTGCCTTTGCAAAATCATGACAGTAAGAGAAATCTGACCTAGTTGACTCCATCTTGCTTCTGACCTTTAAGCTGTCCTTGGCCATTCCTGGGCATAGGCCAAGCTAACTTTGGGAGGAATTTACAGTTTAACCTTAAAGCAAGGATGACAATACCCCTTCCCCAAACTAAACCACCTTTGTAAAACTAATGAAAGACCACAAAATTAGGATTATGAGAGGATCCTGAATTCTGAGAAGATGTAAGCATAGTTTCTGTAAACCCTTACTGCTCAGGAGTCATGTGGCCTGAGATGACAAGGTTTGTATTATCCCCAGTTGCTCCTATAGATAACATCACCATTGTAGAACCTAAAATTGGTTTTTTGAGATGTCTTTCAGACTGACCCCACCCAGACCTGTGGCGCATGACTCAATTGGTCCTGTGGCCCCATACAGAAGCAGACTGGGTGCATGAGGACCATTTTCCACACCCCTGTGATTTCATCCCCACTCAATTGGCAGCACTCATTCCCTAGACCCTTGCCCACCAATTTACCTATAAAAACCCTAGCCCCCGAGCCTTTGTGGAGACTGATTTGAGTGATAACTCCAGTTCTTCTGCGTGGCCAGCCTCGTGTCAAACTCTTTACTGCAATGCCGTGGTCTTAGTGAATTGATTTTGTCTAGGCGGCAAGCAGGAAGAACCTGTTGGGTGAACGCGAGCTTATCAGGCAGGAGACCTATTATGGTTACAGCAGAACAACTTCAAGATTCAGTAGTTCAAGCATCGACCTTTTCCACAAAAACTTTCCTTGCTCCTTGACACCCTCCTCCACTTTGTTCTCTCAGGCAGAACTCACTTTGCCCTCCCTCATCCTCCAGTGTGCCCTGAAAAGTTCTTTCTCAGCGCCTTTATCTTTTTTTTGAGATGAAGTCTTGCTCTGTCACCTAGGCTGGAGTGCAGTGGCGCGATCTTGGCTTACTGTAAACTTCGCCTCCCAGGGTCAAGCGATTCTCCTGCCTCAGACTCCTGAGTAGCTGGGATTACAGGTGCATGCCACCATGCCTGGCTAATTTTTGCATTTTTAGTAGAGACGGGGTTTCACCATGTTGGCCAGGCTGGTCTCGAATTCCTGACCTCATGATCCACCCACCTCAGCCTCCCGAAGTGCTGGGATTAACAAGCATGAGCCACTGCGCCTGGCCATCTTTAACATTTTGATGAATGCATTTGTTTGCAAGTCTCTGTCCCCAACATATGCTTATCCACCCTTTAAGGTAGAGTCCATGATTTGTTATCTTTGTATCTCTGTAGCCTAGCACAGTGCCAGACAACATGACAGATAAACAATGCAGTTGAATCAATATATTATACAAAGAGATTCCTGAATGTAAAGTGGTGGTTAGGGGAGCTGGGGAATCAGAGGTAGAGGAACCAGGGCAGGGGCCAGTATCCACAATTCAGTGAATAATTCTATTTCCAGCTTGATATGATCAAGGTGCTTAAATTATCCTAAGTAGTACCCTCCCTCCAAACAGCAGCAACAAAAGAACCAAGTTTAAAATATAGCAGTAAGTTGCAGAGGAAGGATTTAGACCCAAGTCATCTTGCTTCAGAGTTTGGGCTCTTAATTGCTATGACCTTAATCATTATCTGAAGATAGAAGGTATGATTCCAAGGTAAGTTAATCACCACTTCCCCCACAGTCATAAATGATGTCTAAGCAGATACAACCTCACCAGGATCTATTGGAAGATATGGACAATGGCGATTTTCCAAATAACAGAGTAAGGGCCCATGCACCCAAATGTTTTGCTTGTAGATAGAATAGAAACCAATGACACTATTACCCAAAGAGTCACTTTTCCTAGTCTTATTCATAGGACTGGAAGAGTTGGGGGGCTGAAGATGGCTGTCTTTAGGAAAAGGGAATCAGGATTGAGTTAAGTATGGGGGTATTATAAATCCTATAGTATGGGGTTAGCCAGGATAATCTGTGAGTACGTGAAACCAAAAACAGGCTAAACATAGTTGGGAGGATTATCCAAAGCCAAGGAGAGAATTGCACCAAATCAAATGGACAAGGCAGAAACATGATAGGATGAGAAGCAAAAGCATAGCCAGGTGCTTTGGGACTGGATCAGTGAACAAGGTGCACAACTGGTCAGGTGGGAGCTGGCTCATGAAACTAGAGCTGCTGGCTGGGCATGGTGGCTCATGCCTGTAATCCCAGCACTTTGGGAAGCTAAGGAGTGTGGATCACCTGAGGTCAGCAGTTTGAAACCAGCCTGGCCAGCATGGTGAAGCCCCATCTCTACTAAAAATACAAAATTAGCTGGGCATGGTAGCACATGCCTATAATCCCAGCTATTAGGGAGGATGAGGCAGGAGAATCACTTGAACCTGGGAGGCGGAGGTTGCAGTGAGCTGAGATTGAGCCATTGCACTCCAGCCTGGGCTACAGAGTGAGACTCGGTCTCAAAAAAAGAAAAAAAAAAAAAAAAAAACTAGGGCTGCTAATACTAGTCACAGCTGTTGCTGCTTTTGTGCAGTCTGGTGTGGGTTCTTAGGGTGGGGTCCCTGGGTTGCATAACAGTCCCCTCTTCAGTCATTCCTTGCTGGTTGGGATAAAGTAGGCCTTCTCTGGCTTTCATGGTCAAAGCCTGTAACCTGTTTGGGTGGTTTGCTTGAGGGAGGCATAAGATTCTCAGACTGGCCTCCTCTCTGTGGCCCATCCATGCAGCTGAGCATCAGAATGACCTCTGTGGCGATGTCCAGCTACGTTAAGTATCACGATTCTTTTTTTTTTTTTTAGATGGAGTTTCCCTCTTGTTGCCCAGGCTGGAATGCAATGGCATGATCTTGGCTTACCGCAACCTCCACTTCCCGGGTTCAAGCGATTCTCCTGCCTCAGCCTCGCAAGTAGCTGGGATCACAGGTGTGCACCACCATGCCCAGCTAATTTTATATTTTTAGTAGAGATGGGGCTTCTCCATGTTGGTCAGGCTGGTCTCGATCTCCTGACCTCAGGTGATCCCTCCCACCTTGGCCTCTCAAAATGTTGGGATTATAGGCGTGAGCCACCGTGCTCGGCCAGGTATCACAATCCTTATCAGGAACTGGGATGCAGGGAACTATGGGAGGTAGAGAAAGGTCACAGTCCAAACCAGTATCTGCCCTCCAGGATGGGGTGGTGTGGCTTTGGTGGGAGGAGAGATGAGCCAGTAGGTTAAATCTTACCAATAACAGCAGCAACAATAATAGCAATATTGGAAACGAGTAACATTTAGAGCAGGGGTACCCAACACCTAGACCATGGTGCGGTACTAGTCCGTGGCCTGTTAGGAACTGGGCTGCACAACAGGAGGTGAGCAGCAGGCAAGCCAGCATTACTGCTTGAGCTCTGCCTCCACCTCCTGTCAGATCAGCAACGGCATTAGGTTCTCATAGGAGCGCGAACCCTATTGTGGACTGCACGTGCGAGGGATCTCAGTTGCATGCTCCTTATGAGAATCTAATCCCTGATGATATGAGGTGAATCTAATGCCTGATGATCTGGGGTTTCATCCCCAAACCACCCGCCCAGCCCCCCACCCCTCCAATCCATGGAAAAATTGTCTTCCATAAAACCTGTCCCTGGTGCCAAAAAGGTTGGGGACTGCTGATTTAGAGATTGCTTGTCATATGCCAGGCACAAGGCAAGCAATTTATAAAGATTATTTATCCTTCACAATCCTGCAAGATAGATATTTCAATTTTACAGGTGATAAAAGTAAGGCTTGGAGTAATTAAATAACATACTCCAGGTCATACAGTTGGTAAATGGGGAGCTGGGCCTTGGTCTTGTCTGACCACAAATATTTTTTTGTGTTGTTTTACCATGATAGAACATTATCCATTAAAAAATTTATTTTTTATTTTTTATTTTTAGAGATGGGGTCTTGCTTTGTTGCCCAGGCTAATGTCAAACTCTGGGCCTCAGGGAGGCCAGGTGCGGTGGCTCATGCCTGTAATCCCAACATTTTGGGAGGCTGAGGCAGGTGGATCACTTGAGGCCAGGAGTTGGAGAACAGCCTGGCCAATGTGGCGAAATCCCATCTCTACTAAAAATATAAAAATTAGCCAGTTGTGGTAGCATATGCCTGTGATCCCAGCTACTCTGGAGGCTGAGGTAGGAGGATCACTTGAACCTGGGATGCAGAGGTTTCAGTGAGCTGAGATCGCACCACTGCACTCCAGCCTGGGCGACAGAGTGAGACTGTCTCAAAAAAAGCAAAACAAAAACTCTGGGCCTCAGGCAGTCCTCTTGCCTTGATCTCCCAAAGTGCTGAGATTGCAGGTGTGAGCCACTGCACCTGGCCTATTATCCAAATTCTTAATGAAGAGCAACTGATAAAAACTTGGGACACCACATACCAAATACCAAACCAAGTCCTGAGAGAGCAGAGGACTATTAATGGAAAACAGAGCCAAGAGTCAGAGGCTGAGCAGAGTTAGAAGCAGAAGTAACCTGGAGAGGTTTCACACCGTGTGGTGGTGAGGCCTTGCAATCACCTGACAGGTTCTTCCTGCCCACTGCACAGACAAAACCAATTCACTGAGACTGTGGGATTGCAGTAAAGAAAGAGTTTAATTAATGCAAGGCAGCCAAGAGGCAGGACTGGAGTTATCACTCAAATCAGTCTCTCCAAGAACTCAGATGCTAGGGTTTTTATGGACAATTTGGTGGACAGGGGGTTAGGGAACAGGTACTACTGATTGGCTGGGGATGAAATCACAGGGGTGTGAAGAATGGTCCTTGAGTGTTGAGTCTGCCTCTGGGTGGGGGGACCACAGGACCCGTTGAGTCACGAGTCAGGAGTCTGTGGGGTCAGTCGGTTGCCAGAATTCAAAAGCCTGAAAAACACCTCAAAAGACCAATCTTAAGTTCTACAATAGTGATGTTATCTATAGGAGCATCGGGGAAGTCACAGATCTTGTGACCTCTGGTCACATGACTCCTAAGCAGTAAAGGATTGTAGAAACTATGCCTACATTTTAGCAGAATTCAGGCTCCTCCCATAATAAAACCGCTTTTGCAAAATTATGACTGAGATAGTGAAAGAGATCTAATCTAACTGACTACACCTTGCTTCTAACCTCCAAGCTGTCCTTGTTGGGCGTAGGCTGAACTAACTTTGGGAGGAACTTAGTTCATAGTTTATAGTTTATAGTTTTTCTTTCCTTTTTTTTTTTTTTTCTTTTGAGACAGAGTCTCACTCTGCAGTGACATGATCTCGGCTCACTGCAACCTCCGCCTCCCGGGTTCAAGTGATTCTCGTGCCGCAGCCTTCTGAGTAGCTGGGACTACAGGCACCTGCCACCACACCCGGTTAATTTTTGTATTTTTAGTAGAGACAGGATTTCACCATATTGGCCAGGCTGGTCTTGAACTCCTGACCTTGTGATCCGCCTGCCTCAGCCTCCCAAAGTGCTGGCATTACGGGTGTGAGCCACTGTACCCAGCTTATAGTTTACAGTTTAAAACAAAGACGATAACAGCCCTTTCCCAAAACAAACCTCCTCCTTGTCTGGGGACTAGACTGCCTTTGTAGGACTAAGAAATTAGTCACAAGATTAGAAATTATGGTTTAGGAGTCGTGCAGCTGGAGGCTACAAGATTTTGTCCCTCCCTAAATTCCTCCTAAGATAAGTGCTTGAGATATTTTGCAGCCCCTGCACTTGATGGATCAGCTGGCACCACCCAGATCAATAAACTGGCTCATCTGATCTTGTGGCCCCTATCCAGGAACTGACTAAGCACAAGAAGACAGCTTCAACTCCCTATGATTTCATCTCTGACCAGTCAGCACTCCCGGCTCACTGGCTTCCCTGCACCCACTAAGTTGTCCTTAAAAACTCTGATCCCCTGGCCAGGTGCAGTGGCTCACGCTTGTAATCCCAGCACTTTGGGAGGCCAAGGCGGGCAGATCATCTGAGGTCAGGAGTTTGAAACCAGCCTGACTAACATGGTGAAATCCTGTCTGTACTCAAAAATACAAAAAGTTCGGGCAGGGCCGGGCGCTGTGGCTCACGCCTGTAATCCCAGCACTTTGGGAGGCTGAGGTGGGTGGATCATGAGGTCAGGAGATCGAGACCGTCCTGGCTAACACGGTGAAACCCCGTCTCTACTAAAAATACAAAAAAATTTAGCCAGGCGTGGTCCCGGGCGCCTGTAGTCCCAGCTACTCAGGAGGCTGAGGCCGGAGAATGGCGTGAACCCGGGAGGCGGAGGTTGCAGTCAGCCGAGATTGCGCCACTGCACTCCAGCCTGGGCGACAGAGCGAGACTCTGTCTCAAAAAAAAAAAAAAAATTTCAGGCAGATCACAAGGTCAGGAGATCAAGACCATCCTGGCTAACACGGTGAAACCCCGTCTCTAATAAAAATATAAAAAATTAGCCAGGCGTGTTGGTGGGTGCCTATAATGCCAGCTACTTGGCAGGCTGAGGCAGGAGAATGGGGTGAACCCGGGAGGCGGAGCTTGCAGTGAGCCGGGATCACACCAGTGCACTCCAGCCTGAGCGACAGAGCGAGACTTCATCTCAAAAAAAAAAAGCAAAACAAAAAATTAGCTGAGCATGGTGGCACATGCCTGTAATCCCAGCTACTCAAGAGGCTGAGGCAGGAGAATCGCTTGAACCTGGGAGGCGGAGGTTGCAGTGAGCTAAGATCGTGCCATTGCACTCCAGCCTCGGCAACAGAGCAAAACTCCGTCTCAAAAAACAAAACAAAACAAAACAAAAACAACAAAAAAACTCTGATCTCTGAATGCTCGGGGATACTGATTTGAGTAATAATAATACTTTGGTCTCCTGCATACCCAGCTCCGTGTGAATTACTATTTCTCTATTGCAATTCCCCTGTCTTGATAAATTGGTTCTGTCTAGGCAGCAGGCCAGGTGAATCCACTGGGAAGTTACAATAGTCCTAATTTTCATGGCCTTTTATTAGTTTTACAAAGAAGATTTCAGTCCCTGAGCAAGGATAGAGTTAGTTTTAGGGAGAAACTATTATCATCCTTGCTTCAAAGTTAAACTATAAAATAAATTCCTCCACCTAGGAATGAGCAAGGCCAGCCAGCTCATAAAGCTAGAAGCAAGATGGAGTCAGCCATGCTGGATTTGTCTCATCATCATAATCTTTGCAAAGGCGGTTTCCACCTTATGACATCAGCTTGCCTCCTCTGCAGGGGTTAAGCCTGGCCAGCTTAAGACAAAAAGGGAGAAATGGAGACTTAGCTGGTGAGGATAGAAATGAACTTTGCACTGACTGTTGAGAAACAAGGGACAGTAGGAACTAAAACAGTGAGGTTGATGGCCAAGGGTTTGAGTGGAGGAAAAGGAGGAGGGGATCTGGGTTCAGACCGCATGGGGAGTAAGAACTCTGATGTGAGTGGGCTACCTTGCTCCATCATCCCAGGACATGGTGAACCATAGAAAGAGGAGCAAAACCATGGTCAGGTACAGATCTGGTGAGAAGAGACGGTTATGAAAGTGGGACTGCAGACACTAGTCATGGCTGGATGTTGCTTTTGTGCAGAGTCTGGTGTGGGCTCTACACCAAGCTGAACACCATCAAGAAAACCTGATAGCAACTACGACTCTTCCCCAGTGCCACTCCTTTATCTAATGAAGGAGTGCTATCTTCCAACACATTCTAGAAGTAGTACTTTGAAAATGACAACCCATTAGCAGATTGTGAAATAAATTTAGTGGGTCATGATTCGCATTTATTAAATAATAAACAGAAAGTTGGTTGGGTGTGGTGGCTTACGCCTATAATCCCAACACTTTGGGAGGCCAAGGTGGGCGGATTACTTGAGGCCAGAAGTTCGAGACCAACCTGGCCAACATGGCGAAACTCTGTCTCTATTAAAAATACAAAAATTAGCCGGACATGGTGGCACACGCCTGTAATCCCAGTTGCTTGGGAGGCTGAGGCAGGAGAATCATTTGAACTTGAGAGGCAGAGGTTGCAGTGAGCTGAGATCATGCCATTGCACTCCAGCCTGGGCAACAGAGCAAGACTCTGTCTAAAAAAAATAAATAAATAAAAATAATAGAAAGTAATAGCATATCACACATAACAAGGGTAAGTATTATTAAGTGTGTGTGTACTGAATTGCAATGTAAAATGTATTTCTTATTATGTGTGATAAGAGAAAAGGGCTGAGCACAGTGGCTCACACCTATAATCTCAGCATTTTAGGAAGCTGAGGCAGGAGGATCACTTGAGCCCAGGAATTAGAGACCAGCCTGGGCAACATAGTGAGACCCCTGTCTCTAGAAAAATATTTAAAAATAGAAAAAAAAAAGATAAAAACAAAAGTCACTGCTCTAGAGTAGTTTTCTTTGTAGATTTTCCTGTATCATCTAGCAATACCACTAAATTAGTGAAGGCACTATCACTCCATGCTTTCCCAATTGTCTGCTAGGAATTAGTAAATCCTCACCCACACTATAGGATGGACCGTCTCAATTAGTGAAAAGCTTGAATTAAATTATACTACTTTAAAAGAACTTCAGGTTTATTATTTTCAAATACAAAAAGTGGAAGCAAGCTAACCAACTGTTGCCTGGTACACAGGGGTGGGTTTTGGCTTGGTGAATAGACAAGAGTTATTTGTAATTGACATTTCAAAGAAGCCTAAGAAACAGGCCAGCCTTTGTTTAAATCATAATTACCCTGTTTGTATGTAAAAGAATACTTCTAAAGCTTTTCAAAACAACTGGTTCTTTTAAGCAGATAATTATTCCCCTTCCAATCTTGTTTACACTACTATTCAGAACTTCAGTGAACTTTTTTTTTCATAGATAGTACAAAGGTTAACTTCAGCAAACCCTTCCTCAAATTATCACAAATTCCCAATTAGTGGATTCTAAACAGGGTTTCCTTGTAACAATATGCCGAAGACTTGCATGATGTGTTTTTTATTGCTTTGAATAACATCTGACAAGTTTCCAAGTACCAGGCCACCTGGATATTCTCTATCTGTCAGGAAAAGATAGAGGTCAAAGAGGTGGGTGGGAGGGTGGGGGAAATATAAATCAGGCCCATACATTCCTATACTATTAGAGGAAGACAAAAGGAAGAAAATGCTTTTTTCCCCCCCAAATATCTATTACATACCAACTGAATCTTAAATAATAGGCACTTTTTGGTGTAAAGAAGAGTTGCACTTACCATCTAAATTTAACAAAACCTCAGATGAAAATAGAAAGCTGACCTTTTTTGTATGTAGACTGGCAGTTATTGGAGAGGCCCAGGGAAGTTGGCAAGAGAAAGATGCATTATAAATAAATTATACTTGTCCTTTCTCGTTATTTCTTATTGCAAATTTCCACTCAGTGCACAAAGGGATAATGCATGAAATCCTTTTTTTAAACAAAAATTTTATGATCCTGAGCAATACTGTTTTCCAGTTCTTTCATCTTCTGAGCTCGGCCTTTTTCACAAGCTGTTCCTCAAGCCGCCTTATTGCAGGGGCCTGTTGTCTCTAATTGTCTTTGTTTATTAGGGCCCTCTGTCACCATGAAGTTTCACGTGTTCAAATCTTGATTTAGCAGTGAGAACACCAGGCTGAGAGCTAACTCTGCTACTAATTAGTGTAAATCACAAAAGGAGAAGTGGAGAGATAAAAACCAGGTCCTAGTGGAAGGGTCTACAGCCAGGGTTAGTAAGACTGACTGGCAGGTCAGAGGATTGAGGAAGAGACGAAAGGGCTTGGAGAAATGCCACTTAGGGTCAGCGTCTTTTTGTCTCTTTTCTCTGATTGTACCCCTTCAGATACAGAAAGGGTCTGAAGTAGCCTATGTTGATTCTTTTCCTTTCTTCCATTTTGTTCCATTGTTCCTGCTCTCTTACATGATTTACGGTTAAGTTCTGATTGGTCTAAGCCAAGCCTGGTGGTGCCATTCTCCTGGTCCATGAGTGGCTCAAGGGTGGGCATGTAATCTCATTCTGGGAAGGGAAGTTTGCTGGGGGGAGCATTCAGAGAAAAAAGTTTGTTCAGTCTTTCTTTAAAAAGACATGTGGAGAAGAGAAATAGTCCTTTTTCTTTTGGTGGTTGCTAGCAAGTCTGCACGTGATGACTGGAACTGTGTGACAGCCAGCTCGTGTCCATAGGGGCATTCGCCTGAGTATGACAGTGTGGAAATATGGAAAAGACTAGGTCCTGAGCTGCTGAATTAACAAATTCTGGAAACATCCTACTTTTAGATTTGTTGCTAGGCAAAATAATCCCTATTGTAAGTTGGTTTTTCTGTGACTTGCAGTTGATACAGGGTCTTAGTCATCTTCTTATGTTCTATAATTTCTAGAGCAGCTTCTTTTGCCTGGAAGGTGCTCTATGATGCCTAAATTGTTAAAGAAAAAAGTATGCGTGCTTCTTTGATGGGGGGGCCCATGGCTTTGCGTGTGTGGTGATTATGATCGTATTGAGAGGTGACAGCGTGCTGGCAGTCCTCAGAGCCCTCGCTTTCTCTCGGCACCTCCTCTGCCTGGGCTCCCACTTTGGCGGCATTTGAGGAGCCCTTCAGCCCACCACTGCCCTGTGGGAGCCCCTTTCTGGGCTGGCCACGGCTGGAGCCCACTCCCTCAACTTGCAGGTAGGTGTGGAGGGAGAGGCGCGAGCGGGAACCGGGGCTGCGTGCGGCGCTTGCAGGCCAGCTGGAGTTCCGGGTGGGCGTGGGCTTGGCGGGCCCTGCACTCGGAGCAGCCGGCCGGCCCTGCCGGCTCTGGGCAATGAGAGACTTAGCACCTGGGCCAGTGGCTGCGGAGGGTGTACTGGGTCCCCCAGCAGTGCCAGCCCACCGGTGCTGCGCTCGATTTCTCACCGAGCCTTAGCTGCCTCCCGGCGGGGCAGGGCTCGGGACCTGCAGCCCGCCATGCCTGAGCCTCCCACCCACTCCATGGTCTCCTGTGCAGCCCGAGCCTCCCCAACGAGCACCACCCCCTGCTCCACGGCGCCCAGTCCCATCGACCACCCAAGGGCTGAGGAGTGCGAGCGCACGGCGCGGGACTAGCAGGCAGCTCCACCTGCAGCCCCTGTGCGGGATCCACTAGGTGAAGCCAGCTGGGCTCCTGAGTCTGGTGGGGACGTGGAGAGTCTTTACGTCTAGCTCAGGGATTGTAAATACACCAATCAGCACCCTGTGTTTAGCTCAAGGTTTGTGAGTGCACCAATCAACACTCTGTATCTAGCTGCTCTGGTGGGGCTTTGGAGAACCTGTGTGTGGAAACTCTGTATCTAACTAATCTGATGGGGACGTGGAGAACCTTTGTATCTAGCTCAGGGATTGTAAACGCACCAATCAGTGCCCTGACAAAACAGGCCACTCGGCTCTACCAATCAGCAGGATGTGGGTGGGGCCAGATAAGACAATAAAAGCAGGCTGCCAGAGCCAGCAGTGGCAACACGCTTGGGTACCCTTCCACACTGTGGAAGTTTTGTTCTTTTGCTCTTTGTGATAAATCTTGCTACTGCTCACTCTTCGGATCCACACTGCTTTTATGAGCTGTAACACTCACCATGAAGATCTGCAGCTTCTGTCCTGAAGCCAGCGAGCCCATGAGCCCACCAGAAGGAACGAACAACTCCAGACGCGCTGCCTTGAGAGCTGTAACACTCATCGGGAAGGTCTGCAGCTTCACTCCTGAGACAGCGAGACCACGAACCCACCAGAAGGAAGAAACTCCTAACACATCCGAACATCAGAAGGAACAGACTCCAGACGTGCCACCTTAAGAGCTGTAACACTCACCACGAGGATCCGCGGCTTCATTCTTGAAGTCAGTGAGACCAAGAACCCACCAATTCCGGACACTGTATTAGTCCGTTCTCGCGCTGCTATTAAAGAAATACCTGAGACTGGGTAATTTATAAAGAAAAGAGGTTTAATTGGCTCACAGTTCTGCTGGCTATACAGGAAGCATGGCTGAGGAGGCCTCAGGAAACTTTCAATCATGGTGGAAGGCGAAGAGGAAGCAGGAACGTCTTACATGCCTGGAGCAGGAGAAAGAGAGTGAAGTGGGAGGTGCTACATACTTTTAAACAACCTGATCTTGTGAGAACTCACTGTCATGAGAACAGCAAGGAGGAAATACACCCCCACGATCCAATTGAAGTAGGATATTTCCCTGACTCCTTTGCAGGACTCATGAAGGGGGTGCCCTGTTTACTCAGCCCACAGCTCCCAACTCCTTGTGGAAGGGAGTGCATGGGTGAACGAGACAGGAACTGGAGAACATGAGCACTGGAGTCAGCTGGCTACTCTGGTGCCAGCAGGAGTGAACTCCACTCAGACCCACTGAATTCTACCCCTTGCTGGAGGGGGTGTGCAGGTGAATGGGTGCAGGAGCTGGGGCAAGTGCTTTGGGGGGCCAGTAGGAGCCAACTTCTTGCTGGTCCCATGGCAGCGTCTATGGGGGTGCTTGCGACCCCTGAAGACCCAGAAGGTGTGTTACAGTGCTCTTTTAGCTCTGCCATCCATGGATGGCTGAAGTGTTATCAACTCAGAGGGCCCTCTGCCTTTTTGCATGAGGCGGCTGCCTTCCGCCAGTGAGAATAAAGGGTCAGTGTGACAGCCTTTTACGTCCTCACTCTTGGCTCCTGAATTCTTGTCCAGCATCCAGGAGAAACGAGGTCACATGAACAAATTGAAGGATGGTAAATGTGGGGAATTTTACTGCTGATGAAAGTGACTCTCAGTGAGAAGGGGAGCTGAATAAGGGATGGGGTGGGCAGGTAATTTTCCCCTGGAGTCTGGCCATCTCTGGCTGGATTCTTCTCTGAAATTACACTGTCAGACTGTCCCTCTGAAGTCAAGCTGCTTCTCTCCAACATCCAACCATAGTCTCTGAGGTACAGCTGCTTCTCAGGGATTTTTATGGGCACAGGATTTGGGGTAGGGCAGGCCATGGGTAGTTTTGGAAAATACAACTTTCAAGCAGGAAAATGGGAATGTAAGTTCTCACTTTGGGCTGCTGTTTCAGGCTGTTTGTCTTGAGGGTGGGGCCCTCACTGGGGACCTGCCCTTTTCTGCCCAGAATTTCCCTGCCTCCTGTCCCTATCACAATCACCTTCCATCAGGCCACTTCTCCAACAGTGGGGATTACAATTCAAAATGAGATTTGGATGGGGACACAGATCCAACCTATATCGATGCCGAGAGCTATTAATAGCTGAGGGAAGGTTTTTGTAAATGTTTTGGACTTTTTCATGTTGCCTGTCTCCTCCCTTTTCTTTTCCAGGAGCCACCACTTCTTCCAGTTCTCATGAATGTTGACACAGTGTGATGCTGCTCTCTACCACCTCACCTTCACCTTGACCAAGCATAGACTGCAGTAGGACTCTCTTCCAATCTGAGATGCTTCCTGAGAAGTTGGAATTGGGACCAGGAAAGAGATCAGTCTCTGGGTGACTGCAACTAGAACAGGTTTTCAGGCTCTACATTTCCCTCCATGTAGATTGGGAAACAGAAAAAGCAGATTATTACTGAAAGAAAAAAAGAAACAGGACCAAGCATGGTGGCTTATGCCTGTAATCCTAGAAGTTTGAGAGGCCATGGGGGAGGGATGGATTGAAGCCAGGAGTTCAAGACTCTACCTTTCTTTTTTCCCCCAGATGGAGTCTCACTCTGTTGCCCAGGCTGGAGTGCAGTGGTGCAATCTCAGCTCACTGAAACCTCCACCTCCTGTGCTGAAGCAACCTCCCACCTCAGCCTCCTGAGTAGCTGGGACTACAGGCACATGCCACCATACTTGGCTAATTTTTGTTTTTGTTTTTATTTTGAGACAGAGTTTCACTCTGTTGCCCAGGCTGGAGTGCAGTGGCATGAGCTCAGCTCACTGCAACCGCTGCCTCCCAGGTCAAGTGATTCTTGTTTCTCAGCCACCTGAGTAGCTGGGAGTACAGGCGCCTGCCAACACGCCCAGCTAATTTTTGTATTTTTAGTAGAGATGGGGTTTCGCCATGTTGGCCAGGCTGGTCTTGAACTCCTGACCTCAAGTGATCCGTTCGCCTTGGCCTCCCAAAGTGTTGAGATGATAGGCGTGAGCCACTGTGTCTGGCCTACTTTTTTGTTTTTTGTAGAGATGGAATTTTACCATGTTGCCTAGGCTGATCTTGAACTCCTGGTCTCAAGGGATCTGCCCACCTCAGCCTCCCAAAGTGCTGGGATTACAAGTGTGAGCCACTATGCCTTGCCAGACCCTGCCTCTTTAAAAAAAAAAAAAAAAAAAGAAGCAGAGGAGATGGAATGTTCTGATGTTTTTCTTTCTTTCTTTTTTTTTTTTTTTGAGACTGAGTCTTGCTCTGTTGCCCAGGCTGGAGTGCAGTGGCGTGATCTTGGCTCACTGCAAGCTCCGCCTCCTGGGTTCAGGCCATTCTCCTGCCTCAGCCTCTCAAGTAGCTGGGACCACAGGTGACCACCACCACACCTGGCTAATTTTTTGTATTTTTCGTAGAGATGGGGTTTCACCATGTTAGCCAGGATGGTCTCAATCTCCTGACCTCGTGATCCACCTGCCTCGGCCTCCCAAAGTGCTGGGATTACAGGTGGGAGCCACCGTGCCCGGCCAGTTCTGATGTTTTTCAAATCCCTGATTCTAGGTCATTTCTAAGGCCCATCTGTTTACACACTCATAGGCACCATGACACTTTGCTAGCAGATTTTTATAATAAACCCCCCTTTTCACTTATGCTAGTTCAAGTGGGATTGTATTACTAGAAACCAAAAAAATCCTTAAGGTAGTGGTGTGCTGGTAAATGTTTAACAATTGGCTCTGATTGTTAACAGCCCTGATTTTACAACACCTGTTGATTTCCATAATATAAATACTCCCACTATCACTTCTCTCAAGTGGCAGCATGAAGGTGGAGTTGGGCTGAGACAACTGTGGAGTCCTGATAAGTGAGCCACAGTGAGGAAGGGGCCCCAGGTGGAGGAGGGCCCCAGGTGGAGAAGAACAATGAACAATTTTTCTGAGAGACAGCTAATCACAAACAACCCCCAGGCACAATGACCTCCATGGACACAGCTACCTCTTCTGTTCGTAGTCCCAGCAGCACGACCTTGTTCCGCATGTAGCCCCTTCCATCATGACCCTATAAAACTTCCCTTTAGTCCGCCTCTTTGCAGACAGCCCCTTCTCTGCTGTGCTGCCTGTTGCAACCTTGAAGCATGTTTTCATACCTTCTGTAATCTGCCTTTCTTTACCTAAAACTGTCTAGGTAAATTCCTTTACCACCTGTGCCACTGGCCCCAAATAGTCGCTACCCGCTGCAACAAGCACATTGGTTTTGGTGAGCTGGTGGGAGGTGGCTCTAGCACACCACTGGCTAAAGAACACAACACATAACCCATATTAAATACTAATTATGGAAAGCCATTGTTTTGGACTAAGTTTCTGCTGTAGGCCCCAACAGACCAGACCTAAGACCAAAATGGAATCATTCATGCTAAAGTTCCAGGTCACCCAGCCTACACTAAGTTGTTATCTGACCTTCAGAGAAATAAAGAGAAAGAGATAACAGCCAATTTCCCAAACAGGCCAGTTAAAAATCTTCAATAGGCTGGATAATGCAGTTATCTCTCTAAACCTTACACAAAAAAAGTAACCTGAAGTAACCTGACATTGACTGATCAGTTGTTTTTCTATTGTTCTGTGTAAAAGTAACGAATATACTCTTTGTTCTTTGCTTTCTTCAGCTCTGTGATGGTTAATACTGTCAACTTGATTGGATTGAAGGATACAAAGTATTGATCCTGGGTGTGTCTGTGAGGGTGTTGCCAAAGGAGATTAACATTTGAGTCAATGGGCTGGGAAAGGCAGACCCACCCTTAATCTGGGTGGGCACCATCTAATCAGCTGCCAGTGTGGCTAGAATATAAAGCAGGCAGAAAAATGTGAAAAGATGAGACTGGCCTAGCCTCCTGGCCTACAACTTTCTCCCATGCTGGATGCTTCCTTCCTTTGAACATTGGATTCCAAGTTCTTCAGTTTTGGGACTGGGACTGGCTCTCCTTGCTCCTCAGCTTGCAGGCAGCCTATCGTGGGACCTTGTGATCATGCGAGTTAATATTTAATTTTTTTTCTCGAGATGGAGTCTTGCTCTGTTGCCCAGGCTGGAGTGCAATGGCGTGATCTCAACTCACTGCAACCTCCACCTCCTGGGGTCAAGCGATTCTCCTGCCTCAGCCTCCCAAGTAGCTGGGATTACAGGTGTGTGCCACCACGCCCGCCCGGCTAATTTTTTGTATTTTTAGTACAGATGGGGTTTCACCATGTTGGCCAGGCTGGTCTCGAACTCCTCACTGCGTGATCCACCTGCCTCAGCCTCCCAAAGTGTTGAGATTACAGGTGTGAGCCACCACGCCCAGCCATGAGTTAATATTTAATAAACTCCCCTTTATATGTATATCTATCCTATTAGTTCTGTCCTTCTGGAGAACCCTGACTAATACAAGCTCAATTCATTGGAACACTTATTCTGTCTTATGGAATGAAGTGTTGCCTGATCCTAGACTTGCAAATAAAGCTAGCTGAGATCTTTAGCCTCAATTTGTTATAATTATGTCTTTTGACACACACTTCTCAGTTATATAGGAGGTTCAGGGACGTATACTGATGGTTGCTAAGTTAGGAATTCTGGTCTACTAATCTTTTAATTAGTTTCAAATGTGCAGAGACTTGGGGCTCAGGGAGTAGAAGAAATAAGACTAAGCTCTTAAATCATATTGAAAAAATACTTTTGTTGTATAATAATGCTTTTATGTGTATTGGGAATGGGAGGGAGGTAAGGGGCTGAGGAAGGAAAACTAGCTGTAAATGCAACTGGGAAGATGTGGAAGAAGGTGGCCTCTGCGAAGGAAGTCTCCAGACCTTGACTAAAAGGACAGGATTACCTTCTTCAGGTGAGGAGCAGCCTTCCAGGCTACCTGAAACCCCCAGCTACCAAACAAAACACTAACTCAGTTCACTGGGCCATCTCATGTTAGATCTCCTGACCTGCTTTGCTTTTGTCTGAAGTTCCTTTAAGGACAGAAAACCCTTTTTTCTTTTTCTTTTCTTTTCTTTTTTTTTTTTTGAGACCGTCTTGCTCTGTCGCCCAGGCTGGAGTGCAGTGGCCCAAACTTCCCTCTCTGCAGCCTCCTGGATTCAAGTGATTCTCATGCCTCGGTCTGCCAAGTAGCTGGGATTACAGGCATGCATGACACCCGGCTAATTTTTGTATTTTTAGTAGAGATGAGGTTTCACCATGTTGACCAGGCTGATCTCAAACTCCTGACCTCAAGTGATCTTCCTGCCTTGGCCTCTCAAAGTGCTGGGATTACAGATGTGAGCCACTGCACCCAGCCAGAAAACCTTTTGTTACACAATTAAAGACAAGGTATAGAATGCATATTCAGAATGGGAGTAATATTTTTATTGTGAATGAAGGCAAATAATCAATTATTAGCAAGGCTCACGTGGCTGGCAGCAGATCCTTCCCTTCTTTGATGAGGGGAGATTGGAAGGGGTAGAGAAGGATGGTGTCAAGGTCTGCAGGGAGCGTCTTCTAGGCTGGCCAGCTGCACACACACTTGGTTCTCTGCCTCAATAAAGACACCAAATCTTCAAATAAATTCTTAAAGCCCTCTTCAATTTTAAGACCAAGCTTTTAGGTTGGTCTTTCTAACCAACCTCTAACATTTTCTATGGCTTTCTCAGGAAAGCTGCTTTCATGGTTCAGACCCCTGTTGTAGCATTGATCTCATTTTATGCAATTGACTGACAGCAGTCTCTCCTCTCGTCAGTGTGGTGTTCAAATAGAGTTTTTGGACATTATACACCGACACCACTAAACCCCCCAGAATTTTGATTTTTGTACTTGAGCTCATGAATGAACATTTCAAATGGCTGCATTGTTTAGTTCCAAAAGCACCAATATCTCTGTGCATTGGTATTTGAACATGATTTGAATATATATACATGGAAAAAGAATGTGTTGATGTTAGTTATAAGAAGAGTAAGTCCTAAACATAGTTCAGTTGGGACAAAGCTGGAAATCATTAGACATGCTGGAAGGGGTGCATTTTAACAATGATCACATATTTGGGTGGGCTTAGGCCTGTTGATTCTGTTTGTGAAAAAAAAAAGTTAAAGAGCACATATAAAATGCTGAAAAATATATTCCTGAAGAGTATATCTGAAAGGTGACATGAACTAATTCCTCATATAAAAATTAATTCCAGATGGAACAAAATTGAGAGATAAAACAAGGAAACCATAACAGTACTAGAAAAAAAGCACTAGAAAAATTTTCTTAATCTCACTCAAAAGTAGGAAAGACTTTTCCAAGCATAATATAAATAAAATCCAGAAGCCTTAAAGGAAAAGACTGATATTTGCACTGCATAAAAATATTTAAACTTCTGTAGCACAATAGAAAAAAAACAACTCAGTAAATAAAGTAAAAAGTTGAAAAAAATGTTGGAACACAAGCCTTCATTTTCCTTATATATAAAGAGCTTTAAAAATAAGATGAAGTGCCTGTAGTCCTGGCTACCTGAGAGAATTAGGCAAACGATCATTTGAGCCTAGGACACAGAGGCTGCAGTGAGCTATGATTGTGCCACTGCACTGCAGCCTGGATGACAGAGTGACACCCCATCTCAATAAGATAAAGCCACATAACTTAGTAGAAAAATGGTCAGAATATATGAATAGAAAGTTCATGGAAGAGGAATTCCAAATAACTAATAAATACATGAAAAATGGTCAACTTTACAAATAAATATAAAATAATGAAATATTTTTCTTATTTTAGATTGGCATAGATCCAATTTTTGATGATACCAGTATCAGGAAGATGTCCTCTCAAAAGCATTGCTGGTAGGAAAGAAAATTGTTATAATTTCTTTGGAAGGCAGTCTAGGAATACTAAAAATGTTCACACACTCTGTGACCCAGCAATTCCACTATTCAGAATTTGTCCACCATGCCGGCGTGGTGGCTCATGCCTGTAATCCCAGCATTTTGGGAGGCCGAGGTGGGCAGATCACTTGAGGTCAGGAGTTTGAGACCAGTCTGGCCAATGTAATGAATCCTCATCTCTAACAAAAGCAAAAATACAAAAATTAGCCAGGTGTGGTGGTGGGTGCCTGTAATCTCAGCTATTTAGGAGGCTGAGGCAGGAGAATTGCTTGAGTCAAGGAGGTGGAGGTTGCAGTAAGCCAAGATCGCACCACTGCACTCCAGCCTGCACCAACAGAGTGAGACTCCATCTCAAAAAAAAAAAAAAAAGAATTTGTCCAACAGAAATATCCTTTTAGTAGCATACACAAAAAATTAGATACACAGCTAAGGACATTCACTATAGTATTGTCTGTGCTTAGGTTTCCAGATTCTGAGTCTGTTTTTCAAAACTGACATTTGTGTTATGTTGTTTTCTGATTAGAAGCACCCATGTGCATTGTAAGAAATTCAAATAAAATGGTTATGTTAAATTAGAAAGAAAATTCCACCCCCAAATATAATTACTACTAACAGTTTAATGCATATTATTTCCGGACCATTTTTGTACATAAATACATGCAGTAATATGAATTTAAGCTTTCCAAATCTTATAACTAGATTCAGATAAATATTTTGAGATACAATTTATCCTCATCCAAATGCTCACTATGTGCTATTTAAAACGTATAAGCTGAATACATTGCAAAAACTAATATCCTTCACTATCTGAATTCAGTTCTCAAACTTTATCTCTTGGTGTCTCAATTTAGAAATAGATTTGAGATCCAAGGATAACTGGATAAATATTTTTTCTTCTACAAAAGTTAAACTGTAACATACACTATTCAACAGCTTGCCTTTTTTTCCTTACAAATATATTTTATACATCATTCAATGTTAGTTCATAAAGATCTATCTCAGCTGGGCATTGTGGTTGATGCCTGTAATTCCAGCACTTTTTTGGGAGGCCAAGGCAGGAGGATTGGTTGAGTCCAGGAGTTTGAGACTAGCCTGGGTAACATGGCAATACCCCATCTCTACAAAAAATACAAAAATTAGCTGGGTGTGATGATGCACGCCTGTAGTCCCAAGTATTTGGGAGGCTGAGGCAGGAGGATCACTTGAGCCCAGGAGTTGGAGGCTGCAGTGAGTTATGATCAACATCACTGCATTCCAGCCTGGATAACAGAGTGAAGCCCTGTCTCTAAAAACAAAAGTAAAAAAGATCTATCGCGTTTCTTTTTAATGGCTGCATAGTACCATTGTACAGCTATAACATAATTTAACTGGTTTCTTATTGATGATAATTTATTGGTAGCCTAAGTATATGTATTGACATGGAAAGGTGTCCAAATATTTTTAAGTTAAAAAGTAAATTGGACCATATGTATAGTCTATTTTAAAAGGATAAGCTGGTTAATATATACACAGAAAAAAATTCTGGTGAAATATACTTCCAACTGCTATTTATCTATCTATCTACCTATCTATCTATCTATCTATCTCTCTATCTATCTATCATCTATCTATCTATTTAGAGATGAAGTCTCACTCTGTCGCCCAGGCTGGAGTGCAGTGGCACGATCTGGGCTCACTGCAACCTCCACCTCCTGTGTTCAAGAAATTCTGTCTCAGTCTCTTGAGTAGCTGGGACTACAGGCGCACGCCACCACGCCAGGCTAATTTTTGTATTTTTAGTAGAGACAGGGTTTCACCATATTGGTTAGGCTGGTCTCGAACTCCTGACCTCAGGTGATCCACTAACCTAGGCCTCCCAAAGTGCTGGGATTGCAGGTGTGAGCCACCGTGCCCAGCCCCAACTGCTATCATCAGAGGTACAGATTGAGACAGGAGAGGGGGACAATAATCATTTTTTGGGGGGTTATATTTTTCAGTGATGTTTGAATGGTTTTACTATGAAAATATTATTTTAGAAGCAGAAAAAAATAAAAGCACACAAAGGTACTGTCAAGGAACAATATTTCACCAAATAGAGCTTTAAAAATCTGATCGGCTTTTATTAGTGATTTATGAATTGGGCAGCATCTCATCTATGAAACAGAAAGGTGCTTTGGTGAGAGCCAAGCAGAGAGGGTTGGTTATGTAGGCAGAAAAAGGCTGAAAAGAGCAAAAACAAGGAGGAAAAAGTGCATTGATCATTTCAAAGTTACTTTCCTTATAGGGTTAAAGCAGAGGGGATTTTCATATCATGCCAACTCAGGTTGACTGGCCCCTTTGGATTAAATGCTGTGAATCTCTTGTTCTTTGGAAAACCAGCTGGTTTCTAAATTTAGTTTGATTATGTGGCACCTAGCATGAGTGACGCCATTCTGGTTTGGTCTGGTCTGTTGGGGCCTAGGGCAGGAGCTCAGTCCAAAACAAGGACCTCCCACAAATTTTATTTAACAGCATATACATGAATATTCTTTTTAAGATACTTTGAAATAGTGAAAAATTGAGTGCAGTAAATAAGGGATTGGTTAAATACAGTATACTCACATAGTGGAATACAATTGAGCTCTCCCCAAAATACAGTGTAATCCCACACAGAGAAAAATAACCAACATGGTAAAACCCCATCTTTACTAAAAATACAAAAATTAGCTGGGTGTGATGGTGGGCGCCTGTAATCCCAGCTACTCAGGAGGCTGAGTCAGGAGAATCACTTGAACCAGGGAGGTGGAGGTTGCAGTGAGCTGAGATCGTGCCACTGCCCTCCAGCCTGGCGACAGAGCAAGACTCTGTCTCAAAAAAAAAAAAAAAAAAGAAAGAAAAAAAAAGTAACCAATAACAACAATATGCCTTTATATAGATCAAACTGTTAATTATCTCTAGGAATATTTTAACTTTCTTAGTAATGTCTATAATATTGTAATTGTCAATATGCCACGTGAATTACTTTTACAGTTGAGATAAAAGGTTATTATTTAATGCTGGTTGAAACTGGGAATTTTATGATTTTTGTCTAGCTCTTGAGAAGCAACTACCTCACCCTGTTATATCAGGTAAGTCTATTGTTTATTTTTATTTATTTATTTTTTTGAGATGGAGTCTCGCTCTGTAGCCCAGGCTGGAGTGTGGTGGCTTGATCTTGGCTCACCGCAACCTCCGCCTTCTGGGTTCAAGTGATTCTCTTGCCTCAGCCTCCCGAGTAGCTGGGATTACAGGCATGCGCCACTGCACCCGGCTGATTTTTGTATTTTTAGTAGGGATGGGGTTTCGCCATGTTGGCCATGCTGGTCTTAAACTCCTGACCTAAGGTGATCCACTGGCCTCGGCCTCCCAAAGTGCTGGGATTACAGGTGTGAGCCACTGCGCCCGGCCCTATTGTTTAATTTTTATGCATTAGGCTTTCCTATGCATTTCCAGGAACCTATTATGATACAAGTAGACTGTGCAGATATCATTTTTTTCCCTCTAGACCAATGCTCTCCAATAGAAATTTATTGCAAGCTACATATGTAACTTTAAATTTTCTAGTAACTACATTTTAAAAAGAGCAGGTGCAATTAATTTTAATACTATATTTTATTAACCCAATATATCCAAAATATTATCATGTGAACATGTAATGGATATAAAAATTATTAATGAGATATTTTACATTCTAATTTCCACACTAAGTCTTTTAAATCTGGTGTGTGTTCTACTTACAGCATATTTCAATTTGAGTGCTAAATTTTCAACAGTTAAAATGTTGTCCTACCAAAACAATAAGGTATGTATGCATTTAAAGGAAAAATATTTCACTCTGCTTCAGTTTTTAAATGTAAGTTAAAATTAATTTAAAACGTCACTAGTGTGACCAGTCACACTTGCACATTTCAGGTACTCCATAGCCACAAGTGGCTGGTGGCTACAGCATTGGGGAGTGTAGATATAGAACATTCCACTGTACAGCTGTGGTCTAGACATTGAGCTCCAGGCAGATACAATCTCTTACTCATCTTCAGGGCTCTATGACTTAACAGTGCCTGTTACACAGTAGGAACGCCATAAATGAAGAACTCATTCATAGATCTGGGACTGAGATCATCATGAGCAGCACACTGATTAAGGGTGAAAAGACACACCTTCACAACATGGCCATGGATGGCCCTATTTACCTCCTCCTGAGCAGGACAAATAGTTAATATACGTGGAGGGATTTTGGTGTTGCAGACAGCAAATTATTTGTGGAATCTATTTGTTCTTCCCAACTGACTTAATATAAAAAAGAATTTGTATGATGGAATTTTAGACTCAAGATTGTCTTTGGTACAAGGCGGGAACCCGGTGTACCTTGGGACCAGGGGACTGACACAGTGGTTGTCTGCTGGGGGCAGGAGGGGGCAGCAGAGAGCCACCAGGGTGGTTGGCTCCGGGGAACCCAAAAGATGATGGATGAGTGGGAAAATGGACTGTTAGGGTGAACCCAAATCACAAACTCATAGATCAAAAGGAAAGCCAGGCTAGAAAGCCAAGCCAGGATGGAATCAATGTATAAGAAAATATGCTGTGAATCTGTGGTTTCCCTTATCACTTCAGTAGGAGATTTGACCTTTACTTTCTTTCTACTTAAATTATAAACAAAATGAAGAAAATTGGCCAAGTGTGGTGGCTCATGCCTGTAATCCCAACACTTTGGGAGGCTAAGGCAGAAGAATCATTTGAGGCCGGGAGTTTGAAACAAGCCTGAGCAACATAGTGAGACCCCATCTCTATTTTTTTTAAATAATAAAAAAAGAAAATTAAAATTGCTGTTTACCACACAGAATTTTTAGCAATTTGTATAGCCAAATCCCTGAGTTAACTTTTTGGTGTATTTCCTTCCAAAATAATAATCATTTTGAATACATGTTTTGTTTTATAAGCTCCTTAAAATTTTTTTTGTCTAATTCTGGGTTTCAAGGGGAATGCGTCTAGCTTTTGCCCATTCAGTATATAATGTTGGCTGTAGGTTTATCATAGATGACTCTTATTATTTGAGATATGTGCCTTTAATACCTAGCTTATTGAGAGTTTTTAATATGAAGGGGTGCTGAATTTTATCAAAAGCCTTTTCTGCATCTATTGAGATGACCATATAATTTTTGTCTTTAAGTTCTGTTTATGTAATGAATCACATTTTCTGATTTGCATATGTTAAACTAACCTTGCATCCCAGGGATAAAGCCTGCTTGATTGTAGTGGATAAGCTTTTTGGTGTGTTGCTGGATTTGGTTTGCCAGTATTTTGTTGAGGATTTTTGCATTGATGTTCATCTGGCCTGAAGTTTCGTTTTTTGTTGTTTCTCTGCCAAGTTTTGGTTTCAGTATGATGCTGGCCTCATAGAATGAATTAGGGAGGAGTCCCTCCTCCTCAATTTTTTGGAATAATTTCAGTAGGAATGGACCAGCTCTTCTTTGTACATCTGGTAGAATCTGGCTGTGAATCCATCTGGTCCTGGGCTTTTTTTGGTTGGTAGTCTATTTATCACTGATTCAATTTCAGAGCTAGTTATTGGTCTGTTCAGGGATCCAATTTCTTCCTGGTTCGGTCTTGGGAGGGTGTATGTGTCCAGGAATTTATCTATTTCTTCTAGATTTTCTAGTTTGTGTACACAGAGGTGTTCATAATATTCTCTGATTGTTGTTTGTATTTCTGTGGCGTCGGTGGTAATATCCCCTTTGCCTTTTCTAATTTCTTTTATTTGGATCTTTTTTGGTTTTTCAAGTCTCAATATCCTTCAGCTTAGCTTTGATTTTGGTTATTTGTTGTCTTCTGCTAGCTTTGGGGTTGATTTACTCTTGGTTCTCTAGTTCTTTTAGTTGTGATGTTAGGTTGTTAAACTGAGATCTTTCTAACTTTTTGATGTGGGCATTTAGTGCTATACATTTTCCTCTTAACATTGCCTTAGCTGTGTCCCAGAGATTCTGGTGTGTTGTATCTTTGGTCTCATTAGTTTCAAAGAACTTCTAGATTTCTGCTTAATTTCATTATTTACCCAAAAATCATTCAGGAGCAGATTATTCAATTTCCATGCAATTGTGTAATTTTAAGCTATTTTCTTAGTCTTGAATTCTATTTTAATTGCACTGTGGTCTGAGAGAGTGGTTGTTATGATTTCAGTTCCTTTGTATTTGCTGAGGAGTCTTTTACATCTGATTATGTAATTGAATTTAGAGTATGTGCCATGTGGCAATGAGAAGAATGTATATTCTGTTGTTTTTGGGGTAGAGAGTTCCGTAGATGTCTATCAGGTCTGTTTGATCCTGTGCTGAGTTTAGGTTCTGAATATCTCTGTTAATTTTTTGCCTGGGTGATCCAATACTGTCAGTGGAGTGTTAAAATTCCCCGCTATTATTGTGTGGGAGTCTAAGTCTCTTTGAAGGTCTCTAAGAACTTACTTTATGAATCTGGGTGCTCCTATGTTGGGCGCATATATATTTAAGAGAGTTAGGTCTTCTTGTTGAATTTAACCCTTTACCAATATGTAATGCCCATCTTTGTCTTTTTGATCTTTGCTGGTTTAAAGTCTGTTTTGTCTGAAGTTAGGATTGCAACCTCTGCTTTTTTCTGTTTTCTGTTTGCTTGGTAGATTTTTCTCTATGACCTCTCTCATCACTCCTATTCAATATAGTATTGGAAGTCCTGGCCAGAGCAATCAGGCAAGAGAAAGAAATAATGGGCATCCACATAGAAAGAGAGTAAGTCAAAATATCCCTGTTTGCAGGTGACATGATCCTATGTCTAGAAAACCCCATGGTCTCAGCTCAAAAGCTCCTTAAGCTGATAAACAACTTCAGCAAAGTCTTGGGATACAAAATCAATGTACAAAAAATCAGTAGCATTCCTATACACCAACAACAGTCAATCTGAGAGCCAATCAGGAATGCAATCCCATTCACAATTGCCACAGAAAGAATAAAATACCTAGAAATACACCTAACCAGGGAGGTGAAAGATCTCTACAATGAGAACTACAAAATACAGCTCAAAGAAATCAGAGATGACACAAACAAATGGAAAAACATTCCAAGTTCATGGATAGCAAGAATTAACATTGTTAAGATGGCCATACTGCCCAAAGCAATTTATAGATTTAATGCTATTCCTGTCAAACTACTGATGACATTCTTCACAGAATTAGCAAAAAACTGTTTTAAAATTCATATTGAACCAAAAAAGAGCCTGAATAGCTAAGGCAACCCTAAGCAAAGAGAACAAAGCTGGAGGCATCATGCTACCTGACTTTATACTACAGGTCTACAGTAACCAAAACAGCATGGTACTTACAAAGACAGATACATAGACCCATGGAACAGAATAGAGAGCCCAGAAATAAGGCCACATACCTACAGCCATCTAATCTTCGACAAAGCTGACAAAAACAAGCAATGGGGAAAGGACCCTCTATTTAATAAATGGTGCTGGGAGAACTGACTAACCATATGCAGAAGATTGAAACTGGACCCTTTCCTTACACCATATACAAAAATCAACTCAAGACGGGTTAAAGACTTCAGTGTAAAATCCCAGACTGTAAGAACTCTGGAAGACAACCTAGTCAATACCATTCTGGATGTTGAAACGGGCAAAGGTTTCGTGATGAAGATGCCAAAAGCAATTGCAACAAAAACAAAAAATGACATTGACTGGAAGCCTTATTGATTAACAAAGAAAAGAAATAAATTGACAATGGGATCTAATTAAATTAAAGAGCTCCTGCACAGCAAAAGAAACTATCAATAAACAGACAACCTACAGAATAGGAGAAAAATTTTGCAAACTATGCATCTGACAAAGGTCTAATATCCGGCATCTATAAAGAACTTATACAAATTTACAAGAAAAAAAAACCCATTAAAAAGTGGGCAAAGGACATGAACAGACACTTCTCAAAAGAGGACCTACATGTAGGCAACAAGCATATGAAAAAAAGCTCAGCATCACTGACCATTAGAGAAATGCAAATCAAAGCTACAATGAGATACCATCTCACACCAGTCAGAATGGCTATTACTAAAAAGTCAAAAAATAACAGATGCTGGCAAAGTTGTGGAGAAAAAGGAACACTTATACATTGTTGGTGGGAGTGTAAATTAGTTCGACCATTGTAGAAAGCACTGTGGCGATTCTTCAAAGAGCTAAAAACAGAACTACCATTCAACCCAGCAATCCCATTATTGGGTATATACCCAAAGGAATAGAAATCATTTATCATAAAGACATGCATTTGCATGCTCATTGCAGCACTATTCACAATAGCAAAGACACAAAATCAACCTAAATGCCCATCAGTGGCAGACTGGATAAAGAAAATGTGGTGCATATACACCATGGAATACTATGCAGCCAGAAAAAAGAATGAGATCATGTCCTTTGCAGGAACTTGGATTGAGCTAGAGGCCATAATCCTTAGCAAACTACTGCAGGAACAGAAAACCAAATACCTCATGTTCTCACTTATATTTAATAAGTGGAAACTAAATGATGAGAACATATGGCACATAGAAGAGAACACTGGGGCCTACTGGAGGTTGGAGGGTGCGAAAAGGGAGAGGATCAGGAAAAATAACTAATGAGTACTAGGCTTAATACCTAGGTGACAAAATAATCTGTACAACAAACCCCCATGACACGAGTCTACCTATTTAACAAACCTGCACATCAACCCCTGAACTTAAAAGTTAAAAACAACAAAACCCCAAACAATTTAATATTCTGTGAATATCTTTTCACATCTTTGAATTTCTTAGTATCCTTCCTTCCTTCCTTCCTCCCTTCCTTCCTTCCTTCCTTCTTTCTCTTTCCTTTCTTTCCTTTGCTTTCCTTTCCTTTCCTTTTCTTTCCTTCCTTTCTTTTTTTTTTTGGAGACAATGTCTCTCTCTGTCACCCAGGCTGGAGTGCAGTGGTACGCCCATGGCTCACTGGAGCCTCGACCTCCTAGACTCAAGGGATCCTCTTACCTCAGCCTCCCAAGTAGCTGGGACCACAGGTGCTTGCCACCACGCCTGGCTAATTTTTGTAATTTTTGTAGAGTTAGGGTCTTGCTATGTTGCCAGGGCTTGTCTCAAACTCCTGGGCTCACATGACCCTCCTGCCTCAGCCTCCCAAAATGCTGAGATTACAGGTGTGAGCCACCCTGCCTGGCCAGATTTCTTAGCATTCTTATATACTTTTTTTTTTTTTTTTTCCTAAAGAGGTAAGATCTTGTTGCTATGTTGCCCAGGAGGGACTTGAATTCCTGGGCTCAAGGGATGGGACCCTTCCATCTCAGCTTTCCCAGTAGCTGGGACTACAGGAGTGTGTCACCATGCATGGCTGGCTCTTATATATATCATTTCTAATGGTAGCCTTATGTCCGGTGTGAATTTGCTCTGCTTGATTTAACCAACTGGCAATTAGAAGACACTAGGATTTTTCTAATTTTTCATCAGTTTAAACAGCATAAATCCTAGGTACATCTTTGTGTGTATCCATGGTGATTTTCCTTAGAATAAATTTCTGAAAGTAGAATAGTAGGCACATATCTGTAAGTTTTTGCCTTTGAATTGCCAAATCCCACTCTTGGAACAGCTGTAATAGTGTACACACTTCTGTACTGCTCATTTCCTCAAACCCTCACCAACTCTGGGTAGTATTAAAAACAAACAAACAAAAAACAGCCTACCACATTGGCTGGGTATGGTGGCTCACTCCTGTAATCCCAGCACTTTGGGAGGCCAAGGAGGGCAGATCTCTTGAGATCAGGTGTTTGAGACCAGCCTGGCCAACACGGTGAAACCCTGTCTCTACTAAAAATGCAAAAATTAGCCAGGTATGGTGGCATGTGCCTGTAATCCCAGCTACTCGGGAAGCCGAGGCAGGAGAATTGCTTGAACCTGGGAGGCAGAGGTGCAGTAAGCCGAAATTGTGCCACTGCACTCCAGCCTGGGTGACAGAGCAAGACTCTGTCTCAAAAGAAACAAACAAACACAAACAAACAAACAGAAAACCTCCCTCAAAAACAACCTACCACAGCAAAAAAACAAAACAAAACAAAAAACAAAAAACCTAACAACTTTACTAACCTGATTGGTGAAAAAAAATGGCACCTTATTTTTTGAAATATCATTTCTGTGATTACTGCAGGTATTGAACTTAAAAAAGAGTTTGGTCATCTCTCTCTGTCTCTCTCTCTCTCTCTCTCTGTGGGAGAGAGAGAGCTGCTTATTTTTGTCATTATTCATTTTTTTTTTTTTAGGATTGGTCAAATGAAACAAGCAATTTTTAATGAATGACGTTTTATAGAAGTAATTTCAATCCAAAAGAATTATTTTTTTTCTTTTTTTATAGGTTATTTATTTATTTATTTATTATACTTTAAGTTCTAGGGTTCATGTGCACAATGTGCAGGTTTGTTACATACATATGCATGTGCCATGTTGGTGTGCTGCACCCATTAACTCGTCATTTACATTAGGTATTTCTCCTAATGCTATCTCTCCCCCAGCCCCCACCCCCTGACAGGCCCCAGTGTGTGATGTTCCCCACCCTGTGTCCAAGTGTTCTCATTGTTCAATTCCCACCTATGAGTGAGAACATGCGGTGTTTGGTTTTCTGTCCTTGTGATAGTTTGCTGTGAATGATGATTTCCAGCTTCATCCATGACCCTGCAAAGGACATGAACTCATCCTTTTTTATGGCTGCATAGTATTCCATGGTGTATATGTGCCACATTTTCTTTTCTTTTTTTTTTTTTAGACCGAGTTTTGCTCTTGTTGCCTAGGCTGGAGTGCAGTGGCAAGATCTCGACTCACCGCAACCTCTGCATCCTGGGTTCAAGCGATTCTCCTACCTCAGCCTTCCTGAGTAGCTGGGGGTTACAGGCATGTGCCACCATGCCCGGCTAATTTTGTACTTTTAGTAGAGACGGGGTTTCCCCATGTTGGTCAGGCTGGTCTCGAACTTCCGACCTCAGATGATCCGCCCAATTCAGCCTCCCAAAGTGCTGGGATTACAGGCGTGAGCCACCGTGCCTGGCCTGTGCCACATTTTCTTAATCCAGTCTGTCATTGATGGACATTTGGGTTGGTTCCAAGTCTTTGCTATTGTTAATAGTGCCGCAATAAATATACATGTGCATATGTCTTTATAGGAGCATGATTTATAATCCTTTGGGTATATACCCATTAATGGGATAGCTGGATCAAATGGTATTTCTAGTTCTAGATCCTTGAGGAATCACCACACTGTCTTCCACAATGGTTGAACTAATTTACACTCCCACCAACAGTGTAAAAGCGTTCCTATTTCTCCACATCCTCTCCAGCCTCTGTTGTTTCCTGACTTTTTAATGATCGCCATTTTAACTGGCGTGAGATGGTATCTCATTGTGGTTTTGATTTGCATTTCTCTGATGACCAGTGATGATGAGCATTTTTTCATGTGTCTGTTGGCTGCATAAATGTCTTCCTTTGAGAAATGTCTGTTCATATCCTTTGCCCACTTTTTGATGGGTTGCTTGTTTTTTTTCTTGTAAATTTGTTTAAGTTCTTTATAGATTCTGGATATTAGCCCTTTGTCAGAGGGGTAGATTGCAAAAATTTTCTCCCATTCTGTAGGTTGCCTATTCAGTCTGATGGTAGTTTCTTTTGCTGTGCAGAAGCTCTTTAGTTTAATTAGATCCCATTTGTCAATTTTGGCTTTTGTTGCCATTGCTTTTGGTGTTTTAGTCACGAAGTCCTTGCCCAGGCCAATGTCCTAAATGGTATTGCCTAGGTTTTCTTCTAGGGTTTTTATGGTTTTAGGTCTAACATTTAAGTCTTTAATCCATCTCAAATTAATTCTTGTATAAGGTGTAAAGAAGGGATCCAGTTTCAGCTTTCCACATATGGCTAGCCAGTTTTACCAGCACCATTTATTAAACAAGAAATCCGTTCCCCATTTCTTGTTTTTGTCAGGTTTGTCAAAGATCAGATGGTTGTAGATGTGTGGTGTTATTTCTGAGACCTCTGTTCTGTTCCATTGGTCTATATATCTGTTTCGGTAGCAGTACCATGCTGTTTTGGTTACTGTAGCCTTGTAGTAGAGTTTGAAGTCAGGTAGCGTGATGCCTCCAGCTTTGTTCTTTTTGCTTAGGATTGTCTTGGCCATGTGGGCTCTTTTTTGGTTCCATATGAACGTTAAAGTAATTTTTTCCAATTCTGTGAAAAAAGTCATTGGTAGCTTGATGGGGATGGCATTGCATCTATAAATTACCTTGGGCAGTATGGCTGTTTTCACGATATTGATTCTTCCTATCCTTGAGCATGGAATGTTCTTCCATTTGTTTGTGTCTTCTTTTATTTCATTGAGCAGTGGTTTGTAGTTCTCCCTGAAGAGATCTTTCACATCCCTTGTAAGCTGGATTCCTAGGTATTTTATTCTCTTTGTAGTAATTGTGAATGGGAGTTCACTCATGATTTGGCTCTCTGTTTGTCTGTTATTGGTGTCTAGGAATGCTTGTGATTTTTGCACATTGATTTTGTATCCTGAGACTTTGCTGAAGTTGCTTATCAGCTTAAGGAGATTTTGGGCTGAGACAGTGGGGTTTTCTAGATATACAATCATGTCATCTGCAAACAGGGACAATTTGACTTCCTCTTTTCCTAACTGAATACCCTTTATTTCTTCCTCTTGCCTGATTGCCCTGGCCAGAACTTCCAACACTATGTTGAATAGGAGTGGTGAGAGAGGGCATCTTGTCTTATGCCAGTTTTCAAAGGGAATGCTTCCAGTTTTTGCCCATTCAGTATGATATTGGCTGTGGGTTTGTCATAAACAGCTCTTATTGTTTTGAGATATGTTCTATCAATACCTAGTTTATTGAGAGTTTTTAGCATGAAGGGTGTTGAATTTTGTTGAAGGCCTTTTCTGCATCTATTGAGATAATCATGTAGTTTTTGTCGCTGGTTCTGTTTATGTGATGGATTACGTTTATTGATTCGCGTATGTTGAACCAGCCTTGCATCCCAGGGATGAAGCCGACTTGATCATGGTGGATAAGCTTTTTGATGTGCTGCTGGATTAGGTTTGCCAGTATTTTATTGAGGATTTTCGCATCGATGTTCTTCAGGGATGTTGGTCTAAAATTCTCTTTTTTTTGTTGTGTCTCTGCCAGGCTTTGGTATCAGGATGATGCTGGCCTCATAAAATGAGTTAGGGAGGATTCCCTCTTTTTCTACTGATTGGAATAGTTTCAGAAGGAATGGTACCAGCTCCTCTTGTACTTCTGGTAGAATTTGGCTGTGAATCTTTCTGGTCCTGGACTTTTTTTTGGTTGGTAGGCTATTGATTATTGCCTCACTTTCAGAGCCTGTTATTGGTCTATTCAGAGATTCAGTTTCTTCCTGGTTTAGTCTTGGGAGGGTGTATATGTCCAGGACTTTATCCATTTCTTCTAGATTTTCTAGTTTATTTGCGTAGAGGTGTTCATAGTATTCTCTGATGGTAGTTTGTATTTCTGTGGGATTGGTGGTATCCCCTTTATCATTTTTTATTGTGTCTATTTGATTCTTCTCTTTTCTTCTTTATTAGTCTGTCTAGGGGTCTATCAATTTCGTTGATCTTTTCAAAAAACCAGCTCCTGGATTCATTGATTTTTTGAAGGTTTTTTGTGTCTCTATTGCCTTCAATTCTGCTCTGATCTTAGTTATGTCATGCCTTCTGCTAGCTTTTGAGTTTGTTTGCTGTAGCTTCTCTAGTTCTTTTAATTGTGGTGTTAGGATGTTGATTTTAGGTCTTTCCTGCTTTCTCTTGTGGGAATTTAGTGCTATAAATTTCCCTCTACAAACTGTTTTAAATGTGTCCCGGAGATTCTGGTATGTTGTGTCTTTGTTGTCATTGGTTTCAAAGAATATCTTTATTTCTGTCTTCATTTTGTTATTTACTCAGTAGTCATTCAAGAGCAGGTTGTTCAGTTTCCCTGTAGTTGTGCAGTTTTGAGTGAGTTTCTTAATCCTGAGTTCTAATTTGATTGCACTGTGGTCTGAGAGACAGTTTGTTGTGATTTCTGTTCTTTTACGTTTGCTGAAGAGTGCTTTACTTCCAATTATGTGGTGAATTTTAGAATAAGTGCGATGTGGTGCTGTGAAGAATGTATATTCTATTGATTTGGGGTGGAGAGTTCTGTAGATGTCTGTTAGGTCCACTTGGTGCAGAGCTGAGTTCAAGTCCTGGATATCCTCGTTAACCTTCTGTCTCATTGATCTGTCTAATATTGACAGTGGGGTGTTAAAGTCTCCCATTACTATTGTGTGGGAGTCTAAGTCTCTTTGTAGATCTCTAAGGACTTGCTTTATGAATCTGGGTGCTCCTGTATTGGGTGCATATATATTTAGGATAGTTAGCTCTTCTTGTTGAATCGATTCCTTTACCATTATGTAATGGCCTTCTTTGTGTCTTTTGATCTTTGTTGATTTAAAGTCTGTTTTATCAGAGACTAGGTTTGCAACTCCTGCTTTTTTTTGCTTTCCATTTGCTTGGTAGATCTTCCTTCATCCCTTTATTTTGAGCCTATGTGTGTCTCTGCATGTGAGATGGGTCTCCTGAATATAGCACACAGATGGGTCTTGACTCTTTATCCAATTTGCCAGTCTGTGTCTTTTAATTGGCGCATTTAGCCCATTTACATTTAAGGTTAATATTGTTATGTGTGAATTTGATCCTGTCATTATGATGTTAGCTGTTTATTTTGCCCATTAATTGATGCAGTTTCTTCATAGCATCAATGGTCTTTACAGTTTGGCATGTTTTTGTAGTGGCTGGTACCAGTTGTTCCTTTCCAGGTTTAGTCCTTCCTTCAGGAGCTCTTGTAAGGCAGGCCTGGTGGTGACAAAATCTCTCAACATTTGCTTGTCTGTAAAGGATTTTATTTCTCCTTCACTAATGAATGTTAGTTTGGCTGGATATGAAATTCTGGGTTGAAAATTCCTTTCTTTAAGAATGTTGAATATTGGCCCCCACTGTCTTCTGGCTTGTAGGGTTTCTGCTGAGAGATCCACTGTTAGTCTGACGGGTTTCCCTTTGTGGGTAACCCAACCTTTCTCTCTGGCTGCCCTTAACTTTTTTTCCTTTATTTCAACCTTGGTGAATCTGACGATTATGTATCTTGGGGTTGCTCTCCTCGAGGAGTATCTTTGTGATGTTCTCTGTATTTCCTGAATTTGAATGTTGGCCTGCCTTGGCTAGGTTGGGGAAGTTCTCCTGGATAATATCCTGAAGAGTGTTTTCCAACTTGGTTCCATTCTTCCCATCACTTTCAGGTATACCAATCAAATGTAGATTTGTTCTTTCCACATAGTCCCATATTTCTTGGAGGCTTTGTTCATTTCTTTTTACTCTTTTTTCTCTAAATGTATCTTCTCACTTTATTTCATTAATTTGATCTTCAATCACTGATACTCTTTCTTCCACTTGATCGAATTGGCTATTGAAGCTTGTGCATGTGTCATGAAGTTCTTGTGCCATGGTTTTCAGCTCCATCAGATCATTTAAGGTCTTCTCTACACTGTTTATTCAGTTAGCCATTCATCTAACCTTTATTCAAGGTTTTTAGCTTCCTTGTGATGGGTTAGAACATGCTCTTTTAGTTCGGAGAAGTTTGTTATTACCGACCTTCTGAAGCCTACTTCTGTCAACTTGTCAAAATCATTCTCCGTCCAGCTTTGTTCCATTGCTGGTGAGGAGCTGCGACCCTTTGGAGGAGAAGAGGTGCTCTGGATTTTAGAATTTTCAGCTTTTCTGCTCTGGTTTCTCCCCATTTTTGTGGTTTTATCTACCTTTGGTTGTTTATGTTGGTGACCTACAGACGGGGTTTTGGTGTGGATGTCCTTTTTGATGATGTTGATGCTATTCTTTTCTGTTTGTTAGTTTTCCTTCTAACAGTCAGGTCCCTCAGCTGCAGGTCTGTTGGAGTTTGCTGGAGGTCTGCTTCAGACGCTGCTTGCCTGGGTATCACCAGCGGAGGCTGCAGAATTGCAAATATTGCAGAACAGCAAATATTGCTGCCTGATCCTTCCTCTGGAAGCTTTGTCCCAGAGGGGCTCCCGCCTGTATGAGGTGTCTGTCAGCCCCTACTGGGAGGTGTCTCCCAGTTAGGCTACACGGGGGTCAGGCACCCACTTGAGGAGGCAGTCTGACTGTTCTCAGAGCTCAAACGCCATGCTGGGAGAACCACTGCTCTCTTCAGAGCTGTCAGACAGGGACTTTTAAGTCTTCAGAAGTTGTCTGCTGTCTTTTGTTCAGCTATGCCATGCCCACAGAGGTGAAGTCTATAGAGGCAGTAGCCCTTGCTGAGCTGTGTTGGGCTCTGCCCAGTTCCAGCTTCCTGGCTGCTTTGTTTACCTACTCAAGCCTCAGCAATGGCAGACGCCCCTCCCCCAGCCTGGCTGCAGCCTTGTAGGTCGATCTCAGACTTCTGCGCTAGCAGTGAGCAAGGCTCCATGGGCACAGGACCCACTGAGCCAGGCACGGGAGAGAATCTCCTTGTCTGCCAGTTGCTAAGACCACGGGGAAAGCGCAGCATTTGGGCAGAAGTGTCCTGTGTTTCCAGGTACAGTCTGTCATGGCTTCCCTTGGCTAGGAAAGGGAAATCTCCTGACCCCTTGCACTTCCCGAGTGAGGCGATGCCCTGCCCTGCTTTGGCTTGCCCTCTGTGGGCTGCACCCACTGTCCAACCAGTCCAGTGAGATGAACCAGATACCTCAGTTAGAAATGCAGAAATCACCCATCTTCTGCGTTGATCACGGTGGGAGCTGCAGACCAGAGCTGTTCCTGTTCGGCCATCTTGGAACAGAGACTCATTATTTATTTTTTACAAGATTTTTCTTATAGAGTTTTGTAGGTGGTTTCTACATAGTAAGGATATTAACCCTTTATTATACATGCTGTAAATATTTCCCCTTGTACATTATTTGCCTTTTCATTGTTTTTGGCATGTGGTTTTTCAGAAAGTTTTATTTTATAAAATAAACTTTCTATTTTGAAATAATCTTTGGAATAATTTTAGATTTTCAGAAAAGTTGCCAACATAATACAGAGAGTTCCTGTATACCTTCACCCAGCTACCAGTAATTTTTTTTTCCCAGCCACTAGATCACCAAGGATCCCCTAATGTTAACATCTTACATGGCCTTGGTACATTTGTCAAAACAAAAAAAATCCCATAAGGTTTTAAATATTCATGGTTCCAGAGAATCGAGCCTTGTTCATGGTTCCAGAGAATTAAGAAACTGATACAACCTTCATCTTCCTGTGATGAAAAATTTTGTTTAAAATTTGGTTGATTAAACTTTGATCTTGGCTCACTGCACCTCTGCCTCCTAGGTTCATCCTACTTCCACCAACCATGAGTTTATGTATTTCCCTGTGAGAGTACCAAAGTCTATTTAATTCATAATCTTTTGAAACATATCATTAATAGTTTATTAATAGTGCTGTAGAACTCATTTTACTACAAGTAGCTTTTCTCCTCCAGTGCCAATCACTTCGGGAGCCACAGGTTATGGTGCAGACATGGCCAAGTCCAACAACCATACCACACACAACCAGTCCTGAAAATGGCACAGAAATGGTATCAGGAAACCCTCATCATAAAGATATGCATCTTTTAAGGGGATGGACCCCATGTTCCTGAGGAACACGTGCTTTTCCAAGAAGCACAAGAAGGTCCTAAAGAAGATGCACGTGCCAAGGCTATCAAGGCCCTTGTAAAGCCCAAGGAGGTTAAGCCCAAGATCCCAAAGGGCATCAGCTGCGAGCTCAATCGACTTGCCTACATCTATCACTACCCACCCCAAGTGATAGATGCAGGAGGCAGATAAGGAGGTCCCTAGAGAACCTCTGACCCGCCCCACAAGTGTTTACATCAGATGCTTTTGTGCAGATGAGGGAACCTGCCCAGGGTCTTGTCTGTGTATGCCTGCAACGGACTGGGGACCCACCTGTGCACTGGGAGAATGGGGTAGAGCCATGGGAATTTCGCACCTTGTGTAGCGGGGAGGAGCCTGGCCTCTTCAGCTCATGTGGTGGCAAGGAATCAATTTGTGACATGGGGGCCTGTTAGCAGGACCCCTCTTGCTTTGCTGAAAGTTTTTTTTTCTTTTAGCTCAATACATTCCACTTTACTCACCATTCAATGTGCCTGCATGCCTAATCTTTCCCAGTCTTGTGACAAGAACCTGGTTTTAGCTGAACTAAGAAGCAAAAATTCTGCAACATTTTGGTGCCTGAACAGGGACTTGAGGGAGGGTAAGATGCGAACCAAAAAATCTTTTTCCCTTTTGCTTCTAAGCCTTTTTGTCCTCAGACTTCTTCTGAGGGTAGAGGCAACTGTGCACCACCTGACCCCAGTGGCTGCAGGCTCGTGCAGGATGGATGGGTGAATAGCAGCTCCCTGCTCCCTTCCTGGCTGGGGCTGGGGCTCCCAAGGGTTCTGCATGGCAGGCTGGCCAGCCTTCCCTGCTACGCATCCATGGAGTCTTCCTCTTCCCTGGCCAAGGGGTCCAGCTCCATCAGACAGCAATTAAGTTTCTCTCCCTGTTGCAGGAATCCATTTGCATAAGAATAAAAGGTTCCTCCCAAGGCATCTTTTTCTTTTCTCCACCCTGTCAGCAGTTAACATAGCCCTGCATTTAAGCTTTTTTTGTTTTGTTTTGTTTTGTTTTTCTCCACCAGGTCAGGAGTTAACTTTTAAGTGAGGCTTTTTTATTCTTTTTAGAGGACATTTTACTAGGCCAGGACCCCAACTAACACAGCTAATATTCTCTGTAAAGTTTTAATTATGAAAAAGGATTTGTGAGGTTTGTCTTAAGCTGTAGCCAATTTGGTGTGCTTTGCATATCTTTCTGTATGGTCACTAGCAAACTTTGCTGCAGGTCTCCATCTTGTTTTACATCCTTGGAAGTGTGACCTGTAACCACAAGACAATGCTTTATTTTAGCATCTGCCATTTTACAATGGCAGCCTAGGTTCAATCCTGGCTTAGGGAGTGAGTTCTTTCTGGTTTGACGTCTGCATTACTTTTTTGCCATTTGTTGATTCTCTTCCCCTCCATGAACTGCCTTGGATTTTCCTTTCTCTGAGCTTTTAATAAAGTTTGAAAGCCAGAAATATTGGCTGCTTGGCATGGCTAAAGTTGGATAACAAGGGATTTAAAAGGACTTTCTTAAAGAGTGCTCATCTTAATTAAAAGTGGATATCCAAGTTATGAGTATATTTAAAATGCCTTTATGTTTTTCTCTTCTTCTTCTTTTTTTTTTTTTTTTTTTTTTTTGAGATGGAGTTTCACTCTTGTTGCCCAGGCTGGAGTGCAATGGCATGATCTCAGCTCACTGCAACCTCCACCTCCTGGGTTCAAGCGATTTTCCTGCCTCAGCCTCCTGAGTAGCTGGGATTACAGGTATGTGCCACCACACCCAGCTAATTTTGTATTTTTAGTAGAGATGAGTTTTCTCCATGTTGGTCAGGCTGGTCTCAAACTCTTGACCTCAGGTGATCCACCCTTCTTGGCCTCCCAAAGTGCTGGGATTATAGGTGTGAACCACCATGCCCAGCTGTGTTTTTCTCTTCTTGAATCTTGTTTTGCTGGAAAATGGTTTTTTCTTATTAACTGAAATATTTTTCTCCATTTGCCTTGCCACTCTTAATGCATGCATGAGAGGGGAGAGGCTTCTGTTTTCCTCATGGATCCCCAGGAATTAAAGGCAAATGGATCCCTGTCAAAATCTGTTTTTGCCTTCCAGCTGTATTTGTTTATTAGGCCCTAAAAATGGCATATTTTCCTAGCCTTGTTCTTAAAGGGCTCCACCCAGAGGCCAATAATCTATTTAGGAGATGGCAAATGAAAAATCTTATGGCTACTGGATTTTCTTTTACCTCTCTGTTTAGTAATACAGGTATTGTGTATGTGATGTCTACAAAAAGAGCTCTAATTTATTGACTTAAAGAAGGATAAAGACTTGGATCAAATAGTTTTTAAAGGGAAGATAAAAGCTGTAGTACCTTTTAGTTCATGTGACTTTAATCTTTGAGAAATAAAAACAGCCTTAAAGATTATTGGTAAAATGTAGATATTGTCAAAATGTAAATTTTTGCCTGGGGTTATAGGATTGTTTTGAATTAGGTAAGATAAAACTAAAAGTTTAAACAAGTTATGGAAGGTTTCTAAAAAATTAATCTTGCAAAATAAATTCTGTGTGTGAACACTGACTACATTCAAAAGGGTTATAAAAGGTTTTTGATTTTTTAAAAATTTTTGAGTCACCATTTTGACAAAATAAATAACTTATGGTAATCTGGAATTCTGTTTTATAACATCAAGTGTTTTAAACCTCTAACATATTTAACAGGCTTCCCAAAATCAAACTTCAGTTTCAAAATTGTCTTTCCTGATACCTAGCTTTTGGATGCTACAGAGGGCCCCTGGAGCATTCAGAAGAGAGGTAAACAGGATTAGTTGACATGTTTAGGTACATGGGATTTCCAAATTGATGTTCAATCTTCTTCAAGTTATATTTTAGGACATAATATTAATACATGTTCCAAAATTATGTGGGATTTTAAAAATTCTAATGTCTGAGTATATGCTATCAATCACAATTAAGGTTGTTATGTATTGTAAATCACGGGGATAACCAAATTTCTTTGTCAATCATGTTTCTGACTGTAACTACCCTGGACATTTTGTTATTCACAGACGATTTTGTCTTGTTTTGATCCTCTTCAAAAGATGATTATAATCAGCTATAGAATTTTGACAGGTGCTCTCAAATGGAGGTTTCTGATAACTTTGGACATTATGACATTGGAATAAAGGAAAAACATACAGGACTCATGAAGAGCCGAAATGTTCACGAATATCAAGCAAAAAAAGAATTAACCAAATTGACTAAACTAATAGAGAATTAAAATAATCTTTTTGACTTTTGCTTGGAAAATTGCTGATCCTTGTTTTCTCAGAGTCAAGGAAACTTATTTTGAACTATTTATGGCCTTTAATAATTCAGTAAGCTATCCTCCTGTGAACAAAATTTGGAGCATGTTTGTCTCCCTTTCTCTGCCTGGCTTCTCTGGAATTTGGTTTTGTTTTTTTCTGTTGGAGATGGAGTTTTGCTGTTGTTGCCCAGGCTGGAGTGCAATGGCATGATCTCAGCTCACTGCAACCTCCACCTCCTGGGTTCAAGTGATTCTCTTGCCTCAGCCTCCCAAGTAGCTGGGATTGCAGGCACCTGCCACCATGCCCAGCTAATTTTTGTATTTTTAGTAGAGATGGGATTTCACCATGTTGGCTAGGCTGGTCTTGAACTCCTGACCTTAGGTGATCCACCCACCTTGGCCTCCCAAAATGCTGGGATTACAGGCATGAGCCACTGTGCCAGGCCTAGGATTTGGAAACTAGTTGTGAGTATTTTTAACTTATGGCAATATAGTTGTTTGCCTCAGTGCAATAGGAATCCATTTTCTTTTGCAACAGGATGCGATTGGAGAAACTGGTTGTTTTACCAAAGCTTTGATTGGATGAGTATGCTTCCCTTTAAGGAATCACGCTCAACTTGCAGAGCTGATAAAAGCCCCTTGGGAAAACTGGCCTCATACCTTGTCTACACATTCCCTGTACAGGGTTCCTAACCTGTGGTGAGTAAAGAATGTCGCATTCCAACAGGCCCAGGAACCACATGTTCTTGGGACCTCAAGAAGGGAGGAGTTTACCCAACTCACAGGTATTTGAAGGTACAAACCCATGGCTGGGCTCAGCTTTAGAAAGTCCTTTCTGAGATTCCTTGTGGAACAGAGTTCCAACAAAACCAGTCTAAAAGGGTTATACAAAAATAATTATTCTTGTTGCATTTTATGCAAATAATCAGGCCAAGTATCAGACTAAAGTCTATTTTGCAAACAACTCAGTCCTATCTTGATATGTTTTTAACAAGATGAGGACTGAAGAGAGAGAAATTATGTTTTAAAATTTATCATATATTTGTCATTAAATTCTAGACTCATTAGTTGTTTTTAAGTTCTTGCCTACATTTTATACTAACCTTGCTTTTTCTTGTGAACTAACCAGAAATCCCTGGCTGCAGCTCAGAAAGGACAAAAGGGATGGATGATGTAAAAATCTGGATCAATACTCTAGTTCTGAGCAATTATTCTGTGAATCCTGCCAGGTGATGGGAATAAATAGAATGCCCATCAACCAGAGATTTCCTTTTTGGGAAAGTAAGACCAAGGGAGTTAACTAAAGCCAAGCCCCACATACCTAAATCTCAGCAAGCATAACTATAGCCACCAATTATCTGGGCATGTCACAGGACATCCTTTTCTCTCCCTTGTTCGAGGAGGGCTTGATTCCATAGTTTCACCTTAGCATTCAACTTATGATAAGGAGTCCATGCAACACTGCCTCCCCCTTCCAGAGACACATTTTTGTCCCAAACTCAACTCCGAGCTTTGGATTGAAGCCCTAGGAAATAAAACTGGGTCTGAGGGATCCAGAGGCAGATGATAATGGAAGTTAAAAGGCACAGCAGAGTGTGACTGATTCCTGCTGATTAATCCAAGCTTCCTGTTTGATGGATAAAGGTTATGTTAGTATCCATGGCATAAATGAGGTCTAGAAAACTTGAAGACTACTGACAGCAGATGAGATAGGGCATATGTTGGTAAGAGCGGATATTGCCACCCCCTAGGCCCCCCGTTAACATGAGTGAAAGCCACTTTGACACCCATGGGTGGCACTCTGTCACAGTTGCCAGGAGGAACACCTCACTTTCTCTCTCCCTTATGTACCCTGGATATTTTCTAGGAAGAGAAGGGAACCTGGGATGCCTCGCTCCCCTCTTTCTAGATGAGTAGCCATTCATCTTCAGTCTGCACCACTTTCAAATGCATCCTGAACCCCTGGGGCTCCTTTGAAAAAAAAGAAAGCCTTCTTTTTTCCTTTTTCCTTCTCTGTGCTGTCTTCACTGATAGGTAATTGTGTCTCTGTACTACGATATACTCTCCTTGGATACATCTTCCAAACTGGAAAAAGTTATTTGCCAAACCTTAAACTCATTGGCTTAGGACTGGGCTTGGGGGATGAGAACCCAGAAGCCTGACATGCTGGCAAAAGGGTAAAACCTTTTTATTATCAGTCTGGCTTTTGGCCTGCCTCTCCTTGTGCAAACTGGTAAAAGGCCTTTTGGTTTTTGCACTGTTCTTACCCTCCTTTATTTCATTTTGATACATGTTTTCTAATAACCCAGGTTGTCTCTTCTCACCTTCAGGCCCTCAAGCTCCAAAGGATCGTGCAACTTGGGACTTGGACGATTTCCCCTTTTCCTGGGGACCCTTAGATAGGCCTCTGAGGGAGATCTGACTGCCGTTTTCCTAAAACAGCACCCCCTGTCAGCATGAAGCAGTTAAGATTGGTCTTCATCCTTATCCTTATCTTTGTTTGTTTGTTTTGTTTGGTTTTTTTGAGATGGAGTCTCCCTCTGCCGCCCAAGCTGGAATGCAGTGGTGTGATCTTGGCTCACTGCTTGCTCTGCTTCCCGGGTACACGCCATTCTCTTGCCTGAGCCTCCTGAGTAGGTGGGACTACAGGTGCCCACCACCACGCCAGGCTATTTTTTTGTATTTTTAGTAGAGACGGGGTTTCACTGTGTAAGCCAAGATGGTCTCGATCTCCTGACCTTGTGATCCACCCACCTCGGCCTCTCAAAGTGCTGGGATTACAGGCGTGAGCCACTGCACCCGGCCCCTTATCTTTATCTTTATCCTTATTCTAAAGGCAGTTAGATGGACTTCTTTAGAGGGGGAAATAATAGATGCAGGAGGCAGATATGGGGAGGGGTCCCTGGAGAATCTCCGAGCTGCCCCACAAGTGTTTACATCAGATGCTTTTGTGCAGATGAGGGAACCTGCCCAGGGTCTTGTCTGCACCTGCCCGCAACAGACTGGGGACCTGCCTGTGCACTGGGAGGATGGGGTGGTGCCATGGGAAGTTCACACCTTGTGTCGGGGGAAGAACCTGGCCTCTTCAGCTCATGAGTGGTGGCCTGAAATCAATCTGTGAGGTGGGGGCCTGTTAGCAGGACCCCCTCTCACTTTGCTGAGAGTTTTTTTCTTTTTTGCCCAGTAAACTCCACTCTACTCACCCTTCAATGTGTCTGCGTGCCTAATCTTTCCTGGTTGTGTGACAAGAAGCCAGTTTTAGCTGAACTGAGGAGCAAAAATTCTGCAACACAAGCTTGGGAATTGTGCTTGTGCCTGCATTGCCAAGGGTCTCAGACTCTGCCAGCCAAAGGCCAAAGCCAAGTATTGAAGCAAGGCTCAGGCTGCAGCTCCAGCTTCAGTTCCAGCTTAGGCTCCAAAAGGTGCCCAGGCTCTCACAAAGGCTCCAGAGTAGAGACCTCTGTCTGCCAATGTGAGAACAGAAGGACTAGTGTGACCCCTGGGCTGCCCTCTGCACGGGGCTGATGTCCTCCAGTGCTATTTGTACAAATAAACCCGAGGCAGGGGGACAAAAAGCACTACAAATAACCCCGTTTCTACAGGCAAAGGCATTCAGAGTTTTGAGTTTGAAGTGCTTTAGAATCTGGTATCTCTACTGAAGGCTTCAATCTGTGGTTCTTTCTCTTATGGTCCCATATAGTGGCCTACTCACCCTACCGTTAGGCTATCTCACCTTCTGGGGTTAAATGGCGAGAAAGTCGAATTGTGCCTAACATCATCTTCATAGGGAGTAATATGCTATTAAAGCACTTTTCTAAAGAGAGCTATCATCTTTCTCTTTCTGAATTACGGCTTCCTGGGGGATAGGTTGATGAAGAAGCATTTGGCCTAAAATGGTCTTTTCCTAGAGCTGAGTAGAATTACCTTGGTTAATTGGATGAAGCAATGAACCAGGGTCTGAGGCTGGAGCTCCTGGTGCCTGCTCTAGCCCAGATCAGCCCTGGGGCTTTGTGTAAGTCGCTTCCCCTCTGGGGGCCTCATTTCCTCCTCTGCAAAGCAAGGAGGCTTCAATGATCTCTTTCTGGCTGGAGATTTTCTTAATGATTCTCAGAAACAGATTTTACTGGGGATGATAGATCTGTGATATGTGATATTGATTGTGGTGATGATTTCATCATGGATGTATACCTATGTCAAAACATGTCAAATTGCATGTCTTAAATATATGTAGTTTATAGACTGAGTTTCTTAAGAGAATGATACAAATTTAAAAATAAACATATGCCGTTTATTATATGTCATGTATACCTCAATATGACTGTTTAAAAAAATAGATTTCACCCAGCTTGTATGGTGGTGAGGAGGTAGAAATGACAATGCCCTATTCTGATATGTATCAGTTTATATTGTCAGAAACAGAAAACAGAGCTTTCTTAAGTTTTTCCTACAACCTCCTTCGAAGGCTTGTGCTTTCTCCTTCTCTAACTTCCTCTATTTATTTTATAAAATTACAATTTTCACCTTTCAAAAGACAAAATTACATCAAATTCAGTTTAAAGATCTCAGTTGGCTTTATTTGCGATTCTAGAATAGGGTAACACTTCATCCCATAAAACACAGTGAGTATTCTCATGAGCTAAGCAGAAGGGCTTGGCCTTACAGACAAAGACGGGCTGGATAACGCAGAAGCAAAAAACAAAGACTGTTAGTCTTTCCAAAGCTACTTTTCTTTTAAGGTGGGGACAGTGAGACACCACAATAGAAAAATAAGTGGTTGGTTAACATCAGGTGACTTCAGGCCACATTTTTTGTGTAAGGATTAAAGCAAAAGAGATTCATTATCGTGCCTATTGAAGATTTAAACTGGCCTGTTTGGGAAATTGCCTGTTATCTCTTTCTCCTGATTTCTCAGGTCAGTTAACAACCTATCTTGGGTCCTTAGCATGGGTGGCTCTGCTTTGATTTTTAGTCTGGTCTGCTGGGGTCTGGTATGGAAGCTTAGTCCAAAATAATGGCCTTCTATAATTTTTATTTGGCACATCCATCCAGGGAATGTTTATTTTTCTCACTCAGGCATCATCTTTGAGTCCTTTGGACTCAGGAGTGAGGTGGGGGCGAGGCATCTTTTGGACCCCCATTATAGCTCTAGGCTCAACACCCCCTTCCATTGTTCTTCCCAGCAAGGAAAGAGAGCTATCATGTTCCTAGCACTGAGAGTGGATTCAATCATTGAGTAGCACTTCTCAGCAGAAATTCCTTTTTGAAAGCTTAACAGTAGGGGAGATAATCAAAACAAATTCTTACAGTGGAACTTCACCCAGTGTCACAATGGATGGGGAGATGTTGTGGGGGCAACCATGGAGGTGGCTACCTATCCCTCCTTTAACACGGGCTGGAACTTCCTTTCCCCACCTTCTCCTTCTATATCCAGTCATGCACCAATTACTCACCACAGGCTTGTGTTTCTTCCACTGAAATCTCTCTTCAAGGCCATCTCAGACATTTCCTCTGCCATCCACAAGTCCAGATGTAGCATCCTAAATCTCGGTTTCCCCAAGAGGCTCATATTTGGCTCCCTGCTTAGAGGATCTCTGCCAGGCACCATCCTGCAAGGTTCACCATTTTCAGCATTGCCCTCATCAATCAGTTACCTGCTTAGAAACCTTCCAAGGCTCTCCATATCATCTGGTGTGTACTCCTCTGTTTGGATTGTGAGATCCTTTGCCCTCTAGCCCACCTTCTGGTATTTTACCTTCCCCACCACTCCCAGGTTCAAGTCTCTGCTCTGCTAGGCTAAGTTTCCTCCTTAACCCAGCTGTGTATCATGTGCTCTCCCCTGGTTCCCTGTCTAGCTTATATTTTCTTACCACCAGAAATCCAGGCTCTTTTCACATTTGCCTTGGCACAAAGGCTCAGCTCAAACTCCATTTTTTTTTTTTTTTTTTTGAGACGGAGTCTCACTCTGTTGCCTAGGCTGGAGCGCAGTGGTGCCATCTGGGCTCACTGCAAGCTCTGCCTCCCGGGTTCACACCATTCTCCTGCCTCAGCCTCCTGAGTAGCTGGGACTACAGGCTCCCGCCACCACACCCGGCTAACTTTTTGTATTTTTAGTAGAGACGGAGTTTCACCATGCTAGCCAGGATGGTCTCGATCTCCTGACCTCGTGATCCACCTGCCTTGGCCTCCCAAAGTGCTGGGATTACAGGCGTGAGCCACTGAGCCCAGCCTGAAACTTGATTTTTTCCAGGAAGCTTTTATTGATTCTCCAAGTACATACTTCCAGTTTATTGAACTACTGTTTATTTGATAGGTGCTGGAGACATGAGGATGAATTATGGCCTCTGCCTTTTGGTTTCTGTCTTCTCTCTGACTCCCAGGAGAATGAAAAACCAAGTTAATCCAGTCATTCTTAAAATCAGAAACACTGTGTATATACCTTTCCCCTTAAAGCAGATATTTGAGAATGCAAACCCAGAGATTTAAAGTGTGTGCTGATAAATTTGACACACAAAGGACAGACGAAAATTTCCTTGCTGCTTGTTGTGGTTGAGGCTTTCTAGGCTTAATATAACGTGTATGAACAACTAAAATTAAATAAACTATGGTTTCTAAAAATAAGCAGTTATATTTTCTTCTTAAGCAATGAAGAACAAAGTCAGATTAATGTAGATCTATGTTTATGAACAAGAAAAGATCACCTTTGTTTAAAGAACAGTATACGTGATATGGTCTAATCTTTGTTTAAGAAAAAAACTCGAAAGCAGAGAAAGAAATTTGGAAAGACATATGCCAAATGGTTTTCTTTGGATGGAAGAATTATTGATGGTTAAAGAAAACACTTTCTTTTAATTCACACTTTTTATAACAAGCAACTTCATTGTTGCTTGTTATAGGAAATGTCATCAGAAAGACATTTTCATTTTGGGAAAAAGCACAGAAAGAGGGATATCAATTTGGTGCAAATGCAGATGGATCACTTTCGAGAAAGTGCAAAATTGAATATTAAAAGGCCTTCTGTTTTGTTTTAATGTAGAGTGAGGATTGGAATGGGCCACATCTACAGGGACACTCAGCAGATGTGGACTGAGTGACTGCAGTGTTTCAAGGTAAACATTATAAAAATAAACAAATGAGCAAACTAATGGAATGTGATAGACAGGATGCCTGAGTAATTACTATAAATGCTCTGGCCTTTTTTTTGTGTGTGTGTCAGAGACCCAGAAAAGACTTTAACCTCTAGGTCTATTAATCTGGCTTCTATCACAGGGTAGCTAGTGGCGTTTTATGGTCTCAATCATAACTATATTGCCCTTGGTATGCTCTAGCAATTTTGTTCTCTTTCCATCAAAGTTTGTTATCTTATCCTAGGAATGGAACATGTACACATTGGTGATATCACACAGGTGGATGTCTACAACCTTGAGAATTTCACATGCAGGTGGGAATTTTCCCATGTGGGAATTCACGTGAGTTCTCAGAAGGCCAGCAGATCACCCTCAGCTGCCATCCCTACAAATAAAGTTCAGGAAGGACTCTGAATTCTGGACTCCAGGAAAACCCATGGCCATGAGGTTGATCCTGTTTTTTGGTGCCCTTTTTGGGCATATCTACTGTCTAGAAACATTTGTGGGGTAAGTTATGCTTTCTGGTGCTTCTTTGAATTTTACTTACCTGATTGATGGAGGCTTTGATTGTTACAGAGTAAATGGGTATAAGTGTTCAGTGTTTTCAGAGAAGTTCTCTTAGATTTGGGGATAAGTCAATAGTGTGAAAAAAAGGAGTGGATGATCAAAAAGGAGGTGAATGACATTTAAAGGAAAAGACAAAAGTGAAAACTGAACACACATAACCCTATTTCTCTCTGTCCTTACTCATTTTTCCCTCCAGTGATCAGACTGTAGGGATGATAGACATCAGGGAAAATACAGCTGTGTGGCCATTTGTTCCAGGCAACTCAGCGGGTGTCAATGCTACTCTCCCACCTCCTCCTGCTCTTCTGGGCTTTACCATCCACGTTAGCCCTTGTGCCCTAACCCCCGATCTTTAGATTCAGCACCTAGGTGGTGGAACCTCATGAAGTAGAAAGGCCAGGGCTATAGATTTCAGCTCAACTCCTCCTCTCCTGGCTTTGGAGGACTCATCTTTGCTCCAAAGTACTTTGCTTCATGATTCTATGAAGGGTTTCAGGCAGCATTTTTTGAAGAGTGGTCCAGGGAGCTAAGAAAGCAATCAAATAAGTTTGGTCCCAAAAAGCCACTGGTCAAATAAATGTGGGAATCAGAGGATTAAACAAACTATAGGATTTCTAGGAGCCTTGGCTAAATCAGTGTGCATTATAAATCTATAAGAGGGGATCTAGGTTGCAGCATGTACTCTTTTTTTTAATCATAAACTACCTACTGCTCCCAGCTTGCCCTTTCTTTCTTTCTCTTTCTCTTTCTTTCTTTCTTTCTCTTTCTTTCTTTCTTTCTTTCTTTCTTTCTTTCTTTCTTTCTTTCTTTCTTTCTTTCTTTCACTGAGTAACTCAAAGAACTACTATTCTTTAGAACACACACCAGGAAATATGACCCTGTTGTATTACTTTTCTCAGTGCCTTCCCATTTTAAAGGAGGACTCCTGGGAGTCCATGCATTAACCGAAAATAATGAGACTTAAATGGAAGAATTTTCAGACCATTTGTGGCAGGTGAGCCTCGAAGAGCTCACATTCCATCACTTCTGTATTCCACTGGAGTTCGTAGGAAATTGCATGGAGCTTGGTTTCAGAAGACCCATATTCTGGTCCCTGTACATGGCTCATTGTATTGATTCCTTCCCCACTGCACAAACAGTTGGGGCAGTGACTTAGGAAGTCTGCCTACGTGGAGAAAGGCTAGAAGGGGAAACTCTGTCACCAAGGGAACTCTTCCTAAAGAGATGTGCTTGATTGTTTTGAGATTTCTCTTTCCTGTTCATCCTTCATTCCCTATTAAGGGGGTGTGTGTGTGTGTGTGTGTGTGTGTGTGTGTGTGTGTGTTTGTAAAGAGAGGCACGGCACATAATTTGTCAGGGTCCCAACTATCTCTGGCCATGCCCCATGTTTGGGCCCCATGAATGGGGTCTGGGGATGGAACCTTGATACATTTTCAGTTGACAAAATCAAAGAACAAACAAAACCCCCAAAACCATTAAAAACAAAATCTTAGGACTACCCACATATGAATTGTTTCCTCTTACAAGCACCAAATTATTCCACTTTTTAAAAACTTACTTCTGAACAACAGGAACAGGCAAGTATTAAAAGCTATAACACTCCACAAGCAGCAGGTTTTATTTGACTCATTAGCTATGGGAAAGGTAACTTTAATGGCAGGCTTCCTGCTAGGAGCAGGTACACCTATTCATTATTATTTAGATAACATTTCCTGGGAGGAAATAACGCCATTCTATCACCTTCTCATTCTGGCGATGTGGGTTTAGTATACTATTTATTAGTTTCTGGATTGTCACAGAGATTATTGACTGTTGCATTAATCTGTTATACGCAGAGACTAACAGGTGCAGAAAGCAACAGGAAACAGTGTCCAGGTTTTGCTTTTAAGGTCATATTTGTGGTTAATTTTCTTTAGAGACCAAGTTCTTGAGATTGTACCAAGCAATGAAGAACAAATTAAAAATCTGCTACAATTGGAGGCTCAAGAACATCTCCAGGTATTTGATCTAGTGGGAGTTGCTGTTCCCAGAATGAATACAGTTAAACATGATTGAGCTCTATTTTCGACTGTATTCTGACTCCCATGACATAGTGTGAAATGCTAACTCATGCAGCTGGGGTTCTGAAAACCTGGGCTCTAGTCCCAACTACAGGACATTGGGCAAGCCACCTACCTTCCCTGTGTCTCATTTTCTCACTCAGAGTAATGGCGATAAATATGCCGTTCTTCTATCTCTCAGGTTTATTGTAAGAATGAGAAGAGATATCAAATGTGAAAGTTACTTTCAAAAATTAAACACCTTTAGTGCATATTTCCCTTATAAAATAATTTATAGCATTTATATCCCATTATTAAATGAATTGGATTGCTAGAATCCCAGCTTAAAAAAACTGCCATCGTTTTAATAATCTTTTCCTTCTGCCAGTTTTAATATCTAGCCATAGGGGCAGGGGAAACAATATAATGGATTTGCTGACACATGGATATTTAAAAGCCCTTGTTGCAATATCATAGTGATTCCACAATGATTCCAAAACTTGTGGGCTCAAGATAAAGTGGATGCAAATTGATTCCTAGAAATCTATCAGTGCTGAACTGTCCATTCCCCAGAACAGCCCATTCATTTCCTTGGCTTGGACTTTTATCCCTTTCAGCTTGATTTTTGGAAATCACCCACCACCCCAGGGGAGACAGCCCACGTCCGAGTTCCCTTCGTCAACGTCCAGGCAGTCAAAGTGTTCTTGGAGTCCCAGGGAATTGCCTATTCCATCATGATTGAAGACGTGCAGGTAATTATGCCATGGACTCGCCTTCCTGCAGCTTGCTGGGCCACATGAACGTCAGCTCAGTTCCATCTTCTTTTATGCTTGAGTACTCTCTGCAGGGAAGGGACCTGTGGGTGCCACTAGGACCTTCCAGCAGTCTGGGCTCCCCTTGCAAGGTGGGTAGGAGGGCACTGTCTCTCTCTCTTTTGCATTTGGCACATGCAGAATATGGTAACAAAGAATTTAAGGGAAAGGGCAAAAGACAGCCTACAGCATGAAATATAAAGTGCAAACCAAAGGATGTTAGGCAGAAGAAGGAGGAGAAGGACTCTCATTCTGTTGCCCAGGCTGGAGTGCAGTGGCACGATCTTGGCTCACTGCAACCTCTGTCTCCCAGGCTCAAGCGATTCTCCAGCCTCAGCCTCTCCAGTAGCTGGGACTACAGGCATGCACCATCACGCCCAGCTAGTTTTTGTATTTTTAGTAGAGGTGGGGTTTCACTGTGTTGCCCAGGCTGATCTCAAACTCCTGGCCTCAAGTGATCTGCCCGCCTCGGCCTCCCAAAGTGCTGGGATTACAGGTGTGAGCCACCGACTCTGGCCTGATTTAGTTTTTGTTTAGAGGTTAACTCTTAACACAGGCCCTGAGCTCCCAGAAAGGTAGGATGAGCCATAAGACTGTGCCTGCAAACCTACCCTGGCACACCTGCAGCATCTGGCTGGTAGGAAGTCCCATGAATGCTCCATCCCCTTTCACAGTGGGGCCAGAATAAGGGAAAGTCATGACCTCAAAGCCTACAGGACAAGAAGAGGAAAGCTTGGTACTGGGGACCCGAGTGTTACCCTTTCCTTCACAATTACAGACTGAAATGCATTGCTGTAAACCAGTCATAGATAGAATTGTTTTATCTTAGGTCCTGTTGGACAAAGAGAATGAAGAAATGCTTTTTAATAGGAGAAGAGAACGGAGTGGTAACTTCAATTTTGGGGCCTACCATACCCTGGAAGAGGTAGGTGTTTCAAAATGAACATCACGGAGACGGGCCATTCTCTCCTCTAAGGACAAAGCTCATACTTCCACGTGGTGATTTAATGGCCTAGAAATTATTCTATTATTTTCTAACTTCTCCAAGTTTCCTTAGGATTTCACAGCCAGTACCAGTATCACTGGCTTCACACCTACTCCTGCTTCATGTAGGGCCTGAAGTCCACTTGCCCATCTCAACAGCCACCCACTGTGGAGTGTCTAAAGGGTACCCACAAGCAGCTCCCTCAGGCTGGTGCTCTTGCCCTAAGCCCCCTTACTGACTTCTGACCTGTGCTGCCCACAAAGCCAGGGAAGCCATCATGGCTGCCACTGACGATGCAATCGGGGCACAGAGCCAGGTGAGAGATGTGCTTCCGGGCTGCCACTGATGATGGAATCAGGGACCACCTTGACGCCTCTGACTTCCATCCAAGTGTTACTGGTGGAGGGTGTCCAGGTTCTTGGCGTCTTGAACAAATAATTGGACAAAACGCACAAACAAAACAAGGAAGGAATGAAGCAACAAAAGCATATATTTATTGAAAACAAAAGTACACTCCACAGGTTGGGAGCAGCCCGAGCATAGGGGCCCAAGAGCCCATTACAGAATTTTCTGGGATTTAAATACTCTTTAGAGGTTTCCCATTGGTTACTTGGTGTACACCCTACGTAAATGAAGCAGTAGCCTGCGATCAGTGTGATTGGTTGCAGAAGGTGGCCAGTCAGAGGCTGAAGTGAAGTTACAAAATTATACTCCTATGCAAATGAAGACTTGGCTTGCAACCAATCTGATTGGTTGCAGGAGGGGACCAATCAGAGGTACTTTCAATTTTTCATCTGCCGTGCCAAGAAGCGGGGGTTGGTGCAAAGGGAGTAGCCTCTGGTCCTTTTGTTACTTGGGCGTGGAAAGTTGGAGTTTTCTTTTTGATTTAGTTCTAGGGAGTCAGCCTGAATTGGCCTTGGGTTCCCTGCCTCCAGACCCTATTCTTCTGCCTCACAGGGATGTGCTCTCTAAGACCTCATGGCAGCAAAGCCTCATGAAGTCTCTGCTGTCTTTCTTGGGCTTTGTTGTTTCTGTGGAGACTATCCCCTTCCTGCATCTGCTACTCCATGCTGCTGTGGGGATCCTGGGCAGTGCTGCATTTACTTCTGTGGCACAGAGCTCTTCTCCAGGCCCACGGGAATCTATCTGCACTGACTTAAGAGTCGAGGGATGGAAAGGGGCCGGAGGGGATGGAGGTTGTAGGGCCAAGGGGTGGCATGGGGAGTACGAAAGAGCCAGAGAAGAGGTATCTGGTAGGCACCAAGTCTCCAAGTTGGCAGTTTTTAAATGCAAAAAGCTTTAAACATTTTTTTCTCCTAATTTATGTGATGGAAAAACCTGATTTAACCTAAACTCATTTGGGAGCAAAATCTGACCTGAATTGCCTCACTGCTCATTTGTTTCACTGCCAGAAATAATATTAATGTGCTTGAATACGGAGCAATGTCCCGTGTGTAATAATATATACTTCCTATTACCCTTCTAAAATTCTCCCCTGAAAAAAATATCTTATTTGAAATATATATGGCCTCAAGGGTTTCAGATAGGGGACTGTGGACCAGCACAGAGAATAAGAAAGAAAAGGAAGTGAAGCAAACAAGATGCCCTCCCGCTCTCCCAGACAAACTGATGTCTGTCTCCTACAGAGTGCAAATACTGGCAACAGCTGGAGGGACTGACTTCCTCCCGCTAGCTCTCCAGACGCGCCCGGACACGTCTCAATCCCAGCAATGGACACAGCTTGGGTTCTCCAGATGCACAAAATTTCAATCGCCTTGAAAATAGGAGCTGGAGTAGCCGGTGGCCTTAGTGCGTCTGCAGCAGAAACCCCATTGTCCCTGGGCCTGATTTAGCCGGGAGACATTTTGTAGCGATCGCCTCTACATCCATTTTGGGGTTGAGGGGGCACTACCATTTGTGTTCCTCTGCTAACAAGGGCGAGAAACCCCACCTCAGGGCTGGGGTCGCCAAAAGCCACAAGTACCTCAGGGAAGTGTGCCATTTTGCTTTGCACAAAACTGCAAAGAGCCGGCTGGGCTGCAGCCCCTGCAGACACCGTCGGACTCAGCAGCACTCAGCTGGATCCAAACCCTCCGACCCTACAGCTCGGGCCGCGCTGCCCCCTCCGCTGTGTCCCAAGGGAATGGGGAAAATCACCAGGGGATCAGATCTCATGCAACAGATGGTTCACTCGCAAATGTCTATTTATTCACTTGAAACATTTCAGATTTCCCAAGAAATGGATAACCTCGTGGCTGAGCACCCTGGTCTAGTGAGCAAAGTGAATATTGGCTCTTCTTTTGAGAACCGGCCTATGAACGTGCTCAAGGTACACGGTGCAGGGACGGTTCTTCCTCTCGATGTTTCTAGAATCTCCCTCCTCCCAGGCTAGCCGGCAGTCCCAGCTTGTGCTACAGAGAGGCTCCTTTTTATTACTTTTTTTTTCTTTTCCTCCTAACCGGTCCTTGCTGGTTTTGAGTATCCACTCCCCCACCCCCGCCCCCTTCTTTTTCTTTCTCTCTGTTCCTGAGCAAGCTGACGCAGGTCTGCAGGAGTGAATTAATGCTCACGTCCTGAGAGATGAGCTCCTGGGGAACCGGGGCAAATGCGCCAATAGGAGCCGAGGAAGGGGGAGGTGCGGGCCGGGGGAGGTTGGGGGCTGGGGGCTGTAATTCAAGCTGGGAGTTCTCTGCCTCCCCTCCCCTTCTCTTTTTTTTCTTTCCTCTTTAAACACACACACACACACACACATACACGCGCACACACACACGCACACCAGTTAAAAAAGAAAAAGCACTAATTGCCTAAGCTGCATTTTTTTCTTTTTCTTTTTTTTTTTTTTTTTTGTTTTTTAAAGAAGAGTTCTGGTCGTATGCAGAAGGATGATGGACAACTAAACCCTAAACCGCAAAGACAAACGCCCTGAACGAAGATCTTTTGAAAAAGGATATAGATGAAAAAAGGTTAGGGTTTTACGCCATCTCGTAACCTCTGAAGTCTTTGTGCACATAATTTCAAGCTTTGCACTTTGTCCTCAAAAACAGTGAAAATTATTTCCCCAGATTTCCTAGAAAGAGTTTTTTAAGAGAAAAAAAAACCAAAAAGAGGTAATGTCACAACTCCTCGCTAAATTTGGAAACGTTATGGCTGGGAACCAACTGACTAACTGGGACAGATGGATTTCTCCAGAGCGTTTTTCCCAAAGCAGGCCTGAGAGGAGTGATTTGCCTACTTTATACCACTAGGATACATTTGCTAATGTTTACCTCCCTTCTTTCTTTTTATTTCGTCTACCCGCACCCCCCCTCCCCGCGCCGAGTTGGATCAGAAAACCCCAGATTCTCTTCCACCTTGGTCTTCCCTGGCCTTCCCTTTTCCTGCGTGGTTCGGCGGTGGAGGATGTTGTGTTTTTGAAAGTTCCCTGCTTTTTACATTTGAGCTCTTTGGAGGAAAAGGCACAAAACACTTTTAACTAAAACTCCTAGAACCCATGAACTGTAATTTTTAGCAAGGATTTGCATTTCTCATTTACCTTATCTGCTGTGTTTAGAATGCTGCACAGAGATAGAAGTTGATGGTGCAAAAATAATCTTTTCCTCTCCATTTACTGATCCAATTGGCAAAGCCACTGTTTCAAATAAAACTAAGTCACTTAGATCATAAAATTTAAACTCTGGAAAGTACCTCCGGAGGCTTGCTATCCTGTTTTTATGAAGGTCTCAAAAGGTTATCACAAGCATTTTTATAACAAAACACTATTATTGCATACATTTGGAAAATAGAGAAAAGAAAAAAGAAAAAAAAATCCTCATAATTCTAATTCCACAACTATAGGATAATAGCTATTAACAATCTGTTGTATATTTTTCTACTTTTTTCTCTCTTTTCTTTTTCCTTTTCTCTCTTCCTCCTTCTCCTTTTCCTTTTTTCTCATATGTATGTGTATGTATAAATGAACTAGTTTCTTTAAAAATAAAAATGAAATCTTGTAATCCATTTTTTTCCAATTTTCAGCATATGAAGATATTTTCATGTCATCATCTACAACGATTTTTTACAAACATCAGAGGAGAATTGTCTATGCCCCTCAGTCTGTGTTTACACTTGCATTCGAAGAAGGGGACAAAAGAAAATTCTCCTTAAATGAGAGTTAGTCGACAGCATCACTGTCTGTATTTCCTTCTCTGTCAATCACATCAAGAATAGAGAGAGGGACAGAGAAGGATGGTCTAGGGTAGAAAGGAGGCAACCAGGTGCCACGGCAGTGGAGCCGTTCACATTGCCACACTTGCTTTTGCAGTTCAGCACCGGAGGAGACAAGCCAGCTATCTGGCTGGATGCTGGGATCCATGCTCGAGAGTGGGTTACACAAGCTACGGCACTTTGGACAGCAAATAAGGTCATTTTGCCTAATATTCCTTGCTTATTTTGCCTTTCTGGGGTCAGGCCCACCAAAATCCATGACAGTCCCAGTGGTCCTGATGGCTGGCGCTCTCAGACAAAACCCTTCTCTTGTCACACGGGCTGGCAGTCAACCCATCCAGACTTTTTTGGTATTGCCCCATCCAGCACCCCAGGCTCCTCCCCTTGGGCAGGCCACTGTGCGCTGTGTTAAAAGGCACAGCGATGTGATGATTGCTGTTGAGTGAGAGAGAGGGGAAAAAAAAAAAGACTCAGTAAGCTAAAGAGATTGAACGGGTGGCCAGGGAGGACCCTTGGGAGCCAGATTTCAGCAAAAGAACCGACTAGAGAAAAATCACTTTGCTGCCTGGAACCCTGAGGGCTGAGGTGTGATATGCTAGAAATTTATAAAATCATGAAAGGGGGTCACCTGGAAAATACAAACAGGCGCAAGAAGAGTTAACCCACAGATCCAAAGTGGAGTTGGCTAAGGGTGTTTGGGTTGTTCTGAAAATTTCCCAAATTTGATTTTGAAGGTAGGGTGTAGTAAGATCTCTCTTCCACAAGTTTGTTGGCATTAGAGTCAGGAAATGGGGCTGGGTATGACCTAGTCTGGTATTTCTTAGGTAATTCAAAAATGACATGCTATAAATCAGAATGTTAATTCACGAGCAGAGGAAATCAATCCACATCAGATCATTCAAGCATGTGCAACCACGTGCATACCGACTGATACATTTTTCCCTTCAATTAAAATGCGGTTACCTTTAGGGTATTATGAAATGGATATTTAACAGTTGAATAATAATGCCTTAGGATGGCTGAGCACAGGAAATGAATAAATTTTAATCCAGCAGAAACTTCAACTCAACTGCGGTTAATGGCAAGTAAAAATGTAATTCCCCAAATGGAATTTAACTTGTTCTCTGTGTCTTTAGCAATGTCTCTGCATATTTAAGTAATCTGATGTTTGTTGTGAGTTCTTTTGGAAAGTTATCTCATGTAGGGATTAAGGAATACCAAACAAAATTTCTTTGGTGCATAGGTCCACATAAGTCACATATATCACTGCTCACTATTGCAAAATGTCTCACTGGGATGGATAGGAAGAATGTTACTGCTTTTGAAAGAGTAGATATATGATATCTGATTTTTACTCAATAGAAGTAAATTATTCTGATTAGAAATAAAAGTATAGACGCTAGCATATTCAACACATTAACATTGCAGGAGACCGGACTGCTGGATGCCTAGAAGACTTTCCTTGATCAATAGTGATCCCTGGTTCACATCTGGAAAAAACACTACCTTACTATTCTGTCCTGTGTTCCCAACAAAAGCGGTGTGTGAGGTTGACATGTATCTTGTCTTTGCTCAGATTGTTTCTGATTATGGAAAGGACCCATCCATCACTTCCATTCTGGATGCCCTGGATATCTTCCTCCTGCCAGTCACAAACCCTGATGGATACGTGTTCTCTCAAACCAAAGTAAGCCTGGATTTTGTTCCCTTCTTCAACAAGGACCTAAGGAGATGTGTAGGAACTTCAAAAGCAAAATAAAAATACTCATTCTTTTCTTGATTTACTCTAAATGGAATGTCTAATTTCTCAGTAGTCACCCGGAAATGAGGGTTAGAGAAGTGGTTATAATCACTTCTTATTCCAACACATGATGTCTTTATATGTTGCCTCAGCCAGAGCCCATTTCAGCTGTTAGGCTGGGCTATTAGAGCTCAGTGTTCACCATGAGTCATCTAGGAGATTTGTTCCAATTATCTCTGCAATTTTTTGTGGTAGGATTGATAGAAAAGAGGAGGCGGATGTTACCTGCTGACAATTAGATTGCAGTAGGATTTAGGTGGGCAGTACAGTACATCTAGCATTTTACTTAAAATCTGTGGGAGAAATCCTCCATAATATCACTTAAAAGAGTTACATGGTTTTTTTTTTCCCTTAAAATCTCATTACAATACACTATTGTAGCAACCATGACCCCACATATATTCAAGATGAATGACAGCTTCAAGTTTATTTTTAGAAAGAGCTAACTACGGTAGCGTTTTCAAAGACATTTTCAAAGAAACTGATACTAATACTAGTACTCATCCCATGAGATACCATATGAATCAAGGGTTCCATTGTCAAGACCAGGAAACACCGCCCACCGTATCCGTTTCTTAGAGGTTTATAAAAAACAAGGCATTAACAATCCTTAGAAGTTCTGAAGTAAGTTTACCAAGTTAGCTCCATATTTTCCCCAAATAGGCTCATTGCAGAACCCTCTCTTCTGCTTTTGGTTCTTGCTGTTGGCCTTGGACAGAACTAGGGTTCCATGGCACGTGTTTGGCAGGCGTTCATTTGAGGAGATGGGGGCGTATTCATGTCTCACTTTGGTGAGATGGCAGAGAAACTCCTAGCAGAACCTGTATGAGGACTGTCCAACACCTCCCCAAGCCAAGGGAAAGGAGTGTCCCAGAGAACTAGGGAAATTGACAGAATTCTAAAGGAACCTTCTGATCAGGCTGAATGACCCTCTTTCTTTTTTTCCATGTGCTTTTTGGGTGGGATCTGAAAGAATCGTATGTGGCGGAAGACCCGGTCCAAGGTATCTGGAAGCCTCTGTGTTGGTGTGGATCCTAACCGGAACTGGGATGCAGGTTTTGGAGGTGAGCGCAGGGACTTGCCCCCAGGGATGGTCAGCCCGTGGTCTGGCCCACAAGCTGGTTCAAATGGCCCTGCAGTGCATCAGCTGGCTAAGCCCATCCAGGATTTAAGCCATTTAAAAACCTCTTTGAAAAACACTTAACTAAATTCCCTTCACAGGAGCACAGTGCTGTCACAGAGCTCTGAGCAGCATTTAATATATTTTGTCTCACATCTTGGTTTTCCCACAAGCTGTCGCCCGGTTAGCCTTCTGTGCAGCGGGAGCAAGACTTTGCACAGTGGCGGGAGGACTCGGGAAGCCCTGAGCCAGCCACTAGAGGGGGATAGGATCTATTCCAAGGAGAAGCATTACATCATCTATGGATGCTTCGAGAAAGAAAACTAAAAAGAAGTACATACACACAGGATGGAGAAACTGACTTTCAAAACAGATTCAAATATAAAATGTGAGCTTGCTGCCCTGGCTTTGTGACAGCGCTTATGTTTTGGAGTTCCGTGTCAGGCTAGTTAGGGGCTCCTTTATGGCCTCAGGTACTGGTGAAAACCCCTTATGTTTCAGTAACCATAGAATTAAATTTTTTCCCCCTCACTAGGCTATGATAAAATTGAGGTCAGGAGCTGTGTCTTTTTCACTGTAGTATTCCTAACACCTAGCACAGTGTCTGCAACGCAGAAGGTAATCACTATGTATTTGTAAGACAAATTAATTAATTAGAGTTATGGAACTAAGACAGGACTGTAGAGAACTGCTACAGGATATGGATGAGTGGCAACTTCATTCATTGCTTTGACAATTCTTCTTCTTTTTTTTTTAGTGTAGTGGAAAAATAATTAAAGCACAATACTGAGCAATGGCCCACAGTTCAATGTCAATCCCCCCGATATTATTTTCATTAAATAATTTTAAAATAAGGTGACGTTTTGTCTGTATCACATGGGGAGCCTAGGGAATCCTGACCCCTACTCATCCCCTGGAAGTTTCTCTAGCAGTGAGAGCCCTGGCCAGGCCTACAATGGACCCATTTCAGTGGTCTTGAGCCACTCTAGTTGCTGAGAAAATCAAGGCCAAAGGTGGCCTTGTTGTCAAATGTAGTCATGATTTCCTCATTGCAGAAAGGGTGTCAGAGGTTCCTTGCATTTCTGGCTTTGTGCCTTGGAATTACAGATGCATAGAATCTTCTACTGTTGGACTCTAAGAATTGGATGAGATCCCAGAAAATGAACTTGCTAAACTCCCACCCAATGCAGGAATTCCATCCATAATATTAAATCTAGCTTTTCTTCCAATAACTCCTACAGAGAGGAGATGATCTAATTAGATGGCTCTTTCTACTGTATAGAGGAACCATATTTTTTGAAGAAGAGATGTGTCCAGAATCACTTCAGTTAGGCTTTCTGACTATAACCTTTGGAAGAGACTTGATCTAACACAATGACAATCTTGCCCCGACTTCCAGAGGAGAAAATTAGTGATGCATGGTGACCTCCTCCCTACAGTGTCTTCTTAGAGCTCACTGTCCTCACTGGGCTACTTCTGCATCTCCCCAGGACCTGGAGCCAGCAGCAACCCTTGCTCTGATTCATACCACGGACCCAGTGCCAACTCTGAAGTTGAAGTGAAATCCATAGTGGACTTCATCAAGAGTCATGGAAAAGTCAAGGCCTTCATTACCCTCCACAGCTATTCCCAGCTGCTGATGTTCCCCTATGGGTACAAATGTACCAAGTTAGATGACTTTGATGAGCTGGTGAGTTTCTGAAACTTAATTTCAGCCAAGCAACAAACATCCATTGTGTGGTCAAGTAAGTTTCAGGCATAAAGTCATGCCCTAAGGTGGAGGTGTACCATTACAGCAATGAATGAAACATAAGTTCAACCACCGAGAAGATTATGATGCAGCCAAAGGTTTGAAAGACTGATTTTGAACTTTCCTATATTAAGTTTCTTTGGGAAATAGAATTCATGAAGTTATTGTTACCTTAGTCTAGATGAGCAGGAGCCTGGTTTGAGCATAAATTCCCAGAACATGCTTTTCTGTTGCATATGGGGGAAAAAACCCTTGGATTTGGATATGAGGCTTTTGGATTGGTAGTCAAATGCTCCAAGCTGAGCAATTCTGCTTCTCAGCAACTTGTCTTATACTTTTCTGGGATCTTTGGCTCTGTGATCTACCATGACGATGCACTGGTGTATGATGTTGGGGGTAAAACACTCACTTCCCTAACTTGATACCTTCTGTCACCCTTCCTGTTTCAGGAATAAGCCAACTGGCCCCAGCCTTAGATCAGATGGTGACATCTCAGGAGGCTGTTCACAACTGAGCAAGAGCTATCCCCAGCTAAAAAGAATGTGCAAATTATTTCTAATTTGGCTTTTAGGCTTGGTTTATGAAACCCATATGTTAGAAATAAGCCCAGAGTTGGGACCTTTTTGTCAATTTACCTTCAAGTAGATTATTGTCAGCAGCCTCATGCAGAAATAGATTAGATTATTCCAATTCAAGTATGCCTTTCATCTCATCAGTTAGATTTGAGCGCTGTGAGGTTTTGATGGTCAGTATTACCATTCAAGGTCATATCAGGGAAAAAGAATGTTCTAAAATGTTCTTTTTTTAGACCTAGATGACCTTAAATTATCTAAACCTGTGCTCAAACCTCTAGCAGATAGTCAATCTAGGCTATGATTAGATGGCTTCCTGCCTTCAGGGGAGCCTATTCTGTGTTGGGGAAGGTTGTTAGTGTTCTTCTTTATAGAGAGCGAAATCTTTGTATGGTTTTCACCTATCAGCCCTGGTTTATCATCTGGTTCTACTGAGCAAGTTTATTTCCCTTTGAGAGGTGAATCCACTAATTACTTGAAGACCACCAGCCTGCTTCTCCTAGCTCTTACTCCTAAATAACCTCAGTTCCTTCAAGCATTCATATTATGGGCCCAAGTTCCCTTACTATTCTGGTCGCTGTTTTCTGAATATGCTTCTTCAAGGGTAGTGTCTTAATCTGTTTGCATTGCTGTAAAGAAATACCTAAGACTAGGTAATTTATTAAGGAAAAAGTTTTATTTGGATTATGATTCTGCTGGCTGGAAGATTGGGCATCTGGTGAGAGCTTCAGGCTGCTTCCCACTCATGGAAGGCAAATGGGAGCTGGCGTGTGCAGAGATCACACGGTGAGGGAGGAAGCAAGAGAGAGAGTCGGGAGGTGCCGGACTCTTTAACAACCAGCTTTCGAGAGAATTAATAGAGCAAGTACTCACTCCTAACTGTGAGGACTGCACCAAGCCATTCATGAGGGATCTATTCCCATGATCCAGACACCTCCCATTAGGCCTCACCGCCAATCTTGGGGATCAGATTTCAACATGAGGCTTGAGGGGAATACATATCCAAACTATAGCAGGTAGCTCCCAGAAGTGAATGTGAAATCAGTATTGTGGGTTACCCAGCACAGAGCAGGGTGTGACCATAACTACCCTCAGCCAGACCGTGCACTTCTGCACATTCAGTTGAGGATCACATTAGTTTTTTGGCAGTAGCCCTGTGATGTTGACTCATGTTGGGCTCATTGACAAGAGTAACCCCCAGGCTCTCCAAGGATTCTACCAAGCCAGGTTTCCCCCATCTGGTAATTGTACAGTTGTTTTCCTGGACCCAAGTTCAAGACCTTACATTTATCCCTGACAAGGACAGTAAAGCCTCAATCAGTCAAAATTGGAACCCTCAAATAATGGAAAATATTTTTCTGAGCTCTACTTTTTGGAAAAAGAGACAGCCATAGGGAAATAAGCCAATGTAGGGATCTAGTAAAAGAAAAGTCAACTTCCCACATATGTCCTGGGGTCAGTCCACATTCTCTTTAGACCCCTTAAATCTACCCTAATTTTAGCCACACTCCTGAACAAAGAGAACTGGTGGCAAAATAATGAATCCTTGAGTGTTGCAAACACCAGGATGATCAAATAGACAATGAGGACCTTCACGTTGTATTTTCAAAGCCAATAGAAGTGAACTTACTTCTATTGGAGAAGTAAGCTTACTTCACAGTGAAAATGGTTCAAATAAAAAGGGTGTTGTGCCTTCACCTCAATTAACTAGACAGTCTAGTTAGAGCATTCTATGTTCTGCTGTCGGGCAACTGATCTCCCAAGAGACAAGTGTTATCTGTCTACCTTTCTTTGGTTCTCTTACTCTAGAGTGAAGTGGCCCAAAAGGCTGCCCAATCTCTGAGAAGCCTGCATGGCACCAAGTACAAAGTGGGACCAATCTGCTCTGTCATCTGTAAGTATCCAATGTGCTGGAAGTTTTTACAAATGACCCACTAAGATGGCAGGCACCGTGTGAGTTTGAGCCAAAACTTTTAAATACCTTTATTGAAAGGGATAGGTCTTCATGCATGGAACCCAACCTTCCCCAATTTCCCTCAGTGAATCTAGTCTCCTCCATGAGATACTTACTGTGTGATGGCCAGAACAAAGAACTCCCTAAGTATATGTTTTGTGCCCTCTCCTGTGCTTGTTCAGATCCTTACAGCTCACTCTCATTCTGTAGAATTTGTTTATCTAAAAATAAGCCTTTATCAAGACCTGGCTCTTTGTTTTTTTTTTCTTTTTCTTTTTTTTGAGATGGAGTCTCACTCTGTTGCCCAGGCTGGAATGCAGTGGCTTGATCTCAGCTCACTGCAACCTCTACCTCCTGGGTTCAAGCACTTCTCCTGTCTCAGCCTCCCAAGTAGCTGGGACTACAGGTGTGTGCCACCATGCCCAGCTAATTTTTGTATTTTTAATAGAGACGGAGTTTCACTACATTGGTCAGGCTGGTCTCGAACTTCTGACCTCAGGTGATCTGCCCACCTCGGCCTCCCAAAGTGCTAGGATTACAGGCACGAGCCGCTGTGCCTGGCCTAAGACCTGGCTCTTTTATTATCTTCCCTTTCCAGGCTAAGAGGGGTTCATGCCCTGAGAATTCCATGGACTGCGGGGGCAGAATGGGTGTGACTCTTGAAGAGGACCCAGGTGGTTCCGTGGATAGACTCTGCTGCAGCCATGTGTTGATGCAGAGTATGTGGAGATGGAGAAGGAGAAGTCAGGAATAGCGGCAGTGTGAGGAATAAGTCTGGGGAGCCTGCCGTCAGACGTTCTAGGCCCTCCTCTTCCCTAGTTGATTGAGATAAAAACAAGAAACTACTACAGTGCTTTGGGAAATCCCAGTGCACCCTTGTGCAGGTTCTGAATCCTTCAAAGGCACGCTCCTTTCCTTATGGACAAAGCTGGAAACTCAGGACCACACAGTTCCATGCCCAGGAGTTCCCTAGTGCTTCCATGCCCAAGGATCCTTTGGAAACCAATGCCTTTAATAGGCACCCATTCTGTTTTTCTTTTTTTTTTGGAGATGGAGTTTTGCTCTGTCACCCAGGTTGGAGTGCAGTAGCACCATCTTGGCTCATTACAATCTCCAACTCCCAGGTTCAAGGGATTCTTGTGCCTCAGCCTCTGGAGTAGCTGGGATTACAGGTGCCCGCTACCACACCCAGCTTATTTATTTATTTATTTATTTGTATTTTTAGTAGAGAGAGGGTTTCACCACATTGGCCAGACTGGTCTCGAATTCCTGACCTCAAGTGATCTGTCTGCCTCTGTCTCCTAAAGTGCCGGGATTACAGACGTGAGCCACCATGCCTGGCCACCCATTCTAACAGACTTTTAAATTAAGTATCTATTATATGTTAAGCATTATGCCAAGCACTGGAGACATAATGTGCCCACACAGAACTCTTTAATAGAAGAGATGAACAGGAAGGCAAATGAACTTTTGTATGATGTGTGCAATAGTAGGCTATACATGGTACAGAAGTATTAGAAAGTCGGGGGATCCGATGGAAGTGGAGTCAGGAAAAACTTCATGTAAGAGGAGGGTAGGGTTGTAAAGACTGGTTGCCAGGTAGCTAGAGAAGGAGAAAAAGGATGGGGCATTCTCATAGCCAACAGCATATGCAAAGGCATAGAAGTATAAAATTGCGTGATGGGTTCTGGGAGCTACAAGTAGGTTGAGATCGCTGAAATGAAAGAGGAAGAAAAGGGAGTTGGGGAAGTTCAGGGTTTTGTGTGCCGTGGTAAGGAGTTTAGGTTTAATCCAGAGGATTCTAAAAGCCATCGGGGGGTTTTCAGCAGGACGGTGAGGGAATTGAGGCATTGTGTTTAGCTAAAACATAGCAGCAGTGTGGATGGAGTGATGAGGGACTGCAGTAGAGACATCCCATAGGAAGAGGAGGAGGAGTTCAGGTGAGAGACAATGGCCCAAACTACAGCAGGTCCAGTGACGATGGAAGAGATTTAGGAGATAAAGCCAAGAAGCTTTGTCATTTATTGGATGGGGAGAGGTCCTCACTGAAAGTCATTGGTGCCACTCACTGAGGGAGAAGTCCAGGAAGGTGAAAGAGGGGTGAGGTTGCAAAGATAATGAGTTCAGCTGTGGACATATTGAGGCTGAGCTCCTTGTAGGGTATTCAAATGGAGATGGTCTGTAGGTTTTGGACTACATGCCCTGGGATTCTGTGCAGAGAGAGATTTGGGAAGAGTTGGCATAGAGTGGGTGGTTGGACCAGTAGAGCAGGGGGAACATTTGGAGTGAGAGGAACCCTGGGCAAAGCAGGGAGCAAGGTGTTAGGCAGCAGAAGGGGTTAGCAGCAAGGGCTGGGCAGAAAGGCAGAGAACCCTGGATGTCAGAAACCAGGGGAGAAGTAATTATTAAAAAGGAGGCAGGCCGGGCGCGGTGGCTCACGCCTGTAATCCCAGCACTTTGGGAGGCTGAGGCGGGTGGATCACGAGGTCAGGAGATCAAGACCATCCTGGCTAACACAGTGAAACCCTGTCTCTACTAAAAATACAAAAAATTAGCCAGGCGAGGTGGCGGGCGCCTGTAGTCCCAGCTACAGGCTGAGGCAGGAGAATGGCGTGAACCCCGGGGGGTGGAGCCTGCAGTGAGCCAAGATCGTGCCACTGCACTCCAGCCTGGGCGACAGCGAGACTCCGTCTCAAAAAAAAAAAAGAAAAAGAAAAAAATAAAAAGGAGGCAGCGGTCAACAATGGTGAAGGCCATGAAAAGTCAACTAAGATAAGGACAAGACATTTTCCAGTGAATTTTCATCACTAGCTTATTGGTGACCTTAACCCAGAGCAGTTTCAGAAGAGTGGATAAGGGAAGGAGAGCAGAATGGAAGCCTTTTTTCTTTTTGAGATAAGAGATATATTTATTGACTGTGGGAAAGAGCAAATAAAGAGGGAGAGGTGGAACATACAGGAGAGAGAAGAAATGACCAGTGCAGTGAGGTTCCAGAGCTGGGGACAGGAGGACGAGCAGAGGTGGGCAGAAGCTGTGGCTCAGGATGGAATGAGAGGAGCATGTCTTTGAATGTGTTGTGGGCATGGATATAGCCACAGCCATAGGAGGGGTGATGGCGGGAATCACGGGAATGCACCCGTGCTAGTCATGATTTTCTTTTTTTGAGACAGAGTCTCGCTCTGTCACCCAGGCTGGAGTGCAGTGGCGCAATCTTGGCTCACTGCCACCTCCGCCTCCTGGCTTCAAGAGATTCTCCTGCCTCAGATTCCCAAGTAGCTGAGATTACAGGTGTGTGCCACCACGTGAGGCTAATTTTTGTATTTTTAGTATAGATGGGGTTTTGCCATGTTGGCCAGGCTGGTGTTGAACTCCTGGCCTCAAGCGATCCACCCACCTCGGCCTCCCAAAGTGCTGGGATTACTGGTATGTTCAGCTTTTTAAAATTAACATCATTTCGGCCGGGCGCGGTGGCTCACGCCTGTAATCCCAGCACTTTGGGAGGCCGAGGCGCGTGGATCATGAGGTCAGGAGATTGAGACCATCCTGGCTAACAAGGTGAAACCCCGTCTCTACTAAAAATACAAAAAATTAGCCAGGCGCTGTGGCGGGCGCCTGTAGTCCCAGCTACTCGGGAGGCTGAGGCAGGAGAATGGCGTGAACCCGGGAAGCGGAGCTTGCAGTGAGCCGAGATTGCGCCACTGCAGTCCGCAGTCCGGCCTGGGCGACAGAGCGAGACTCCGTCTCAAAAAAAAAAAAAAAAAAAAAAAATTAACATCATTTCCTGTAAAGTTTTATGAATTTACATTCTAGTTTTTTGTTATTCCATGATGTTGCTATATCCCAGTTATTGAATCTTTGGATTGTTTCATCTTTATGCTAAACAGTGCTACTATAAACATGTTTGTACCAACTCCTTTTTCTCTTAGATGATCTTTTTGGAATATATTCCTGAGGCAAGATTGTCAAGTTAAATGGAATGAACAGCTTTGGCGCTCATGTTGCTTTTTTTTTTTTTTTGAGATGGAGTCTTGCTCTGTCGCCCGAGCTGGAGTGCAGTGGCGTGATCTTGGCTCACTGTAACCTCCGCCTCCTGGGTTCAAGCAGTTCTCCTGCCTCAGCCTCCTGAGTAGCTGGGATTACAGGCACGTGCCACCACGCCTGGCTAATTTTTGTATTTTTAGTAGAGGCAGGGTTTCACTATGTTGGTCAGGCTGGTCTCAAACTCCTGACCTTGTAATCTGCCCTCTTTGGCCTCCCAAAGTGCTGGGATTACAGGCATGAGGCACCGTGCCCGGCCTCTTGTTACATATTTTTTAGGCGGTTCTCTGGGAAGACTGATCTGCTCACAGTTGCTGAGACTTTTTTAACCATGTTCCACATGAGATTGTCCTCACTTTCATCAGGGATACCCCCAGGGAGAAGGGCCTTCTGAGTGGTGGCAGTGGGGACAGAGGATGGACCTAGCTTGAGACATGATGGCAGCTTAATACTGAGGAATGAATGCTTTTGCTTGGCAGCCTTTGAGTGGAGGCTTGAGTTCAGAGTGTCAGCCGAATAGCATTGTGTATCCCCGAGACCCCTACATAGGTCTCAGCCATTTTATTACAAGGAATCTAGCTTTTCATCCACCTTATCTGGAGGTATTTACTAGTAAGATAGACCTTGGAAGGCTGAGGTTTGGTATGTTTTCTTTGGTGAGGTCACAGAAATGGAAGAGATTTCCAATAAGCAGGTGTAGGATTTGCTGTATGATCTTTTGGAGCCCGACTGTGAATGGCCCACCAAGTTCTAGCCACATCATTGTCCACAGCTGACTCTTATCCTGGCCTCATTCCAGCTTGGACAAGCTCTACCTCTAAGGACTAGTTTTAACTCAGCACTTTTTGCTTCCTGCCCCAGGTCAGTATGCAGCTCTGGGCAGAACACCTGCCTCACTCCACCCAAGAGATGGCTGTATGGTTGTAGTGGGTGAGATATTTCCTGGGCAGCTTCCCATCTGGAAAGGGCTTTGAGGAGCTGTGCTACAGTAGGTGTTTGGTTCAGAAGTTGTTCTTTTTTTAAAAAAAAATTTTTTTTTTTTTGAAACAGAGTCTTGCTCTGTCACTAGGCTGGAGTGCAATGGGGCGATCTTGGCTCACTGCAACCTCCACCTCCCGGGTTCAAGCAGTTCTCCTGCCTCAGCCCCCTGAGTAGCCGGGATTACAGGTGCATGCCATCATGCCTGGCTAATTTTTGTATTTTTAGTAGAGATGGGGTTTCACCATGTTGGCCGGGCTGGTCTTGAACTCCTAACCTCAGGTGATTCACCCACCTTGGCCTCCCTAAGTGCTGAGATTATAGGAATGAGCCACCACACCTGGCCCAGAAGTTAGTTATTCTTTGAATTCTTTCTCAGAGAGGCATAGGGGGGCAAAACAAAAACCAAAAAACAAAACAAAACAAAAAAACCCACATAGCTTGGGTACAGAGCCCTGGGTTTGAGTTATAGCACTGCCACTTTGGAACCAAGTAGCCATGGTCCAGTCACTTATTCTCCCTTGGTTTCTTATATCTGTGGAATAGGTTGTTGAGAGGCTCAAAAGCTATTATGTGGAATACAAGTGTTCCCTAATTCTACAGCACTATGTAAACGTTGATTGTTAGTTTCCTGGTGAATGCTCTCCCACAGATAACTCCAGTCCTTAACGTGGCCTAACTTTTTTTTATTGGATCCTGGTCATTTATTGACAATGATAGTTACAAACATAACTGACATTTATTGAATGCTTATTCTACATACATTATCCTAGCTCCTTCACTTAATATCCCTGTTTTTATTTTATTATTTTATTTAGTTTTTTAGAGACAGGGTCTCACTCTGCTGCCCAGGCTGGAATACAGTGACAGGATCATGGCTCACTGTAGCCTGGACCTCCTGTGCTCCAGCAGCCCTCCCGCCTCAGCCTCCTGAGTAGCTGGGACCACAGGCATGTGCCACCACATCTAGTTCATTTTTTAAAAAATTTTTTTGTAGCGACAGGGTCTCGCTATGTTGCCCAGGCTGGTCTCAAACTCCTGGGCTCAAGTGATCCTCCTGCCTTGGTCCCCAAAGTGTTGGCAGAGATCCACGATGCCTTGCCACTTAATCTCTTAATCTCAGTTTCCTCATCTGTAAAATGGGAATAATGCTAGTACCTACCTAGAGATTCACAACCAGTTTAACATAGTGCCTAGCACATTGACACAGCCAATAGTGTCATCACAACCATTATGCCATTTAATTCTCACTCCCCTGTGAAACAAGTAGTAATATCATCCCTATGTGACAGGTGAAGCATCTGGAAATAGATGACTTGCTTTAGGTCACTCAGATAATGATTTGTAGGGTTGGGATTCTATCTGAGACCAGTATTCTGTCTACAGTTGACCTCTTAGTGTGATTGGCTGTGTCATGTAGACACACCAAAAGGTATGAGTTGGTAATTTTGGTCCAGGGAAGATTCAGTTCAAATCAGCAACCATTTAGTATTTATTATTTACCAGGCATTAATTTCCAAGCTGCTCTGCTGGGTGAAGGCAAAGACAAAAATCATGGGCGTTGACAATATTAATTCACAATATTAACCTCTAGCCCTACTCTTTTCTGGTACAACCTCCCTGGTCTTTCCAGCCCCATTCTTAGGGACTAGGTAGCTTCCGACATCTGTGCCTCAGCCGAGTCCTCCTGTGACCTCTAACTGCCCTTCCTGGGAGGGGCCACAGGGCCGGTCCATTGCTCGGCTTTTCTGAGTCATGACTGACTTGTAAGTTAATGCCATCTTCCTTCTTCATCTGTCACATCAGCGGCCACACAGATCTCAGGTGCACATTACTGTGTTGGCTGAACCCACCACACAGAGGTGCTGTACCTGCAATTTGATAGCAGAGCAGAGAGTGCTCCACCCTTAATGCTCAAAGTCCCCTGAGGGTAGGGACCAAATCTCTTACTGCATTTGTAATCCCTCCACTCCCACTAGAGAAAACCATGTCTGTGCCTTCTAAAGAAGGAAGTGGTGTGGCCTACCTAAGGTGGAGAAGAGGCCACTTAGGATGGCGTGGGCTCCTAAGAGCACTGAAGGAAGGCTCAGTTCAGTGTCCGCTGAATAACACCTTTTGCTTTTCAAATTATTGTGTTTTTTCATAAATGTGACCCTCTACTAAACTCTCCCCCCTCTTACAGTTCACACCTAGGGGCCTGGCTTACCTATGATAGTAGAATTTAATATAGAGGTTCCATTGCGTGAAGGCTAGTGGTAGTCGTGTAACCAAACTTTATTCTCGTTTGCACTTCAGACCAAGCCAGTGGAGGAAGCATTGACTGGTCCTATGATTATGGCATCAAGTACTCATTTGCCTTTGAACTGAGAGACACAGGGCGCTACGGCTTCCTCTTGCCAGCCCGTCAGATCCTGCCCACAGCCGAGGAGACCTGGCTTGGCTTGAAGGCAATCATGGAGCATGTGCGAGACCACCCCTATTAGGGCCCTGGGGAAGAAACAAGAGCCATTAAAATCTCTTTGGTTTGAAGCAAAGTTGGGTTGTGTTGTTTATTTTTCTAAGCCTGATCTGGCAGCACCGTTTCTCCAGTTTCTGCTGCCCTCAAACACAACAAGTCATGGCATTGTACCCCTTCATCTTTTAGAAAATCCATCCTGGGGCCAGGCGTGGTGGCTCACCTGAAATCCCAGCACTTTGGGAGGCTGAGGTGGGACGACTGCTTGAGCCCAGGAGTTTGAGATCAGCCTGGGCAACATGGGGAGACCCCATCTCTAAAAAGAATAATATTAAAAAAAAAAATCCATCCGGAGCAGAGTGCTCCCAACATCATTTGACAGTTTTTGTTTTTGTTTTCCTTTTGAGACAGAGTCTCACTCTGTCACCCAGGCTGGAGTGCAATGGCGCGATCTCGGCTCACTGCAACTTCTGCCTCCCAGGTTCAAGCAATTCTCCTGCCTCAGCCTCTCAAGTAGCTGGGATTACAGGCACCTGCCACCATGCCTGGCTAATTTTTGTAGTTTTAGTAGAGACAGGGTTTCACCATTTTGGCCAGGCTGGTCTTGAACTCCTGACCTGAAGTGATCCACTCGCCTCGGCCTCCCAAAGTGCTGGGATTACAGGCGTGAGCCACCGTGCCTGGCCCCATTTGACAGTTTTTTATTGTGTTAAATTATACACAAAACTTACAATTTTGACCATTTTTAAGTGTACAATTCATTGGCATTAAGTACATTCACAACGTTATGCCACCATCACCATCATCCATCTCCAGAACTTTCCTATCATCCCAGACTGAAACTCTTCCCCATTAAACCATAACTCCCCATTCCTCTTGCCCTTCAGCCCCTGGCAACTACTAGCTACTTTCTGTCTCTACGAATTAGCCTATTCTAGGTATTTCGTATAAGCGGAATTAAACAGTATTTGCCCTTTTGTGGCTAGCATTTTTTTTTTTTTTTTTGGTTAATATAATGTTTTCAAGGTTCATCCATGGTGTAGCATGTGTCACTGCTTCATCGTAAGAGTGTAGCATTTTAGGGCTAGCAATGGACTTTCAAGTTCATGTATTCAATAAATACTCATGAAGCAACTGCACTGTGCCAGGCCTCGTGCCAGGTGCTATACCTGGTTCCATTGTTGCCTTTGGTTTTTCCTTTCCTGGTGTGCTGCTTTATGAAGACTTGTGGGGCAGGGCATGGTGACTCAGGCCCGTGATCTCAGCACTTTGGAAGGCTGAGGTGGGAGGATCAGGAGTTTGAGATCAGCCTGAGCAACACAGTGAGACCCCGTCTGTACAAAAACAAAACAAAGCACCCGTCATGGTGGCAAACATCTTTAGTCTCAGCTGCTTGGGAGGCTAAGTTGGGAGGATCACTCGAGCCCAAGAGTTTGAGACTTCAGTGAGCTATGGTCGCACCACTGTACTCCAGCCTGGTCGACAGAGTGAAACTCTGTCTCAAAAAAAACAAACACACAAATGGTGGGGACCCAAGCCAATGACATTCCTTTTTCCTGGTTGCCCTATCAAGCCTCGGTCTCAGGTTGCACACAGTTTCTCTTTAGATATTGACTCCCATTAGGGATTTAGGTTTTCTTCATGTGGATGATTTTCCCTGGGAGAAAAGGTAGGAACTAAATTTCAGCTTGCCTAGAATGCTTGGTCCTTGATTCTCCCACTTCACATCTCTTACAGATTTGGGTCTCAGTTGTTCTTGTTGCTGACTTCAAAGCTGACATCGATCTCAGTGACGCTGAGCCCACGCTTTGTGGTGGACAGGGTGGGTGTAGGAATTCAGTTGAAGTGTTGAGAGGACAAAAGGACCCTGAGGGAGCAAGAGGAGATGATGGCCCCTAGCTCCACAGCTCCTAACAAAGGCTCTCTCTGGGACCACACTTGAGATTCTGCACCCTCCTTTTGATTAGGCTGGTTCTTGAGCCCTGGCTAAGCCAGCCTGAGCAAAGATCCTGCGAAGTCATCCCTCCCACCTTGATATCTGATCAAGTTCCTCATCCCCACCTTTGATGGGGACTTTGATGTATAAGTCCTTGGCCTGCTTTTAGCAAGAATCCCCCTACCTTGATGTCTTCTCTTAGTAATCCCACTGATCCTCTCTGTTTTCTTTGCCGTATTCAGTGTTAAGCACAGTAAGTCTTTCCTACTGAAATAGCCATGGTCCTAATCATAATAATCTTGAATTAGGTCTTACATTTTAACACAGGTCAGGATAGTTTTTCTTTAACTCTCTCAACTATGACCCTTGGTTGTGTCCACTCCCTTTGAGTGGGTGTGGAAAGCATGTAGACCGTAGGGAGGGTGGGATGGGAAAGGCTGTGGGAACTGGGGCTCCCAGGACAGACTCAAAGGTCCCAGAGCCCCTGAAGGCGTTATGGAGATATGAGTGTCTTCCATTTATTCAGCTGTGACTTGGCGGAAAGGACACCAGACCCACAGTCTAGGAAGTATAAGAAAATCTTATTATTTATTTATTTATTTATTTGAGATGGAGTCTCACTCTGTCGCCCAGGCTGGAGTGCAGTGGTGCGATCTCGGCTCACTGCAAGCTCCGCCTCCCAGGTTCACGCCATTCTCCTGAGTAGCTGGGACTACAGGCGTCCGCCACCACGCCCGGCTAATTTTTTGTATTTTTAGTAGAGACGAGGTTTCACTGTGATAGCCAGGATGGTCTCAATCTCCTGACCTCGTGATCCGCCCACCTCGGCCTCCCAAAGTGCTAGGATTACAGGCATGAGCCACCTCGCCCGGCTGAAAATCTTATTATTGATAAAACCATTAAGCCTTCCCCATAGATCAGACCCCAAGGAACACTGATAATTTATTCAGACTAAAACATCCTTTCTATATCATTTGCCTGATACATTTCTATTTCCTTAGTGGAGTCAGAAGAATTAGGCTTCAGATACATAAAAGAGGCCCCAAACCTCTTTCCTCATCCTGACCTGCCCTGGTGAAATTCTCTGGCAGGGCTTGTCAAGCATGTGGTCTTGGAGCCAGCTCAGTCTTGCTTTGATAGTCTTAACTTTTTTATTATTATTCTAGAGGTAATTCTATGCCAGGTTTATAATCTGACCTCTCCTATCAGGATAAATTCCATCCAACACTGTGGAATTAGCTTATTCACTGAAAAAACACTATTTAAATGCCAAGTGATGAGCAATATGGTACCCTTGGCACAGACTTTTTCAGCTCCTGGAGCAAGTTCCTGACCTTGTAAATTGAGATGCTCAACCTTTATCACTTGAAAGGAATGGGAGAGGCATTGGTAGGGCCTGCCTGTCACAGTCAGAGTTGCAAGGGTGCTTGGGAATCACATTAGCATTTTTGAGGACTTGAGTCACTCTCAGACTCTTTATAAATACAGCTTGACTCAGCCACTGTATGACTGACTCCCCGGGGACATGAGGTGGATACTGTTCATTGGGGCCCTTATTGGGTCCAGCATCTGTGGCCAAGAAAAATTTTTTGGGTAAGTTCCTTTTGGACTTATTATTTGGTTATTTCAGAAATATGGGAGCCAAATGGAACTGAAAATGAATGGCTGATAATAGCTCACATGGAGGAAGAAGACCTGGGCTCTTGTTCCAGCTTTGCCCCTGTGTCATCCTGGACAAGTCCACTCTCTTCTCTGAGACCCCATTTCATCTGTGAAATCAGGACTAGATGATCATTGCAGTCTCTCCCCAGCTCCCTCATCTCCTGCCAGTTCTTTTTCTGCCTAGTTCTTACTTATAAGGTCAGTTCCAGGCATCTACTTTCTTACTCCTACCTTATTAATTACTAAGAGTTACTGGTTACTAAGAGCTACGTTATTAATTACTAAGAGTTACTGGTTACCAGAAATGGTTTGTTTCCAATTTCCGCCATGCATAAAGGGAAACCCTGGGTCTCAAGCTTGTTGGTTTCACTTCTTTGTTAATGGCGAAGGCTTTGCAGAGCTGGTGCCTTCTCTTGATCTGCAGTTTAATGCTCTACCCCTGAGCTACACCCTCTTCTGAGCTGGTGCTTTCTTACTGGCTTCTGGGACGTGGAGATTTCACAGGTCTTGCCTAGACACAGCTATGAAAATGACATGCAGAGACACATGCCTGAACACCGTGTGTGTGTGCGCGTGTGTGTGTGCACACACACACGTGCTCAACACGCTCCATGCAGAATACTTTGAGGTTTGCAGGGGAGAGGACATTTGGGTGGTAGGAGAGATAAAAGGGATACCATGGTGCCCTGTTAGAAGACTGAATTATAATAACTCATTACTGCATAATACTTTACCATTTGCAAAGAGCTTTCATGTACATTATCTTTTTGATCACACAACAACTTTGCCAGGCAGGGGTGTTATTTTCTTCCACTTAAACATGAAAAAAATCAGCCTTAGAATGTTAAGGAACGCGCTCAAGGCCACTTAGCTGGGAAGCAGGGGAGCTGGAACTCTGAACGTAAAACTCGTACCCTTTTGCTATAACACAAGTTCATCTCCAAATAAAATCCTATATCTCTTGGATCTGTCTCTTAGTTTTCTTTCTATTTTACTATCTGGCTAATGAGACTTTGGGGTTGTTTTTTGAGGTAATTACTTATATGAGATTGACTAAGTTTTATGATGATGACTTCTGTTCACACCTGTGTCTCTGTTGCCAAATAGCTCAGAGGGGTTAGGAGTGGCAGGTGGCCAGGGAAGATTTTCCCACAGGCGGCTCAGCAGTAGGTGTGTAGTGACTAGACTTGCTGCCGTGTGGGCTGACGCATGGAACTGTCAGGCTCCCACTGCAGCTATTCATGTGGCTGAAAAATCTCTATTTCGCAAGATACAGACCTCTCTTGCAATGTGGTGGGCACCTGGGCTGCGACAGCTGGGCCAGGCCCTAGAATGCTCTCTGCAGGAATTTTGCACAGAAAAAGCTGTGTGCCTGAGCTGACTGCAGATGGTTTGAACTGATAGTGTCATTCTCATCCCCAAATCCATTCTCACGCCATAGTAGGAAACCTAGCAAAGGTAGTGGAATTCTTCCTGGGCTCTCTAGAGGTGTCCCAGACACCCAGCTTTTAGAGCAAGGGGAACATTTAGAGCAAGGGGAAGCTGGCCTCTGAGCATTCAAGTGGTTGGGAAGCCAGGCTCTGGATTGGCTGCTGAAGATGAGGATGATGGTTTCTCCCCACCACCCACCACCCATTCCCCTCCCTTCCATCTGCCTCACCTATCTCCCCAGTCTCTCTTGCTCTACTGGAGTCTTCTGCCCTGGTCTTCAGAGATCTTCAGGATGGGACAATGGCCAGGATGCCTAGAGGCACCAGGCAGGCAGAGAACAGGAACCAGTTGCAGAGCTGGTTACAGCATCAACAGTAGCTGGCAGGCATCTAAGAGTTCTATGAAACCATCTCTTAATATTCTTTGTGGTGGCTGCTAAGCCTGGCTAGGGAGGCAGATGAGAAAGGCACAAAGGACGGGCCACTTGGCTGTCAGCATGGTGAAAGGGGAGGGATAGATGCTCAGTCACCAAAGTGGGTATTGACTGTCCAAAGCACAGACTCCTGTGAGGGTGAGGGAGTGGGAGTGCCAGCCATTGCAATGGCAGCAGCTGGACGCCCTGTCTATTGGAGAGGATCAAGTTAAGAGGAGCTGTGAGAACACCTGTGTGGAGCAGGAGGGGCAGACATGGCCACCTGTGAATCCCAACACGTCCCCCTCCCAGGCCAATTTCCATCTTCAGAAAGAGCTCAAGGTCTTTGAGTGAATTTCTGGATAGTGGAGATAGGATGTGCTCCACCATCTTGAGCCTCATGAACTGACGAGGGCATTTTTCAAATACAGACAAGGACAGTGAGGGCAAGAAAAAGGCTGCCCTTCGCATTGCACCCCGCAATGTCCTCCCTCCTTTCAGGTGTTGCTGTGCTTCTGTTCATAAGGATAATGCTACCGCTGGGTGCAGTGGCTCACACCTGTAATCCCAGCACTTTGGGAGGCTGAGGCAGGTGGATCACCTGAGGTCGGGAGTTCGAGACCAGCCTGACCAACATAGAGAAACCCCGCCTCTACTAAAAATACAAAATTAGCTGGGCGTGGAGGTGCATGCCTGCAATCCCAGCTACTTGGGAGGCTGAGGCAGGAGAATCACTTGAACCCCGGAGGCGGAGATTGCAGTGAGCTGAGATCGTGCTATTGCACTCCAGCCTGGGCAAGGCAACAAGAGCAAAAACTCCATCTGAAAAAAAAGGATAATGCTACCCACTACCACAACCGCCAATGTTCAGCACTATCTGAAGACTGTTAGGACTTTGCTTCCTCTGGTCAGGAAAAGCTTCATGGGTGATGTGAGTTGGTCCTAAAGATTAGATGGGACTAGATGGGCCTGACAGATGAGAAAAAGGATGGATTGCAGGCAGTGGGAACAGCGTGTACAAAAGCATACAAAAGTACGCGGTGAGTTTGGGCTGGGTCCGAGATGGGGCAGAAGGGAGAGGTGAAGAAGAGACAGATGGAACGGGCTTCACTCGGCACCCGCTCTTCTGCCCTGCCGCTTTGCATGCTACAGATATTTTGTTGACCTCTGTAGCTTGGCTGATTAGAGCAGGATGAAATGGGTTTGTGGATTTAATCATCCTCAGGGCCAGTCAGAGACACGGTGTCCCATTGTCCTGGGACTGCGCCCAGGAATGTCTACAAGTTCTGTTGTGAAGTCACCACTTTGGAAAAACTAAAACGCATGTGTTGGGTGAATGCGTAACATGATTTTCATACTCAAAGAGCTTCTTATTCTTATGTCCTCCTTTTTTCTCCTCCTGTCCCTTCTTTCTCCTTTTCCTCTTTGTGATTGCTGTAGCCAGTGCTGCATTTTACACACGCTTAACTGTGCTAATAAATATGTCACCACACAAGATCTTTCTAGCAGCTCCCCTCACTTTTTTTTTTTTTTTTTTTTTTTTTGAGACAGGGTCTTGTTCTGTCAACCAGACTGGAGTGCGGTGATGCAATCATAGCTCACTGCAGCTTTTGAACTCCTGGGCTCAAGCAATCCTCCTGCCTTAGCCTCCCAAGTATAGAATCCCCACTTTAAAGATACCCCCTCTTTGGAGTGTTGGAGGTAGGTTATGATAGAGCGTGAGTTCAGCGGACGGGCCCTTGTCCCCATCCAGGAGTAAAGATTTCCTTTCTGTTTTTTAAATTTATTTATTTTTAATTTTAGTTTTTTGAGATGGGAGTCTTGCTCTATTGCCCAGGTTAGAGTGCAGAGGTGTGATCATAGCTCACTGCAGCGTTGAACTCCTGGGCTCCAGCGATCCTCCTGCCTCAGCCTCCTGAGTAGCTGGCCTACAGGTGTGAACCACCACGCCCAGCTAATTGTTTTTCATTTTTTTGTAGAGGCAAAGTCTCACTATTTTGTCCAGGATGATCTTGACCTCCTGGCCTCAAGCAATCCTCTCACCTTGGTTTCCTGAAGCACTGGGATCACAAGTGTGAGCCACGGTGCCTGGCTCCATTCTGTCTTACATCGGTCCCTTTTTTTCAATGGTGCTTGCCGAGGTCAGGGAACGATCAGGTTTGATGCCTCATCTTCCCAGGGCGGTAGGTCCAACTCTTGGCAAGCCTGTTGGGTTCAGACTGAGACCTGCCCACCCAGTGGTATCTCTTCAGGGCCCTCGGCAGTGCCCACAGGGTGCAGTTACCCGCTGACCTCCAGGACCCTTTGGGGACCAGGTGGGTTGGGAGAAAGGGAACCTTCAGCACTGTCATCTCCTCCAGACCAGCCACCTGCAGCAGGAGTGGCTCTGCAGTGGACCTTGACTCCTTAAGTCTGGCCTAGACCCACTGGAGAGCCCCTAGAACCTTCCAGAACCCAGCAAAACCCTGAAGAGCCATCTGGATGAAACCGGTTTTCTGATGAGGAGCTGCCCCATGAGGCTGCACACTCAGCTCCCTGTGACAGCCATTCACTCTCAACAGGTCCTTGAGCCCACAGCGGCTCTCTTTGCATTCACTTGTGTCAAAGAGATGACACAGTGACAACATCGAGTGAGGATTCTTTGGAGCTGTCACCTAGCAACAGCCTAATGGCTCCCATCTCCCCCAGCCAGCTGAGAGCATAAAGGCAGCATTTCAGGCCCTGCTTTCTCCCACCCACACACAGGACTTCGGGGGCCACTACCCCTGCCGCCGCTGCAGAAGCTAAATCACGTATATGAAGCAAGCTCAGGACAAACGACAAAGGGGACTGAGACTGGCCGGCCCCGTCTGTGTCCTTTAAGGGTCCCCTCTCACCCCGTAGGGAGGAGTGGATCCTACATCCAGCCTCAGCACCATGGGCCATAGTCAGTTTCCACCCAAACGAGCCTCTGTGTGGGGTTCTGGAGCTGGAAGGGACTGAGCGAGCACCCAGCCTCGCCTGTTTTAAGACGGCACAGCTCACCCTCCCAGCATGGAGATGCTGTTTTCTTTCCAGCATGGAGGTTCCGTCAGGGTTTCAGTCCTCAGCCCTGACAGTGAAGAAGTGCTTCTTTATGTCTTGAGTTAGCTTTGCGTGTAACTCAGGCACATTCCTTCCTGTAAAATATATGTGTTTTTCATTATAAAGTAATATGATCACATTACAGAAAACAGATACAAGGGGGAAAAAAGTAAGTCATCCATAATCCCACGACCCGAACATAAGGGCTGTCAGCATTTGGTATATTTCCGCTGTCTGTTTTTCTTCCAATGCATCTGCTTTTTCCATACTTATAATCATGGCATACATACAATTTTGTGTCCTGCTCTTTCACTTAATATTTCCCTTAAAGTTATGCCATAAGCACTTTTTCATAGTTGCCATGTAGCCTCATTTTTAATGGCCATACATTAAAACCAAAGACTAGACCATTTCCTTTCTTTTGGCCTGGTTACGTCTGGGATAGGAGGCTTGGGGGTTTCTTTGCCAGCTGAAAGCTCATCATTATCTTTTGCTCTTTTTTCCTTTTCGCTTCTTCCCCAGGGACCAAGTTTTGAGGATTAATGTCAGAAATGGAGACGAGATCAGCAAATTGAGTCAACTAGTGAATTCAAACAACTTGAAGGTACCTGGTTCTTTTTAGCTCTCCTGAGTGTTTTCTAACTTTGCTGGGAGAAGACTCTTGCTCTACTGGCATTATTATTTTTATTTCTGAGGAGTCTCTGAATATAATCCTGTGGGAGTCCACTTGCCATTTATACAATTGAGGGGGCTGATGGGAGAGAGGGAGCACATCACAGCTGTGGTGTCCTGGGAGAGGGGATGCTTGAACAGTATAGGCTCCATCCTTCTAGCTGCCATCCACTTATGACTCTTGGTCTCTGCCAGATACTGCTTGTTGGGCAGGTCCAACCAGACACAATTGTGAAATGGGCAAACTTTGCCCTTGGGCAGAGCCTAGCCTCTCAGGGATCACCCTGGCTTTTGGCAGTGTTCTAGAAGAATAACCTCATTGTGCATTTTACCTGAACGGTCCTTTAACCTGGTTTCATTTCTGTTCCCTTCAGCTCAATTTCTGGAAATCTCCCTCCTCCTTCAATCGGCCTGTGGATGTCCTGGTCCCATCTGTCAGTCTGCAGGCATTTAAATCCTTCCTGAGATCCCAGGGCTTAGAGTACGCAGTGACAATTGAGGACCTGCAGGTAGGTAGACTATGCCTCCTGCCTCCTGCTCTTGCATAGGACCAGGCAGCCAGTCCAGAGTAGACCGGAGTGATTTGCAAGTTCTGGTTTTATCCTTTTCTATTTTATAGACCAGGAAATGGAGGCAAATGGAAGTAAAGTGCAGTGACTTGTTAGAGGAACAACATTTTGTAGTAGAAAGGGCATAAATAGGCCAGGGAACCACACAGATTTGGATCCAAATCCTGATTTTGCTAACTACTAGTGCTATGTGCTGTGTCTTTGGACAAGTTATTAACCCGCTGAGCCTCCGTTTCTTCATCAGTAAAATGGTGATAGTGAGACCTTCGTCATGTGATTTGTTGAGAAGACTCAGGATTAAATGTATGTAAAATGTCTAACAGTGCCTGGCATATCCTACGTCTGCCATTAAGTCATAAGTCCCTCTTTCTTTCCTTCTTTGAAGTCCTTCCAGGTGGCAAGAGCAGAGATGAGGGAGGGTGTTGGGGACCAGCCACAGAGGCACCCTTTGAGACAGGGGGAATGTCATGGATAGCCCCAGCAGAGGGAATGCCGTCCTCTGGCCTCACGACCTGTATCTGAACATCAGGACAGGGTCTGGCTCATGCTCTCTCCTTCACCGAGGTGGGTTATGGACTAATTGGTGATCTGGCCTGGGAGTTTCCTGATGGCGTTAGCAGCTATGAGCTTATTAATCATCCTCACATGTCACAGACATCTGCCAGGAACCTTCAAAGCACGAGTGGTTATAAGAATTTCTTTGTTTCTGAATGGTTTCCCAAGCTGTGTATTTCAGAGGCACTGGATACCAGATGCGGGCTGATGTCTACAGAGTTCATACTATAGGATAGCCAAAGAGCGCATATGTTGCTTCCAGGGAGTAAGTGGGTTTTGAATGAGGCCATGTAAATTGGGCCCCAAGAAGTAAATTTTTTTTTTTTTTTTTTTTTGAGATGGAGTCTCTCTCTTTCGCCAGGCTAGAGTATAATGGTGCAATCTCGGCTCACTGCAACCTCTGACTCCCTGGTTCAAGCGATTCTCCTGCCTCAGCCTCCCAAGTAGCTGGGACTACAGGCACGCACCACCACGCCCAGCAAATTTTTGTATTTTTAGTAGAGACAGGGTCTCACCATGTTGGCCAGGATGGTCTCGATCTCCTGACCTCGTGATCCGCCCGCCTCAGCCTCCCAAAGTGCTGGGATTACAGACATGAGCCACCCTGCCCAGCCAAGAAATAAAATTTTATAAAGATATGAAAGAAATCTAACCCCCTTTTAAACCTTGACATTTGTGCTGCTTGATATGCTGAAAGGGCCGCCATCTTGGCTGACCCATATGCAAAGATATGGCAGAAAAAACATAAACCTGCGTCTGCAATGGATCACTTCACAACATTGCTGTGTGTTTTCAGGCCCTTTTAGACAATGAAGATGATGAAATGCAACACAATGAAGGGCAAGAACGGAGCAGTAATAACTTCAACTACGGGGCTTACCATTCCCTGGAAGCTGTAAGTGTTTCAGAGTGGGTTAAGATCAAGGTTCTCTGCCTCCTGAATTTTGTAACCTCTCTCCTTACTTCCAGGAGACATTAGTCTTCAGCACAATATCCCCTCACTGAGGGGCTAAAATGTGTACACTTCAATTCCTTTCTAATTCTTGGATTGCTGAACTCCTACCAGCACCTCAGAGTGTCATGAAATACAGCCTGGCTATTTCCTCCCTCAACCATCCTTCTCTCCTTAAGCAACTCTTTCAGAATACCATGAAAATAATTGCAATCATTTCTAGTCCTTGTAATTCAACCTTCTTCTACCCTACCATAATCCCTCTATTTTACTCACCCAGAATAAAATGTTACTTATTCCAGGCAAGTAGACAAATGATGATTTCGAAGGTTAACCAAATATTTCCACTCATTTATCATGACTACTTATAATGTATATATTTGTTCCATCATGCATTTTGGTGCTGTGTTTAGCTAGAAACCACTTGATATAGATGGCTGACTTTCAAGGTAAGCCAAACCTTCAAATGAAAAACTTGAAGCAGAATAATTTCCTAGGATACTGGGACTTAAGAAATCAAGAGAGGCTGTAGAATAGAACTGTACCATGAATGCGGTACAGTTCTCTTACACCCCTCAGTGTCTCCTTCATTCATCTGCAGACAACTAGCTCAGGATCACTCCCCCACATCTAAATTAGTATTCCCCCTGGTGTACCTTAATACATGTTGTTCTTGATATACAGACATGGTGTTGTTGGCATGCATTTCACAAGGCGTATACTTTGAGTCGTTTCTCTTCTTGAGGGAGGATTTCAAAGGTTGACTATTTCCACTTCTTTCCCATGCTTGTCGGTAGCTTTGTTTATTGTATATACTTCCAACGGCACTGCCCCTTGATCCCTCTTGTGACCAGTGACATACATCTGCAAAACAGCTGGATAAAGTTAGAAGTTCAGTCTTGGGCCATGGACGAAAGCAGAGCTCAGAGCCCACACAGGGATCAAGCCCATGAAATCAGCCTCATGAACATGGGGCCCTCGCCAGCTGAGCTAACCAGTTGCAAATGTCACCCAAGACCCTGGAGGGGCCATCCCCTCACCTGCCGACTGCTGGAGCCTCACTGTCTCACTGGCTTACCACTGATTTCTCTGGTTTGAGGCGCCCTTTGCAGCCTGGCTTACAGCAATCTTGTCCTCACTGTGACACCCTCCACTGTGGATTGGTGTGCCACCACCCTCCTAGCTCAGTCATATACAGTTCTTTCTAAAAACAGCTAAAGAACTCGTATTCTAGGCTGGGCATGGTGGCTCACACCTGTAATCCCAGAACTTTGGGAGGCCGAGGTGGGCAGATCACTTGAGGTCAGTAGTTCAGGACCAGCCTGGCTAACATGGTGAAACCCCGTCTCAACTAAAAAAATACAAAAATTAGCTGGGCGTGGTGGCAGGCACCTGTAGTCCCAGCTACTTGGGAAGCTGAGGCAGGAGAATCACTTGAAACCGGGAGGCGGAGGTTGCAGTGAGCCAAGATTGCACCACTGCACTCCAGCCTGGGTGACTGAGCGAGACTCTGTCTCAAAAAAAAAAAAAAAAAAGAGCGCTCATATTGGCTCACGCAACCACTTAGGCTTTCTTAGGTCTCTAGTGGGAATTTCATGTTTGTCTCTGCCAGAGTTTCTGGTTCCAAAGCCATTGTCTGTGTTGTGGTAGTGGTGGGCAGTGTGAATTTGCACTCCACACCTGGACACAGCTTGGTGTTTTAACTTTTCCTGGATGACTCTCTTTTCTCTCAAAGCTCAAGGCAGCTATCCTGCTTTTCCTCCACTCCCTAGGGTCAGTGGGTAGAGTGGGTAGAATTTCCAGGCCCTTTTTGTGGCCCAAATTGCCCATTCCTAGCTCTCAAGTTCCAGCTCCTTGTGCCATGCTGGGTCCTATGGCTCTCCTCCTAGTCCAGGTTTGCCTAAGCCTGTAGCACCCAAGGCAGAGATGGGGCTCTGTGGCATCATCTCCCACCCTCCACCCTCCTAGTTAGTTCCTTCTTTGTTTCTGGCACCTACAATTTCCTCTTGTTTAGCTTTTAAACTTGGCTGTGAATCATTTTCCTTGTATTTTACCTGGTTTGCCTATGTATTTGGAGGTGGTTTCTTGCTTCTGTTCGGTCTACCGTATTGACGGCAAGTCTGATAAACCCTTTAAGCTTGACTTTGTTCTATATTAATTACACATTTTCCTCCTCTGTATAGTTCCTTCTTCCAGTCTTAAGGCTGAAACAAATACATTTGTTTATTTTCTTTTGGCCCTCAAGTGGTTTGAAAACTAAGATGGATAAATTCTATTTAAATCGAACTTTTTTCCTGAAAGCAAATAAGGGTATTTTTAGCCGTTTATTTACCTTTCTTCACTTGCACTCACAAAGCCTTTAGAGAAATTATCTCCAAAGGGGGGCACATGTATCCACAGGATGTAAGCAAGATAGTCCACTGGGATGAAGGAAGAAACAATTACAACTTCTATTTATATTTCTACATATATTTCTGTTTATTATTAATACAACCATTTCAATTGTTTAATAATGTACACAATATATTTGTATCATTGTGTGTGTGTCTGTGTGTGTGTACATGTATATGGTGCATGCTAATTTTTTATTATTTTTGAGTAGAGAAAGTCATCACAGAATTTTGGAGAGTACTGTTTTAAGAGCCTTGGAGCTCTTTCTTTTTATTTTTTATTTTTCAGACAGGGTCTCACTTGTTGCCCAGGCTGGAGTGCAGTGGTGCATTCGTGGCTCACTGTAGCCTAAACCTCCCAGGCTTGAACAATTCTCCCACCTCAGCTTCCTGAGTAGCTGGGACCACAGATACACGCCACCGCAGCTGCCTATTTTTTTTTTTTTTGTTTCATTATTTGTAGAGCTGGGGAGTCTCCTTACGTTGCCCAGGCTGGTCTCGAACTCCTGGGCTCAAGTGATTCTCCCACCTTGGCCTCCCAAAGTGTTGGGATTATAGGCATGAGCCACTGCACCTGGCTTGTTTTTATTTTATTTTATTATTACTATTCTTAAATTTTAAAATTTCTTTCTTTCCTTCCCTCTTCCATATTTTTTATGAACTATTTTTATTTTTAAATGTTTCTTGTAGAGATGGGGTCTCACTATGTTGCCCAGGCTGTCTCAAACTCCTGGCCTCAAGCAATCCTCCCGCCTCAGTCTCCCAGATTGCTGGGATCACAGGCATGAGTCACTGTGCCTGGCCGCTTGTCTTTGACTGTCCAGTCTAGTACAGTGACAAAGGACACAGTGTTAGAGCAATATTGCAAAAGCCTCTCTACTCTAGTTTAGTGGACTACAATTTTGTGAACAAACAAGTGTGCTACTCTCCAGAAAATTGTAGAAAAGGACTATTCAGGCAGGTCTCATAATCAGCGTTTCCATGCCGATAATATGGTCAATTCCAAGATTAGGGTCCCGGAAGAGATAGTTAAGATCAACAAGGTAAATCACAGATATCCAGCCATAGATAAGCAGATTTTTAAAATGTCCCTGGATTCACTCTTTCATGCTTCAGATTTACCACGAGATGGACAACATTGCCGCAGACTTTCCTGACCTGGCGAGGAGGGTGAAGATTGGACATTCGTTTGAAAACCGGCCGATGTATGTACTGAAGGTGAGGCCACATGCACTTGGAAGGGTCTCCTGGGTCCTCATGCCCAGGACCCAGCCTCAGACCTCTGAAAAGGGTAGCTTTTTGAACTCCTTGACTTCAGGGAGGAAAGCGAGGTCAGGACACATTGTACCTGGGCTGGAACTTGGTCTGACAGAGCCCCTTGCTTTTGTCTAATGTAGGGGGAGTTAGAAGGAGCACATCCCATTCCAAGTTTTGGCTGAAAGACAGGATCAAAGGGAGGTGATTAGTATTCCAGAAAGCTCTCAGATGGGACAGTCTTTTACTTTCATTCTCACCTCTGTAAATAGCAGGACAGGTTGGGGTGGGCCTGACTTCTATTCTGCTTTCAGGGGGTACTTACTGGAAAATCAACTTAGGAAGTGAATTTGAGGGTTGGTGTAATTTTAAGCCCAGCCTCTGATCCTTGGTTGCACAAAGCCTAATTTCCAAATATTTCTAACAGATTCAAGACTGTATTGGCAAAGAGGTAGAGAGCTATGATAATGACATAAATTACATAAAAATCCAGTTGAATGAATAAGAAGGAATTTGGGCGTATAACCCATGGAACACCAATGGTGCTAAGAATTTGCCAAACCCTCAGCTTCGTATAAGTCCCAAAGAACTCAGGCTTATAGCACTAAGCAAATTACCAGTGGGAGAGGAGACCTGCCACGGAGCTGGATAATTACATTTAAATATTTTTGCCAATCTGTTGGAGACCCTGGCTTCATTAGCACCAAGCTCTGACCCAAGGGGGCCCAACACTATGGCAAAGGCAGGAGCCAGGATTCATGGCTGCCATTTACAAAGAGCTATAGCGAGCCCCCCTTCTTCTTAGTTTAAAACCAAATTCATTTATCATGTCGACCGAAACAGCCTGGTTTGTGTACCCTTATGTCTCTCGCTGTTGGGATACCATTTGAGGTCTTTCAAGAGACATAACATTATCTCTAATGGCACCGGCATCATAAAACACAGTAACGGTTGTTTCCCCTCCCATTTGCTCCTAATGCTGGAGAGGTTCAGGCTGCCTGGAGCTGCAGCTTGGCCCCGCAGCCAACCAATTAAGCTTCCAAGTCACGGATAAGCTCGATAAATAGATGGTGCCCTTAGGAACATTTGATCTCTGAATTATCTTAAATGAATTAAATGAATGGGAGAGAGCTGGAGAGAGGAGAAGTGAGCAGAGATGCGGGCAGGCGGTCATTTTCGAGCCTTTTCTCCCTTCTGCAGTTCAGCACTGGGAAAGGCGTGAGGCGGCCGGCCGTTTGGCTGAATGCAGGCATCCATTCCCGAGAGTGGATCTCCCAGGCCACTGCAATCTGGACGGCAAGGAAGGTCATGCTGCGTGGTATTAGCCAGGAATGCTGATGGTGCCGGGGTGCCCCTGCAGCATGCCATGTGGCTGGGCCTGGGGCACGAGGTGGGAGGGTTCTCTACTAAGACCCAGTCGGCTGGGGGGCCTTTTCAGATTGGAGAAGCAAATGGTCAAAACCCCTTGGTCAGCTCACTGCGGCCAAATTGATTGCGTTCCTGGTGGTGCACAAGCTGATATGCAGCAGAGGTGGGCCTGAGCCTCTGAGAGCAGTCCACTCCGCAGAAAGGGAGCAGAGCAACACCCAGACAAGGCCCCATAGACCCTCGGGGACCTCACGCCATCTCCATCTCCTAGAAAGGCTGCTGGGAGGGCAGCAGGAGGCTGAGGCAGGAGAATCCCTTGAACCCAGGAGGCGGAGGTTGCGTTGAGCCAAGATCACGCCACTGCACTCCAGCCTGGGCAACAGAGCAAGACTCTGTCTTAAAAAAAGAAAGAAAGAAAGTCTGCTGGGAGGGGAGGAGGGGTGCATGTGGAGGACACATCTTCCTTCCCTCTTCATTGGAGGTTCAAATTCCTAAAAACTATTACAATGTGTGGCTCCCTCCTCCTGGAAGGAAGGAATAAAGCACGTACCCCAGGACTCACTGCAGTTGATGCCATTAGCAGCCATGTCCCCAAGCAGCCGTGTCTCTCCAGGCTTTGAAGGGCTCAGAGGGCTTTGCAGAGAGCAGAGCCTCTGAGGGTGGCAGGGAGGCTTTTGAGGGTGGATGCTGTTCTAGGAGCATTCATTCTAGCTGGTTGCTGGGCATCTTGAGAAGATACATGGTTCAGCCCTAATGGCCCATCCTGCCATGGGATAGCTGACAAGCATATTGTCTCTGCTTAGATTGTATCTGATTACCAGAGGGATCCAGCTATCACCTCCATCTTGGAGAAAATGGATATTTTCTTGTTGCCTGTGGCCAATCCTGATGGATATGTGTATACTCAAACTCAAGTGAGTATTCCCAAATGGGCTGGGCTTGCAGACTGTTGAATTCCTTGCTTTGCCACTAATTGTCTGATCTTGGAGAGAATTTCCACAAATGTGCACCTTATGAGCTTCCTTGGGATTTCATCTTCTAGTCATCCTCAGAGCTGAGAATCACCAGGGGATATTTCTTCTTAGAGAAAATAGTCTAATGAACTCCCTATCATGAGTCTTAACAATGACCAACATTTTACAAATCTTTTCATCTCTTGCCCTCCCACACATTTTTTCGTGACGTATTTAAAACATATTCAACACATTATGTTATTTCACCCTAAACTACTTTAGTACGCATCTCTAACTGACGATAGAAAAAAAAAAATTAAAAAACCCTATGGCACTACTATCACTTTTAAAGGAATAATGGAAGTTCTTTAATATCATCTAACACCCCCGATTACCTTAAAAATGGAGGCCGAGGCCAGGCGCGGTGGCTCACACCTGTAATCCCAGCACTTTGGGAGGCCGAGGTGGGCGGATCATGAGGTCAGGAGATCGAGACCATCCTGGCTAACATGGTGAAACCACATCTCTATTAAAAATACAAACAAATTGGCTGGGTGTGGTGGTGGGTGCCTGTAGTCCCAGCTACTTGGGAAGCTGAGGCAGGAGAATGACGTGAACCCGGGAGGCGGAGCTTGCAGTGAGCCGAGATGGCGCCACTGCTCCAGCCTGGGCGACAGGGCAAGACTCCATCTCAGAAAAAAAAAAAAAAAAAAGTGTTTTTAAGAGTCAATTTGTTCAAGTGAGGACCCAGCAAGGTCTGCGCATGCACCTGGTGCTGTGTCTCTGCAGCCTCTTTTATTCTACAGCAGCTCCCACACACACCTTTTAAAAGTCTCACTCATTTAGGGGAGAAGCCAAGTAATTTGTCTTGTACAGTGTCTCACATTCTGAATTTGGCTGATGGCTTCTTTGTTATGCCATTTAGTTTGTTCCTTTATCCCCTGTATTTCCTGTTCATAGATTGCCAGGTCTAGAGCTTGATTGGATTCAGGGGAATTTTTTAGGCAAGCAAGAAACAGGGGCTGTGCGCTTCCAGCTACATCTATTATCACCGAGGCATATAGTGTCCATTTGCCCACTTCTGCCAAAGCCAAAAATTATTCAGTGGATTCAGGCAGTATCTGACTGGTTCTAGCATATAAAGGTCTCATCAGTACATTTGGAAGAAGTCCTTCTCTTAGAGCCGGAAGGGGAAATACTCCTCTCTCTGCAGGAGGAGAGACAACTGCTCAATGAGGACTAGGAGCCCCAGGGCCCTCCTGGCAGAACTGCAAGCAGCCTGCCCTGCCTGCGTGTCATCTCCACCCTAGCCCTCTTCGGTGATCTGATCTGCCTCTGGTTGTTTGTCCCCTCCTTGGTGGCTTTTTCAGAACCGATTATGGAGGAAGACGCGGTCCCGAAATCCTGGAAGCTCCTGCATTGGTGCTGACCCAAATAGAAACTGGAACGCTAGTTTTGCAGGTAGGCGGTGGGGAGACAGTTCTCAAATCCTGCTGTCCCTGGGCTCGCCTGGTCTACCAGTGCTCTGAGCTGGCCGGGACGGAGCGCGTTTCCACTTTGGTTCCGTTGCTGCGTCACTGAGAGACTGAGGAGCACTCCTTAGGCTCTGACTTAGTGTTTTGTTTGTTGTTGCTGTTTTGAGATGGAATCTCACTCTGTCACCCAGGCTGGAGTGCAGTGGCGTGATCTTGGCTCACCGCGACCTCTGCCTCCTGGGTTCAAGTGATTCTCCTGCCTTAGCCTCCTGAGTAGCTGGGACTGCAGGTGCACGCCACCACGCCCGGCTATTTTTTTTCAGTAGAGATGGGGTTTCACCATGTTGGCCAGGATGGTTTTGATCTCCTGACCTCATGATCCACCTGCTTCAGCCTTCCAAAGTGCTGGGAGTATAGCCGTAAGCCACCTAGCCCAGCCTTTTTTTTTTTTTTTGAGACAGAGTCTTGCTCCATCGCCCAGGCTGGAGTGCAGTGGCAGGATCTTGGCTCACTCTCACTGCAACCTCCGCCTCCCGGGTTCAAGTGATTCTCCTGCCTCAGCCTCCTGGGATGACAGGTGCATGCCACCATGCCCAGCTAATTTTTGTATTTTTAGTAGAGACAGGGTTTTGCCATGTTGGCCAGGCTGGTCTTGAACTCCTGAACTCAGGTCATCTGCCCGCCTCAGCCTCCCAAAGTGCTGGGATTACAGGCATGAGCCATCGCATCCGGACTGTTTGTTGTTTTTTAAAATATATTTTTGTGATTTTGAAAGGGAATGATAGTGATGTCTGTCTTCCCGAGAGAATGGTGGGACAGAGCATCTTACATTGAGATTGCCATCTATGCTAATATTTTAAAAACACTCTCTTCTAAGACATACAAAACGGGGAACCTTCACCCCTGACCCTACCAGCCCTGCCTGGGCAAGTTGTGAGCAGGCGGAAGGACTCCTGGCAGCAACTCAGAAGAGAGGAATTAGCACTGTCACCCCAAAGGGCAAGACTGTGCTGTGAAAATTCCACTCCAGTACCCTTAGATGTGTAGATATGAACCTTAGCAGCTGGCTGTCATGGAAAGGGAAAGAGAATTAGGAGACCTGGGCTCTGAGTGCCAGCGATTTAAAAACCACCCTCCACAGAAGTGCCGACTGTGTACTAAGTACCTTCCGGTATTTATCATATTTATTCTTCTCACCTAGCGAGTGAATTTTATGATCTGAAATGAGACGGTGGAAGCTCAGAGACAATCTCAAGATGACATGGGTGAACAGAGTTCTGATCTAAACTCAGCTTCCAATTTCAAATCCAGACAGTTCTCTTTCACTGTCCCATGGCTGTACTGATGGGTTGTTTGTTTGTTTTGTTTTGTTGAGACACGGTCGTGCTCTGTCATCCAGGCTGGAGTGCAGTGGCGTGATCATGGCTCACTGCAGCCTCGACATCCTGGATTTAAGCAATCCTCCCACCTCAGCCTCCCTGGTAGCTGGGACTATAGGCGCATGCCACAATGCCGAGCTAAGTTTTGTATTTTTTTGTGAAGATGGGGTTTTGCCATGTTGCCCAGACTGGTCTTGAACTTCTGGGCTTAAGTGATCCTTCCACCTCAGCCTCTCAAAGTGCTGGGATTATAGACATGAGGCACTGTGCCCGGCCCCGATGGTTTGTTTTTAATGTGCTTCTTTTACTTGTATAGAAATACCACACAAACCATTGGGGGAAAATAATGACTGTGGGAAAGGAACTGATACAAATGTGGGAACTCAGAGCTTCAAAGTTAAGTCAGATATTCCCACCACTGGGGTGGTTTCAGTCACATTCATACACACACACACGCACACACACACGTATGCACGTGTGCACACACACACCCTAGAAACCCGAGGGAACTATATTATGAAGTAATACAGAAGGCAGTGTTTCTAAATACCTGTCAAATAATCAAGAGATTTTAGCCACAACAATTGATTATTTCTGGCACACTTGGCCTTTAAGATCTCAACCAGAGAATAAGTTGACACCAGAATAAATGGAGTCATTTTCATTATTTATTGGTATTCATATTAATTATCTAGTCTACTTATTAATTACAACTCATTCTCAAGGGTGATATTAATTATTTATGACAACTGCTATTGGTACAAGGCAAGGTCAACTCCAACAGTTTTTCTCCTCAGCTGTAGCAGACCCAACACCCAACCCTCCCTCTTCCATGCCTTCTCTGCAGTCCACACCCACCATGGACTAGGTGCTCTGGGCCGTCTCGCCATGGCCTGCCCATTCCCAATACCTTCGGCCCCTCTCTAGGTGGAGCGTCTTGCATTTCTGTGTTCTTGGACTATGAGTTAATGTTTGTTCTTGGGCTATCCCCAACAGGAAAGGGAGCCAGCGACAACCCTTGCTCCGAAGTGTACCATGGACCCCACGCCAATTCGGAAGTGGAGGTGAAATCAGTGGTAGATTTCATCCAAAAACATGGGAATTTCAAGGGCTTCATCGACCTGCACAGCTACTCGCAGCTGCTGATGTATCCATATGGGTACTCAGTCAAAAAGGCCCCAGATGCCGAGGAACTCGTGAGTCACAGCTGCCTCCCACCCAGCCTGGGGCCCGCCTGACCCTCCTGGCGCTGCTAAGGTGGTAGCTCTGCAGCTTTATAGGGAGGGTCCAGGAGCCTAGGCATGTTTCATTGAAGGTCCAATCTTCTCTCCCTGCCCTTTGGGATATGCTGTCATCTGCTGGGGACAGGAAAACAGTGCCCTTTATTTCTGTGTCTGCTATGAGTTCCCAGAACCGTGCCTGCCCCGCCTTTCCGTCTCCCTTGTTTTTCTGACTGCCATGTATTGTGGACCCACTGCTTGCCAAGGACTGTGGGTGGCACCTGGGTGGGCAAGGGGGAGAGATCCTCACTCTAGTGAAAGAAGAGTTTAAGGAGGGCGAAGGCCACAGCCTGGGGTGCTCTGTGTCTCATCCAGAACGTGGGCCATCAGGAGCAGGCCTGGCATCTGGAGGGTGACTGCAGGTGGCTGCCCAGGCTCACAGCCAGCCCTTAAACCTCAGGCAGATGCAGCCCCTCCCAGGCTCACGGCAAAGTGCGGGCTTGATTCTGCTCCCCCACCCCCACCCGGCCTCTCAGGCAGGCACTCTACACAGGGATCATCCACCTATGGCGGTCCTTCTCCTCCTCCACTCTGCAACACCCAACTCTTTGAGAGCTTTCTCTTGAGCATATTTGGCCCTCCCTCATGTGTGCATGACGTCTCCCTTCTCAGGATAGGTGAAGACGGTGGTGCCTTTACTAGATTCCTAGTGGGTCAGTGAGCAGCCCCAGAACCCCCATCTCTTCCAATCTGAGTACATAATGCACAGGCTTCCACTTCCCTCCTCATCTCCTCCCCCAAACTGGGAGTCAAGAACTGGGGGTGTGGTGGGAGAAGGAGTTGAAGGAACCATGCCACCTCCCTCAGTTTACAGTTGGGCCTTGGCACTGGGCGAAGGGGAAACAAGGGACCAGAAAGGAAATCGGGGGGGGCTGAGAATCTTCCAAACCATCCCAGAGCAGAGCAGCTGAGGAAGGTCAAGCTTCAGGATCGATTTTTTCTCACTCCACGGATTCCCCCTTCCCAGGACAAGGTGGCGAGGCTTGCGGCCAAAGCTCTGGCTTCTGTGTCGGGCACTGAGTACCAAGTGGGTCCCACCTGCACCACTGTCTGTAAGTACTCGCTTATTTATGAGTTATTTAGAAAGCACTTTGAGAGGAAACTTGAAATGGAGTGGGAGGAGGGCTGTAAGTTAGACTTACTTGTCATCTGATTGTTTTTGTTGTTGGTAATAGACTGAACTACATCATGCCTGTGTGGTGACAGCTGTTGCATGCAGTCCCCTTCATCAACATCATATCAAAAATTCCTCATGCCCATCCCTTCATTTTCAAGGGAAACCCACCTTTCAGTTGGTAAACTGATGGTGGTAGTGGAGTTGGGGGAGACTCCCTCATCTTCCTAAAGGAGATGGACAAACATTGAGCCTGGACAACATAGCAAGACCCCATCTGATATGGTTTGGCTGTGTCCCCACCCAGCTCTCATCTTGAATTCCCACATGTTGTGGGAGGGACCTGGTGGGAGGTAATTGAATCATGGGGGCAGGTCTTTCCTGTGCTGTTCTCATGATAGTGAGTAAATCTCATGAGATCTGATGGTTATTATAAGGAGGAGTTTTCCAGCACAAGCCCTCTTCTTGTAAGAGTTAAAGAAAGAGGAAAGAAACACAAAAAGCAGCTTAGCAGTCAAAGACAGGTTTATTCTGGGAATAAACCTGAGAGGGGCTTCTGGCTGATTTCAGTCAGGAGTGTTCTGTCTTAGAGACTAAGGGTATTTAAGGGTTTAGGGAGGGGGAGCTTATCGCAGGCTCAGAATGTTTCTGTGTGAAGGAGAGTTTTATTTCCTGGGTTGGAATATCTCTGATCAGAGCGGAGATTGTCTTGGGGTTGGCATGTTTCTGGTTGGAGGGGAGGTTTATCTTAGAGTTGGAATGTTCCTGGTCACGCTGACATTACCCACTAGGCTGATGTTTGGGGCTAGTTTTTAATCAAGGGGAACTTAAAATGGCAGTATTTGCCCAAGATGGTGATGCTCCTGCTCTGTCAATCCAGACCTTATAGTTATAAAAGGATGAAGGGCAGCATGTTCTTTTTGGCTACTTCCTTCTTAGGAGGGCACGGAGAGTTTTTGATCTCAGATTGACTGTAGGAGTAACGCTGTCTGTAGATGTTTTTGGGTAGTAGTCTGTGAGATGGGCAGGATTCTGTCAGTTAAATATCTTTGAAAAAGGTTGATTAGGCAGGGTAAGAACATTAGTCCTAGGCATATTATTAGGACAGAGCCCAGGAATGGGATGACCTGTGTTACGATTTTGTTTCCAAACCAAGAAGTTATTTGGTTGTTTTGCTATTCCTTTAGCTTTTTAGCCCTTTTTAAAAGTTTTTCAGCAGTGTTTCTTACTAGGCCTGATTCTTACCCAATGAGAGGCAGAGGCCCCCTTTTTCAGCTGTTATAAGATTTAATCCCCATTTATTTTGGAGGACTGCAGCTGAGGAGTCTAGTTGGTCTTGGGCTTTTATAAGGCTTCGGGCTATATTTTTTAAAGAACCCTGTAGTTCTGTTGAAAGAGTTTTTTTAAAGTATGTTAAAGACGTGGCCAATCTGCCTGCTCCCAATCCAAGTATAGAGGTTACACCTAAGGCCTCCATCAAAGGAATGACGTGGATGGCCCTCTTTTTTAAAACAGATTGGACAGATGGAATGGGTAAAGGTTGATTAGGAGGAACTAGTTTAATGGAGGGAGAAAGATAAACTAGGACACAGGTTCCAGTTTAGTTGGTGCGGAGACAAAGATATGTGTTGGTGCCACACCAAAAGAACAAGACTTCGTTGTAAATACAGGTGGAGATATGGAAAGAAAACAAGTGAATTAAAGACGGGGTGTTTTTTCTTTCTTGTGGTTCATTACTCCAGGTGGACAAGGAGGAGGCCAGGGAGACACCCACTATGGTAGAGATATAGAAAGAATTATTTTTTACACAATACTGCAGTCAGATGTTGCACTATTGATATCCAACCATGGAAAAATGTGGGCACCAGGGACAACACAGGTTGGGCCAGAGGCATTGGTTGAGGGAGAGGCTGTGAAAAGAGCCAGTTGCAAAAATGCTCTGTTTGCTTCTGGTGATCCTTGGTAGTCAACTTTGTTAGTTTGGTGGTCAGAGGGGTGTTTAATAATAATGAGAGCGGTTGCACTGGTTAGGTGTTAAGGACCCTACAGGGAAATTTTCCTTAGAGGCTGAAAAGTAAAGTGAGGTTTGTTGTAAAACGGGGGTGTGTTTAGTTATGGGCCCTTTAATGGGAGGGCCTTGGGGCTTGAGGTGTTGTAGGGAGTCGTAATAGGTTTGAAATAATTTGTTGGCCTGATTGGCCCTGGAAGCAGGATAATCGCTGACCAGGGTGTCAGCTCTTTTAACAAAGGAAGCTCCTTTCTGGAATTTATAAATTAGGGTTATGTTTCCTGTTAAAAGGTCATGAAGGGTTGTAGGAAGAGCTGCGTAAGCTGAGGAAGACAGCGATAAGCACATTCAGCATTCCGGAGCAAAGGAACAGTTAGCTTGCAGCAAGAGGGATCGTGTAAGGTTTACAGAGAGTTCTAGTTTGAGAGCAGTTAGGAGTGGTTGTATTGGTGAGGTTGATGTGATTAGGGAATTTATACTGAAAGAAACAAGAAAAAGAGAAAACAGTTATTTGGGTAGGAGTAAAGTCCTGGAAAGTTCCTCGAAGCCGTAGGTCCCATAGCACAGTAAGGAGCTGTTCAGGATGTATAATGGGAATTCTGTAAGAGTACCACTGAAGGGCTGTAATGCGGTTGGTTAGGAAGCGACGAAAGTTTGGGAGAGAAAGAGATGTAAGCGGCTTATGTGGATTTCTCTTCCTTTTTCTTCGGGATTCGGGTGAGGTGAAGGGAAGTGGGTCCTATGGAGACACAAGAGAAGGCTGAGGGATTTTAGACTTGGTTGTTTGGGTATGTGGTGAAGGGAAGTCTGTTTTCTTGAGAGAAGTATAATGAAACCAGCTGGGGAGTCCTTGGAGTTTTGCTGCCGTGGGTGTAGTAAGGATGATCTGGTAAGGTCCCTTCCACTTAGGTGTGAGGGGGGGAATTGGGGGTAGGACTGGGATCCCAGTCCTGGTGTAGGAAGGGATTAGAGGAGTCAGTTACGGGTTGTGGCAGGCATTTGTTAGCATATTCCCAAATAAAATGGCAGATGGTATGTAGAAGAGGGGAAACGAGAGGGGTTGGTGGAGGCAGGGCTTGACTCTGAGGTGGAACAAAAGGTGTGAGTGGTCTTTTGGACGTGAGTTTAAAGGGGCTGAGCATTGGAGGTTTAGGTGGGAGTGCCTGAATTTTTAGAAGGGCCAAAGGTAAAAGTGTAACCCAGTTTGTATGTGTTTGGAGTGAGTACTTGGTGAGGGTGTTTTTTAGAATGTTATTCATTTTTTTAACCTTTCCTGAAGATTGAGGGTGATAGGGGATGTGTGGCTTCCAGGTGATTAGTAGGGCCTGTGCAAGTGTTTGAGTAATTTGATAAATGAATTCAGGGCCATTATCAGATTGAAAAGAAAGAGGCACCCCGAACCTGGGGATGATTTATGTTATTAATTTGGAGGCGACAATAGAAATTCGATTGTTGGATGGAAAAAGCCTCCACCCATCCTGACAAGGTATTAGCCAGAACTAAAAGAAATTGAACCTTGTTTACTGGGGCATATGGGTAAAATTAATTTGCCAGTCTTGTCCTGAAAGGTGTCCCCTGGCTCGAAAGGTTGGGAAAGAAGGGGGTTTAGTGTTGGAATAAGGTGACGCTTTGTGGCAAATAGAGCATTGATGGGAAATGGCTTTTAACTGTTCCTTTATATCTGGGGTTATGTGTATATGAGAACTTATGAAATGTTGTAGAGGTAAATGGCTACTGTGGAAGAGATTGTGAATATCTCATAAAAGCGTTGTTTTTTCAGGGTTAGGTGGGACTAATTTGGTTCGTATCAACCAGTATGGGGGTTTGAATTGTGCCCCCGCCATAACTAGTTGCTATATTTGGTGTTTAGGATAAAAGGAGGGGATATGTTGTATGAGGGGAAATAGGTATTGGGGAATTGGATGATTGGTTGAGACGTGTTTTGCTCAATAGTCAGCCTCACAGTTCCCTAAAGAAATGTGATTGATGTCCTTTGCAATGGATAACTGCAACCTTTTCTGGAAGTAAAGCTGCCTTTAGATGATGGATTAGTTTTCCATTAATGATAGGAGTTCCCTCAGCTGTGAGATAGCCCTGCTTGCTCCAAATTTGGGCATTGGAATGGATGATGTTATAGGCATATTTAGAATCGCTGTATAAATTGTGTGTTTTTTGCTAGGGTTAGGGCTCTTAGGGCAACTAATTCTGTTTGTTGGGAGGATGTGCCCAAAGGCAAGGGGGCAGCCTCTACAACTCTTTTAGGTGGGAGAGAGTGGGTATCATTATGATATCCCTTAAAGATGGCATATCCTGCTTGGAGGGAGGGTTTTTTGATGTGCTGCCATTTATAAACTAATTTGGGGCTCCCTTTATGTGAGTGGAAGTAAGGTGGTGAAACATGGTGAGAGAACTTGTAATTAGATCAGAGCATGAGTGTTGGTTGGGGTTTAAAATTGGTGTTGAGGCTGGGCGCGTTGGCTCACGCCTGTAATCCTCCCACTTTGGGAGGCCGAGGCGGGTGGATCACCTGAGGTCAGGAGTTTGAGACCAGCTTGGCCAACATGGTGAAACCCCGTCTCTACTAAAATACTTTAGCTGGGCATTGTGGTGTGCGCCTGTAATCCCAGCTACTTGGAAGGCTGAGTCAGGAGAATCACTTGAACCTGGGAGGCAGAGGTTGCACTCCAGCCTGGGCTACAAGAGCGAAACTCTGTCTCAAAAAAAAAAAAAAAAAAATTGAAGATAAAAGACTGGTGGGATTTGGGGGGTAGCATATATGAAGAGAGATAGAAGGTTGAAAGAGTATTGAATATAGGGCTTGCATGCGAGAGGATGGAAAGGATGAGATGGAGGTGAGCGCCTTATGGCTGAGCATATCTTGTAGACTGTGAGAAGAAAATACCTGAAGGGATCTTTATCTGGGCTCAAGCAATCCTCTCTTGTCAGCTTCCCAAAGTGTTGAGATGACAGGCACGAGCCAGTGCACCTGGCCTATTGTACCTTTCGTATGTTTAGATTTGTTTAGACAGACAAATACTCACCATTGCGTTACAACTTTCAAGTGTTCAGTACAGTAACATGCTGTGCAGGCTTGTAGCCTAGGAGCAATAGGCTATGCCATATAGTCTAGGTGTGCAGTATGTTATACCATCTAGGTTTGTGTAAGTACATTGCACGATGATGAAAACATACCTCCATTGTGAAGTGATGCATGGCTGTATGAACATGGAAGGCACAACTCTGATCCCCCTTAGGGTGGTGCCCTCCTTTTATTTCTCTAAATTTTATGAGACAGGGTCTCACTCTCTGGTCCAGTCTGGAGTGCACTGGTGCAATCTCGGCTCACTGCAGCCTCGACTTCCCCAAACTCAGGTGATCCTCCCACTTCAGCCTCCTGAGTAGCTGGTAGTACAGGCATACACCAACATGCCCAGCTAATTTTTGTATTTTTTTTTGTAGAGAAAGGGTCTCATTCTGTTGCTCAGACTGGTCTCAAACTCCTGGGCTCAAGCAATCTGTCTGTCTCAGCCTCCCAAAGTGCTGGGATTACAGGCGTGAGCCACCTCGCCCTTCTTTCCCCTCTATTGGCTTTTCTATAATAGTGTCTCAATAGTTGATCCACCCTCAGAACCCCTGCAAACTCGCTGCTGTTTCTTTCCTCTTCAATTCTCCGCCCACTCTCCCCTCCAACTTGACTCACTCTCAACTGGCTTCACTTCAGACCCCCTCTTTTAGGAAGATTCTCCATCCACCCCCCGGGCCCTCCTCTGGACTCCATCTCAACAGTCTTGTCTCTGTTTCAGATGCCATCAGATGATGTTGGTGTTTGTGTTGCTAATTGCAGCAACAATCCATTAATAATTCATGGTTTCTTGATATTAGTGTTGCTAAGTGGGAACTCTTCAGACAACACACCTGGAGAGTTTCTGCATCCTCTGCTTAATTAGAACGGAGTGAGGGGCCAAAGACAGTTAAAAGAGACTTGGTAGGTGCCCTCTGAGGACGTCCTCTCCAAAGATCTTTGGGGGTCACCAGGGTCCTGGCCTGTGGGTCAAACATCAGCTTGAATAATGGCCTTGTCCTCCTGCATCAGACACATTCTTTTCTCTCCTCCACAGTATAAACTGCCAAAACTGGGAGATACTCATCAGATTGCTCCAACAGAAGAGGAGGAAGGCTCTCCCGAGGGCTGTCCAGGAGACATAAAATTTCTACCTTTTCTTTTCTTTTTGAAATGGAGTTTCGTTTCGCTCTTGTTGCCCAGGCTGGAGTGCAATGGCGTGATCTCCACTCATCACAACTTCCGCCTCCCAGGTTCAAGCGATTCCCCTGCCTCAGCCTCCCGAGTAACTGGGATTATAGGCATGTGCCCCACCCCCAGCTAATTTTTGTATTTTTAGTAGAGATGGGGTTTCTCCATGTTGGTCAGTCTGGTCTTGAGCTCCCGACCTCAGGTGATCTGCCCGCCTCGGCCTCTCAAAGTGCTGGGATTACAGGCGTGAGCCACAGCACCCGGCCAAAATGTCCACCTTTTCTAAGAGCCCATCTTCCATATTCTTTATAGGCCTTGTCTGTCCTTGTTTTTTCAAAAAAAAAGCAATCAATTTTTGTATAATAGCACTCTATCCAACGCCATAGGTTATGGTGTGTGCTACATACACAGTCGACGTTTGTCCTTTCAAGTGCTGGGCCTTTTCCTAGATCGCCATTTTAGAGGAAAATAATTCTAAAATGGATTTTACACTCTTCTGCCTTCTAAAACAGAGCATGGAGAAGAGATTTAAGCCCCTTTTTTCATGGTTAAGTGTACTTCTCAACCTCAGTTCGTATATGCTAAAGGCCTACTCTGCCGTCTTGGACTGTTTGGACCTTCTGCTAAATGATCCTGGCCTGTTTTCCTTCTTGTGTTTGCTTTGTAGAGTTTTGTGTCTCCTTTCTCCTGCCAGACTGTCAGCAGTAGCTTGTATTGCTTCAGGCCAACAGCCTCTAGCAACCCTTTCCCCTCCTCTTCACTGATTCTGCTCCAGGAAGGGCTTGGAAACAAGTTCTTTGGGTTCATCTGACTTGTGGATAACACAGTTTCATGTACTTTTTGTAGTTCATAAGCGTGGTGATTGGGTTTTCACGCTCATGTGTGACATATGCCTTCCTCCAATTTTGTTACAATGTTGGTGCGTTACCCATCAGACATGGGGGAAGAAAGGGTGTTCATGACAGCATTATCTATAGTTACAAAAGACATGTACAGGGGCCAAGGGAAAACTTCCCCTTTGCCTTCTGAAGGTTCATTGAAAAATCAACTGACCAAAGGCAGATCGATAGGAGAAAAGGCATACAAAATTTTATTTTAGTGTGCATGGCACAGGGGAATCACAGGAGAATGATTTCCCAATAACCCAATGGGGCACAGAAGCTTGTATACCCTTTTTCATACAGGAGGGAGGAGATGTATGGACTGGGGAGGTGGGAGGCAGATATTACAGGAAGGTGAGGGGCGGAGCTGTACAGGAACAAAGCTTGTCTTATTAAGCAGATAAAGTCCTCCAGGCAATCTCTTGGAGCTGCTCTCAGAAGAATAGATGAAGTCTGTCTGGGTGTGGTGATGATTCCCAGTCTCATCTCTTCTGGTGGTTTATCTTTCTTGGTTATTTGATGAGACCTCTAGGGAGGGTGTTTAAGACAATTGCATTTCTTTTGGAAAGATGCTTTCTTGGTCAGATGAGGAAATTTCCAAAGACAGACAGTCCCTCCCTGTGTTTGGTGGTGGGGCAGGTATGGGGAACAAGAAGTTAGAGGGACCTTGGTTCGGGGGCGGCTTCTGAGGGCCCTCAGCATGTCAAAACATCAGCCTTTGGGATATCACTTTCTGAGCCCCAACCCTTGTAAGTGTCTAAAATGTCCACCTAGAGAATGCAGGATAAATACACATTTGGTGCATTCACACAATGCAGCACTACAGAGCCCTTAAATGAATGAGGTAGATCTATGTGCGCTAAAAGGGAATACTCACCAATTGTTAATTGAAAAATACATGTGCAGAACAGCGTTAATAGTGTGTTCCCATTTTTTGTTGTTGTTATTGTTTTTAAAGAGTAGGTAGACTTTCAGCAGGGACCCAAATAAAGTGAAGTTTACAAACTTCGTCATTTTGACTGCTCAGCAGAAGCCTTTTTGCCTCCTTCCTGAATCTCAAATGTGTTCTGAAATACTTGCACTTGCCATATAAGTAACTTCTAGAAACTTCTGCTACCATTGCTTTTCACTCTGCATTTTCTTGAGGTAAAGAAAGGCCATGGGAACCACACAGGGAGGGAGCACGGAGTCTCACTGGAAGCATCCCTAGAAAAATCACAAATGCTATTCAGGAATCACACAGCTCTCAGGAACCATGGAAAAGCCAAAGGACCCATATTTCCATGTAACAGGCTTGTTAATATACTCACTAGATCTGAAGTTGGTTGAGGAGAGCCTGGGCTTTATTATCAGATGGACCTGGGTTTAGATTGCAGCTCTGCCATTTTCCATCTGTATTTCCTTAGGTGAATTATCCATTCTGAGCTTGGATTTCCTCATCTGTAAAACAAGGACAATAAAACCTACTTCAATGAGTTTTTAAAGATTAGTAGATCATAAGTGTGAAGTGTCTGATATAATGCCTGGCTCATAGTAGCTGCTCAACAGATGGTAGCTGCTACTGACATCATTTTATTATTTAATGTCATCCAGGCCAGGCGTGGGATTCACACCTTTAATCCCAGCACCTTGGGAGGCTGAGGTGGGATGATCACTTGAGTCCAGGAGTTTGACACCAGCTGGGCAGCATAGTAAGACCCCATCTCTGCAAATAAATAAATTAGCCGGGCATAGTGCTATGTGCCTGTAGTCCCAGCTACTTGGGAGACTGAGGTGTGAGGATCACTTGAGCCTAGGAGGTCAAGGCTGCAGTAAGCTGTGATTATGCCACTGCACTCCAGCCTGGGTGACAGACTGAGACCTTGTCTCAAAAAGAAAAAAGAAAAAATTATCTATGCTTTGTAATCTTAGGCAATTTCTGAGCTAGTAGGGTTTGACTGGTAAGAAGCAGAAAAATGGACCTCTTGCCCTTCATAAGCCTTTTGGCAAAGGTAAGTCCCAAGGGCTGTGCTCCCTTCTCCGTATCCATTATCTCTTGCCATGTTAAAAAAAAAAATCCTAAAACTTAGCAGCTTAAAACAATCAACGTCCATTTTCTTAGTTTCTGTAGGGCAGGAATTCAATGGTTTAGCTAGATGGCTCTGGCTCAGGATCCTTCATGAGGCTGCAGTCAAGATGTCTTCCAGGGCCTCAGTCAACCTAAGGCTTGTGTATTTGTCCATTTTCACACTGCTGATAAAGACATACCTGGGACTGGGTAATTTATAAAGAAAAAGAGGTTTAATGGACTCGCAGTTCCACGTGGCTGGTGAGGCCTCACAATCATGGCAGAAGGCAAAAGGCATGTCTTACATGGTAGCAGGGCAAAGAGCAAATGAGAACTAAGCAAAAGGGGTTTCCCCTTATAAAACCATCAGATCTCATGAGACTTATTCACTACCACGAGAACAGTATGGGGGAAACCACTCCCATGATTCAATTATCTCCCACTGGGTCCCTCCCACAACACATGAGAATTATGGGAGCTACAATTCAAGATGAGATTTGGGTGGGGACACAGCCAAACCATATCAGCTTGCATTTTTCATTCACTACCTCAGTTCCTCACTATCATGAATCTCTGTAGAGGCCTGCTTGAATGTCCTTACACCATGACAGCTGGCTTATCCAGAGTGAGTAATCCAAGAGACAGCAAGGCAGAAGCCACAGTGTCTTTTATGACCTGGCCTTGAAAGTCAGACAGCTTCATTTCTGCAGCATCCTGTCAGTTACACTAGTGAGGTCAGCCCTATTTAATGTAGGAGGGAGCTGCACAAAGACCTGACTTGTGGGATCCAAGTATCATTGGGGCTATCTTGGAGGCTGCCTACTATACTCTCTATAGAGATTGGTTTTGAGGGACTTACAGGACGGACACAGCGTTAGTAATAAGGTGGGAGTAGGGGTTTCAGATCTCTTGATTTGAGACCAGTGTGCACCTCAGGCCAATGCAGGATGTCCTGAGACATAGGGATCAGGCTGATGATTTTGTCATAGGACTGATGACTTGAGGAGCAAACTCTGGATTCCTTAAGGAACCCCAGGCAGGCAGAGCTCTTGGCCCCTTCCCATCTAACCCAGGAGGGAACTGGGCTTCAAGAGTGTTTTGTCCTCCGACTTACAGATCCAGCTAGCGGGAGCAGCATCGACTGGGCATATGACAACGGCATCAAATTTGCATTCACATTTGAGTTGAGAGATACCGGGACCTATGGCTTCCTCCTGCCAGCTAACCAGATCATCCCCACTGCAGAGGAGACGTGGCTGGGGCTGAAGACCATCATGGAGCATGTGCGGGACAACCTCTACTAGGCGATGGCTCTGCTCTGTCTACATTTATTTGTACCCACACGTGCACGCACTGAGGCCATTGTTAAAGGAGCTCTTTCCTACCTGTGTGAGTCAGAGCCCTCTGGGTTTGTGGAGCACACAGGCCTGCCCCTCTCCAGCCAGCTCCCTGGAGTCGTGTGTCCTGGCAGTGTCCCTGCAAGAACTGGTTCTGCCAGCCTGCTCAATTTTGGTCCTGCTGTTTTTGATGAGCCTTTTGTCTGTTTCTCCTTCCACCCTGCTGGCTGGGCGGCTGCACTCAGCATCACCCCTTCCTGGGTGGCATGTCTCTCTCTACCTCATTTTTAGAACCAAAGAACATCTGAGATGATTCTCTACCCTCATCCACATCTAGCCAAGCCAGTGACCTTGCTCTGGTGGCACTGTGGGAGACACCACTTGTCTTTAGGTGGGTCTCAAAGATGATGTAGAATTTCCTTTAATTTCTCGCAGTCTTCCTGGAAAATATTTTCCTTTGAGCAGCAAATCTTGTAGGGATATCAGTGAAGGTCTCTCCCTCCCTCCTCTCCTGTTTTTTTTTTTTTGAGACAGAGTTTTGCTCTTGTTGCCCAGGCTGGAGTGTGATGGCTCGATCTTGGCTCACCACAACCTCTGCCTCCTGGGTTCAAGCAATTCTCCTGCCTCAGCCTCTTGAGTAGCTTGGTTTATAGGCGCATGCCACCATGCCTGGCTAATTTTGTGTTTTTAGTAGAGACAGGGTTTCTCCATGTTGGTCAGGCTGGTCTCAAACTCCCAACCTCAGGTGATCTGCCCTCCTTGGCCTCCCAGAGTGCTGGGATTACAGGTGTGAGCCACTGTGCCGGGCCCGTCCCCTCCTTTTTTAGGCCTGAATACAAAGTAGAAGATCACTTTCCTTCACTGTGCTGAGAATTTCTAGATACTACAGTTCTTACTCCTCTCTTCCCTTTGTTATTCAGTGTGACCAGGATGGCGGGAGGGGATCTGTGTCACTGTAGGTACTGTGCCCAGGAAGGCTGGGTGAAGTGACCATCTAAATTGCAGGATGGTGAAATTATCCCCATCTGTCCTAATGGGCTTACCTCCTCTTTGCCTTTTGAACTCACTTCAAAGATCTAGGCCTCATCTTACAGGTCCTAAATCACTCATCTGGCCTGGATAATCTCACTGCCCTGGCACATTCCCATTTGTGCTGTGGTGTATCCTGTGTTTCCTTGTCCTGGTTTGTGTGTGTGTGTGTGTGTGTGTGTGTGTGTGTGTGTGTGTTTGTGTGTGTGTGTCTGTCTATTTTGTATCCTGGACCACAAGTTCCTAAGTAGAGCAAGAATTCATCAACCAGCTGCCTCTTGTTTCATTTCACCTCAGCACGTACCATCTGTCCTTTTGTTGTTGTTTTGTTTTTGTTTTTTTGCTTTTACCAAACATGTCTGTAAATCTTAACCTCCTGCCTAGGATTTGTACAGCATCTGGTGTGTGCTTATAAGCCAATAAATATTCAATGTGAGTTTCATGATCATCTCCTATTCTTTGCCTTCACCTGAATGGAACCAAGCTATAGTTTTGAATATGCAACTCTTTATAATGTCAGAAGTCGACTTTAATCCCTGTCTGTATCGCATGACATGTAAGAAGTCCTCCTTCATCAGGCCAAGGGGCCTCCAGGGCAATGTTACCTTGGTGATTTCACTCTGGTCCTGGGTCTAATTCTTAGCTTTTCAGCTCAAAAGCTTGATAGTCTCAGTGTCCATGTTGATTAAACTAGGGGATGCTGACTCACGCCTACAGACCTCAGATGAGGCAGATGATAAAATCAGAATGCGAATTTATTAATTTACATCGTGGCATGTAACCGGTGAGTGGATTGGATCCTCACGTCGGCCTGAGCAGTACATTCTCTCCCTGTAGGCAAGATACATGGGAAGCCAAATTATAATCAGAAGGTTGCTTAGTGAGCGGGCGTCAGAGCAAGGAAAGTTAATTAAAGTCTATGATTAGACTTTTTAATAGCACCCAGCTCTAATAGCATGATATATCCAGTTCTATAGCCAGAGCACACCTGCCAGTCAGCCAGCTGGCCGCTTGTGCTGGCTGGTCAGGACTGCCTCAGACAGTTATGCTGTGCCTCGGTAAGCATAAACAAGCTTGCCTCTGTGACTGGCCTCTGACCTGGGCCTAATTGTGATCACTCCCCTCAGACTCAGATTATCCTTCAGATTCCTTAAGGGAAAGATTTATTTTAAAATTTTATTATTATTTCTTTCTATAGAGAGATGGGGCCTTGCTATGTTGCCCAGGCTGGTCTTGAACTCCTGGCCTCAAGCAATCCTCCAACCTTGGCCTCCCAAAGTGCTGGGATTACAGATGTGAGCCACCACACCCGGCCAAGGGAAAGACTGCTTAAACGAGACATAAATGCCAGATACTATAATGAAATTAGAGCTTTTGTTCATTAAAAGATATAGAAACGGAGAAAACAAGTTAAAGGCCAGGAGAGGATGTTCACCATATTTCTAATACAAACAACAGACAAAGAATGTATGAAGAACTTCAACAAATCAATAAAGAAAGCACAGATAACCCAATAGAAAAATGCACCAAAGGTATAACGAAGCATTTCACATAAGAGGAAGCACAGGCCGTGCATGGTGGCACATCCCTATAATCCCAACACTCTGGGAGGCCGAGGTGGGAAGATTGCCTGAGCCCAGGAGTTAGAGACCAACCTGGGCAACAAAGTGAGACATTGTTTCAACAAAAATAAAAACAAAATAAAAATAAAAAATTAGCTGAGTGTGGTGGCAAGCACCTATAGTTTCAGCTACTCAGGAAGCTGAGGTGGAAGGATCACTTGAGCCCAGGAGTTTGAGACCAGCTTCAGCAACATAGTAAGACCCCGCCCCCAATGTCTCTATAAGAAAAGGAAAAAGATTATCTGGGTGTGGTGGTGTGCACCTGTAGTCCCAGCTACTTGGGAGGCTGAGGTGGGAGGATTGCTTGAGCCCAGGAGTTTGAGGCTGTAGTGAATTATGATCAAACCACTGCACTTCAGCCTTGGTGACAGAGTAAGACCCTGTCTCCAAAAAAAAAAAAAAAAAAAAAAAGAAGAAGCAGATATATCTGATCAACATATGAAAGGATGATTAGTGATTGAGGACACACAAATCAAGACTGCAATGAGATGCCATTTTATACTCATTCAATTTACAAAAATCAAAAAGTTGGAGAGGATGTGAATGGCAGAGTCTCATACCTTATTGGTGGGCAGCTGAATTAGTAAAACTACTTTACAAAACAGTTTGACATCTTCTCAAGTTTACACCTTATGATCCAGCTATTCCACCTTAGGCATGGCCTCAAGAAATTCTTGCAATTGTACAGCAGGAGACATAGGCAAGAATGTTCACAGCAACATTGTTCACAATAGTAAAAACCTAAAAATAACTCAGAATACCATCAGTGGGAGAATGGGTGAAAAAGGTATGGTACATTCACATACTGAGATATTATACAACAGTCAAAACAAAATTTAGTATGATTTCCCTTCTAGAAAGATCCAAACACCTGAAAAAAAATGTATGCATACTTTTATAGAAGATATACAAATTTTGATGAAACTATATAAAGAGAGAAGCAAGCCATAGTGGACATATCCAGACCCCGCTTCCTGGCTGAATGCACAGATCCCAGTGGCTGTTAAGTATTGGCTGCCAATGTTCAGGGCTACATCCCTCTCTAAAGAATTGCTCTTGGCCAAATGGGGGTTGCCTCACCCAGGAGGCTGTGCACCTGTCTTTTCTTTTACCATCATCCCAAATGTCCACCCATGACAGACTGGCTCAGGCGTACACACAGCTAGCTCTTTGCTTCAAGGTGGGATCAACACTTTGGCGCAACAAGTGTTCCAGAGCTCCCATGGGGTCGGGCTAGAGCTCCAGATGATTTCAGGCAAGTCATCCTTGCTTAGCTTTTTTTCCTGCCCCACCTGTTTTCCTCACTCTCCTCCTGAGACAACTCCCCTTCATATCACTTGCATAAGAATCTCCATCTTGCGTTCTGCTTTTAGGAAGACTAAGACAACAGGAAATGGAGAACCTGGGATTCCTGAATGATGATTCCTTCAAATGGGGAGAGGTAGAGGATGAGAGAGGGACAGGGCCCTATGGTTAGAGGACAAAGCTTAGCTTTTGTCTTAGATTCTGCTTTTTCAGGTGTTTATTACGTGATTTTTTTTTTTAAAGTAGAGACAAGGGTCTCCCTATGTAGCTTAGGTCAGTCTTGAACCCTTGGCCTCAAGTAATTCTCCTGCCTTGGCCTCCCAAAGTGCTGGGATTACAGGTGTGAGCCACTGCACTCAGCCTATTATATGATTTTTTTAAAAACCTAATTAAGTAGCTAAATAAATAATTAAAAGAGGACCATGCGGCTGGGCATGGTGGCTCACGCCTGTAATCCCAGCACTTTGGTAGGCCGAGGCAGGCAGATCACGAGGTCAGGAGATCGAGACCATCCTGGCTAACACGGTGAAACCCCGTCTCTACTAAAAAAAAATAGAAAAAAAATTAGCCAGGTGTGGTGGCGGGCACCTGTAGTCCCAGCTACTAGGGAGGCTGAGGCAGGAGAATGGCGTGAACCCAGGAGGTGGAGCTTCCAGTAAGCGGAGATCATGCCACTGCACTCCAGACTGGGTGACTCGGCGAGACTCTGTCTCAAAAAAAAAAAAAAAAAAAAAAAAAGAGGACCATGCATAGATCAATGATGAGTGTGCCACTAACCATGGATTGTAATTAATCTATTTCTATGGACTTGAAAACCAATTTTAAAAATGTTTACAAAGATACTAATTTTAAACAAAAATTGTACTATTCAACATGCATTTATTGAGTACCTACTATGTGCTAGAGACAGTTTTTTTTTTCTTTTTTTAGAGGCAGGATCTGGCTCTGTCACCAAGGCTGGAGTTCAGTGGGGCAATCATAGCTCACTGTAGCCTCAAACTCCTGGGCTCAAGCGATCCTCCTACCTCAGCCTCCCAAAATGCTGGGATTACAGGCACGAGCCACCACACCTGGCTCTTGAGACAGTTTTATTATTTTATTATTGCAAGGAAGAAGACAAATCTTTTATTGCATGAAATTTCATTGTAGTTGGAAAGACCGGAAGTACTCAAGTAAACAACTAAATTAAGAAGTTAATTTGGGTGAGGAGAGCTGCGATAAATAAAAGAAAACAGACTGCTGTCAGGAGAGTGATGGGTGGTAGGGGAGCCCGTCTAGATTTGGAAAGCTAGGGAAGATAGTATTATAAACTATTCTTAACTTTATTCTCTGTATTCTTTGTTTACTTCCTCAAAACATGTAAAAAAGGTGGGCTAGACTTTTTATTTTGAGACAGGATCTCCCCTCTGTCACTCATACTGGAACGCAGTGGCACAACCACAGCTCACTGCAGCCTTGACCTTCTAGGCTCAAGCAATTCTCCTACCTCAGCCTCTGGAGTAGCTAGGCTAATTAAAAAAAAATCTTTTGTAGAGATGGGGTCTTTCCATGTTGCCCAGACTGGTCTCAAACTCCTGGGCTCAAGTGATCCTCCTGCCTTGGCCTCCCAAAGTGCTGGGATTACAGGCATGAGCCACCGTGCCTGGCAGCGACTTAAATTTCTGAAGCACATTTAAGTTTGAAAGGCTTTCATACCTCATCAAATTAGTCTGTAGGGAATTTTCCACCAGTAAGACATCAAGGAGGGTGGAAAAAGTATAGTCTATCAATAATGGGGAAAAATGTCTTGAGTTCTCTTTTTTGCAGTAATGGAGAGGATGGGTTTCTCCGAGCCACCTCCAGGTGTTGCACCCAATTCTCTTGGGGCCCAAAAGAAGATCTTTGTGAAGTAGCTGACAGAATGAGGGGTATATTTGGGATTAGCTGTTGTCCAGTTGACACCAGAGCCCTTCATTGGACTGTAACCCCCTGAAGGCAGGGAGCAGACCATAGCCACTTCTGTATTCTGGGTCACTGGTGGTGGAAAGCCGTGGAATGGACCAACTTTTTCACCGACACATATGACTTTGGCCCATGAGATAACCTCTTGGCTCCTCAGTTTCTCACCTTTAAAAGAATAACGATAGTATCTGCAATGACTTATCAAGAGAATTAACTAAGAGAATATTAAAGCATTCAGTTATTTACCTGGCAGTAGAAGCTCTTGATATGTGTTAGAATTATTTTCAGCTGGCACACATTTACCTATGCAACAAACCTGAACATTCTGCACATGTATCCTGGAACTTAAAGTGAAATTAAAAAAATAAAAATAAACAAATAAAAGAATTATTCTCAGCTGGGCCTGGTGGTTCACACACCTGTAAGCCCAGCATTTGGGGAGGCCAAGGTGGGCAGTCTGCTTGAGCCCAGGAGTTTGAGACCAGCCTGAGCAAAAGGGCAAGACCCCGTTTCTACAAAAAAATACAAACATTAGCCAGGTGTGGTGGCATGTGCCTACAGTCCTAGCTACTTAAGAGGCTGAGATGGGAAGATGGCTTGAGCCCAGGAGGTTGAGGCTGCAATGAGCCACGATCACACCACTGCACTCCAGCCTGGGTGACAGAGTGAGACCCTGTCTCAAAAACAAACAAGCAAGCAAACAAAAAAGAATTATTCTCACTGAGTGGTGGAAATTCATTTATAAATCAGGTCTTCAGCATTTTCCCTAAAGTGATAGACTTATTTGCTTCAGATTGTTCATGAAATGTAATAACAAAGATCTCAACAGATCACAGAAAAACACTAGCTGGATGTTAAGTAATTTTTATTATTATTTGGGTTTGGAAATATTGGGGTTCTTTCTCTGGGAGCTTTCCCAGGTTCTATAGGTATCGAGTTTCCTTTACGAAATTAAGACAAAGGATCACTGCCTGAAACCTTCATAGGTCCAGCTTCCAAACACAACCACATCAAACATAGGGGGTCACTGGGTTTTACAGGTCTTGGAAAGGCCCTGTTGTAAATCAATTTTGGGTAATGTTGACGGCCTGTTCCAACTCTGGAATGTCCTATGTAGATTGCACTTCTTTTGTGTTACTATAGAAAGACTACGCAGAATCATTTTTATCATTATCATCATCATCCTTATCTTTCTGTTTGATGAATTCTGGAATTTTGCCAACCCAGGCAGCTTGTAAAATAAATTCTCTCTGCTATTTGTACTGAGCCTTAAATCACAAACACCAGCTGTTTCTTGTATTTGAAGTAAAGCTTCAGGTATATTGGGGGCATCCAGGGAGCACAGGCGGTTTTTTCCTCCTCTAGAATACACAGGTTCTGTGGTTCAGCTGGGCAATTTGCTCCTTTAGTGTAGAAAGTGAATCTCATGCTTTTTTGTATCTCCTACAAGGCTTAGCTCAGCAGCTAGTAAATATTTGTTGATATGATTTGCTGCAGGGCAGCCGGGTAACAATTGCAGAAGCCGTACTCTCAACAAGTCAGAGCAACAGGAAAAAAGTACTTTTTCCAACCAATATTATCAGTGGAAGTTTGGAAAATATATTGGAATGTACATCCCTAAGTTCTAAGACAGACAGAGCATAAATTAAATATTCAGAGATAAGGAAGGCTTGATATTGGTTAAATTGCTTACAGCTTTGTAGTGATTTATAGTTTTAAAGTACTTTATAGCTATTGGATAATTAAATTATCTCAATCACCTGGCGATAGATGCAGGCTGAGTATTATAATCCTTATTTAACTGTTGAGGCAGTTGAAGTGCTGAAGAGGCAAAGGAACATGCCCAGACTTAAGGCGATGGAAATGGCGAAGCAGATTGTCAAGAGCGGCTCTATGGATTGTTGCTAAGGTAGCAAGAGGGCAGGAGATGCTTTGCTGACTTTGGTTTTGAATTTGAATGTCTTTAAAATACACATAGCTCTTGCAGTCCTTCTGGTCTCATACTTTTGAATTTTGTGCCTGGCTCCTGAAACCTTTTAATTTTCAATTGTGCACTCATGAGAGGGAATTTAGGGAGCAAAAGCCAGGTCTCCCTCACTGGTTGAGGGGCATCCTGCTGTTCCTACAGGCTCTCCCACTAGGGTGTGGGCTCAGGATTGTCATCAGGAGAGTTATGGCTAATATTTTAATGCAAAACACCTGGAATGGGCTGAAGACTCTATTTCCAACCTTTAGGGACTTTATGTCTTTTTTTTTTTTTTTGAGACGGAGTCTCACTCTGTCACCCAGGCTGGAGTGCAATGGCGTGATTTCGGTTCACTGCAACCTCTGCCTCCTGGATTCAAGTGATTCTCCTGCCTCAGCCTCCTGAGTAGCTGGGACTACAGGTGCTCACCACCATGCCCGGCTAATTTTTGCATTTTTAGTAGAGACAGGGGTTTCACCATATTAGCCAGGAGGTCTCAATCTCTTGACCTCGTGATCCGCCCGCTTTGGCCTCCCAAAGTGTTGGGATTACAGGCGTGAGCCACTGCGCCTGGCCAAGGGACTTTATGTCTTTTTATAGGGATTCACAGCCCATAGAACCACCTATCCTCATCTTTATTTAGCCTCTTCCATCCTTGGATGACAAAATGTCCACTTCTCTCAACAAGCAAATAGATGTATTCTGTTTGAGTATTTAAGCAATTCAGCCTAGCTTTACCATTAACCTCGGCTTTGGGCTTATAAGCCCTTCATGGGCAGAGCCAAGGTTTTATTCATTTAGAATCCTCAGCACCTAAGGTGCATCATAAAGAGGTATTGAATGACTACCTGCAGCTGGACCAAGTCCACATCGGATCCCAAGGAAGCCCAGGATATTCTTTCCGCTTAGCTCACTGGCTGCAGCAATCTTCCTCCCTCAGCTCTGAGTACCTCGCCATGGCATTGTTCTTTCTGATGGATGTGAGAAGCACAGAGGTCAGGAAAAGCAAAGACCTTCTGTTCCCATTTCAGCAAATCTGTATTAGAAAACTCAGAGACCCCAGGCCCGGTGGGAAAGGATAACCTGTTTCCTCACTGTGAAGTGGTATTTCTAAAATGTTTCCAGAGGCAGCTGGCGGGTGGACAGGTATTAACTTGGTTAAAGAGACATTAAAGAAGAAGGCACTAGATCTTCCTCCCTCCCTCCTGCGCCAGGGCCACCAATACAATCAGTACTTAACAGGCATGTCTCTGTATGTCCTTATGGGCTCTCTGGAACCTGACTCCTATCTAGGAGTCTTCTGTTTACTTTGGAAAACAAATGAAGGACACATGTAGCTAGAAAGAGACTCATTCAAGGTGGAAAGTGGACATTTTGCTGGGCCACGGAAGGCCTGTTCATGAGCAGTGCTGGCCCTGGAAGAGGCCTTCCCTCTTGCTGCCAGCACTGCAGAGAGATGGGAAAGCCCAGACACCAGCTCTGCGGTCGTGGAGGTCAACTGTATCATAACCTTTGGAAATTAAATCAGGAGATCGGGAGGAGGATGGCCAGAGATGTTTCCCTTACTCCCAATGCAAGAAATAGGAACAACATTGATCAATGCTCTTCTGGGCCGCTCATACTGGAAACGGCTTTTACTCCAGCAATACTAAGATTTTACTTTTTATTTCTCTGATACTTGGATCCAAATACTCTTCCCCAACAGCTACCATTGATACTTGAGCAAGGTAAAGCTCAGAGGGAAGTTGTTGCTTAGGACTTGACGGCCCTGTGTTCTAAATCTTTGTTTTCAACATCCTGACGCATCTCTCAACTTTCTCATGATCTCAATGCCCAGGGTATTTCTGTGGTCCCGGGAAAGGATAGGCCTTACTCTTTATTTATTTATTTATTTATTTATTTATTTATTTATTTATTATACTTTAAGTTCTAGGGTACATGTGCACAACGTGCAGGTTTGTTACATATGTATACATGTGGGCCTTACTCTTATTGCAAGAATCATCTTCCAGAGTCAGGCTACCTTCTTCCCTACATGATACATTCCTGAACATATCTATACATCTATCTATCTATCTATCTATCTATCATCTATCTATCTATCATTCATCTATCTGTATGTATGTATATACATCTATATAAAGCCTTAAGTATGCAAGTCTAGCAGTAGACACAGATTATAATGAGAAGTCTGTTTCCAGTGAGCTAAAATCCTGCTGCTCAAATAGAATGACAATATCAGGCAAAACCAGGGAGCTTGTCAGAAACAGAATCTCTGGCCCTCCTCCAGACCTTATTGCATCAGAATCTGCATTGAACATAATTCCAGGTAATTCACATGCACAGCAAAGCTTGGGAAGCACTGAGCTAAAAAATATATTATTAATTATATCTCACCTCATCAACTTTTAGATAGGTGGTCTCCACCTTGGCTATACATTAAAATCACACAGGGGCTTTTAAAAACTACTGACTCTTGGAGCTTTACCCTAGACCAATGGAAACTGTATCTCTGGGCATTGGTTTTATAAAAATCCGTCCAGGTGGTGCTAACGGACTGCCAAGGTTGAGGACTACCGTTTTAAACTTTATTTCTGGCACCATTTTCCCAATGTTTTATACATCCATTGGGAGACAGCTCTCCTTGGGCCTTTTATATTTCTGCATATCTAGATTATTCCAGATGATCTTTTCAAGGTTGTTAGAATAACAAACAACCTTGGAAGATAGACAATATCTCCCTCTGGAGTGAAGGGCAGATTTCTTTACTGTTCCTTCTAGAGCAAAGGGCAGTTAGGCTCACTGCCTAGTATAAAAAGTTTGGGGACTTCTGGCTTTAGTGCTGACATGTAAAGAGCTTGGAAACTCTTGGAAACTCTTTCAACAAGAAATAAGCTGAATACGCTGAAACTTAATGACTTTTCTTGGACCCATCAGAGAACTGAACTCCCAAGGTACCTGCCACCCCCAAATCTGGAGAGACAGGCCAACCTTCTGAGAGCAGAAGATGTTAAAGCCATAAGCTGGTAAAAACACGTACATGGTAATTTTGATGTAATTGGAGGCTGAGTGTGAACCTGCCTGAGAGTGAGAAACTCCTGGGGGCCTGTAGCCTTAGGGGCTCCTCCAATATGTTTATGGATCTTACCTCTAGGAACTCCACCAGGTTCTCATAATGAAGAACCAAGAAAAATTGTCTGGTGTTTCTGGCAGGGTGGAGGATAGGTAACCATTTTGAAATGCCCAGAGTGTTCTTCATAACAAAGACCTACTCTGCTAGGAGAAGACTTTACCAGAGCCTTATCTACTTGGGGGAAGGGAAATTATCGAAATCCAGTCCCCTCTAATATTCCTATCTCACCCTAGAGAGAGAGGGAAAAGCTAAGAAACACTTGTGAAAGTCACAGCCCAGAGACCTACTCATCTCATAATCATAAGACGATAGAACATTTTCTCCTCCCACATCTTACCACCACACCAAGAGGTATAATGAAACTGGATTAAAGCTGAAAGAACTGGAAGATGCTGACTTTCTCAGAGGAGGAGTACTTAGGGAAGCCAAAAGACAACTGGGGAGAGAAAACCAAAGACCCCTGAGGAATTGGAAGCCTCTGGCACTAATAACTACAGAAAACATTAAGCACAGCCTAACTCCTAGCCAGACTAATATAAAGTCCCACACTGAAAGCCTATTTACCTCAGTTTCTATTAGTCAATATATCATGTCCAGCTTTCAAAAAAAAAATTACAAGGTATGTTAAAAGGCAAAACAAAACACAACCCAAAACCAAAATCAAAAACATTGTCTGTAAATGGGTGTGGTGGCACGTGCCTATAGTCCCAGCTACTCAGCTGGCTGCTGGGGAGGATCGCTTGAGCCCAAGAGTTCGAGGCTGCAGTGAGCTATGATAGTGCCGTTGCGCTCCAGCCTGGGCAACGGGACAAGACTTTGTCTCTGGAGAAACAAAACAAAACAAAGCAAAAGCTGTCTGAAGAGAAAAAGAAACCAAACTTGAACATGATATAGATTCTGGAATTATCACACAGAGAATTAAAAATAACAATGATTAGAGCTGAGTGTGGTGGTTCATGCCTAAGTTCCAGCTACTTGGGAGGCTGAGGCAGGAAGATTGCTTGAGCCCAGGAGTTTGAGTCCAGTCTGGGCAACATAGTGAGACCCTGTCTCTAGAAAAAAAGTAAAATAAATAAAAAGAAAATAACAATGATTAATGTGTTAACTGTTCTAAGGGAAAAGACAGATGAGTAATGTAAGCAGCAGAAAGATGGAAACTCTAAGAAAGAATCAAAGGAAAGTGTTATAAATCAGAAACACTGTAACAGAAACAAAGAATGCCTTTGATGGGCTCATTATTGGTAAACTGGACACAGCCAAGGAAAGAATCAGTGAAATTGAAGGGGGAAAACAAACACTTCTCATATTGAAATGCAAAGGAGAAAAGATGAAAAAACCCAGAAGAAAACACCCAAGAACTGTAGGACGGTTTCAAAAGGTGTAATGTACAAGTAATTGGAATGCCAGAAGGAGAAGAGAGAACAGAGCCAAATAAATATTTGAAGTAATATTCTTGAGGATTTTCCAAAATTAATAGATACCAAACACATATCTAGGAAGTTCAGAGAAAACCAAGAAAGATAAATATCAAGAAACTATACCTAGGCACAACATAATCAAACTGAAAAAAAAAAATCGAAGTCTGGAAAGAGCCAGAGGGAACACTTTACCTATAGAGAACAAGAATAAAAACCGCAGCAGACTTCTTGTCAGAAACTATGCATGCAAGTAGAAAGTGAGGGGAAATATTTAAAGTGGTGAAAGAAAAAAACCCACCAACCTATAATTGTATACCCAGTGACATTATCCTTCAAGAGTGAAGGCTCGGCTGGGTGCAGTGGCTCGCACCTGTAATCCCAACACTTTGGGAGGCTGAGGCAGGAGGATCACCTGAGGTCAGGAGTTTGAGACCAGCCTGGCCAACATGCTGAAACCCTGTCTCTACCAAAAATACAAAAATTAGCTGGGCGGGGTGGTACACGCCTGTAATCCCAGCTACTCAGGAGGCTGAGGCAGGAGATTCGCTTGAACCCAGAAGGTGGAGGTTGCAGTGAGCTGAGATCACGCCACTGCACCGCTGCACCCCAGCCTGGGTGACAGAGCGAGACTCTGCTTCAAAAACAAAACAAAACAAAAGAGTAAAGGATAAATATTTTCTCAGACAGACAAATACTGAGGGAATTCATCACCAGCATATCTGCTCTACAAGAAATGTTAAAAGAAGCATTTCAGTGAGTAGGAAAATAGTAAATCAGTAATTCAGATCTACATAAAGAAAGGGAAGAAGGAATAAATGAAAGTAAAATAAAATCTTATTTTTCTTATTCTTAATTTATCTAAAAGATAACTATTTGTTAAAAGCAATAATAGTAGCAATGTATTGTGTGATTATAACATATGAATAAGTGAAATAAATTTCAGCGATGTCATAAGAGGCAGCGGAAAAAAATTGGGAATACTTTGTTATAAGGTACCTGCACTACACGTGAAATAGTCTAGTGTTATTTCAAAGGGAACTTTGGGCCAGGCGTGGTGGCTCACGCCTGTAATCCCAACACTGGGAGGCTGAGGCGGGCAGGATCACCTAAGGTCAGGAGTTCGTAGACCAGCCTGACCAACATGGAGAAACTCCGTCTCTACTAAAAAATACAAAATTAGCCAGGCATGGTGGCGCATGCCTGTAATCCCAGCTACTCTGGACGCTGAGGCAGGAGAATCGCTTGAACCCAAGAGGCGGAGGTTGCGGTGAGCTGAGATCGTGCCATTGCACTCCAGCCTGGGCAACAAGAGCGCAACCCTATCTCAAAAAAAAAAAAAAAAAGTGAACTTTGATCAAAAAGTGGTAAAACTTTTGCCCACTTTTTCCCAACCAGACATGAGGTTACAGAGGCAGAACCTTGCTCATAGTGGTGCTCAGTAAATAGCCTTTCGCTCCATAATACATAGCTTTCAAGGACAGTGAAATTCTGCAACATCTATCAACGTGAATTTAAATAAATTTTAATTTTAAAAATCAGATTGTGCCATCCAGCACTATGTGAGAGAAGAGGTACTTATAGAAACAAAGGCACGGTGGTGTGCAAGTTTACAAAATAAACTGATGTAAGAACTCTAGGCAGAATTCTTCAGATTTTTTTATCCTGCACTCCTATAATTTTTTAAAAATCTGGCTTGTCACACCCAACATATGTAATTATATATTTATAAATTCTGTACAAATGCCACTGTACTCATATTATATATTTTATAAAACATAAAAATTAAAATAAAAAGGACAGAATAAAAATATAGCTTATAAGTCTTAATAGTTTCTTCCTTTACCCCCTGGTAGGAATGAATGCCTCACTTTGGAAATCACTGGATTTGATTGAAAATGCTTCTAATTCTCGACTCCGACTTACCTTGAGCTGTCTAATAGATCTGAATAATCTCATAAATGAATGCCTGCCTCTTTAAGTAGACCGGATAGACAAACTATGGCCCGCAGATCAAATCTAGCCTCCATAGCCTCCAAGCTAAGAATGGTTTTTACATTTTTAAATGTAAAAAGACTCTTTAGGCTGGGCACAGTGGCTCGTGCCTGTAACCCCAACACTTTGGAAGGCTGAGGTGGGAGATAGCTTGAGCCAGGAGTTCAAGACCAGCTTGGGCAACGTAGCAAAACCCTGTCTCTATGAATTTTTTTTTTTTTTAATTAAAGAAAAAAACAGACTCTTCAGTGAGAACAGTTGCTCTATCTTACCTTCTGGACCCCAAAGCCTAAAATATTTATTTTTTGGCCCTTTCCAGAAAAAAATTTGTTGGCCCCTGGACAGGGAAAGCATGTGGGTCACCTTTACCTTTCCTCTACATGGTGAGGCCTTTGGAAGCTCTGCACAGGGCTGTAAATGTGGCTCTCCAGGCCCAAGGGGCTGGCCTTGGCTGCAGCTGCATCCCTTCCTTGGCCTGTAGGTTACCAACCTACTGTCTCACTGGGAGCAGGCCCTCAGCCTGTGCTCTTGGGCACCTCATGGTGGTCATTAGCTAGGTCCCAGATGACCAGGCATTAGACACCCACCCAGGGAGCCCGCAGCCCCAGCCCACTTCCTCCCAGTATCTCTGAGGTTTGGCAAGTGACATGTCCTGGCCAGCCGTTCCATAGCTCTTGCTGCCCTGTGGCTGGTCGGGGGGTGTCTGGCCTCCATCCAAACACCCAGCTAGTGGGGAAGGGGTGGTGTAGTACAGTTGAGAGGAGGCCAGCTGGGTGCCCGGATGGAGACAGCCAAGTGGCGGAGGGTTGCCCAAGAGTCTATCTTCAGCTGCTGGGCCTACATCTGGGCAGGGGCGTACGTCCTGGGGGAGGGGGAGGCAAGACCTTGGTGTTAGAGGCCTGCATTTGAGGATGACGCCAGGGGAGGTAGGTCCCTGGTTGTGGGGTGTGAGAGTGAGGTCCAGTAACAAAACATGGGGAGCAGCTCAGAGCAAAGGTTTAGGAGCTCTGGGCTGACGGAGGCACAGCTGAGCGGAGCAGGCAAGGGTGAAGGTCCTGGATGTGAAGGATTGTTCCCCTAAGATTTGGGGAGTCATTGGAATGAGTAAATCAACAAATCAGTCAACAAATAGGTCCTGGGCAGTGGCCTGGCTATACAAAGGGTTTCTGGGATGGTGCAAATGAATATGACACAGCCCCAGCCCACGAAGACTTTGTTTTGAGTTTGCAGATGCCTGTAAAGAATTAGAATCTATGGTGTGTGATGGAGGCACAAGGCATGATTAGCTAAACTGGGGAGATGTGGTCAGTAGGCTCAGGTTCCCTGTGGTGGGTGGCCCCAGACTGGGATTTTGCATGAGAAAGTAAATTTCAAACCTCTAATCCAGAGCGGCATTAACCTACCTTTTAGGCCTTCCATTGTTTTCTTGGATTTTTAATATTCCATTTCCTGAAAGCGCCTGCTTGGCATATTCCTGAAAGGTGGGATAAGCCTGTTTTTTTGTTAATTAAATCACATTTTGAGTGCACTAGGGGAGATTTCATTTTAAGAAACAGTGGCAAATCCTCTCAATAATCAAAGAATCCTTTTAGAAAGGGAACGATGATGCTCCTGTTGTTCTTTTTTTAAAGATTACACTCGATGTATTTATTTTCCTAAAACACTCAAAGGGGACTTTTGGAGACTAAAACATAATTTAGTTTGGAAGTTTTGTTTGCAGATGTTGGAGCACCTCATTCGATCTCTGGAGACCCCCAGGGTGGTCCCCAGCCAGACATGGGAATTAATACCTTCAACAAGGAAGGGATTCAGGGCTAGAATGAGATTTCCTGCAATCTCCCCATCACGCTTAGTCGAGTTAACTCCTTCACATCTTACCTAACTCAGCTCAAATGTTACTGTTTGGCTGGGTTTTTTTAGCTTTAATTTTGTGTAATGTGATAAAATATACATAACATAAAATGTACCATTTTGTTTTTAAGTGTAGCGTTCAGTGGCATTAAGTATATCTACACTGCTGTGCAACCATTACCACCACCCATCTCCAGGACTTTTTCCTCTTCCTAAACTGAAACTATATCCTCATTAAATAACTTCCCATTTGCCCATTGGCAACCACCATTCTGCTTGCTGTCTCTATAAGCTGGACTACTCTAGGTATTAAATGCCACTTTTACAACTTCTCTTTAATTTAAAGGGTTACACAGCACATCATATGAAGAGTCAGAGTTCTACAAGACTTGTTATAAAAAGCAACAGAGTCCTGCTCCTCGCTTTCGTGCCAGGTCTTGCTCTCTGGCAATAACCACATTGAGTTCTTCTAGCCTTGATGCTCAACATTCACAAGACTAGGTAAAGTGCTTACATTGCTACTTCTTGATTTTTCAGTTTTGGGCATTTTGGATTGATTCTCACTATAAAAAGTAAATTAACTGCCCCATATTTCCTTTAAAATATGTTTTATTGTGAAGTATATCATACGTACAAGATCCTGTATAAAACTTCAGTGGCTGTTAAAAATAAAATTAACAGCCGGGCGCGGTGGATCACACCTGTAATCCTAGCACTTTGGGAGGCGGAGGCAGGCAGATCACTTGAGGTCAGGAGTTCAAGACCAGCCTAGCCAACATGGTGAAACCCCATCTCTACTAAAAATACAAAATTAGCCAGGTGTGGTGGCAGGTGCCTGTAATCCCAGCTACTAGGAGGCTGAGGCAGGAGAATCGCTTGAACTTGGGAGGCAGAGGTTGCAGTGAGCCAAGATCACACCACTGCACTCCAGCCTGGGTGATGGAGTGAGATTCTGTCTCCAAAAAAAAAAAAAAAATTAAATTAACACTCTTACCCTATCATTCAGCTTAAGAACAAGAATGTAACATTATTCGAGTAGCCTGCACATGCCCCTCAAATGTACTCCCTTTCCTTTTCTAGACAAAACCAGTAATCATGCTAATAATTTTCTTTCTTTTCCTTATAATTACCGCATATGGACATATTCCTAAACAATATACTGTTTTGTGGATGTATATAAATGGAAACACAGTGCGTTCTGACTTGGCTTCTTTCGCTCAACATTACATTTTTTGAGGTTCAACCATGTGGATGCATGGCGCTGTAGCTGACTCCTTTTCTCTGCTCTTTGTATTCTGTTGTATGACGTCTCCATTCATTCAGCCAATCTTGTGCATATGTTCTGGTGACATGTGCAAGAGTTTCTCTCTTTTTTTTTTTTTTTTTTTTTTTGAGACAGGGTCTCACTCTGTCACCCAGGCTGGAGTACAGTAGTGCGATGACAGCTCACTGCAGCCTCTACCTCCCAGGTGCAGGTCATCCTCCCACCTCAGCCTCCGAAGTAGCTGGGACCACAGGAGCACACCGTCACACCTGGCTAATTTTAACTTTTTGTAGAGATGGGGTCTCACTCTGTCACCCAGGTTGGAGCACAGTGGCGTGATGACATTGAGTTTTCTTATTTAAGAATAGAGTATACTGTTAGATTCGTTTGGAATGTTAGCATTTTCCAATAGTTTTATAATTGTCTCCAGGAAGTATGGAGGCAAAAGCAACTCCATCTTAGATGCTAATCTGCCATGTTGACTTCTGGTTGCCCCCCGATCGGGGAAGGCCTTGGGATTTCCAGTTCGTTGTTCCTTGAGTGGAGTATGTGCTTGCCATGAATCCTGCCCTGGGGTTGGTACAGGCTTGATGCTATCACCCTTCAAAGGTCCTACACATCCCTTTGGAGTTATCCTGTCCCTATGGTGTATGGGCCATGGGTCTCGGCGGTAATGGTGCAGGAATCCACCAGCTTGTCTCACCAACACCTGAGACACAGACATGGCTTCTGCTTGTAAGTCCCTATTAAGTGTTTCTTTCTAAAAAACAGATTTGTCAGCCTCTTTCTTGGACCTCTCAGCTTCCTAAGACTTTGGGGGCAGGTTTGCATATACCTGCTTACTTCAGAACAGGGAGGATTGCACATTGCTTGTTAGAATTATTCCTGATTTTTTTTTTAAGAAGGGGTGTCCCAAGTAGCTGAGACCACAGGTGCATGCCACCATGCCTGGCTAACTTATTTCTATTTTTTTGTAGGGACAGGGTCTCCCTATGTTGCCTGGGCTGGTCTTGAACTGCTGTCCTCAAGTGATCGTCCCTCCTTGGCCTCCCAAATTGTTGGGATTACAGGCACGAGACACTGCACGTGGCTATATGCTTTCTTTTATTAGTATTTACTTGGAATATCTTTTTTCCATCCTTGACTTTGAGTCTCTCTTTCTTCTTATGTTTTAAGAGTGCCTCTTGTGAAACCATATAGCTAGTATTTTTTTCTTTTTTTTTTTGAGACAGTCTTGCTCTGTCGCCCAGATTGGAGTGCCGTGGCATGATCTTGGCTCACTGCAACCCCCGCCTCCTGGGTTCAAGCAATTCTCCCACCTCAGCCTCCCGAGTAGCTGGGATGACTCCCACCACCATGCCCAGCTAATTTTTGTATTTTTAGTGGAGTTTGAAAGTTATGTGCACTGGGCCTATTCTTCTAGTTGTTGCTCTAGCTATTTGAACACGCATATTTACCAAAATCTAAAAAATTATCAATATCTCTCCTTTCTCCCAATAATTCCAGGACCTTAAAGACACTTTAACTCTGATGACCCACTTGCAGATAACATGCTATTCTTGTCCAGGACTTAAAACTTTGGTGTTAGATGATGCCGGGGAAAATATTTCCTGAGATTTCATAACCACAAGTAAGCCCCCGACATGAATTTGTGGTTTAAGTTTATGCTAACTATGCAGTCCCCCAAAAAAATCTTAAATTATTTAATTTAGAGTGGTCGCAGGTTGGTAGTGTCCCCAGCAACTTACAGAAGTAAACGCAAATCTTTTCTGGAAGAACCCACCTTCAACCCAGGCCTCAAGGGATTCTCACAGATAAATGTTCAAGGAAAATGATTGGTTCACAGGTATGTGGCATGAGAGAAAATGCACCATGAGTGAGAACCAGCGGAAAGAATAGGCAGCAGAAACAGACTTAAAACATCTAGGAATTGTAATTATCTAACACAGAATATAAAATATCTGTCTTATACGTTTAAAGAAATAAGAAATTCTAAAATAGATAAGAAATTCAAGTCATTTGGGCTTGAATCAGAAAAAAAGAATCAAATAGAACTTCCAAAAATGAAAAATGAATATCATATTGCATTGACTATAAAACAGGATCAATTTTATAAGATGCACCATAATTTTATGTGCCACCTTAGCATTGCAAGATGCCACCAATTGTAAGATGTATCCTGATTTTAGCAGTGTTAAAAATGTGAAAAAAATAGGTTGCAGAATCAATGAACCGTAGCAATTGAAAGGTAAAACTTCACAGATCAATTAAATTGCAGATTAAACTCAGCCAATGAAGAATCAGGTAACTGGAATAAAGACAAAAATATTTTTTACTAATAAATTATCCAGAATGTAGCCCAGAGAGACCACACAATGGAAATATAGCAGAATGCTTATGAGTCTTGGGGGCTAGAATGAGGAGGTCCAGTCAAAAGTTCCAGATGAAGGTAATAGAGAGGAAAAGGGGCAATGTTTAAAAATATAATGGCTGAGAAATTTGGAAAATAATAGAAAGCGAGTGACACTCAGATACAGGAATTCAAATGATTCTCAAGCAAGACAAAACAAAAAAAATCCATACCTGGACTTACGATGATAAAACTGTGGAACATCAAAAGCAAAGAGAAGCTCTTCAAAGAAACCAGGAACAAAGAGAGGTCACCTTCTGAAGAACAGTAAGTCAACAAACATTACCTTTTAGCAGCAAAAATGGAAGCCAGAAGACTGTGGGATAATATTTTCAATGTGTTGAGAGGAAAACAGTAATCAACTTGGAATTTCTATCCCAAAAAACCCTTTCAAGAATGAGAGCAAAATAATTCTTTCTTTCTTTCTTTCTTTTTCTCTTTCTTTCTTTCTTTCTTCTTCTTTCTTTCTTTCTTCCTTCCTTCCTTCTTCTTTCTTCTTTTCTTTCTTTTTCTTTCCTTCTTTCTTCTCTTTCTTTCTTTCTTTCTTTCTCTTTTTTCTTTCTTCTTTCTTTATTCTTTTTTTTCCTTTCTTTCTCTTTCCCTCTCTCCTTTCTTTTTTTTTCTGTCTGTCCTTCCTTCCTTCCTTCCTTCCTCGCTCCCTCCCTCTCTCCCTCCCTCCCTCTCTTCCTCCCTCCCTCCCTTCCTTATTTCTTTTCTTTTTCTTTTTTTCTTTTTTTTTTTTTTGAGATAGGTTTTTGTTCTGTCACCCAGGCTGGAGTATGGTTCTCTGCAGCCTCAAAGTCCTGGGCTCAGTTGATCTGCTTGCTTGCTTCCCGAGTAGCTAGGACTACAGATGCGTGCCTCACCATGCCCAGCTAATTTTATTTTATTTTTGCAGAGATAGGGTCTCCCTGACTTGCCCAGGCTGGTCTCGGACTCCTGGGCTCAAGCGAACTCCTGGGCTCCTCCTGCCTTGGCCTCCCAAAGCACTGGGATTACAGATGTGAGCTGCCATACCTGGCCAAAAATTTTCAAATAAGTAAAAACAGAAACCTTAACTAAAGGAAGGTTTGAAAAGATAGATTTGAAGCAGAGGGAAGATGATTCTAGATACATGGTACATGCATCCAGTAGGAAAATCAAGAACACCAGCATTCTGAGAAGTTCTCTGAGGCAAAACTTGCTTACCACTTGGGTGTCTGTCTGGCTTTTCCTTCTTTTTGGGATCTATAGATTCTTATTTTTGTGCCAACCCAGCAATGGCTTTAGAAAGTTGTTACTAAAAATATTTTCTTCTGCATTTGAGTTCTTTCATTTGGGCAAGATTGCTTAGGTATCTAACCCACCCCACCTGCAGGAAATAAAAGTCCTCCAAAAAAATTTCTAATTTAGGGAAACTCTCCTTCAGTCTATGTGGAGCCCATGTTCCCCGTCCTCATGGTACAATGTGCCTTTCCCTTGTAACACAAACACCATCTATAGTTTTACACTTATCTGGAGTGAGATGGGCTACCATTATGTCTTGGGTTTACCAATTATCTTCATGCTATTTAAATTAATTTTCTACTTACGCCTTTAGAAATGTAAGGGCCAGATATGTGTTGCTTTCTATTTTGTTTCCAGACTTTAGCAAGTGCCTGGAACATAGCAGGTATTCAGAGGACATTTACTGAGTAAATGATTAGGTGAGTAATTAATTATAAGTGAAAAGCCAAAATGAGGTATTAGGTCAAGCATAGCTATGTGTCTCCGCTTCAAATCCAGCCATAAGCTGATAATTGCAGTTCATAAGTATGATAATTGGGTGCTCACGCATGCGTGTGTGAGATGTGTCACCCTCAAACCTTGTTATGACGTCAGCACATTACCCGTCTAACATGAACTTAGAAGAAGCAAAACCAAAAACAAATCCAGCCATTGGAGATGGTGCTTTCAGGGTTGGTGAATTCCCAGAGAACTCTGCTGTCCAATATGGTAGCCATTAGCCACATGTGGCTATTTAAATTTTATTTAAATTAATTAAAGTTAAATACAACTCCAAAATCAATATTCAACCACAATAGCCACATTTCAAGAGGTTAGTGGCTATCCTACTGGGGGGTGTGGACATAGAATATTTCCATTATCACAGAAAGTTCTATTGGAAGCTATGTCATAGAATTCTCAAAACTTCCTAACTGCTTCTCTCTCTCTCTTTTACTCTTATTCTTTCTCTCTCACTCTCTCTCTTTTCCCACCCTTAAGCCAAGTACAGGGATAGTTGTCTCATCATTGGTGGCTTAAAATGATGTTTTTGAACAAGAAGACGCCCCATGGGTACTTTTGGTGACTAGCACTATCTCTGTTTTTTTCCTTTTAAATTCCTGAGCTATTGTTTAGCAGTACACCCTTTTATCTCCATTGCTACTGAAGCTGAATGTTACTTGGGTGGAAAGCATAACTGCTTTCTTTTCTATGTCCTTAAACCCTTTGATAATGTTACTGTTTGAGAGTCCCTGAAGCCAGGATACTAGAAGAGTCTGGCTTGTCTGAACAGCTGAACTACGAAATAATGGAGTAGGGCAGGTGGGTGGGGGAGCAGGGCGTTCTGTCGATAAACGAGCTCCCTTCTTTGCACACATAGCCAGTTAATCGGCCATTCTGAGATAGTTTGGATGGGGAGGGGGAGCTTCTGAGAATCGCCAGTGACAGTTAAGTGGCCTATTGTTGACGTCCTCTGCTGAACGACTTGGTTGGATTCAGCTTCTGCCTTACCCCCACCCCCTGTGGATTTTCTGTTAGATTCATCATTTGCCATTCAGGCATCATCTTTCACTTTCTCCTTCCAACATGACTGCTTTGTGTGCTGGCCCCTGCTTTACTCCTGCTATTCCCAAACTATAAAGGGAACTGTGTGGGGCTTCAGCAGGACTGAGAAATTGACTCTGCTGTCTGTTGAGAACTCTAATAATGACTGCGGTGACCTTCATGTCTAGCAGAAAACCCACTGTCTGTGCTAGCACAATGATGACCACCTGAAGACAGAGAAAAGGGAATCTTGATTGAATTCCTTCTCATACAATATATAGTTATTTCCTTTGTTCTCCTCTCCATTCTCTTCTCTTCCCCTTCTCCCCATCGCCACTGGAGGACTGATCTCAAATGCAGCTGTGACTAAAAGTTAATGCCTTTTGAATAATAATACATTGCATTTTGCAGGCTTTACCAAGCCAATTCACTCAAGTTGTCTCATCTATACCCCTTCAAACCCTGTGAGGTAGGGAGGGGAGGTATGATTAACCCCATTTGATGGATGAGTAAACTGAGATTTAGAGATTAGGGCAGCTGCCCCAGATATTTTAGACGGGAAGTGAGCACCCAGTCTCTGTCTCTAAGTCCAGCGGTGTTTCAATGGCATCCACACCTTATGTGTAAGGAGGATATGGCCCAGGGAAAGCATGAGTGGGCTAGGCGGAGAAGAAGAGCGAAAGAGAAGATGCTGTAGAGGAGGGAGGAAAGGAGGGGTATCCCAGGGCTGCTGGCTACTTTGGTCTTTCTCCAGAGATGGAAGCTTTGATGCTCACAAGGGGCTGCCCTGGCAAACCTCCTGAGAGAAAAGAAAAGCTAAGGCCTGTCTTCCTCCTTCTCTCTTCCCTCTCCCCTTCCCAGGAGAGGATGTGCTGGGTTGGGGAGGGGCAGCCCTAGCTCTCCCAAGGCCTGGCATGTGGGAGCCACATGCTGGGTGCCCCAGACAGCCTAATGCTCTTTCTCAGGCTGGGCTTTCCAGCCTCTAGGTGCTGTGCTGTCCTGAGGCCTGGGCCATGGTGCCCAAGGAAAGCCCCTGAAGCTCACCAGGAGGAAGAAGCATGCAGGGCACCCCTGGAGGCGGGACGCGCCCTGGGCCATCCCCCGTGGACAGGCGGACACTCCTGGTCTTCAGCTTTATCCTGGCAGCAGCTTTGGGCCAAATGAATTTCACAGGGTGAGTGGCTGCTCCACAGTGGGAGGGAGGACTGGCTGGGAGGAGGGGACTGGGTGTCCCAGCAGGAGGTGGCTGCCCTGCTGGTGCCTGATCAAGGCGGAGAGTCAGGATGTGGGTTCCTGTCCTGAACCCACTTCCAGCTCCACAGCCTCCCACTTTCATGCTCCGGGGCTGGCTCGTTGGTGGTCCTCCCCAAATCCAGAGTTCTTAATCCAGAGTCCAGGAGGAAGCCCCCGGGGCTCCAAGAATCCCCTGAAACCACATGCAACAGTTTTCCTATACAACAGGGGCTTCTTCGGGGAGGATGCATTCATAGCTTTCCTCCGATTCTCAGAGAAGTTGTAGCCCCCACAAGACTACATACCCCTACCAAAAATGGATGTGGGTGTCGTTCTCCTTCGAATGACAGGAAGTTCTAGTATTACACGCCAGGCCCTCTGTGGATGTACTTTGAGCCTCTCCAAGGTCCACAGGTGGATGCCCCACAGTGCTCCACAGTAGAGAAGAGGAGACACAGCGAGCGTAGAGATGGGGTTCCTCACCCACGGTCTCAGAGCCAGCCTGTGAGGGCACCAACCCCATCCCAGGTGTCGCACCCCAGAGCCCACACCACAGGCCTCTTGGATACGCAACCTCCACTCACCTCCATCGGGAAGGAAAGGAGCTCAGCTTCCTCCATGTCAGGTGGGGTGAGGTTGTCTGATCTCACCTTCCGGGCGTCGAGACAGACCATGGCCTTGGGGCCCCCTCGCGAAGAGCCCTTGGGGCCACACTGGTCCCCCCAGCCCCTGTGTCTATTCCTTTCTCCCCTTCATTCCTTTCATTTTACACATCGCCCCCCTCCCCATTCCTTTCCCTTCCTTCTTCCCCTGGCTTGGCCTTCAGTCCAGCAGTAGCACTGACAGGCTTTATTTAGCCCCCGGGGTGGTCTGTCCTTGGGGCTGGAGAGCCCACTGGCTCTAGACTGAAGGACCATGTGCTTCTCAGAGCTGCCTGCGAGTCCTGCCTGCTCAGGGCTCCTTCAGCCTCCACTCATGCGGTGCCTCCTGGCCTCCCCGCCTGGCCCTCAGCTGGGCCTCTGCTCCACTCTGCCCCTTCCAAGTGACACAGCCTTCCAGGGATCCTTCTCCGCAGCTTCCTCCGCCCCTCCCTGTGTTTTTCTAGGGACCAGGTTCTTCGAGTCCTGGCCAAAGATGAGAAGCAGCTTTCACTTCTCGGGGATCTGGAGGGCCTGAAACCCCAGAAGGTGAGGACTCCTCAGGCTTGAGGACAACCCCACCCCCTCCTCAGTGGCTCACACATTTAGCTCCTTGTCCTGCCCCCCTTTATCCCAAACCTGCCCTCCTGAGGTCCCTGCAAAGAGCACAGACCTGTGGGAAATCACACGTGGCTCCACTTCAGGAAAAATCAGGAACACCTGCCCAGAAATTTGGGCTGCCTTTTTAGTCTGTGTCTCTTCTAGCCACCCACTCTCTCCTGGATAGGGAGCTGCTACATGACCCATCAGGGCACCAATCTCCAAACAGCAGGAATTTCCTAAAGCCACACGGGTGGGAGGGCACAATGTCTCTGGGTGGGATGCCACGTAGCATGGAGGTTGGATACATTGGCCTCCCAAGTGAAACGGCTTAGCTTGGCAAACCTGTATTTTATCTGGGTTCGTCCCCGTCAGCCTGAGCATCATTCCTGAGAACATTTGTCCTCTGCAGGTTTTCACAATGGAAAACATTTTCTTTAACTTTGACTATTACATAGAAGGGTTTTGTTAGGGGGCCATTGGAACTACCAGATATTCCTGGATGTGGTCAAAGCCCTTGCTCCTACTTGTCTGAGTGTCCCGTCGACTGGGACTCATGATGCTTTATGATCATTCTCTCCATTTTACTAATTGAAAAATAGGCATCGCAAAAGGCTGACCTAGGGACCCAGATTAGGCCTCTCCTACTTCTGCGGGGATGGGAACAATGATGCCTCCCTTTCCTGACCAGGGTTCTTGTCTGTGTTCATGTCCCAGATGATGAGCGGCCTCACCTTGAGGACTCTTTAGGGCTCTCTGGATCCTGACGAAGTTGCAATGAGTATGAGTGAGGTGTGGAGGCAACAGGACTTGGAATTAGGGAAAGAACCTCAGTGCCTTGGGGATTTTGTTTGTCCCAGTCTTTCCACTCAGCCTTAGGGTTTCATTACGGAACTGGGGCCCGTTTAGGTGTACAGTAGTCCCTCCTGATTGGCAGTCAACCAAAAACATTAAACGGAAAATTCCAGAAAGAAACAACTCATAAGTTTTAAATTGCAAGCTGTTCTGAGTAGTGTGATGAAGTCTCGCACCTGCACGCTGTCCACACTCCCCTCCGCGAGTCACTTAGTGGCCATCTCGGTCATCAGACCGACTGTCGCGGTGTTGCAGTGCTTCTGTTCGTCTAACCCTTATTCGACTTAATAATGGCCCCAAAGCGCAAGAGTAGTGATGCTGGCATTTGTTATAATTGCTCTATTTTATTATTAAGCTATTGTTTTTAATCTTTAACTGTGCCTAATTTATAAGTTAGGGCCAGGTGTGGTGGCTCATGCCTGCAATCCCAGCACTTTGGGAGACCAAGGTGGGTGGATCATCTGAGGTCGGGAGTTCAAGACCAGCCTGGCCAACATGGTGAAACCCCTGTCTCTACTAAAAATACAAAAATTAGCTGGGTGTGGTGGCGTGCACCTGTAGTTCCAGCTACTCAGGAGGCTGAGGTAGGAGAATGGCATGAACCCGGGAGGCAAATATTGCGGTGAGCTGAGATCATGCCATTGCACCCCAGCCTGGGCGAAACTCCATCTCAAAAAAAAAATTTATAAGTTAAACTTTATTATAGGTCTGTCAAAAACATAGAAAGAGTGAATAAAATCTAGTATTTAATAGCACAACAGGGTGACTATTGTCAATAATAATTTAATTGTATATTTTAAAATAACTAAAAGAGTGTACTTGGAGTACTTGGATTGTCTGTAACACAAAGAATACGTGCTTGAGTGATAGATACCTCATTTGCCCTGATGTGATCATTACACATTGTATACCTGTATCAAAATATCCCATATACCCCAGAAATATATACACCTACTACGTACCCACAAAAATTAAAAATTACAAAAAAACCTGTATCCCAAATCTGTTTGTATAGGAAAGAGCATAGTCTAGGGTTCAGTACTATCTGCTGTTTCAGGCATCCGCTGAGGGGCTTTGGGACATCACACCCCCGTCCCCATCTCCTGCGTAGAAAGAGGGTCTCTACTGGCTGAGAGATTCTCTGGCTCTCTGTGGTCACCTACAGGATTGTGTGGAAGGACATGGAGTAATGCAGCTCTCTCTCTTTCCTTGGTGAACAAGGTGGACTTCTGGCGTGGCCCAGCCAGGCCCAGCCTCCCTGTGGATATGAGAGTTCCTTTCTCTGAACTGAAAGACATCAAAGCTTATCTGGAGTCTCATGGACTTGCTTACAGCATCATGATAAAGGACATCCAGGTGAAGCCCTGCCCCAGCTGGGACCCTGCCTTCCGCCTTCCTTTCTGGTTGGGGCCCAACATGGAGGAGATGTTCTCGGGGCTAAAAGTGGACATGTGGTTTCTGGGTCTCCATCAGCGTGTTTGTGAACATGCTGTGGAAGGAAGTGAGCCGCACGCTTCTCAGAATCTGAAGCTAGGACAGGATTCATGGGGGAAGCACTCACAGTGTGGGAGTGGAGAGGACGCCTGTGATGAGTCCTCCTGGGGAGGGATTTGCAGCTAATAAACAGCAAAGGTGCGGGGAGAAGGGAGACAGGAGGATGTAGCTGGGGTCTTCCCCAGGCACCGTGGGAAGGTGCCTCTGGATAGCTTCTTCCTTTGCTTATCTGACCACTCCCTCCTGTTCCCGCTGTGTCTCAGCCATCCAATGCCTGGGGGAACGGCTTTACTTCAGAGGATTGGGAAATGGTGAAAGAGCATTGTGTGGTTCAGAGCACTGCTGTGGTTCACTTCCCCCAACCTCCACCGCTTGGCTCTCCGCACGGGGCATCCCCCCAGGCAGCATTCTCCCAGAGGAACCGCTTTGGGAGAAGCAGCTACAGACCTGCTCTTGGGTAGGACAAAGGTAGCCTTCATCCTGGACACCCCAGTCTCCCTGCTGCTTTCCCTGCATCTTTTCTGAACGTCATGAAATTCTATTTCAATTGTTCTATTTTCCAGTATATCCTAAAGAGCCCCTGAAACGTGCTGGTAGCACAGCCTCCTTCCTAGAGATCTTTGTGGGTACCACTCATTGGTTAAGCCTCCCCGGCTGCATCTTTCTGCAGCTGCTTGCTGCTGGCCGTGTACCTGTGGAACTGTATCCATAAAGATTCATTCCCAACCTTGTTGTATGGCGCTAATCTCCCCTAAGGGCTCCGACTGTGGGAACACAGAGCCTCCCGGAGCGCACACACTTGACACCGTATGTCAGGGGATCAACGCATCAGGCAGCATTCCGTTCCCATGCGAGCACAGGGCTGGGGAACTTTGGTCCTTTCAAAGACCTTTATCCCTCATCAGGCACATCTGTTTCCCGCTCAACGTGTGGGGGTGGGATATTTCTCTAATGAAATCCCCCACAAACAAAAATGGGGAAACTCCCGCAGACAAAAGAGGCTACCACATCAAAAGAAATAGAACTGAATTCTCATTTTTAGCCAGGCCTCTGTTTTGAAGTTTCCATTTCCCTGGTTCAGCCCCACCCTGGGAACTCCGCAGCATTTGGCAAACAGACACACAGAGGTCTCTAAAAACTTTCTGTTGATTTCTGCACATCAGGGACGGCCCCAGAGTCCCCTCTGAGCCTCCCCCACTGGATTTAGCCTGTCCTCTCCCCACATCCGCAGCCCCGAGTCCCTCTAGGGCTTTGCCCTCCCTCTCAGGAAAATGCTCTGACCTCTTAACCTTGATCCAGCCAGGCAGGATTTTCACCAACTCGCTCTTCCTGCAGGGATCAAGCACTCGCTGCCATACTTGAGATCATATTTTGGCTTAGAGGGAGCTGGGGGTGGGGTGGCTGATGTGTTGATGTGTTGAGGGATTGATGATGGGGAGGGGTCCAGGAGGAGGGAAGCTGAGATTTGCTAACAGGACGGGAAGAGCTTTGCACCCCTTGGGTTGCTGGCGTCCAGTCTTGTATTTCAGATACAGATGCACGGGCCCGATTGTCTCCCTGTCCTCTGGATCCCCTCAGCCAAGTACTTGGCAATGTCCCCTGCAGGGTGGGCCCTCTGCGGTTGTCTGCTGAATGACTTGCTCGGTTGGGGAGTTCAGGACAGGCACAACCTTATTCACATGTGGGTCTTTGTTCCTCTGGCCCCCTCCCCTCAGCCAAGGTTCAGCTCCACGCTCCGTGTCAATCTTCCTACCCCAGTACCTACCATAGGACCTGCTGCTTCGTTGAGGCTTGATAAATGTCAGTGGAACTAATAGACATTCATTAGGAGGAGGAAAGGAAAGAGGAGTGGTCGTGTTTGGTGGCTAGGACCAGGCTGGAAAACCTCGATGCTGGTTTTTACTTTGGCCAGAGGCAGGGGAGATTTTGGAATCTCTCCCTCCCTCTGCCCTGTGATCAGAGGGATGCTTGAGAAACATGAGGCAGGGCCATTCATTCCACTCCCAGACACAGAGAGCCCTACTGTGTGCTGTGCATCGGGCAAGGGGCTGGAAACACAGAGATAAAAAACTTGGCCCTGTATCCAGGACAGCTGGAGGGTCGCGGGGGCCGGGGATGGAGGGGGGTAAATCGGTGGTTACAATGGAGTGGATGAGCGACTGATGGAGTGAGGGCGGTTGCTATGGGAGCGCATACAAGAGGCACTGCACGCCGTGCTTCTGAGAAGGCGGTAATTACGGTGCGCTGAAGAGCAGGTGAGGGGGGGCTGGCCAGAGGAAGGGGGGCCCCCACCCCGATTGGTGATGAAGCCAGACCCCATCACAAAGAGTGCCCTCCACCATGTGACGAGGTCAGGATTTTATCCTGACAACTAGGGGGGAGTCATGGGAGGTGCTTTCACATGATCAGATTTGCATTTCAGAAACACCACCCTGACAGTGACAGTGTTGAGTTGGGGACAGGACCAGGGAGAGACTGACAGGCAGGAGGGTGGTGAGGAAATTGCAGTGGGCCAGGCAAGAAATTATCTGATTCCGAGCGAGCTCTATTTGCATTTAATTTTTCTTCACCTCGTTCTTTTCAGCCCTTTGGTTTTTTTTTTTATTTTTTCCCTAGGATGAGTCACCATGGAAAAACTTCACTTGAGCAATCAGCTCTGTGGCTTTTAATGGCTTTTTTTCTGATTACAAAATTAATAAATATTCATGTTAGATAATTTGGAAAATAGTGGAAAGCACAAGGAGAAAACAAAAATCACCCATACTCTGACCATCTAGAGCAGAATACAATTGAGTGTAAATACTGCGTTGCCAATTTCCCTCGCCCTAGTGGATCACTCTCATCACCATGCAAATACAGTTATTTCTCCCATTTAAAAAAACCCTCTCTTGATCCCTTCCCTCTCCCCTCCAGCCATCACCCCATTTTTATGCTTCCCCATAGACTGAAACTCCTGAAAATACTGACTCTCCCTGTCATCTCCATCCCTGTCCGCCAGCAGGCTGCCCACCCCCTCACTTCACCAAAGCTTCCCTCGACAATGTCACACGCAACTTCCAGATCCAACCCGATGGCCGACTCTCAATGTTCCTCTTCCAACAGCACAACTGGTCACTCTCTCCTTCCTGGAGCCTGTCTCTTCCCCTGGCATCCAGGACTTCTGTGTTCTGTCTCCAGCCAGCACCTCCTCTCCTGGATCCAACCGCCTACTCAGTGTTTCCACCTGGGGGTGCAATGGGCATCTCCAACTTTCCAGGTCCAGACCAAGCTCCCCTGGCCCTTCATCGGTGCCTCCACAGCCCTCTTTATCTCAGGAAATGGCAACACCATCCTTCCAGTCACTCAGACCAGAAGCTGGGAGCCATTCTTGACCCCTTCCTCAAACTCCCCATCAACAACAGATTTATCGCTGCCTTCAGAATGGATCTTAGCACATCCCACACCACCCCCGAGGGCCCATGCGCCATCTCGTCCCTCACCTGGGTTCTTCCAGTTGCTTTCTAACTGCTCTCCCCCATTCTCCACCTTGATTCCTTATTACCTAATCTCAAAACAGCAGCCAGAAGAGTCCTTTAAAACTATTGCAAATTCAAGCATGTTGTTCCTCTGCTTAAAACCCAACTAATTTGGAGTAGAAGCCAAAGCCCTTGCAATGGTCATAAGGCTTTTCATTTTATTGTATTTATTTATTTTGAGACAAGATCTCACTCTGTTGTCTAGGCTTAAGTGCAGTGGCACGATCATGGCTCACTGCAGCCTCGAACTCCCAGGCTCACTCCATCCTCTCGCCTCAGCCTTCTAAGTACAGGCCCTGGGACTACAGGCCCATGTCACCATACCCAGCTAATTTTTGTATTTTTTGTAGAGATGGGGTCTGATTATGTTGCCCAGGCTGCTCTTGAACTCCTGGGCTCAGGCAACCCGCCAACCTCGAGCTCCCAAAGTGCTGAAATTACAGGTGTGAGCCACCACGCCAGACTGCTCATCTTATTTTAAATTGTACCCTTCTTCCCCACTTCTCCAACTTCCTCTTTCTTTCCCATTTCACTCTTGTTGACATTTACCTTTTTCTCATTGCTTATATAATTTAATTCTTTACTTCTTTAAATTATTATCTTGCTAGCTGAAGAGTACAGTTTTTATTTGTTTATTTGTTTTCTTTTTGAGACAGGGTCTCACTCCCTCACCCAGGCTGGAGTACAGTGGCATGATCTCGGCTCACTGCAGCCTCCACCTCCCAGGCTCAAGCAATTCTCATGCCTCAGCCTCCCGAGTAGCTTGGATTACAGGCACACACCACCACCCCTGGCCAATTTTTGTATTATTATTATTAATTTTTTTTTTAAAGTAGAGACAGGGTTTCACCATGTTGGCCAGGCTGGTCCCAAACTCCTGGCCTCAAGTGATCCACCTGCCTCAGCCTCCCAAAGTGCAGGGATCATAGGCGTGAACCACGAGAGGTTTTTTTGTTTGTTTGTTTTTGTTTTTTAAGATGGGGTTTTGTTATATTGCCCAGGGTGGAGTAAAGTGGCTATTCACAGGCACAGTCATAGCGTACTGCAGCCTTGAACGCCTGGGCTCAAGAGATCCTCCTGCCTCAGCCTCCCGAATGGCTGGGACTGCAGGCGTGCACCACCATGCCTGGCTTGAATAGCAGAGTTTTAAAGGTAGAAATGCTGTTGGCTGGTCTGTGGGTGAGTGGCAGCTCCAGAGAGGAGAAGAAGACAACAGGAAAGATTGCAGGAGAAGCCAGGGAAGACAGCAGCAGTGATGGGCAAGACCCTAAGAGAGATGGAGGCTGCCTGCATCATGGGGGTAGGGACAGAAGAAGAGGACCCAGGCCCCTCTGTTGGGCCCCATGAAAGTCAGGTGCTGACTGACTCCCCCAGATGACCATTAATGGGGGCTTTCTGCCCTCCAAGTCCTACAGAAGCTATCCTACCTCTGGAGAAACCCAGACTTCCTGGTCATGCCTTGTAATGCTCCATCACAGAGCCCTGGAGTCACCCCAAAGTTATTATCACCCTCCTTATCATTGTCACACTCCTCCTCATCATCATAGCTAACATTCACTAGCATTTACTACATGCCTGGCAAAAGTCTAAGCATTTAGCATGTATTAACCCTTCTAATCCTCATGAGAACATTGGTGTGTGTGTGTGTGTGTGTGTGTTTGTGTGATGGAGTCTTGCTCTGTCGCCCAGGCTGGAGTGCAGTGGCACAATCGCCCCTAACTGCAACCTCCGCCTCCTGGGTTCAAGCAATTCTCCTGCCTCAGTTTCCCAAGTAGCTGGGCTTACAGGCGCGCGCCACCACGCCTGGCTGATTTTTGTATTTTTAGTAGAGACAGGGTTTTGCCATGTTGGCCAGGCCAGTCTTGAACTCCGGAGGCCTCAAGTGATCCATCTGCCTTGGCATCCCAAAGTGCTGGGATTACAGGTGTCAGCCACTGCGCCTGGCTCTCATGAGAACATTTTAAAGTATGTGATAAAGTATGTGATAACATGACCTCCATTTTACAATGGGGAAACTGAGGCACAGAGATGTTAGTAATTTGATGGAGTTGGTGGCAGGATCAGGGTTTAACCTGAGCTCCCGCACCCTCAGACTCCACTCTCAAGGCATCTGTCCCCTCAGTGGTCATCACTGTTGTCTGTGTGGCACTTTAACTTTGCCTTTTAGACAGGGAAGCCTTGTGGTTTGGCCTTGACCTCTGAGGGGGTCCATTCTGAAAACTTCAGATCAGCAGCCACCCCCCACATCCAGTGCCACAGGACTGGAGTTGCTACTGGCCACATAGCTGCTACTGCAGATGTTAGACCTGGAAGAGAAGGCCAGGAACGTGGGAGGAGAGGCAGCGGCTGCTGTCCCAGAGCCCCCAACCCACTCTGTTTCCATGAGCTGCGTCCATTTTGCATCTGTGGCTGGAGTTCGGCTGTGAGAGATCTGCTCTCCTCCGCCTCAGCTTCAGCACTGGGGCCCTGCTACCTCCTCCCCTGCCCAACCCGGGAGGACTGTTCTTCCCTTAGGGCCCCCATCCTTCCTTGACTCATCGTAAATTAATTCACACTGAGGTATTACTTTCCCTGTCAGGTTATGGCTTCCAGGGAGGCAGATGGCTTACTTCTGAGTTGGTTGGTTTCTTTGTTTTGTTGTTTTTTCCTGAGAAGCCTGACAGGGCTGTCATTAGGCATTCCTCAGCCTGTGGCCTGACCGCATTCTTCCGTCACCCATCCCCTTCCCCCAGCCCCAGGAATGGAGCAAACGCTGGTGCATTTTCCAGGCCAAGGCAGATTCCTGTTCCTGGAAGTGGGGCCAGCTGTGAGGGCTGAGAATTCCCAGTTTGAAAGAGGGTGTCACCTCCATTCACAAGGCTGTGAGGGTGTCTGGAAAGTTATTTGCAGTTTGGTGCTGACTTCCCATTTGCCTCCAAGCTCTTGTGTGGAACAAAGGACAGCCTCCTGGGTCCTGTCTTCCTGTGGGTGTCCCAGGCTGTGTAGGGAAAATTGAGTCTTCTAGTCCTTTCTTTTTCCGATTTCTCCTCCCTGTCCTCCACTTTCACCCCAACTTCAGGCTTCCACCAGATCCTTGGAGACCCTTTGCCTTGTCCTCACAGCTGGCAGGCTGCTGTCTTCCTTGCAGCTGCTCGTCACAGCTGATGGCACCAGGCACACAGTGGCTGGCACACATTGGTCATGGTAGGCTGTTGAGATTTGGGTCAGCTTCCTGGGAAGAAGACAAATTCCTTTTGTTAGAGCTTCCCAGAAGTGTTTGTGAAGGGCCAGAGAGGACCGGGGCTCCTCCGGCCACATCTAACTTACCCAGCAATCCCAGCTTTGCCCCTGGCCAGCTAGTGCAGCTGGAAAACATCGCAACTGTAATTGCCTCGCATGGAGTTGGTGCTCAAAAATAAAGTGAGCCCCAAACATCAATTTCCAGTCCCATTTTTAAATCTATGAACCTGAACGTTGTAAGCAAGCCAACTAGGCCTCGGGGATGAGTGAGTCATTAGGCATTGCCTCATCTGTGGCAGGTGGGGCGGGGAGGGACACCGCTCTTCCTGACGGGGGTGGAAGACTCCACAGCAGCCATTAGGGCTTTTGGTTTTGCTATTATTTATTCATTTAAAAGTTCTGGGCTGAGGTGGGTGCATCACCTGAGGTTGGGAGTTCAAGACCAGCCTGACCAACATGGAGAAACCCTGTTTCTACTAAAAATACAAAAAATTAGCCAGGCGTGGTGGTGCATACCTGTAATCCCAGCTACTCGGGAGGCAGAGGCAGGAGAATCGCTTGAACCTGGGAGGCAGAGGTTGCGGTGAGGCGAGATCACGCCACTGTACTCCAGCCTGGCCAAGAAGAGAGAAATTCCATCTCAAAAAAAAAAAAAAAGTTCTTATTGAAGTAGTATAAGCACATTGCCAAAATGTAAAAATAGAGGATAGAAAAAATTTACTCCAAATCTGCCTTCTTCTATCTTAGCAGGCATTGCGAATATTTTGGTTTATATTTTTGGGATTTTAGTATCTTGCATTCTTATGCTCAGGGGTCCTTGAGTTTTCATCATTGTAAAAATCTTTCAAATTGAAAGAATAGTACAATGGAGTTTTTAGCTGTTGTTAACACTTGCATGCTCTTTCTGTCTACACACATATGCATACACACAGACATAAACATATCTGTGTATGTGTGTGTTTTTGTGCCTCTGTGTGTGTGTGTGTGTGTGTGTGTGTGTGTGTGTGTGTGTTTAGAAATAGGGTGTCACTCTGTTGCCCAGCCTGGAGTACAGTGGTACGATCATAACTCACTCTCAATCATAGCTCACTCTAGCCTCCAACTCCCGGGCTCAAGCAGTCCTCCTGCCTCAGCTTAAGTAGATGGGACTGCGGGCATGCGTCACCAAGCCTGACTAATTTTTTAATTTTAATTTTTTGTAGAGATGGGGCCTTGCTTTGTTGCCCAGGCTGGTCTCAAACTCCTGGGCTCCAGCGACCCTCCTGCCTTGGACTCCCAAAGTGCTGCGTTTACAGGTGTGAGCCACCATGCCCAACCTGCATATGTGTTATTACTGTTGGCCTTTAGTTTTGATAGTTGGCCTTAAGGAACCCAAGGGTACAGACTAGAATGCCTGGTTCTTATCTCACCTCCACCACTTGTTAGCTTTGCCATTAAGTCCCTTTACCACTCCAATCTGCTTTAGCTCTAAAACAGAAATAGCTCATTTCTGTCCTGTTTTCAGGTCATCTGACCAGATCAAGTGAGATCATGAACATAAAGAAGCTTGGTCAACTAAGGCTCTAGCCCCAAATAAGTTATCAGCAAGACTTAGTTGTGGCCCAGTGCTGCAAACAAAGGGCAACTCGCGTTAATGAGGATGCTTTCTCAGCATCCTCTGTGGCAGACGACCTGAGTACTTCCCACACTGGACAGTCTGTGCTGAATCCTGGGGTGCCTTGGCTCCTGGATGCCATTATAAGGGCATGGGCTTGGGTGAAGGACACTAGCTCATCTCACTGTGACCCAAGCAGAGAAAAATGTCCCAAGATTATGTAGGTGGTCTGAGCAGTGAGTGAGTGGTTAACCCAACCAGGCATTATACTGCCCTCTGTATGGGCAGCGGGAAGTACCATGTAAGGCTTGAATGCTTGACTCCACGTTGATACCCAAGGACATTGCTTTTGGCTCATCAAGACTTGTGTTTAGGAGATAAGTGAAAGACCATTGGCACATTAATCATATTGATTTGGACTGACTTTGGCCATGCCTGGCTTTCTGAATGGCTTGGATACCAGTTGTCTAGGCTGTTTCCTAGAAGTGGAGTTAATGTTGGGGGTCAGAGGAACCCTCTGCTTCCCCCAGGGGGGTCAGTGCACATGGTTCACCTTGGGTCCTGACTCAACAGAGTGTTTATTAAGTGCAAAAGCAATGTTGGCAGTAGACTGTGAGCACCTTTTTTCCCCCAAAAACACCTTCAAATCCATTATTACATTTTATCCTATGAGGTGGCAAGGCAGATATTGCTTTCCCAATTTTCAAGCTGAGGAAACTAAGGCCACAGTAAATTCCACAGCCAGTTAGTGGCAGAGGCAGACCTAGAACCCAGCTCTCTGGACTCCTTGCCCTGTGATCATTTGGGAAATGGCAGCATGACTGCCAGCTTGCCAGGCAGAAGAATCAGCCAGCAACCTGGACCTTCCTTCTGTTGTGCAGTTCACACTCATGGTGGCTCATTCTCCTGTGTTGCTGCTGTCTTTATGCACAGCCAGTGGAGGCAGGGCTCAGAAGAGGCATAGCCAGCCCAGCTCTCCCCTTCCTTTCCAATATGTGTTCCCCATCACCCAGGTGCTGCTGGATGAGGAAAGACAGGCCATGGCGAAATCCCGCCGGCTGGAGCGCAGCACCAACAGCTTCAGTTACTCATCATACCACACCCTGGAGGAGGTAGGTCTGGCCGGGCAAGCTCTGGGCTCTCTTGTGTCTTTGGGCCCCTTAGGGTCTCCTGACTCAGTCAGAAACTAGTGAAGGACTCCAGGGTTTATGGGAAACTGTGACTGACACTTAGGGACTGTACAGCAGACATTAGGTTAAGGTCTGTTAGGCAGAGAGTCATATTCAAAGAGATCTGGAAGCCAGAATTCAGATAGAGGGGACAGTAGTTCAACTGTACAGCCCTAGACAGGTACAGAGCAGAGTAATGGGTCTACTAGGCAGAACACTAACGCAGGGACCCATTATGGGCCAGAATAGAGCAGGTAGAAGCTACCTTCATCTTGACAGAGCAGGAGCGTCGCCATCTTGAACAAACACCACCATTCTAAGTTCCCCTGGATTAAAAAACTGCCTAAATCCAGTCCTTATAGTTATAAAAAGGACAAAAATCAGCCAGAAGCCCCTCCTGGGTTTATTTCTCTAAAATAAACTTGTCCTTGACTGTGAAGCCACATTTTGTGTTTCTTTCCTCTTTCTTTAACTCTTACACATATCCAATCCTCCAGCTAGGGACCTAGGGCTCTCAGCCCGTGACCAGTCCTTGTGTTCAGTGGCCCCAGCCATGGGTGCTGGGGTATATAATATGAGGGGCAGGAAGCCAGGCACATTGGACAGCCATGTTTGTAGAATAAAAGGGAGGTGCCTTCACTTGGAGAAAGTTCATGACCACAGTTAGAGCCAGCCAGGGTAAGTGACTTGTTTATAAAGGAGAATGTACACAGAGGGTGCAGGGATGCCCACTCCAGAAAGGAACTCAAGGCACACGTCTCATTTTGCGTGTCAAAGGACATGACCTTCTTGATACCATCCATCTATTATCATCATCGCTTTTCCCACTTCACAAGTCATGCAATAGAGCATCCATTTTCTTTCATATATTTGTTAATTCAATTACATGTATTGAAAGAACAAGAGAATGAAATAATACAGTCTGTCACTATTTATTGATGCCAAAGATAAATAAAACAAGAACCCTGCCTTCAAGGGGCTTACAGTCTAAAAGGAGCGAGAAGATAAAAACAACACTACAAAGCCTGTCAGATCTGTCAAACGGATTGAATGGGCCAAAGAATGGAGACAAGAGAGAATTTCTAACCAGAGAGAGCCATGTGGGTCAAGCCTGGGGATTTGAGCAGGCTCAGCACACACTGTTCTTCCAGGCAAAGGCATAGCTCTGCACAGAGCAAGGAGCCTGGGAATCCAGCAAGATCACAACTCACTTCCTTTAGCTCTGAGGGAGTGCTCTATTTTTGCAATTCTTTATCTGGGTTCTTTTAGACCCTCGAGGGTCTAAATACCCAAAGCATTGAAGAGAGTGGGAAGGGACAGGGAGAACATTCAGAGAGGCCCCAGTGTTCATCCCTCTTCCTGCTTAACTGCCAATCTTACACACTTCTTTCCTTTCAGATATATAGCTGGATTGACAACTTTGTAATGGAGCATTCCGATATTGTCTCAAAAATTCAGATTGGCAACAGCTTTGAAAACCAGTCCATTCTTGTCCTGAAGGTAAAAGCCCACAATGTCAACCTGTAGACTCTACCTTGAGGGCCTCTGGCATAAGATTGATCTCATATGGGGTAGTGGCTGGGCGGGAGTTTTGCGGAGAAGGACAATTTGTCTACTCCTGTCCCCAGGTGACCCATAAACTTTGGGGTTGTGGCATTCAGAGATCCACCCTTGTAGTATGAAGAGGTGACAGTGTGGTGACCTAGCCTGTCCTTGGTCAGGAAGTAGGTGGGAGGATGGCTAAGGAGTTGGGGCTGCAGATTGGCAGTTGTCACCCTGGACTTGGGGTGTGAGTGTGGGTGAGCTGGCGTTCTATTACCTCAGTTGCTTCATCTGTTCAATGGGAAGAGAGGTACACAGAAGGCCCATTTGCTAATGAGGTCATCTGGCTTAGACAGCCCTACAGACATGCCTGAGTCTATAGAGAAGCCTCCCAGCCCTTCACAGGAGCCACTGGAACAGAATTCAAGCAACTCAGGACCCTGCAGTTCCTTGGGTCATGAAGGAAGTAGGAGATGTGAATGCAGAGCCCATCAGAAAGCAATTCTTAGTTTGCGCCCAAAAGGGCACCCGGGAGTGTGGACCCTGCGGGGCGTTTAGCATCAGCTGTCAGGAAGGGCAGGTGCCTGCTGCTGCTCTCAACGATTCTCTGATGGGCTCCTCCGAGCAGCCAAGTGGACCCACCTAACTTGGGATTTGACTTAACCTGTCCCTGCTTCCATTTCTCCAGGGGCCATGGTCTTCTCTCTCTAATGTTGTCTGAAGCCTTGCTATTCAAAGCACGGCCCCTGCATGGCAGCATCAACATCACCTGGGAGCTTATTAGAAATGCCAAACCTCAGACCCCTCCCCAGACCTACTAAGTCAGAATCTGCACTGGAATAAGATCCCCAGGAGACTCATGTGCCCATTAGAGTTTGAGAAACCCTGGTCTTAAGATACTTTCAATCCTGGGAAATTCTGTGCTTCTGGATGGATCACTTTGCTCGCCAATGGCACCACCATATTTTCAAAGGCCCTCACACGTGTGCACTTTTGGGCACATGGACAGGTACCTGCACACACACCCTCTTACCCAGTGCTTAAAGCTGCCCCAGGCACTGAGGATGCCTCAGGGACCTCCTTCCAGGTAGCCCAGAGACAGTAGCTGTCTGAGTTCAAACCTCGGTTTGGGGCCCGATTCTTTTTCTCAGTTCAGCACTGGAGGTTCTCGGCACCCAGCCATCTGGATTGACACTGGAATTCACTCCCGGGAGTGGATCACCCATGCCACCGGCATCTGGACTGCCAATAAGGTCAGCATGGACCTGTAGCCAAGGTGCACCCACGATGGGGGCTGCAACTGGGGGCAGGAACTTACTATTTAAGGGCACCTTCAGTTCAACAGTTACACTCAGGGTGCTGTCTCCATCCCGCCCTTTGGAGCAGCCACCGTGCACTCTTACCTTTTGCAGCACGGAGCCCACATTGATCCCCTGCCTTCTAGTTGTTTAAAATCCAAGCCTTTGGTTCTGCATAAAAGATATACCTCAGGGGTTTCATGCCATCCCTTCCTGCAGCCACTGGCTGTGAAAATGTCCTGTGCCACCTCCCAGGAGACCCAGTAGGGCCTCCCATCCCTCCTCACTCTTTCTTGCAGATTGTCAGTGATTATGGCAAAGACCGTGTCCTGACAGACATACTGAATGCCATGGACATCTTCATAGAGCTCGTCACAAACCCTGATGGGTTTGCTTTTACCCACAGCATGGTGAGGGAACCTGGGAAGGATGGAAGGAGGGGGTCAGCTCTAGGGGGATGGAGAAAAGGTCACTGTGCTTTGGGAACCAGCCCCTTCAGAGCCTCTTTGCAGAAGCCCTCACCAAGGGCAGGAGGGCTGCTCAGGTACTGCACCTGCAGCCTCTTGCCCTCTGACCTCTTTCTTGCTGCCCAGGGAAGGCCTCTATTGGCAGCCTGTGCCCAGGCCTCTCCCTAGACCCTGACTTCAACTGCACAGTATCTGAGCTGCATCTTTGGCCCAGCCCCATGCCAGCCCCATCCTGTCCTGGCAATTCCTTCCCTTTGCTCCTCCCTGCCCCACTAGGGTCCCCTACCCCCATAGGCCAGGATATCAGAGGCTCCCATCCCTGGGAATGGGCCCAGTGAATGAGGTCACCTGTCCTGGGCTTTCCCAGAACCGCTTATGGCGGAAGAACAAGTCCATCAGACCTGGAATCTTCTGCATCGGCGTGGATCTCAACAGGAACTGGAAGTCGGGTTTTGGAGGTATGGCAACCTGCTGTCCTGGGGCAGGGTTGGAGAAGAGGTGTTGGCCCATGGCAGGTTCTCCCACTCAGTCAGATTATGTTGACTCAACTTGGGAGGCATGGGACAATGTAGTCAGCTAATATGCATGAGTCACGGCCAGGGACAGGCAAGCACATACCTCAGACTGGCTGTGGGTACGGGAGAGGTTGTGTGTGTGTGTGTTGAGTGTACACATGTGCCAAACCTTCACGGGAAACAGTTAGGGGAGCCCCAGCTCCTGAAATGAGGACTAACTGCATGAGTCAAATCCTAAATATGACAGAGAAAGACTTAAAGGAGGTACAAAGTAGCCTTGCTTGTTGTTCAAAATCCAGAGTTTATGGTGCTCCTAAAATATCCCTAGCCCTGCCCTGAAGGGAGCACAACATGAAGAAATGCCTCTGAACTCTTTCCCCGAGAGCTAGGACCTGAAATCTGCCCTCTGGGGAGGCCAGGGCAATAGTTTCAAGTGTCCAATAGAATTAACCACTTTTTTTTCTTGTTTTCTTTTTTTTGAGACAAGGTCTCACTCTGTCACCCAGGCTGGAGTGCAGTGGTGTGATCATGGCTCACTGCAGCCTTGACCTCCTGGGCTCAGGTGATCCTCCCACCTCAGCCTCCCAAGTAGCCGGGACCATAGGTGCACACCACCACACCCAGCTAATTTTTGTTTTTGTTTTGAGACTGAGTCTTGCTCCATTGCCCAGGCTGGAGTGCAGTGGCGTGATCTTGGCTCACTGCAATGTCTGCCTCCTGGGTTCAAATGATTCTCCTGTCTCAGCCTCCTGAGTAGCTGGGATTGCAGGTGCCCACCACCACGCTGGGCTAATTTTTGTATTTTTAGTAGAGATGGAATTTCCCCATATTGGTCAGGCTGGTCTCAAACTCCTGACTTCAGGTGATCCACTCACCTCGGCCTCCCAAAATGCTGGAATTACAGGCATGAGCCACTGCGCCCAGCCAATTTTTGTATTTTTAAAAAATTTTGTAGAGACGTGGTTTCACCATGTTCCCTCAGCTGATCTTGAACTTTTGGGCTCAAGTCAATCAGCCGCCTCGGCCACCCAAAGTGCTGGGATTACAGGCATAAGCCACCACACCTGGCCTTGAGCCAATTCTTTATCAACAAGGCTGGCTTGAGCCTGATTTTTATTTTTGACCCATTACTTTATGACCCTGGTGCATACCTGCAGAGCTGGCTGATCCCAGTGAGGGGGAGGGGGCAGCTTTCTCCTGAGTTCCTTGGTGTTCTTCCCTGATTATCTCCCTAACCATGCAAGGGGCACAGGGATTGGGAAATTGAGGCCTCCAGAAAGCTCAGAGACAGGTCCATGGACCCTGGAAATACAGCAATTTGATGGGCAGGACAATTTGATGGGTCCAGTCATGACAGAGATTCCAGAACAGACACAGCCCTCGGCCCCCAGACATGGCATCTGCACTTCACCGGGGGCTCAGGGTTTGGCTCCACAGGGGACGGTGTCATTGCTGTTGATAATCAGACCTATAGGCTGGTGTCCCAACCAATGAGATAGAACATTTTAGATCTGGATGCCCATTGCTTTTAAAATCTGGCTTCTTGGGGTCTGTTCTCACTGAAAAATAAGGATGGCCCCAAAGCACTGAGAGTGAGGTCCCTGGCCCTAGCGTGGGGGTTGTAACTGCTTGTGTAATGGAACAAGACCATGCAAAATTAGGCATTTCCACCTCCAAATGAACAGACGCTTGCCTCAGGGGGGGCATCCATGTGGCCCCTCAGCACTGACTGGAGTGAGTACCCATGGATCCCAAGATAGGCTGGCTAGTAGAAAGATAAATTACCTCTTAAAGAAAATAACTTCTGTGGGTCTCACCACAGGAAAAAAAATATCCATATACACACAGTGTACAAAACAATTATGGAAAAAAGCCCAGAGGGGGCAAAAAGCTCCCATAATCCCACCACTCAAAGATCACTGCTTTTAATAATTTACCATGTCCTTCCAGAGATTTCCCCTTGCTACAAATTACATTTTTAGAGAAGGAAAAATAAATAGCTAATGAATCCATTAGCAGGTACTTGTGAAACAGGCGGACTCAGAGGACCTTGACTGTGAACGTCAGAGATGCAGGCAGCCAATTCCCATTTGGCCAGGGGAAGATTAGTTTATTCTGCTTAGCTCAAACCAGAACTAATGGCCTAAAGTGTTTCTCCATATTTGGGCAAAGCCACCTGGTCGTTGGCAGGGGAACCGCTTTCTGTGCGTGGGCCGCAAAGGCAGACAAAGCCTTCAACCTCCCCCCGCTCTGCGCATCTGTTGCTGTTTGTCATTCATCAAGTGGAGCAGGTGCAGGAGCTCCTGGCAGACATAACAAACAAGGCCACTGTTAGATGGGCTGATTCCAGCCTGGGGGCTGCCTTTCACCCCCTAGCTCTGCCGGCACATCCCCTTCTAACCAGGGTCCCCATCCCAGGTGAGGACCACCAAACCGAGAAGGGGCGCGCTCCCTGGGCCTCCCTGGGGCCAGCAAGAGTGTGTGTCTGGGTTGGTGACTCAGGCTGGATGATTTTGTTTATGGTTTTGTTATTGCCTTAATTGAATGGCTGTGTAATGAGTAACCTGTAGACCATCCCTCCCACCCGTGCCTGGCCTCCTGTGCATTCTTGGGGAGGACCTGTGTGCTGCATTCCTAGAGCATCATCTGAAGTGGTCCATGGGCCAGCCCCCAGCCCCAGGAGTCAAGAGGAATGCTGTGGCCTCCTCAGGAGACTTCAGAAGTTGAGGCGATCCCTGATCTCTGGACGGTGCCAACATTCCAGGGAAGAGGAGAGAGAGGAGAAACTGGGATGACTCCTTCCAAGTGTGTCCTTAGCCTACAAAGTCTTGACCAGCTCAGCACAGCCCAACCCTCCCCTCAGGAATAAGGGAAAAGCAGAGGAGGAGCAGAAGAGGAAGACAGAGATGGGGCGAAGGCAAAGAGTCCAGGGGGAAATGGAAACAAATGAAACTTGGGAAAAGAATAAAAGCCCTGCTCCTCTTTGTTCTCTCCCTCATCTTAAGTCCCCAAGAAGAATTTTCAAAGACTTCTTTGCACCTCTGGCTCCCAGAACAGCCTCAGGCAACTATGGGGAACTATTCTCCCGTATTGGTTTCCCATATCCCCAGACCCCAAGTTCATGGCGCACCTGGGGCCATGGCTGTGGCAAAGCTTCAGCTGACACCGAGTCTGAGCCCTCAACTGATGGCACACCCAGGAACGGTCAGCCTAAAGGCATTTGCTGCTCACTAGGGGAAGCCAGGGTTGGGGCAGAGACTTACAGTTTCCTCTGGATGCAACTTCTGAGCCAGGCCCACCTTCCTAAAGGGACCACAGGACAAGCCGAGGGGGCTCCCTGCAGGGCTTCAGAACTGCAGGGTATGGTGCGGCTGCAGTCCTCTGACATATTAGATTAGAGGATGCAGCAGTAACAAATATCCATCCCAATCTCAGTGGTTTAACACAATGAAAGTTTGTTTTTCATGCACACAAAGTCCAACATGAACAGGTGACTCTCCTTGGCGGCTTTCTTCCGCAGTGAGAGAGGGATCCAGGAGGCTGTTTCTATCTAGAATTTTTTTTTTTTGCTTCCAGCCACACAGACAGAAAAGAGCATGGAGAAGTCACACTTGCTCTTAACAATCTCAACCCAGAAGTGCCGTGTCATTTCTGCTCACCTTTCCATTGGTCAAAGTAGTCACATGACCTCAGTCATACTGCAAAGGAGGCTGGGAAATGTAGGGGAACACACAGGTATTTTGTGAGCACCGTCTGTGTCGCACGTGGGGATTTGACTCTTTGGGTGGCTTTATTTTACTTCCAGGAAATGGTTCTAACAGCAACCCCTGCTCAGAAACTTATCACGGGCCCTCCCCTCAGTCGGAGCCGGAGGTGGCTGCCATAGTGAACTTCATCACAGCCCATGGCAACTTCAAGGCTCTGATCTCCATCCACAGCTACTCTCAGATGCTTATGTACCCTTACGGCCGATTGCTGGAGCCCGTTTCAAATCAGAGGGAGTTGGTGAGACTGGCTGCTTAGGGCCTGGGGAGAAGAGACCGCTTCACAGGAAAATCCATATCTGTCATACTCCCAGAGGGCTCAGGTTGTTACTCTGAATGCAGGGGTCTGGGCTGATTGACCCCATGGTGCGGGGGTGGGGTAGGGGGAGCTTGCTGTTCTCACGTGTGATCAAGTTCAAAGCTGGAAATGCTGTGCTCCCTTCTCACAAGGGCCATCTCCACCTTCAACTTCCAGGACTGCTAAATCCATGCTTCTCACCAGCTGGTGAGGGTGGGGGAGTGTGTGGGAGCCCCGGGGAGCCCCTGCCTTTCACCCCGCCAATGTCATCTTGCAGTACGATCTTGCCAAGGATGCGGTGGAGGCCTTGTATAAGGTCCATGGGATCGAGTACATTTTTGGCAGCATCAGCACCACCCTCTGTGAGTGAGCCTCCCCTGGCCCTGCTTCAGACACCACATCTACCTGGGGCTGGCTGCAGGGCAGTGCCAAGGATCTAGCTGTGCTGGCCCAAAGCTGCCTCCCACACTGGATAGAAGGGTGAACAGTGGTACCCAGGGAGCTGTTTCTTGGCAGCTTTTGTGCACAGCTCCCAGTGCCTGGCTTACTGCAAGGTTCCTAAGCCTAGTAGCCTGCAGGAGCTTTCTTTTTGCAGGAGTAGAGAATGGGCTGGGTGCACAGATGTGATCCTGTTTGAGGCCTGGGCAGGAAGCCTGGTGTGGCCTGGGGTGGGTGGGGGTTTGGCTCCCAGGGCTCACTTTCCACCCAGGATGCCTCTGTACCTTGCAGCCACATCCCCTTCTTCCTTTTGTGGGGCACATTTTGGAACTTTTGTTTCTAGATGTGGCCAGTGGGATCACCGTCGACTGGGCCTATGACAGTGGCATCAAGTACGCCTTCAGCTTTGAGCTCCGGGACACTGGGCAGTATGGCTTCCTGCTGCCGGCCACACAGATCATCCCCACGGCCCAGGAGACGTGGATGGCGCTTCGGACCATCATGGAGCACACCCTGAATCACCCCTACTAGCAGCACGACTGAGGGCAGGAGGCTCCATCCTTCTCCCCAAGGTCTGTGGCTCCTCCCGAAACCCAAGTTATGCATCCCCATCCCCATGCCCTCATCCCGACCTCTTAGAAAATAAATACAAGTTTGAACAGGCTTCGCTGCCTCTCGTGTTGGCTACCACCCCTATGGGCTCAGCACTGACAAGGGGACGAGAGGCTGCTTCTCATTCCGCAGGGGAGCCTGAAATGTGGGGGAAGCCTCTGCACTCTCCAGTCTACCTTCAGGAAAATAAGGGGGTAGAGGCTGTAGCTTTTCTCCTCTTGCAGTGTTTTCAGGGCCCGGAACACAGAAGGCACACATTGTCCCAGCATATTTACATTTTAAGATGCTCCTGGAGGGGACAATGTTTGCTCTAAAAGAGCATTTCTGATGGGGGCATTTCTGCCACCTTGAGGGAAAGGTTGGCCCAGACAGGCCACCTCTGCCTCGGTTGGCTTCACTTCCCATGCAGGGAGGGAGCAGGAGCACATTTTGGAGGTTACCACTCACCCCACAACCCAACACGAATGAGTCATTGGCTTATGACCTGCTCCCCCCGAGGTGTCCTCAAAGGCTCCCTGGGTCTTGGGAACACAGGGTCAGAGCTAGTCAGAGCCAGCACATCAAAGCACCGCATATCCAGGAAGAAGAGCTTCTCATCATCATCATCAGCGACACCATCCTGGTTGTCATCCCTGAGCTGTGTTAAGTAGGCACTTCCCCTAAGAGAGTTAAAGGGGCACTCGTGAGATACTAAGAAGACTCCTTCCCCCAGCCCCAGGCCTCCTTGTACCTTTTGCCTCTTCATTCTGTCTGCTGCCTTCTGGGAAATGATGGGACTGGCAGGCTGTACTATGCAGCAGGGATAGCAGGGCTGTTTGCTCTGCCCTCAGGAAGGCAGATAACCCCTAGAAACAGGAAGAGCCAAATGAGGTTGTGTAAGTCTGAGGCAGAAACATTAGTCGTGAGAGCAAGACTTGCATTTGCAAGAGCCAGGCTGTGTGTGTGTTTGTGTGTGTGCGTGTGTGTGTGTGCATGTGTGTGCACGTGTGTGCATGTGCGTGTGTGTGTCCGTGTGTGTGTGTGTAAAACTGGATGGCCAAGAGCCAACCCCTGGAGGGCACGGAGACAGGGAAGAAAACAGAGTGAAACAAAAATATTTGTGTAGAAGGCATAAAAGTTATCATCACAGACTCCACTGTGTAAAGGCATAACTTGCTTTATTTATCTCTAGTGTATATGAACTTAGCCTCCCTTTCCATTCAGCCTGTGAAAGGAGATAGTGCTTGGGCCATTTGGTAGAAGAAGGGGATGGGAGATGATCAAAACCCCAAGTAAGGTTCATATCCAATATAGTGTCTAAGCAGCAAATGACTAATGGCCGAAGAAGGAGACTAGACAGAGGATTAGAGGCAGCCATGGGGCTGGTGCAGCTGTGGAGAGCTCTGAGCAAAGAAACAAGGTTGGCAGGTGAGGAGGCCTAGGATAGAGGCCAGAAGGCCAAACCTGGGGCTGTGCAGCCAGTGGTCATGGTGGCACAGCAGGCACTGGCTGGGCATTGGCTGGGCATGCAGATGCCCAAGGCCAGCTGTGCCACATAGAAGCCCTGAGGAAGTGAGGGTAATTAACCCCTGAACAACCCAGATCATCTTCAGGGGAACAGCCAGCAGCAGAGGAGGAGAAAATCTTGACTTTGGCTGAAGTTTCCCACAGGAGACTTTTTTTTTTTAAAGCTGGAATTGGTCTGAGTGAGCTAGAATTTCCAACCCAAAGTTTTCTGCTGCTAGTGGAAATTCGAGGTCATGGGCTAAGTTAATATAAGCTAGAGGTAAATAAAGCCAGTTATACCTTTGCACAGTGGAGTCTGTGATTATAACTTTTATGCTGTCGATACAAATATTTTTATTTTTATTTCATCCTCTTGGGGAGGGTATTCCTGGTATTAATAAGTTCATTGTTTTAGATAAGGAAAGCAAGGTTCGGAGATGTTTCAAAAGCCATACAAGGCCACAATGGAGAGAAAATTGTTGAGAAAGATTTGAACTTGGGTTTGTCAAACTCCAAAACCACTGTCACCATTTGTCCAAGTGCAGCCGGTGGCCCATCTGCAGCAGAATCCGTGGAGACTTGTTTAACAGGAAGGGATTTGGTTCCATCTCCAGACCGAATTAGAATATCTGGGGGCAGACACCCCAAATCTGCATTTTTACCAACTGCCCAAGGAGTTCTGAGGTATCTTCAAATACCCACTGACCCCTGTTCCCCTGCCTCCCGGGAAGAATATATTCCAGTCTTCCGGGGGGAGTTGGGCCTTGGGTCTCCCCACTCTGCCATTGTCCACTGGGGCTGGAGGTGGCTGCCACAGAGGGAGGCCAGTCATTCTCTAGAGTACTTCCTGGGGGCTGCCTTGGCCCTAGCCTAAAGCAGTGTGGTCTGCAGACCACAGGCATCACATCACCTGGGAGCTTAGTCCCAGCCCTACTAAATCCAAGTCTCTAGTGGGTGGGGCCTAGGAGATTTGAATGCCAAATTGGACAAGAACTGGCCTAGGGGCAGGAGGCCTTGGGCTCTGATGAGCTTCCCAAGCCGAAATAAACTCTTTTCTAGCACTTACAATGTGCCAGGCACGGTGCCAAGTGCATTAGGGGTTTCAACATGTCGCCTCCTCACAGCTCTCAGAGGCAGGACTATTACTGTCCTTATTTTCAGCCAAGGAGGTGACTCAGGCTCAGACAGGATGGTTGCTGAAAGGCACACAGGTCCTGAGTGGCAGGGTTTGGGCTGACCTGCAGGCTGGTAGCTCATCATCTGCCTTCAGAACCTGAACCCAACTCACGGCCAAGGCTCTGCAGGATCAGGGATGAGGAACTTGTTCTCACAGCCAGCTTGGCCAGATCTCTGTACAGCCATTAAGCTCACAAAAGTTGAGGCTGAAACTGCTGTCCAGATGGAGGTCTTCTTTTTTTTTTTTTGAGACGGAGTTTTGTTCTTGTTGCCCATGGTGCGATCTTGGCTCACCACAACCTCTGCCTCCCGGGTTCAAGTGATTCTCCTGCCTCAGCCTCCCGAGTAGCTGGGATTACAGGCATGTGCCACCACGCCTGGCTAATTTTGTATTTTTAGTAGAGACAGGGTTTCTCCATGTTGGTCAGGCTGGTTTCGAACTCCTGACCTCATGTGATCTGACTTCCTTGGCCTCCCAAAGTGCTGGGATTATAGGCATGAGCCACTGCACCCGGCCCCAGATGGAGGTCTTCTTAAAAGGCCCAAGGTGCTGCCCAGTGGCCCTGTCTACCTCTCCTGCCTTGTGCCAGGACCTCTTGCCTCCCTGCTCATCAGCTCCAACCTCACTGGCTCCTCTCAGTTCCCTCAACACCAATGTTCCTGCCCAGCGGCTTTGTGTGTGCTGCTTTCCTGGAACATTCTTTTCTCCCTCTCTCCCCCTTCAATATCCTTCCTCACAAGTCCTAGGACCACCCACTGGAAGTACATCTTCTCCTATTATTCTCTTTTCCAGAACTTCATTTATTTCCTTCAGAGCAATGCAATGATAATCAATAACTAATCGACTTCTTAGTCCACTGCTGTCTGTCACCCCCATCATGTGCGAGCTACATGAGGGCAGGGGCCGTGTGTGCGTTGCTCACTCTCTCTGCACCTGTCAGCACTGGGCACACAGAAGATTCTCTATATTTGTTAAAGGACTGTTTCTTCTCAGCCTAGTAAAATTAGGACTAGGTTTCACTCTATGTGGCAGAAGTCCACCTTACTGTGGCTTAACCAGATAGGGGTTTTATTTCTGTCATATAGCAAGTAGTCATCTGAGGTGGGCAGTCCAGGGCTGGACAGTGACTCCTGGGTATACTGGGGACCCAGACCCTTGTGATCTCTTCTGCTTCACCATTCTGCTCTATTTTGACCTCTACTTTCAAGATGGCTGCTCTACCTCCCTTGTGACGAAATTCCAGGCAGGAAGAGCAAGGGGCAAACAAGTGAGCCAGCTGAGGTGGCGGGTCCAGAGACTTCGCCTTACACTATATTTGTTGAAACTGTGTCATGCGGCCATGCCTAGCTGTAAGGTAAGCTGGGAAATAGCTCTATAGCTGGGCGTATTGCTGCCCCAATGAAAATTGGAGTTCTGTGGGCAAGGAGGAAGGGAAGAACGGATATTTGGAAGGAGCCAGCAGAGTCTGCAGCAGCTTCTCTGAGGGGCAGGGAGGATCTGAAGAGGCCTCAGAACCCATTTCTTGCTCTAGTTTATCAAGGACCTAATCCTAAAGCCATATAATTATCCAGATGTTTTAGCCCAACCCGCTCATTTTTGCAGTTATGAAGACAGGGGCCTCTGGATCACAAGATTTGCACGAGGCCCCACGTGAATTTAACAGCTGGGAGAAGACTAAGGCCAGGGGGGTGCTCTAGTCCCAGCCCCACCACAGCTTCCTTCCATATAGATTGAGGGTTCACCCCTCTGGGTCTCCTCAGCAAGCCCAGAGAGATAATGGCGGGGGTTTAAGTTTATCAAATAAAAGCTCAAGACTTAGACACGCAAGTTGTAGAGCTGCTACAGAAGAACCTCCTTTTTATAAACCCTGAACGTTTTTTCCCCCATTTTCTGAAGTATATAATGCTAAACAGCAGCTCCGTTTTTCAACATACTGCTTGCTGGTGGTTTTTTTTTTTTTCTTTTTCCAACAAACTGCTCTTTTTAGGTATGTTTTTTCATCCTTTACACCAGCAAAATTTATGAGCATTTATTTAAAAGAAAAAAAGCATTGGAAAAACTGAAGAGAGAAAGAGCAATTCTACATATGGAAAGCTATAAAGAACCACAGCGAATGTGCTGCGGTTATTGCTTTCTTAAAAAAACAAACCAGGCAGGCAGTTTGGAATGTGAGGGGCCTGTGTGAGGCCAGGCTGGCCGGGAGGCCGTGGGGGCTGGGCCCTGGCAGGGATCCAGGGAGTGCAGTGAGGGGCCCTTCACACCCCGATCCTCCTCCATGGCCCCTCTGACCACTCCAGCGAGAAACAGGCCCAGACAGAAAACGACTTTACTGAGAACATTTAATTTAATGTAAAAATGCCCCTTTAGGAAAACAAGAAGGCCCAGGCAGCCGGTCAGCACAGGCTGGGAGAGAATGCAGCGAACATGGGGCCTGTCGGAACTTCCCAGACGTGGTGGGAACCACACCAGCACAGAGTCAACAGCAGGCAGGGGAAGGCCTGCGGGGCCCCAGGGCCAGAGGCTAGGACGGGCAAGCCAGACCGGATTTGGGAAACGTGTTATCATTTCCAAGGACTATCCCAAGTACGTGGGGTAGGAGAACCTTGGAGGCCAAACAGGCTGCCTGGATTTGTCCTTCCGGACGCCGCCCCCACCCCGCCGCCCATTATTTATTGCTGTCACTTTGTTGACGTTCCAGAGCCAGGCCTGGCTGCTGCGGCTCCCAGACCCGGTCCCAGGCATGTTGGGACACGGGCCGGCTGTGCTCTGTGGAATGTTCCCAGGCAGCAGGTCCACTTCCTGGGCTGCAGCCCTGGGTTCTGCTGATACCCCTTCTGTAGCAGACTTCTCCTGCCCTGTCCTCCAGCATGGCCTGCCGGCGTGGGACAGGCCTGCCCCACATCTCAAACTCGGGGGGCAAAAAATGTCCTTCTGTGGAGGGGGCCCCTGAAGGAGAACTCCAGCCTGCTTGGTTGACTGAGGTTCTTCTTCCCTGAGCTTCTAGGATGTCCTTAGAGTGGGAATCCATTCCCTCTGGTCGTCCCTTACCAGGCTCTTGCTCTGGGGCCTGCAGTTCACCTCTTGCTCTCTTCTAACCAGCTCTGCCAAGCTCTGCGGCTCTCCCTCCACCTTCCTGCCCTGTCAGCCCACCTCTCTCAATTCCCCAAAGCATGGCTAGACCATGGGGTAACAGTTCCCACAACTTTACTTGGGATATGGAAGGAACATACAATATAGAAAATAAAACATGGAAGCTGGACGCTGGATGTCTCTGGTGTTGGAGCTGGTGGTTCATGTCCCACCATGGGTCACCCCAATAGGCCTTCACTCTCCTTGACCCTCAGCTGGCTCCCACGCTGCTGGGGTGGCCCATACCCCCTCCCACAGTGCGGACGCCCTCCAGGTGCTCCTGAAGCCTCTCAGGCTCCCGCCATCTTTCCCAGTACCCGAGGTGCACCCCTGCCCAGTTCCTCCTAGTGGCAGATCTCCATTCTGAGACTGGGGCTCTGTTCTCAACATTCCCTAAAGACCCTGGACACTGGGGGGCTTCTCTCTTCAGGGGACCCTTCTATCAGAGAAAAATTCGGCCTCTACTTCTAGAGAAAAAATACCACTAGCCACTTTAAAGTTTTGACAGCCCTGTAGCTTCAAAGCAAACACACCAATAGGCTCTGCTGGACACTCAGTTATAAAAGCAAAACTTAAGGAGGCCACTGACTGGACCTCATCCTCTCAGCCTCCCACAATGCCCCCAAGCCCTGGTGACCTCCCACTAACACAGCCTCAGCAGGATGCAGCCCCTCTCAACCCAAACTGCACTGGACATGCATACCCATTGCAAGCCCCAGGCCCTCCCTGGCTCAATCCTTACCTCCCTGCAAACATGGCATCTTCTTTCCACCCTTCCCAGACCTGTCACCATGGCTTGATTTGTTTTGGGGTAAAAAATTTAAGTGTGTCAGGTGCAGTGGATCATGACTGTAATCCCAGCATCTTGGGAGGCTGAGGTGGGAGGATTGCTTGGGCCCAGGAGTTTGAGACCAGCCTGGGTAACATGGTGAGACCTCATCTGTAAAAAAAACAACAACAACAACAAAAAAAAAACTTAAAAAATTAGCAGGGTGTGGTGGCATGCACCTGTAGTCTCAGCTACCTGGGAGTCTGAGGCAGGAGGATCCCTTGAACTTAAGAATTCCAGGCAGCAATGAGCTATGATCACCCCACTGCACTGCAGCCTGGGCAACAGAGTAAGACCCCATCTCAAAAAAAGAAAAAAAAGAAAAAAAGAAAACCCAAATATCCTAGCATCGTAAAGTGTCACCACTGGAAGGGACCGCAGAGATTATTCTGACCAACTCCCCCATTTAATAGATGAGGAAACCAAGGCCCAGGGATGTGAAGTGACCTGCCCAAAGTCCTATAACGAGTTTGCGGCAAACCACTTAGAAAGTATTCCTGTTTTATTTTGCTCTCTTCTGAAATTAGAGAATGTCTTTTTATCACCTGTGCACTGTCCCCAGTCACATGTAACAGAAAACCAACTTGAATTGAGGAAAAGAAGAAATTAATTCATTGGCCCATCCAGAGAACTGGGGTTGGGCTGGGATGTCTAAGTCCACCTGAATCATGTGGCCTCAGAGTGGGCAAGGAGTGGTCTCTAGGGGAAAATGGAGGTCCTGTTATCAGATGGAAGAGGCTACCAGGCAGGGTAATGAGAGGTATACACTGCAGTCCCTGACTCGGCTGCTGCAGTTTCTCAGACTTCCCTTCCATGTGCACAACCATGTCATGTCCAACCCTGAACACACCTGCCAAAGGGAGGCAGCTGAAGTCTCATCTAGCTATTGCATCTGGCCCTTCTGACAGCACCCATCATGTTCTCTACAGGGATCTTTCTCCACTGTCCCCTATTGATCCCTAACGTGGATACTGGGGACCAGTTCTCCTTTTGCTTCTTTGACAATCCATTTTCTAAGTTTCATTTTGGGGGTTTCTGAGCATTGCCTTAGAGCCTCTGTCTACCATGTTTGGGGATATTCTGGAAGCAGGCCTGTCATGGATAGTTGTCCAGTTTGTGCACTGCTCAAAGTCATCCTGCTGAGAGAGAAAGGGACTATACCTGCCCAGACAAGGAGGGGTGCTGATATGGGCTGGCTGTGTCCCCACCCAAATCTCATCTTGAATTCCTGCATGTTATGGGATAGACCCAGTGGGAGGTAATTGAATCATGGAGGCAGGTCTTTCCTGTGCTGTTCTTGTGATAGTGAATAAGTCTCATGAGATCTGACGGTTTTTAAAAAGGGGAGTTTCCCTGCACAAGCTCTCTCTCTTTGCCTGCTGCCATCCATGTAAGATGTGACTTGCTCCTCCTTGCCTTCTGCCATGATTGTGAGGCTTCTGCAGCCATGTGGAACTGTAAGTCTAATTAAACCTCTTTCATTTGTAAATTGCCCAGTCTCAGGTATATCTTTATCAGCAGTGTGAACATGGACCAAAACAGGTGCCTTTCTGCATTTTACATAAAGGCTCTGATAGGCTAGAATTGGTCCCCTTTTCTGAAAATACAAACACTTTAAAAGCTTAATAGGTGCATCAATTAGAATGCTTTTTTCAACAACAGAAACTCCAACTAACAAAAAAGAAATGTATATTCTTTCATATATATATGACCTATATATATATATAGACCTAAACATATACATAAACATATATATATACATATATAGTCTGAAGGTGAGGCAACAGACCTGACAGTATCCAGAAAAAGGTGCCCTCTTTTGGGGAGTGGGGCAACCTTTTCTAGAAGCTTCCTCACGGGCCTCCTCTCATGTCTGATTGGTAAAGCTGGGTCATGTGCCCACCTTTAAACCAGTGACTTGCAAAAGCCAATGAGATCTCTTCAATTGTCTTAGACCAGTCAGAATTTGTCCCTGAGCTGGCAATGGCAGTGTTTCTGGGGGCGGATGCCGACATACAATCTGGTTTATTTAGCAGGGAAGAAACAGGGAGGGATGCTGTGGGCCACAGTCAGCGTGGCTGCTGCAGGCCTCCCACTGTTTGCGTTCTGGCACTTGCCCGTGACTCATTCTTGAATCTAGATCCCAGCCTGGTGGCTTCTTTCTCATGGTGATAGGTCCTGGTGCTATACTTACCCAGCCCTCGGCCCAGTGGCCTCCATGTTTGCCCTTGCCTTGCTTGGACCAATGTGAAACCATCACATGGAGTGGGAAGGCCCTCTGACCTAGGTTACATTCCAGCAAATTGGCCTTTACCAAGAGGTACATTTTTGGCTTCCTGAGGTGGCCGGGAGGGGCCCGAAGCATGAGGCTTAGCCCGCACCTGAGACCCAAATTCCTCTGCCATGATGCTGCCCACTTTCTGCTGAACTTGTAGCATCGAATTCATCCTTTCCAGCCTTGCAAAAAAATATATTATATGACTCTTGGGCATCGTAAATTGCTGGCTGGAGGTACAAGAGGCTCCCTTGGTGAGTCTGCACCCTCTCCCCCAGGCCGCCCTCTTTTTCAGAGGTGTCGTCTTTTCTGGAAGGAATTCACAGAAGGCCCAAGAACCAGCCAACATCCCCCAACATGTGTAGTGTGAGCAAAAGAGATTCAAAATTATAGGACAGCTTCATATTTAGGAATAGAAAAAGAAATATTGTTTTTATAATGCAAACTAAATAAAGACCCTACAAAACCTTCCTTCCCCATGGGGAGCAGGGTAGAGAAGCCCGAGGACTCTGTGGGGCACCAGGAAATGAGGAGTAGGGAAGACATGGCTCCTGGCCTGGGGTAATTTAATTTTTTTTTAATGTTTTAATTTCCTTTTTAACTTTTTAGAGAGATGGGATCTCACTCTGTTGCCCAGCCTGGGGCAATCATGGCTAACTGCAGCCTTGGACTCCCAGGCTCAAGAGATCCTCCCGTCCCAGCCTCCCAAGTAGCTGGGACTACAGGCGCCACCACGCCCAGCTAAGGAAGTTTACAGTCTCCATGGAGAGACAAAAATAACATTTTAGGAGCAACGAAGAAGAAATCAATGTAAGTTTGTGTTCAAGCACTAAATAGCGTGATGAACACCCTTCCCCACCTGGCAAAATCCTATCATAAGACCTAAGTTAAGCTGGGCTCAAGCCTATAATCCCAACCAACACTTTGGGAGGCCAAGGTGGGAGGGTTGCATGAGCCCAGGAGTTCAAGACCAGCCTGAGCAACATAGTGAGACTCCATCTCTACAATAAAAATTTTAAAATTAGCCAAGTGTGGTGGTGCACACCTATAGTCTCAGCTACTCGGGAGGCTGAGGTGGGAGGACCGCTTAAGCCCAGGAGGTTGAGCCTACAGTGAGCCATGATGGTGCCACTGCTCTCCACAGCCTGGGTGACAGAGCAAGAACTTGTCTTAAAAAAAAAAAAAAGGCCTAGGTCAAATGTCACCTTCTTGGTAAAGTCTTCCCTGGACTTTGTGCCATAGTGTGTGTCCTTTTAGCCCTCATGGTACTTTTCATACCACATCACATCCCTGTTTAGGTCTCTTGCAGGGAGGAGAACAGTCCCCAAAAGTCCTTTGCACGTCTAATCCCTTATTGGTGACAGCTTCTTGGAGGACCTGTTAGAGGACCAACAAGTTAGTTGGTTACTTCTGTCTTCCCGCCTAGACCGTGAGCTCCCTGAGGTCAGCGAACATCTGTATTGGGTGTCGTGTCCATGTGGAGCACAGTACTTGGCCCAGAAGAATAAGTATTGATTGAATACATCGACAAAGGGGTGAGCATTTAGAGAAGGAGCAGACAGGTGAGCCAGGAAGCAGCCAGAAGAAGCTCCAGGGAGCACTGCAGCCCTGCCAGAGGCGGGTGGGGCCAGCAAGGCTGTACAGGGGAGAGCAGGAGCTGCCGCATAGGCTCCACATCTGTTAAAAGCGGGTTTAGGGCTTTCTCACCTTCCTAGAGTTAGGTTTGGGAGATAGTTGTGGATAAATATAAGGGGGTCACTCTGTCTTGGTGTGGGAGGGTTGGCCAGCTAGGGGGTAGGGTAGGAGGCAGTGGGAGTGAATAGAAACTAGAACGGGCACTATGGCTCTCACCAGTGCCCAAGGTCGGGGTCCTGACACAGAGCAGAGCCTCTAGATGGTGCTGGGAAAGCCCTGGGGGGCCCGTGAATGAGGATGGATTTGTGGGATTTGTGATGGATTTGTCTCTAGGGTGAGATCAGCATCCAGAACCCAGTGAATTCCCCTGTGTGGGTTCCAGTTTCTCCTGGACACTGTGCAGTCCTCACAGGGGTCTGGCCCTGGCTCCCCCCGCCACACTTGCTATTCAGACGACATCTGGTTACTGTTCCCATGAAGGGCAACCCCGACCTCGGGGCCCTGTACTGGTGGGGGTGGAGGGAAATGCTGGCAAGGGTTGGGCTCCTGACCCTGCTGCTGCTGCCCGGGCTGGACTCCCACAGGACCCTAAGGCCAGCAGGAGGGGGCTGGGAAGTCCCACAGAGGGACTGCCCCGCACAGGGCCGGGGCAGCCTGGACAAAGCCGGTGTGGTGACAGGCCAAACCGACGCAAAAGGTTAGTCCACCCTGCTGGTCTCTCCAAGGCATCAGGGTCCGTGGGAGGAGGAGGTGTCCGGCACTCCGCAGGTATCTGTGCTTCACACAGGTCTAATGGGGGAGAGCCTGGGCCTGCCTGAAGCTGCCTTGGGGACAAGAGAGGGCAGAAGCCCCACTTGCTCGATCACCGGAATGAAAGGCTGGCACTCAGGAGCACGGAACAAGGAGACGCCTGGAATGAGGCCCCAGCAGGAGTGGCTGCTTGGAGTCCTGGCTCCTTCTCCGCTACCCAGTGGGCAAACAGAACCGCAGCTTTAGGGTGTGGGCAGGCAGAGTCCTGGCTGGGACTCCAGGAGGCCTCGAGCCCCCGCTGACCCTCAGGCCCCGCTGGCCCCAGATGGTCGGGGGTGGAGCTCTGGCTTATCTCTCCAGCTGCCCAGTTCCCTGCCACTTTATCATGGAGGGTGAGAGGGTGTCAGAGCTCAGAACTCCCACCCCAGCCTCCCCGTGGGACAGGACCCAGGTGCTGGGGGAGAACAGACCTCGGGAGCAGCCAGGAGTCCTCGGTCCTGGGAGGGTTTAAAAGCCAGGGGGCCGTCTCGACCTCAGTCTGACCTTCCCTCCCGGCAGCAGCATGCGGGGGTTGCTGGTGTTGAGTGTCCTGTTGGGGGCTGTCTTTGGCAAGGAGGACTTTGTGGGGTAGGGATGTGGAGAGGAGGGGGTGCCCTCTGAGGGTGATGGGGAGGACTCAGCCCCCAACCAGTAGAGGAGACAGACAGACAGATACATGGCAACACAGCCAGAGAGGATGGCCTGGCACCACCTGGGACAGCTGGCAGATAAGCAACCAGGGTTGGGAAGAGGTTGTGTCTCCCAAGACAGTCTCCTGAGCCCTGGAGAAACCTGAGCTCTGAGGAGGAGTTTTCAGGAGAGGAGAAAGGAGGAGGCCTGGCTGGCTTGGAACAGAGAAATAGTCCAAACTGGGATTGAGATAGTAACAGCGTCTAGAAGTTTCTAAAGATGGGGAGAGAAGAGGTGAGGGAGCCCAGGCCTCTCCTTGTTGAGACCCTTGGTGCTGTCCCCTGCCCAGCCCAGAGGACGAGGCCCAGTCTGGGGATTCTGGGCTGCTGCCTCCCTCCTGCACCTGGGGAGTGCTTGTGGCCAGGGCAGGTGCAGCTTGGGTGCTCACTCCCCACTCCCACTCTGCCCAGGCATCAGGTGCTCCGAATCTCTGTAGCCGATGAGGCCCAGGTACAGAAGGTGAAGGAGCTGGAGGACCTGGAGCACCTGCAGGTCAGAAGAGGGGAGAAGGGCTCTCTGAGGCCCCAGGGTATCAGCTGGGGCCACCCCAGGTCCCCAGCGGCCAACTGTGCCTGGGCTGTCTCCACCCAACAAGGAGACATGGAATTGACTCTGTTAGGAAGCGACTTCAAGCCCCCAGCTCCAGAGCCTTGCTGCCCTTGAGCACCTGGGCAAGGGGCCGGGCCCCTTTCCAGTTCCTCCCTCTGCCTTGCTGTCTCAAAGGCCCCTCACTCTGCTCCTGGGCCATTTCCCTGACCACACTGGACTCTCCAGTCCCCAGGGTTTCCCCGTATTTCTCTGGCCCTATTACCCCTGACCTATCCCCAATTATATGAGAACTTCTGGCACCAACAGCCCCTCCCACGCAGGCCCTGTCCCTGCCTGCTGTCCTGGCTGGTGCCCCCAGCCCGCTGTGACCGTGCCGGCTCTTGTCCTCCCCAGCTGGACTTCTGGCGGGGGCCTGCCCACCCTGGCTCCCCCATCGACGTCCGAGTGCCCTTCCCCAGCATCCAGGCGGTCAAGATCTTTCTGGAGTCCCACGGCATCAGCTATGAGACCATGATCGAGGACGTGCAGTCGCTGCTGGACGAGGAGCAGGAGCAGATGTTCGCCTTCCGGTCCCGGGCGCGCTCCACCGACACTTTTAACTACGCCACCTACCACACCCTGGAGGAGGTGAGGGCGCCCCTAGCGGCCGCTCCCTGCAGCCACCAGCTCTTCATCATGGCTGGTAGAACGCGGTAGGGCCAAGGCCAGGGCCAGCCTGGGTGTGCGCAGCGCCTGCTCTGTTTCCATGTGGCCTGTGTGGTCGTAGCTCCATTGCAGGGCTCGCAGCAGGCTGGGACGGTGGGGCTGCTAAGGGAAGCATCTGGGTGCCCAGAAGCTATTAAGGCCAGTGGTCTCTTCTTTCACACCTCAGATCTATGACTTCCTGGACCTGCTGGTGGCGGAGAACCCGCACCTTGTCAGCAAGATCCAGATTGGCAACACCTATGAAGGGCGTCCCATTTACGTGCTGAAGGTAACATCCACATGTGGACATACACAGGGGAGAATGGACCCACACGTGGCATCCGTGATGGGCGTGGGCTCTCCCGGGGAAATCATGGTACCAGGGAACACGCTGTTAAATGGACTCCCCATGCAGACATTTGGAAAGGCCTGAGTCTCCACCCTGGTCTTGGCGTGTGCACTCCTGCCCATACACAAAGACAGGTGATCCAGTGTTTCCAATCAAGTGTCCATTGTGGAAGGTACTGTAGAGTCTGGGTAGTCCAGATAAAGTATTTTCTTGAGACAGAGTCTCGCTCTGTCACCCAGGCTGGAGTGCAGTGGCATGATCTCGGCTTACTGCAACCTCCATCTCCTGGGTTCAAGCGATTCTCCTGCCTCAGCCTCCCGAGTAGCTGAGACTACAAGCACGTGCCACCATGCCCGGGTAATTTTTTTTTTTTTTTTTTTTTTTTGAGACAGAGTCTTACTCTGTCACCCAGGCTGGAGTACAGTGGCGCAGTAGCGTCATCTCGGCTCACTGAACCTCCACCTCCTGGGTTCAAGCGATTCCCCTGCCTCAGCCTCCCAAGTAGCTGGGATTACAGGCGCCTGCCACCACGCCCGGCTAATTTTTTGTATTTTTAGCAGAGACAGGGTTTCACCGTATTAGCCAGGATGGTCTCGATCTCCTGACCTTGTGATCTGCCTGCCTCGGACTCCCAAAGTGCTGGGATTGCAGGCATGAGCCACTGCGCCTGGCCAATAATTTTTATATTTTTAGTAGAGACAGGGTTTTGCCATGTTGCCTTGGCTGGTCTCAAACTCCTGGGCTCAAGTGATCTACCCGCCTCAGCCTCCCAAAGTGCTGGGATTACAGGCGTGAGCCACCACGCCCAACCCAGATAAAGTGTTTTGTTTGTGATGTCCCCCAGAGAACTGTCCGAGCAGCAGAACAGGGGAAGGGCCAGGGGCCTGGTCAAGTCATATTCACCCCAAGCTTGGGCTGAGGGCAGGAGGCCAAGCTCTGTGGGATCCCTGTCCAGCCCCCAGCCCCAAACCCACCTGAGTGATGGCCCCACAAGCAGAGCCTCTACCTGAGATACACAGAGAGCAGGTGGTCTCTGGCCCAGGTCGGGGTCTCCTTCAGGGCAGCAAGATGAGGCCTCAGCTGTGAAATTGCCTCTGATCACTCCCCTGCCTCCTCTCCAGTTCAGCACGGGGGGCAGTAAGCGTCCAGCCATCTGGATCGACACGGGCATCCATTCCCGGGAGTGGGTCACCCAGGCCAGTGGGGTCTGGTTTGCAAAGAAGGTAAGGCCGGGGAGGTGAGGAGGGCTCTCACCTGGTGGGGCATTGGTGTCCAAGGCCCACAGAAGCCCGGGCCTCCCTTTGCCCATCCAGAAGCAGTGACCACAGAGGACATGGGGAAAGGTGTCCATTGCTGTGGCTTGGCAGATGCCTGGCCCAGCCTGCGCTGCCCCTCTGCTCCTCTAACCCCCCAGATCACTCAAGACTACGGGCAGGATGCAGCTTTCACCGCCATTCTCGACACCTTGGACATCTTCCTGGAGATCGTCACCAACCCTGATGGCTTTGCCTTCACGCACAGCACGGTACCGGCCTTCTCCTGTCCTTGGGGGAAGCAGGATGGGCCTCTGGCTTCTAAGCTGCACAAGTAGTTCACCCCTAATCTCAAGCCCCAGAAGTCAAGGGAGGGGCAATCAGACCTGTGCTCCTAGCCGAGGGTGTCTCAACAGTGGCGTGATTGGCATTTGGGGTGAATGATTCTTTGTCATGGGGGCTGTCCTGTGCATCCACGGTGTTTCTAGCATCCTAACCTTACACCCATTCAATGCCAGTAGGAGCCCCCCTCTCCAGTGGTGACAACCAAAATGTCTTCAGATATTGCAAAATATCGCAGGGGAGGGTCAAGATTGTCCCCAGTGGAGGCCCACTGCCCCAGACCTTACTTCCTGGTCCTACTTCTATTTTTACGGCAAATAAAACATCTGACCAATGACATGGGGCCACAGTGGTGGTGGAGGACACCTCGCAGCTTCTTCGCCATATAGAACCCTCTGGCCAAATGCCATCCTATGGCCTTCCCCACTCTCTTTCACCCGATGCCCCCTCTGCTGATCTTCCTCCCCGACAACCAGCTGGGAGTGGATCCCATCCCAAGCTGTGCCTGCAGCTCAGCTTCCAATCAGGGCACTTGTGTTGAGGGCTTCCACCTCCAGGGAGCCCTCCCCTCAGTCCACTCTGCTCTCTGCAGCCTCTGAACCACCCCCCACCCAGCACTGTGACAAGCGTCACACGTGCCTCGGGGTGGCTGATCCCATTTCCTTCCTCAGAATCGCATGTGGCGCAAGACTCGGTCCCACACAGCAGGCTCCCTCTGTATTGGCGTGGACCCCAACAGGAACTGGGACGCTGGCTTTGGGTGTAAGGCCCAGAGTGTCTTGGGAGCAAGGATGGGATGGCCTCGAATGGCTCCTCACCACTGCTCTTGCTCCCCGCCTCTCTCCTGCCCCTGCAGTGAGGGGAGGGTTGGGGGTGGCAGCTCTGCCTCTGAGGGCTCTTGGGGATGGAGGCTGTGCTCTGAGAGTTGGTTGTTACTCGCCTGCAAAAGGCAAGTTGCTTGCAAATGGGCTAAGGTCTGAAATCCTACCTAGGGGGCTTCTAGCTTAACCTCAAGTCCTCCCGCCTTGGCCACGTCTCTGTGAGAACTGGTCTCCACTGAGGAGCCCGTCTTCCCTCCCTGGGTGTGTCCATCAGCTCTGCCCAAACCAGGCTGGGAGGGCAGTTCCCCCAGGTTATAGAAGGCCTTTGGGCTTTCCTGAATCCAGGGGTGGGAGTGAGCCCTTCCATACCACCTCACCCCCAACTCCATGCAAAGAACTGGATTCCAGAAGCCACAGAAGCTGGAGGAGCCACACCGCCATGCCCTCTGTCCCCCCACAGTGTCCGGAGCCAGCAGTAACCCCTGCTCGGAGACTTACCACGGCAAGTTTGCCAATTCCGAAGTGGAGGTCAAGTCCATTGTAGACTTTGTGAAGGACCATGGGAACATCAAGGCCTTCATCTCCATCCACAGCTACTCCCAGCTCCTCATGTATCCCTATGGCTACAAAACAGAACCAGTCCCTGACCAGGATGAGCTGGTAGGCACTGACCTCGGCTTGCCCCCTCGTCCCCAAGGTGGCTTCGGACAGGCCCAGGCTTTCCCCCATCAGACCTGCTTAAGGCACAGACACCTCCAGAGTACCTGACACCCTTCCTTCCCTGATGGCTTGGGAAGACCAGCGGGTGGACTAACCATTTTTTCTGGGAAACTGAGGCACAGGAGTGATGGAGTCACTTCTGTAATGTGACAGAGCAAGGGGCAGGGCTAGACTTCGATCTTAGGCACCACATGTGGAGGTGCATGTGCCTGAAGGGCAGGGAAGGCCAGCCGGACACCCTGAAGGGCCAGAAAACTGTGCTGACAGGCTCCCGGGCTGAGCTTCCAGGCTAAGCAGGCTCTGTGCTCCCTGCTGGAGGCCCACTTCTGCAGGGTGCTTCTCCTAGGCTCCCCTGCCAGCCCCCAGACTACCCTGGACATGCTGTTCCAGGAGCCTGGCCATGACAGGTGGCTTTGCTTGGTGTTTTGTCCAGGATCAGCTTTCCAAGGCTGCTGTGACAGCCCTGGCCTCTCTCTACGGGACCAAGTTCAACTATGGCAGCATCATCAAGGCAATTTGTAAGTGGCCGTAGGGTCTCTCTTGATGGGCCTGCGAGGAACATCTGCTGGCTCTTCCTGACCGAGGGAGTATCCCTCATGGAAGGAAGTAGCCAAGGGCACCCAGATCTGTCAACTGCTGGCAAGGGCTATTCTGAGGGGTGGGCAGTCCCTTTTCCTGACATGAACTCTGCTTCCTTTGATACTTTCAGACAAATGTGAATTCCTCTGACAGCTCTTGTCCTCTTGTGTTGGGGCCAAGTCTAGTTTCTTGGTTGGATGGGGTGGAGAGTCCTGCTGGGATTTGCAGATCACCAGGAAATTCAACTTAAAAAAACACTTCTCGGGGGCAGGGCACCGTGGCTCATGCTTGTAATCCCAGCACTTTGGGAGGCTGAGGTGGGCGGATCACGAGGTCAGGAGATAGAGACCATCCTGGCTAACATGGTGAAACCCCGTCTTTATTAAAAATACAAAAAATTAGCTGGGTGTGGTGGTGTGCGCCTGTAGTCCCAGCTACTCGGGAGGCTGAGGCACAAGAATCGCTTGAACCCGGGAGGTGGAGGTTGCAGTGAGCCAAGAGCACGCCACTGTACTCCAGCCTGGGCGACACAGCGAGACTCCATGTCAAAAAAACAAAAACAAAAACCACTTCTCCTCCAGTGCCCCTCAATTAGACAATAGGCCTGATTTATTCCTCACTTACTTATTCATGCAGTGCCCCTGAGAGGAGCATTACTGAATCAAAATGGAATTAACTCAACAAATGTTTATTGAACACCTACTATACACCAGGCCCTGTTTCATGTACTTGGGATATAGCCATGAATGAAATAAGCAAAGATCAGGGAACTTTCTAGCCAGGGAGACCAACAATGAACATAAATAAGTAAATGATACAGTATGTGAGGTGACGAATGCTGGGGAGGAAAACTAAAACTAGACCAGGTGAGGTGAATCGGGAACACTGGGGGTGGAGGTGGGGCAGGTGGGTTGAAGGGTGGGCCTCATTGACAGAGTGACATTTGGGCAACTATTGAAGGAAGTGGGTGGAGGAGGTGGCAGCCAGGAGGCTATCCAGCTAGGAAGAGCCTTCCAGGCAGAGGAACATTCTAGAGCAAAGGCTCTACAGTGTGGTCTGGCCGGGGATGTTGCTGGAACAACAAGACTGGTGTGGCTGCCTCCAAGTAAGTGAAGGTCAAAGCTGGGTAGAAGGCTGAGGGGGCAGGGCTGCGTACACACCTCACACGCTTCCTGCCTGAGTGCCTAGGCCTTGGTGGGCAAGCAGGTCACAATCTTATCCAAGGTTGACCTCACTTTTGGACTCCAGGCCTTCTTTGGAAACTGATTCAACTCTGAGTCAAGGTTTTGCTTCATTCAACATGGTCAAGTTAAATTCTGATATGCAGCCTACTGCTCTCTCCTGGGCCAATTCAAAAGTGGCTTCATTACCCACTGTTAATTACAGTTTCCCGGGCAAAGTTTCCTCCTAAAAGAAAGACAAGGGGCTTTTGCTTTGACTCTGGCTCTTTGCACTTTCCCCCTCACAGACCAGAGCCCCAGGGGAACAAATCCTGGTTACCCAAGCAGGGAACTCGGTATATTTAGGGGCTTCACCGAAAGGGCTGTTGGACAGAGGCTGTTTTCAGAGGGGCTTGTGCAATTGCAGAGACTTCCTTGCATCCCCTAGTGAATAGGGGAACCATTGCTGGTCTCCTCTTTGGACCTCTTGGCTTAGACCTTTTAGTGGGAGTTTCTTGGAAGTGAGGCTGCTTGGTCAACAGCAGACCTTAGTAGACACTGACTCCACTCAGCATTGCACAAGGCACAGAGCTTTGGACAGGGTTGGATCGTTAACCCAACCCGTGTAAATATTCCCAAAGTGATTGACCCTTTCTCTCCTATTTTACTCCTGCCCCAGATCAAGCCAGTGGAAGCACTATTGACTGGACCTACAGCCAGGGCATCAAGTACTCCTTCACCTTCGAGCTCCGGGACACTGGGCGCTATGGCTTCCTGCTGCCAGCCTCCCAGATCATCCCCACAGCCAAGGAGACGTGGCTGGCGCTTCTGACCATCATGGAGCACACCCTGAATCACCCCTACTGAGCTGACCCTTTGACACCCTTCTTGTCCTCCTCTCTGGCCCCATCCAGGCAACCAAATAAAGTTTGAGTGTACCAGGAACAGAATCCTGGGGCTTGCATGTGGAGTGTCTGCCTCTTCAAGCTGGGGCAAAAGTGATTTAATTCCTGCAGGCCTCACTGGAAATGTGTGGGTGGTTGGACTAGATGACCCCTACATTCCCCTGCATTCCAACATCCTGTGAAGTCGTATCCAAGTGGCGTCTGTTTTAATTAGACCACCCTGAGTTCAGCTCACCAGTGGGATGATTTGTTCATACCTTAGTAGCAAGCAGCAGCAACAGCTGCTAACCAAATGCCCGGCACCCCACAGTGGTGTGGAATTCGGCGTGTACAAAGGTCTAGCTAGCTGTGTCCATTCATCTATAAAAGCAACAACCTAGAAGATGAAATATAATAATCCAGGTGGCCACTGCTGTCCAAAATAGATGTTGCAGCCAAGTAAAACAGATTACTAAAGAGCAAAATATCATCTTCCATTCCGGAATCAAATTGGAAGAAAACAATTGGGTTAAATAAAATCATTAACTGCAGATAAAGAACCAATCCAAAGGCCAATCCCAAGACATTTTTAATTTTTAATTTTTTTTGGTAGAGATGGGGTTTTGCCATATTGCCCAGGCTGGTCTTGAACTCCTGGGCTCAAGCAATCCTCCTGCTTTGGCCTCCCAAAGTCCTGGGATTACAGGTGTGAGCCATCACATTTGGCCAAGATATTTTATTAACTGTATAAATTAATTATATATTCTGAAGATTTTGCCTTTAGGGATAGAAATCACCCACTTTTCATTTGCCACATCCTTCCCAGCGTCTTTGGTACATGGTTCTGCTCCCTCGTGTTTCCATCCACCCCACTCCTTCCCATTCTCCTGTTGAGACCACAGCTCCTAGGCTTTAGCTTCCCTTCTTCAGCTTGGTGATCCTGATGCAAGTGATATTACAATTAGCAGCTAGCATGACTACATAAGATATCCCAACTTGTTTCAAAGCAAGAATCTCCCTTTTGGCCTGGCCACAGTGGCTCACGCCTGTAATCCCAGCACTTTGGGAGGCTGAGGTGGGCAGATCATGAAGTCAGGAGTCCAAGACCAGCCTGGCCAACATGGTGAAACCCCATCTCTACTAAAAATACAAAAAATTAGCCGGTCATGGGGGCGCATGCCTGTAATCCCAACTACTCAGGAGACTGAGGCAGGAGAATCCCTTGAATTCAGGAGGTGGAGGTTGCAGTGAGCTGAGATTGCACCACTGTAGTGTAGCCTGGGTGACAGAGGGAGACTCCATCTCAAAAAAAAATTAAAATATATTTAAAAATAATAAATGCTTGTGAAATGGAGACATGAAATTTGTTGTCCATCTCAAAAAAAAAAAAAAAAAAAAAAAAAAGAAAGAAAGAAAGAAAAAAGAATCTCCCTTTGTTTCTTCCATATCACTTCAGGTGTGAATGTGGAGCAGGGGGTTTTCCCACAGACTCTGCTGGGGAAGTGAGTGGATTGGGGCTGGAGTGAGGATGGCAGCTTCTCTCTCTAGCAGCCAGGCCAGGTTTCAAGAAGCATCCAGCTCTGTTGACTTGAGTCTTTTCCATATAAAATGGCCTGAAGGCCAAAAATGCCTTTTTTAAAAAAAAAGAGGAACATTGATGGAATTTTCATCTTGGACTTTTATTTTATTATTATTTTTGCTATCAACATTCTAAAAATAAAAATAAAAAGAATGAGGGCTGGGCACAGTGGCTCACACCTGTAATCCCAGCATTTTGGGAGGCTGAAGCAGGAGGATTCCTTGACCCCAGGAGTTCGAGACCAGCCTGGGCAACATAGCGAGACCCCCCCCCCCCACCTCCACAAAAAATAAAAAATTAGCTGGGTGTGGTGGCATGCACCTGTAATCCCAGCTAATCGAGAGGCTGAGGTGGGAAGAACCGTTGAGCCCAGAAGTTTGCAGTTGCAGTGAGCCATGATGGCACCACTGCACTCCAACCTGGACAACAAAGTGAGACCCTGTCTCTTAAAAGAAAAAAAAAGGATGAGGCTCTATGTATGTATTGTTACATTTTGTATGTATTTGTTACATTATTACATTATATCATTTACATAAACGTATAAACATGTAAATTTATGAGACGAGGTAAAATGGTGTTTCAGTCTTTACAGAAAGATGACCTAAAAGATTTGATAACACCCTCTTCAAGTTATCTTTTAGAAAATGCTTCCCTTCAATCTATATAACGACATTATAACTCTCTTCTCAAAACCCATTTTAACTGCTTAGTTTGAGTGAGTAGGAAGCTGATCACCTTTTGTTTAATGAAGACTGATAAGAGAAGAAATATTAAGTTAGCATGACAATTTATCACTTTATAAAACTGGAGCACTAGACTTTGATGGTAGAATTGCTTAATTTAAAATAAACTGTGCTTCCCGACAGCAGGAACCACCTTGTTTGGCATTCAATCCCCAATAGCGTTAACAGTACCTGACACATAGATGCCTAATAAATACCTGTTGAGTGAATGCTCTCTACTTTTATTAGTGAATTCATAAATGTTATGATCTGTATGTTGTAGGCTTGCTGAAAACACCCTGTGCAAGTTATTTTGAATTCCCAGAGTTGAGTAAGTCTTAAGAAAGCTGAAGTCAATGAATGAATGTCAATTGCACAAGGGCAAGGATTGCTTTGTTTTGTTCACCATTTAACCCCCACTGCTTGGCCAAGTGCACAGCACACAGTAATAATATTGGTATTAATATCAATAATAATAAATGCTTGGCCAGGTGCAGTGGCTCATACCTGTAATATCAATACTCTGGGAGGCTGAGGTGGGAGGATTGCTTGAGCTCAGGATTTCAAGACCAGCCTGGGCAACACAGCGAGACCCAGTCTCTATAAAAAAAACAATTTTAGGCTGGGTGTGGTGGCTCATGCCTGTAATCCCAGCACTTTGGGAGGTTGAGGTGGGCAGATTGCTTGAAGTCAGGAATTTGAGATTAGCCTGGCCAATACGGCAAAACCCCATCTCTACTAAAAATACAGAAATTAGCTGGGCAGTGGTGCATGCCTGTAATCCCAGCTACTCGGGAGGCTGAGGCATGAGAATTGCTTGAAACCAGGAGGTGGAGGTTGCAGTGAGCCAAGATTGTGCCACTGCACTCCAGCCTGGGTGACAGAGGGAGACTCTGTCTCAAAAAAAAAAAAAAAAAAAAAGAAAGAAATATATTAAAAAATAATAAATGCTTGTTAAATGGAGACAAGAAAGTTGTTGGTTTTTTTTTTTTTTGTACTTTCAAGTATGGGAAGAGATTTACATTTTGTTTGTAGATACACATTTTTACAAATCTATGGGTGAAGACACTTAAAATTCTTAAGTAAAAACATAAAGCTAAAAGACAATTTTGGAAAATATTGCAACTTAAAAATGAAAGTATTGATATGAAAATAAGTATTAATAACCTAAAAGACAATTTTGGAAAATATTGCAACTTAAAAATGAAAGTATTGATATGAAAATAAGTATTAATAACCTAAAAGACAATTTTGGAAAATATTGCAACTTAAAAATGAAAGTATTGATATGAAAATAAGTATTAATAACCTTGAGGGGTTAAAATAATAAAAAGGGTTAAAGAAAAAGACAAACATTTCAAAAGAAAAATAGGCAATTCCACTAAGAAGAAACACAAATCAATACATGTATGAAAGACACTGATCCTCTAAGTGATTTCTTGTTCATTAAGGAGAAATGAAGATATTTTTCTCTCATCAGATTGGCAAAGAATAAAAAGACTGATGACTCCAGTGTTAACATGTAGTGCTGGTGGAGCAGAAACTGGCACCACCTTCCCAGAGGGCAAATTTGGCAATATAAATCAAAATTATAAATGTATTGTGTCTTTGATCCAGAAAACCCACATGGAAGAATTTACTTTATAAAAATATTTGGATGGATTCAAAAATATGTATGTACAAGATTGGAAAAGTAAAAAACAAAAAACCTAGATAATTACCAGTCTTGATGCTGATCTGACACATCCACACACTGGAACAACACGACACCATTAAGGGCTGTGTTGACATGGAAAAATGTTCACAACATACTAAGTGAAAGAAACTGGCTATAAGATGGAAATGTTATAAAACTGGATTGTGGTGATGGTTGCACAATTCTGTAAACTTAACTCAAAATCATTGAGTTGTGCACTTAAAATGGGTGAATTTTATGGTATGTGATTTATACAATACAGTTGTTTTAAAAAAGAAGCTGGATACAAAATATTGAGTCTGGATCCCATCTTGTTTAAAAGACACACACACACACACACACACACACACACACACACACACACACAAACATGCTTTCTCTCTCTCCTTCTCTTTCTCTTCCTGGAAGGATATATCCCCCAATAATAATAATGATTAACCTGGGTAGTGGTGGTGGTAGTTTTCCTTTTTATGCTTCTCAGCATTTCTCGCAATGAGCTTCTATAATCAGCTTTTATAACGGGCAGGGAGTGAAGGGAGCTATTTCGAACACAGTAGATAACATGTGTGTAAAGTTACCTAACATCGGTGTATTATCAACATCAAACAGCTAAATGGCCATCTTAGTTTTTACTCAGATTCTTTTGATTTGTCTAAACTCATTTTTTTCTGCTCCGGTATAATGTTTCATCATCTTGCCCGGAACGCTGCAGTTTGTCTTATCTTCAGAAAAATTCACACTCCAAGATACAGCTGGAAGCAGCAGTGTTTCTACCAAAGGAAGAGATTACTCAGCTCATGCAGTTGGGGGCCATTCCCCATCCTACCCCTTGTTGTAGCTTGATGAAAATTCCCAAAACCCCTTCCTGCTCACATTCAGTTCTTGTAGCTATCTTGGGAATTGATTATGCTAATGCCTATTCCCCAGGGCCTTTGAAAATCTTTATTTTCAAATGAACTCATTTTACTTTTTACTCAGACCATTACATATGGTTCTCTAATGGCCTGTGGGCCCAATATTGGTGATCTATGAGAATCCTTAGGGTAGCCTCTTGAATTAACACTCAGATATGCACAGCTAGCTTTCTGTCTTTGGCCTAAAGTTAAAATGGGAATGTCATTGAATACAATCCAGATATGACCTCACTGGTCCTTCATCCAGTGCGGGGCGATTCATCACCCTGGCAATTGTTTTGCAAGGGCGAGTGGGATGAGGTGGATTTGAAGATGCACAGGGACTCTTGCTTTAAGGACTACAGCAACATCATTCTGTGAACACACTAAGACCCAGATGCTACTCAGATGAAGCTGATATGACTAACCGTAACATTCAAATTGGCCAAATCAAGGAGAAGCTCTCAGAAAAGCACAGAGCATGCATCGTCAAATCTAAAAAACTGTCAAAGGGTAATGAATTATTCCCCAAAGCTTTCAGGATCTGCATTAATTTGGCAACTCAAACACTGAGCATCATCCAACAACCTCAGAGACTGGGATTGCCAAATGTTTATTGCCAAACTAAAAGGAGAAAATGGAAAGTCTTCTGCTTAACCACAGTAGTGGTATTGGCTACATTTTTAGAAGAGTGCAGTAGAATAAGGGCTCTGCTGACAAGGACTGGGGCAAGGAGGTTTGCCTCTGCTTCCCCCGGGAACTCAGGCCTATGGCCATCGCCAATTCATGCAACTTATGTTTCAGCCGAAATCAGAAACATCACCACAAAGGAAAGAAAAGATCAGGCACAAATCATATCAATATGGTTTACTGAATGAATGGCTAGACCTATCAGGAAAACAGCCTACTTTTTTCCCCCTACAATATAATTAAAAGTTTGTAATTCTCATTCCTTAAGTGGTACTTTGCAAGGTGTCCATTAACAGACAAAATAACCTCGGAAGCCCTGGAGCACCTGTCTTCAAGATAAGACAGCAGACACAGGCGGTGGAAATGTGGAAATACGCATTCCCCAGAGCAGATGTTTCAGTTCCTGAATTTCCATCGCCTTTTGTGCAGGCAAGCGGAGGAAAGTTTTCAAAAGAATCTCGGCTGACTAGGAGGGAAGGGAAGCCAATAGCGAAGGGAAAGGTACATTTTCACGGTAAGTTAGAGGCATCACCAAAGGAGAACATGGTTGTGCCCACCCAGAGTGAGAAGCATAGAGCGGAGTGGCTGAAAGAACACCCTCTGGAGCCACAGTTCTCAGGCTGGCTCCTGGCTTTTCAAACCCTTGGTCAGAGACTGAAGGCAAACCTGAGTCACTTAATTTCTACCCGAACCTCAGTCTCCTCATCTGAAAATGGGGGTGCCTGCCTCATCAGACTGTTGTGGAAATTAAATGGGTCAAAACATATAATGAAGAATCTAGGAGCAAAGTAAGCTCTCCACAAACATTGGCTAGTATTATTATTTTCTGGAAATCTTCAAGATTTGAAACAAAAGAGAAAACCTACTCTTAAGATGGGGGTGGTGTGTGACCTTTGCGTGCTGAATTTGGGAGGATACTTTAAGCCTGGCAGAGACAGGGTAATAACACCCCCAGCAGCTCTCTGGGTACTTCCTGTAGAGGGAGATCTAAAAACCTCAGGGTTTTGAATGCCTCGCCCACAAAGGCAGGATACACAAGGGGGACAGAAGATAACGAGCTTTCTGGGTCTCCAGAATGACAGACTAGCACTGAGTGGCCACCACAGTGGGCATCACATCCAAACTTCAATCTTGACAGGTTCAATTCATTTATTCATGAACACTTATTAAGGGCCACTGTCACAGGGTTGGTGATTTTCACTCTCTGGGAGCTTATAGTCAAAATAATTGCAACAGGAAGACATATTGATATCCTTTAAAAGATGCAGCCCATCCGTCCACAGCATTTGAGAAGTGGCCTCTCTTTGCCTCACATTTTACCAGGTGCTTCAGGATGTTACACAGGTGAGAATTTGCTTCTGTACAGAACAAAGAGGATCAGCAACAGAGAGGGGAGCCATCAGGGGATCACAATGTGACAGACACCGTTTCGAAAACACATAAAATCATGCACCGAATCCTGTTCTGCCTGAATTCAAGGCTGACAAATTTCCACCATTACATTTTTTATGTTGTAACTGACCTGTGTATCCATTTAAAGATGTCATAATAATAATTTCAATAATTATTGTAAATCTAGGAAAGTATTACTACCCAAATGTATTCTGAACATTTTGGAAGCACAATGTTATTTATTGCTTTTGCATGAAAAAATAATTGTTAGTGAAAAATTAATGGACCTGCATGTAAGTACTCAACATGCTCACATAATTAAACTGGTGAATTATATTCCACACATTTGCGGTGTTTCCTGGGGAAAAAAAAGTATCGTGGGAGTTAAATCTTTGAAAGAATTGGGAAGAAAATAAACACACATTAAAGACACTGAGAACGTTTTAGAACTGGAGAAAGAAAGGTTCTTACTGATTATCTTCAGAGTAGAGCAAGAAGGTGGTCATGGATTTAAATCCAGGTGGACAGAAACTAATTATTCGCTCTAAAAAAGTCAGATAACATAAAAGACAGAATCTATAGCCAATAAACAACATGACAGAAACCAAAACCAACACAAGAAAAATTACCTACGTATTTCTTCCTAGCCTAGGACTCTGATTTCACTTACATTCCACAAGGGAATTAGAGAAAACACGATTTTTTGTTTTGTTCTGTTTTCTTGGTCGAGTAGCCTAAAGTCTTAAGAATTTTTGTATAATTTAAATAGCACCACAGGAAAAATCCCTGAGCAACTAATGAATGTTATTTGGTCTCTTTTCATTCGGATTTATACCAAGCCCAATATGATCGTGCTGGTCCTGGCTAACCACTAAAGGTTAAAAAAAAAAAAAAAGATAAAAGATAAAATGAATGCAGGCCATTTAAATCATTCCATACTTTTTCAAGAGATTGAGCCTGACATTATTACAGCCCAGGGTGTTCCTTTTGTTTTCAAATAAGTAATGTAGCTTTCTCCTTTCTCTCTCGCTTTCTGCTTCTTTTCTTCTCTCTGCCCTCCCTTCTTCCCATTTCCTTGCTTCTTTCTCCCTTCCTTTCTTTTTTTCTTTTCTCCCTTCCTTAAACACAAACCCCTTTAAAGCATTTAAGGTATTATTTAAACTTTGGCCATCACTGCTGTTCAGGGTGCTGTAGTTGTACATCGATGAAGCACCTTCTGTCTCAGGGTTCACAAGCCCCAGACAAGGGCAGCTAGTCAACCCCTGAGACGCTGGTAGGAAGCCATGATCCAGTTGTTGAAGGTGGCTTCAGTCCCAGCCTGAGCAGGAAAAGAAATCCAGGCTTTCTGACTGGAGAGCTGAGGCCCCCTGCCCTAATTGGACTGATTTCCTGATTCATTTATTTTTTTTAAAAAATGCTTTCCTAGGAGATGCAGCAAAAATCACACCAGTCTCCTGTGGCTCCCCCAAATCATCTCGACAGAAAAGAAGAGAGAAGTTGGCAGTTTTCAGCATATTAATAGCAAACGACAAATTAGTAACTATGTACTTTAATCTTCAACATTCATAATTGCACAAAGCATCACTGGTCATTTAAATAATACATGTCAATTAATCTAATGAAGAAACTGGCAAAGTAGAATGTTAAAAGCAATACCTCGAGCACGTAAAGAATGTTTGATATTAACACTTAACATGCAAAACGCAGATTAGAACAGCTCTTTTGAGCATGGTTATTTAAAATCCTTACCAACAGGGCAAAGCAAGCACTGTGGAGAAATACACATAAATATATCCAACCTGCCAGATCTCTCAGGTGAGTGCACACCAATTCTAACAGGTCTGGCTGACCTGGCTTTCCACATATATACAGTGGTTTCTAATACTCCAAAGTTGTCTGACGATGGGAACGCAGAATCGGAACAAGGAGGGAAGACCATTTACTTTCAAAATAGAATCCGGCAGGGAAGTCTCAACTCCTGACAAGTCACCTTTAAAACAGCATAACCAGAACTTTCTTACAGAGAAAAATCTTTTTTCCTTAAAAATGTATATGTGGCAAAAATGGCTGAAAATCTTGTCCATGCTAGGGGAAAGCTGAGTGTGGAAAAATGTGCATTTTTCTATCTATGCTGTAAAGAAAATACAAAGCCAGAGCATTTTGGCATTAGCAAAGGCTGAACTAAGTTCTCAGGCAATAAATTTATGGGGAAACATGACAGGCTCCTCATTAAAGCTATGTGTACGTTGGCTGAATTTTATACAAGATTCTTGAATCTTGTGGAAAATTGGGCATGGCTTGACATCTGAACAATGTCCCTGGTTTGTTTGATTTCTAAAGCATCGGAAAATGTTGCACTTTGGAAATCAAGTAGAGAAGAATAAACACACTCTAAAACAGAACTGGGCTGAATCTGAAAGTTATTTTTCCATATGTCTCTATGAGATATTTATTACGTTTATTTCTCATACAAACACAGCCCCCATGCTAGAAATACTGTGGTGCATTTTTTTTTTTTTTTTTTTTTTTTTTTGGTGGCGAGAAAATAGTACTGTTAAGGCAAATCTTACCCCGTAGCAGTTACCAGCAGGACAGGCAATTTTCAGTGGGCTTTTCAGAAGCTGGTTGCCATGACAAAGAGCACAATTTATTCCTCAGTCCCTTATCACAGCTACGATCACAGACCATAAAAATTAACACCGCTCTTTTCCATCTGATTTCAGAGTTCCTCATCCTTACCTGAGGCCTTTTGTTCCCCCAATTAAATGGAATGAATGTCAGTCATTTAGCAATTCAATTAATGCTGATTCAAAATTCCGGCCAAAACCAGAATCTATAATCACAACTTCCTAATCACAGTTCAGTCATGAGAATGAAAAGTAAGCAGGAAATTGCACTAATTACTCAATTAGACTAATACTGTATTTCTAAGCAAGGGCTTACGAGGTTGTCAGCCCTGACAAAGGACTTCGGAGTCCTCTTCACCTTGTGTGTCCACAGTTGTCCAACCAAAGCTGGTATTTTCAACTGGCCATAATTTCTGTCCATCTAACATGGATGGACTGAAGCTGGGCAATGGGCGTCATAACTGATATACTGACCACAAGTGAGGGCCGCTTTGGTGGGCTTCAAGGGGCACAGGCCGGTGTGGTGGCCAGGGCTTTCCCATGAGAGGCCCTCCTCCCCGGTGTGAAGACACCCACATGCATACCTTTCTGGCTCCAGGAAATATCTAGTAAGGGGGAGCATTCAGTGAGTGTACAGCTACTTTCCTCATCTTCAATTTCAGTGAGTACACAGGCACTGGCTTCCATACTCAAAACAGGGCCTGCAATATGCTGGGCAGAGAGCTCCTTGCTGAGTGAGCCTGCTGGGGTGGGGTCTGCAGGCGGCTGGAACCTAAGGCTCATCTGCACCCTTGGAAACAGCTTCTCACACCAAGACTGCCCGGAGAAGCCTTCATGAAGTCAAGAACAGTGAATGAAAAGGTGGCAGGGACAGGCACACGGGCAGATGTGACTGAAGTATTTACAAAACAACACAGAGAGACCCAACAAGCTGGACCTTATTAAAAAAAAACAAAACAAAAAAACTAAAAACGTAGATACTTTTTTCCTATACAGTTTCACAAGACTTAAATATGCTGTAAACAACAGGGAGGAGACTAGAGCCTGTCACACCTCTGGTTTTTATGGTCACCTGTCAAAATCCTTCCTGAGGTGGCCTCCTGAGGGGAGAGGAACTGGAGACAGGGACAGGGAAGAGGCCTATCCCATACATATGTCATGGTCTTTCCTCTGCAGAAGTTTCTGGAAATGACCCAACTTGGGAAATGCTCAGGGGTTCTGAAAAGAGGAAGAACATTTATTTGCCTAAGTGAGACAAAGTCTTTACTTCCAGGGTTTGCCTTGCAGGTGACCACTGCTGAGGGAGCGGGGGTTTGAGTGGCTGGCGGGGCCGCCACCTGGCAGATTCTGAGCGCTTCGGGCACCAGGCACCTTGGACTCTCTTCCGGAGGAGTTAGCTTGGTTCAGTCGGCCTGAAGGGAGCAAGAAAGAAGGAACAGAGCTGCAAGAATGATTCCAGGGACAATCTGCCAAGTACAGTTTTAAGCTAATGAAGTCCTAGCCTACAACCACTTTTAAGCTAATGAAGTCCTATGCAGTATCTACTTTAGGCCAACGATGGCCTACTCCTCATCCTTGAGATCAGCCTGAAGGTGGGGAGGGGGACAGAAATGAAGGGAAACCCAGATAGGTTTTTTTTCCCTTCCTCTCCAACATCCCCAACAAACCTAGTCTGTCCTCCACTACTTCCTTGGTAGAGAGGATGCAGACGAGGAGTGATTTGGGGAAAGAAAAGAGAAAGCAGTACGGTGAAACTAAGGTAGGAAGACAAACCACAGAGGCTCTCAGAGTGGAGAAGCAAAAGCTGCAGAAGGAATCGAAAACTTTCCAAGAAGGAATCTGAAGGTCTGATGCTTAACTCCTCAATTTTACCTGAGATATACTTTTTGATGAAGTCTCTACATTTTTGCCTGGGCGTGGTGGCTCATGCCTGTAATCCTAGCACTTTGGAAGGCTGAGGTGGGTGGATCACTTGTGGCCAGAAGTTCGAGACCAGCCTGGCCAACATGGTGAAACCCTGTCTCTACTTAAAATACAAAAAAATTAGCCTGGTGTGGTGGCGGGCACCTGTAATCCCACCTACTCGGGAGGCTGATGTGGGAGAATCGCTTGAACCGGGGAGACGGAGGTTGCAGTGAGCCAAGATCATCCCATTGCATTCCAGCCTGGGTGACAGAGCAAGACTCTGTCTCAAAAAAAAAAAAAGTCGCTATGTTTTGATAAAGTCTCTCTTCAATGCGTAATTCTTGCCACTATCTGGGGTCACCTCCACTGCCTCCCCTCCCCAGCACCTGTAACATACCTCCCTAGTATTTTAAGAATCTAAATATAAGAGATGAAGGTTTTCATATGATGAGGTGATATTCAAAGCTGCAAACCAAACATTATCTTTAAAGGTCAAAAGATCTTACTAGGATGATCTGCAGGCCCTTGCTCCTCTTCCAGATAATATTCTATCTTTTTTAAGTCTTCTGGGGTAAATCTCCATTTATTCTCAGCTGGTAGGGGTGGCCCTTTGGGGCTGGATCGTTTCCGGGCAGACCCAGGAGGAAGGGCCTGCTGGCAAGATGCTGGCAGGGAACCAGTAATCAGTCCTTCCGGGAATTTCTGAGCTAAGACTTTTAGACCTAGGTTTGGAAAATCATCAGAAAAAGCTGCATTAATATGGCAAGGCCAGGCCAAAACCTGGAAAGAAGCCTGCATGTCTTCTAATCTCTGGTCATCAAGTTGAGGCCAACACAAGGACATGAAATCTTTCTTAACTATTTCATCATTAAGCAAATTATACCAGAAAATATCTGTTGTTACATGGGATTCTGAGAATTCCACAAGAAATCCTTTTGCTCGAGTCTTCAGCATTAGGGCTTTGTGACAGAGCCCTGAAGCAACATCAGGAATTAAAAACATGTGCTGATGAAGCTAAGGGAAGTTTCACATAACTCCTGACTCCTTTCAGCCAGCATGGCTTTTTCTCTTTCCAGAACACTGAATTCTGAGCACCAAGAGAGAAAAGGGGATGCAGGTGGGACTGAAGGATGATCAGCCTTTGAAGTCCCAAGCAGAGTATCACCTTGCTCACCTCCGGAAAGCATGAAGAGGTTTTCAAATCCACGCTCGCACATGGTGGTGGCCGCCTGACTGGCCAGCCTTTCATCATCGTCATACAGAATGATGATCTTGCCATGGGCATTTTTCTAAGAGTCAGATGAGTTAAGGTTCCAAGGCACTGGGCTGATGTCCCAAGACTACGAGAAACCCCCAAGGAATAAAAGGTCAGGTCCACCTGTCTGAGTTCCCGGGAACGATGGACAAGCCCATTCCTACCGTCACACCAGCAGGGACTGGATGGTTTCCCATCATGGAAACCACACAAGCTGGTATTCGTTTCTTTTGCAAACTGATGTTACCATGATCTAAAAGACAGCACTAGTTCCGGACTTTACATCCTTTAGCTCTCTTATCCCTATGACCCTGGAAAGTAAATATTACAATCCCCATTTTACAGATGAAGAAATAGAACAACTTCTATGCCTAATGTGTCCACTGAAGCCTATTTATGACAGTAAAAATGTGGGAGCCATCTAAAAAGTCCAAAATAAAGGAATATTTTAGTAAATCATAGTAAATCTGAAGATATTACACAGCATCAAAAATGTGGTTTACAGAAGGCTTGCATCAGCATGGGGAAATACATCGGGATATGAACTGAAAAAAAGCAGGATACTAAATTACATATATAGTAAGGTTTCAACTTTGTTAAAAAAAAACAAACACACAGAAGACAGTCTGGAATAAAATATACTAATAATGTAATAGAAGCCACTGCTCAACTGTGTGATTATAAGATATTTCAATTTTCCTTTTAATAATTTTTGGTATTTAAATTATTTTCTGCTTGTATAATTTTTATCAATGAAAAAATTAAAATTTTAAAGGAAAAAATTAAAATAGAAAAAAACCCTAAGTTCTGCTATGGAAAGTTTTCTGGGAGGAAAAAAACTCTCTTAGGACTAACTCTCAATGGATCCTAACTCTTAACCTAGTGTTTTTTGGCCCAGGGCAAGACGGTTTGAAAGCATCCGCCTAAAGAGTCAGGATTCTTGGCAATAGCTAGGAATCCAAATTCTAAAATATGCTCAGCCAAATAATATCAAAGGTCCTTCACAGCATTCTTACCAGGAGCGTGGTTCATGATAACTTTGATTCTTACAATCCTCATACCACCCAATTCCTTAAAATGCAACAAAGGATACATATTCAAGAATATCATTTGAATAAGGGTTCATTGTTCTAGACAGAGTTGCAATTGGGTAACTGTAAGCTGCAAAGAGAAGAAAAAGTTTAGGAAGTCTGTTGTTCTCTTAATACAACTTGGCCTCAATTCCCAGCTGGTTTAAAATCTAAGAGTTAAATACATCTTCAAAATCCATGAGCTGCTGGGCATGGTGGCTAACACCTATAATCCCAGCACTTTGGGAGGCCAAGGTGGGTGGACCGCTTGAGTCCAGGAGTTTGAGACCAGCCCGGGCAACATGGTGAGGCCTCATCTCTATAAAAAATACAAAAACATTAGCCGGGTGTTGTGGCATATGCCTGTAGTCCCAGGTACTCGAGAGGCTGAGGTAGGAGGATCACTTGAGCCCAGGAAGGCAAGGCTGCAGTGAGCTGTGATCGCGCCACTACACTTCAGTCTTGGCAACAGAGCAAGGTATTAACAAAAAAAAAACAAAAAAAAAAATCAACAAGCCATAAACCTAAACACTTCTGTGAAAGAAAAGAAAGAGCACTATGAACAAAGCATGAAGCTTCACTTCCCTGCTTCTGACAGCCATCTGTGAAAATCAGCAGCCTCTCAAGAGTATTTTATGGTGGAGCCAACCCTATAGGATTCCATAATGGATCCAGCTAACATACGGTTTCCTCAACTGTCTACCATGGGCTGTGGTTCCAGCCTGCCTAGACTCAAGAGCAGGCTCTCTGTTCTTGAGAGTGAGGCACTTTAAAGCCTTCTCTCTCTTACCTCCAACAATGTGGCACTGCTGGTAAGAATCTCTATCACGCACATCTAGCAGCAGGAAGGGGCAGTCAGGATAAGGTTTGTCTTTGGTATGGGGCTCTGCTTTCTTCACTGGCCCTTTGTCTAGATCCAGTTCCCCAACACCACTGATGACACTGCAAGTGAAAAAGTAGGTCAGCAGAAACTAGTCAGAGGTTGGTGGCTTAAAGGTCGAACGTGTCTCTTCAGAATAGTGAGGTGAGTGCTCAATGTCTTTTCAAAGGACGCTTCAAAGGCAAAGGAAAATGGACGTGGTGTCTCAGTTCTGCCTCTGAATGCAGGATCCTGTGGATTTTCTCTTCTACTACACTGGACCCCACAGAGGAGACCCACATGTCCACACTCACCTTCAGACAATGCGTGTCAGTGCATTACATGGCTGAGGGGGTAGGGACTGAAGGGCACATGCTGCCTCTAGCCACAAGGGCAGCATCAGAGGGAGAAAGAGGGGAACTGTGAATCCAGTAGAGCGAAAGAGGGAAGAATATGGTTGGTAGGACAGGAAAAAGGAAAGACATTTCTTTCTACGTGTAAGTAATATAAAGTAACAATAATGCTTTATATATTTCATATACGTAGTCAGTGACATATCTGCTATGGTATTGAGTCTTAATACTTACATAGCTCTCTGTACTTACTCCAGTTTTATAGGTTACAACATTGAGGTTGACGAGGCTTTAGATTTGGTGGCATTCATAGAATGAGGCAGAGGAAGAGCTGGGATTAAAATGAGGAAGCTAACCACTACCACTAACAGTTCTAATTCTAAGGTCATTCAATCACTGAAACTGGTCACCATCTTAATATTATAGGGAAAATGTGGTAAAAACATGAATCAAAGTAATAACAAGACTAGGTGTTATGAACAAAATGGCAAGCAGTGAAATATCCTTACTGGAATAAGAAGATGGTTACTTTCTTAGGAAATATTAAGACTCATATGCTAAATCACAGATTAGTATGTAGCATAGCTCCTTTCCCATAACAGCAAATCAAATTCTGCATTTAAATCCAATAAACACTATAACTCTATGCTATATAGTGCATATTTTGTTGAACCAAAGGAGAAGAACATCTGTTTGATAAGAAACTGCATCCTCAGTGGAAGTCCTGTTGGCCTATCTCTTCTTGAGTGCAATTTTAGAGTCCTCTCGCAAAAGTAACTATAATAATATAAAGCTAAAAGAATAATAATAATGGTGGGATGATGATAGCAATTCTTTCTCTGGTAGAACTAATTTCTCCAGAACTATTTTATCAGTCAAAGGGATGGACATCTGCTGAAAATCAGTACTGCCCTATAATCAACAGTTAATATTAGTTAGAAAGTACTACACGGACTAAAGTCCATGTAATCCTTGGAATAAGGAGGCCCATGCCTTAGAAGAAGGAGCAGAAAAATAAAATAAAAAGAAGGAACAGCCACATTCAGCTTTAGAATAAACACCAAGTACTGCTTTTTCCTTTGCACCTACTCAGTATCAGAGCACTATGTGTGGCACTGTCACTTCCGGACAGGGTATTATAAGCTTCAGCAGTCGGAAAAGGGGGAAAAATCATACTCTCTGAATCAAAAGATAGTATTTGTAAAGCTAATTCCTCATAACAAACTTATATGTAGGAGGGAGAAGAATGGAACGAGAAATGAAAATTAAACTCTCCTATTAATATATTCTCACATTAACTCAGTAAGAATGCAGTGAAAAAGATTCAGGAGGTAGCATTTATATAAAGATAAAGTAGAAGGCTGGGATTAAAATGTGAGACTTTACTCCTGCCAGTTCTGTTTCTAAGGCAAGAAAAAAAAAAGATCCCTGAAATTGGCGTCTAGATTAATATAAAGGCAAAATGCAGTGAAAATATGAATCAGCTTCGAGTACCTCTGAAGAGTTGAGCGGCTGGAGTCCCCTGCTCCTGCGTTGTTTATGAACTGCTCAGGGCTCGGCGACTGCTCACCTGGATTTCCTTTCCCATTGGTCCTGGCAGTGGTTTCAGCATCAGGGTCTGAAGCTGCAGAATCATTGTCTAATATTTACAAATGAAGAAATAATTAGATTGAACCTCAGGATTTGTATTTACTTATTAGTTCCACTGACATTAAGTCAAGAAAAGGAAATCTTATCATCATTATTAAATTGTCGTGGAAGTGCTAACGTACAAGTTCCCAAAGTGTAGTGGACCCCAAACATCCCCAAGGCCCTTTCAGGGGATCTGCAAGGTAAAAACTATTTTCATGAGATGTTACTTGTCTTTTTTACTGTGTTTATATTTGCACTGATGGTACAAAAGAAATGGTGGATAAAGCTGCTAGCACCTTAGTAAGAATCAGGGCTGTGGCACCAAGCTTTATTAGCAATCATTGTATTATTCACCATCACGCATGCATTCACAGTAAATAAGTATGGCAGTCACACTACAAGAAGGTCCCTGTTAAAGCAGTAACACTTACTATTCTTATTACATCTCACCTTGAAGTAAGTACATGCTTTTTTTAATGTTCTGTGTGATGAGGTGAGGAGTCCACATACATCACGTTTGCTACATACCAAATTACCAGGGTTATCTCAAGGAAAAGTATTAGTGTGATTGCTGAGTTGCAGGCTGAACCAGTAACTTTTGCTATGCACACCATTTTTGCTTGGAAGAAAAACTGACAGAAAAACTATGGTTAGTTAGACTTGTATATTTGGCAGACATTTTCTCAAAAGTGAACTAAATAAGCCTGTTTGTTATTTCAGGGAACACTACTGATGGCATTGTTGCCAATGATTATATTTTAAGCCAAACTCAGAATTTTGGAAACTATATTTGCCATCAGGAACCGAAGTATGGGGAGCTGCTTCCCCATGCTTACAGACCTTTTTGGTAAGATAGATAGTGAGAATAATATATGTGATTTTTTTGACAGTTGTATAATAAAATGTATTAACCTTTGGGAAGATCTTCATAACTCAGTGAACCAATATTCTCTAAATGGCCAGTGCATGATGTTATACAATCATGCATGGGTAAAAGATTCAAAGTATAAGACAGTTACACTGCAAGTGCCTGATTTTAATCTAACAGTATGAAAGATTCATTGATATGATTTCAGATTCTACATTACAGCTAATCCTTAAGAAACTAGCAGTTGTCAAGTTTTATCTGAAAGGACTATTGAAATATTTCTCCCTTTTCCACCTACAGGTTTGTGTGAGCTGGATTTTCTTCACACACTTTAACACAAACAGCACATCACGACAGACACCGCAGAAGCAGAGAGGAAAATCAGCAATCCTTTCATTAAACCAGACACTAAAGAGATTTACAAAATATGTAAAACAACGACGTTCTCAGCAAAATTTTGTTTTGGAAATAATGCTATTTTTCATAAAAACATGTTATGTATGTTTGTAATGGGTTTAGTATGGTTATTTTTAAGTGAAATAATAAATAAATACTGTTTCAGTTCCCAGTTTAAATTTTTAATACACTAAATATTAATAGACATAAAGCACATAAACCAAAGCTCTTTGGGATCTTCAATAATTTTTAATAGAGTGGAGGAAGAGAACAAAACGTTTGAGAATTTGCTGTTCTAACCAATACAATAAAGTTTTTTTAAAAATAATAATAACAGGGCGGGCATGGTGGCTCACACCTGTAATCCCAGCACTTTGGGAGGCTGAGGCGGGTGGATCACTTGAGGTCAGGAGTTCGAGACCAGCCTGGCCAACATAGCGAAACCCCATCTCTACTAAAAATATAAAAATTAGCCAGGTGTGCTGGCAGGCACCTGTAATCCCAGCTACTCAGGAGGCTGAGGCAGGAGAATCACTTGAACCTGGGAGGTGGAGGTTGCAGTGAGCTGAGATCGTGCCACTGCACTGCAGCCTGGGCAACAGAGCAGGACTCCATCTCAAAAAAATAAATAAATAAAAATAAAAATAACAAGTCTAATTATTAAAGAGGATATTAAATTTATTTTGCATATGATATGATAACGTACCTAGAAATTTTAAGAGAATGAGAATAACTGCAATAAATATGTGGTTAGATAAAAGAAATGCTAAAATATTTGTCCTATACACCAATTAAAAAATAACAGGAAAAAAAATCTCATATACAGTAACAACTGCAGCTATAAAATATACTCTCCGGTGGGGGGACGGGGGAGGGAAAGCATTAGGAGATATACCTAATGTAAATGACAGGTTAATAGGTGCAGCACACCAACATGGCACATATATACATATGTAACAAACGTGCACATTGTGCACATGTACCCTAGAACTTAAAGTATAATAAAAAAAAGTATATAAAAAATATATATATATACTCTCCAAGAAATGATCCTAAACTGAATGTAAATAACCTATAAAAATGTATAAATCCTTTATAGGACTTACAAAAATTTTACTTAGAGGCCTTAAAGAAGACCTCAATGAAGAGAGTGACACACTCTGCATGTTCCTGATTGGGCAAGTAAAACTAAAATGTTAATCCCTCCCAAATTTAACTTTTGTTCTTAATACTAATCCCAGAGGGATTTTTTTAAAACTTAAAAGGATTTAAAAAATAACAAGAGTAAACACACACACACACACACACACACACACACACACACACACACACTCAGATCCTTTTTTCCTATTCAGTTTCACAAGACTTAAATATTCTGGAAGCAATATATACCCATGGGTTTTTGATGTGTTGGTTTTTGATATGTATGAGGAAATAGGAAAATATATGTATATACATACATAATTAGGGGTGATTTGGAGACCTGCCTTATCAAATAGTAACATATGTTAAAAAGGTAAATGATCAAAATAGTACAGCACTACAACCAGAACAATGGAATATAATAGAAAACATGGAAAAGAATATAAATAAAAAGTCAATACATCCATATCACAAATCAGTGGGTAAAGGGAGAACTACTGAGTATATGGTGCTAGGAATATTTCTCAACTATCTGGAAAAATCTAATTCAGATAATCACCTCGTGTCATATATCAAAATACATAACAGATGGTTTAAATGCAAACAAACAAGCCAATAGATTATTACAAAATGTAGGTAAATAATTTACCAACACTGAATTTTATGAGTCTAAAGCAATAAAAGAAAACAATAGTACAGGCTAATAGATTTGATTACGTAAAAATTCAACCTCATATATATCAAAAACCAACACAAAAAAATTAAAAGGTGAATAACAAATTAGGAAAAAGATCTGTAACACATATGAATTAAGAAGGTTAATATACTTAATTTATAGATTTAAAAAATTAGCTCTTTAATATAATGTGAAAAGAGTAAAAAAGCAATAGGATCATGTGCACGAGGTAAAAATGCAAGTAAGATTAAATCGTTAACATGGAAAGGAAGTCTTTCCCCCACCGAAGACATGCAGGCCCTCCTGCCTCCTTCCCCAAGGGAAGTATCAGTATATTAAACACTTTCACGTATTTATGTCTCATTCCAGAAATAAAACATTTACATGTGCTTGCATATATTTTACTTCTTCCCCCTTTTACAAATCCAGGAGAATTCTATTCATATTATTTTATACTTTGGGTTTTTGTTTTATTGTTGTTTTATTTTTACTTAATATAGCCTGGAAATTGTTCCAACTAATCAAGATTTTTTCTCATCCATTGTCAAGTTAATATTGTTCTCCGTTGTACAAAGATATCATAATTATTCAGAACTCTCACAAACCAATAAGAAAAAGATGAACATCCTATTAGAAAGAAAGGAAAAAGAGCACATAAACTCCTTAAAAGAAGAAATATGTATTTATGACCAGTAAACACACACACAGAGCATAATCTTACTATCAAATAAATAAAAAACTGTTAGATACTATTTTTCATCTATTGAACTGGAAAATATTTACAGAAATGATAATTATTCAGCTTTGGCTAGGATGAGGAAAAACAGGTCTTCTCATTCACTCTTGGTGGGAATGCAAACAGGTAGAACCATGCTGGAGAGAATGTGGCAATCAGCACTGGGTGTCTAAAATGGTTCCACCCTTTGACCCTCTGCAGCAATTTATCTTCAGGGAATAATCAGAATCATACAAACATTTACATATATACATTGCAGCATTATTTTATAAAGGTGAAAAATCAGAAAAAACTGTAATGCCCAACAAGAGAATAATTAAATTATGGTATATCCAAAGGACAGATATTAGATGACAACACAATCTTTACAGTCATGCTTTTGAAGCCTATTTAGTGACATGGGAAAGTATGAATGAAAAAGCGATAATTGAAAACAGCACAATACAAAATTATATACAAAGAATATAGATTTAATTGGGGTGAGGGGTTAGAGAGGAGGAAAGCGGACCAAAACATAGACAGTGATTATTAGTTATTTTTCTTCTTTATATACTTTTTACGGTTTCCTAACTTACTAGAAATACACTTTTAAGTTAGGAAAAAGCGATAAACATTATAAAAGGAGATTTTTATTTATCCCTTCAAAGATAGCCAATATGCATACAGATACAATCTGTTCCCCAGGCACTCCTGAGTGAGTTATTATCTGTGTAGAGCACTAGAAAAACACTAATATTACTCACACATTATGGTGTCCTACTTTACAAGAGCCTACTTTGCTGTGCAAATTTATCTCAGAAGAGAAAATTGCATGTGCCCATATGTTCTGGTGCTGCAATCTCAACAATGAATTAAAGGACCAAATCTAGGTGCTTATATAACCCAGTTAAAATTGGAGTACTTGTATGAGGAGACTCAAATTATCTCTGCTACAAGGAGCTCTTATTTCTCTGCTTTGTGAGAGGCATCTGTCAAAGATAAATTCCTGTCGTTTTCAGATTCTCTTTATCCTCCCTAACAAAAAACAGTCCAGGGAAATGACAGTTGAGTTGCACAAACCCAGTGTTCAGACTTCCTGAGAAACTTGTCTTGAAATCAGAAGTCAAATTCCTGACCTACATCAACCTTAACAAACACATTCCTCTTCAATAAACAGCCACACACTGATTGCTGGGTACTTCAGGATAAAATAAAGACCTTAACTCTCTGTATTCTTTTCATGAGAGTACAACTAGGAGGTTTTATTTTCAACTTGGTATTTAAGAAAGGAGAAATGGAGCCTACCTGTCTTTCTAGCCTTATCTCCTACCCAGCGCCTACTCGTCCCTTAGACCACAGCCAGACTGGATGACTCGATTCCCCAAACATGCCTGGTGTGCTGTCCTCTCCATGCCTTTCACAGGCTGCTCCTCAGCCTGCAACAGCCTCATCTTTAACTTGTACCTGTTGAGATTCTACCCCACTTCAAGGCCCAGTTCCAGTGCCTTGAGGAAGCCTACCTCGGTCTTCTTTTTTTTTTTTTTGAGACAGAGTCTTGCTGTGTTGCCCAGGCTGGAGTGCAATGGCGTAGTCTCAGCTCACTGCAACCTCCGCCTCCTGGGTTCAAGCAATTCTCCTGCCTCAGCCTCCTGAGTAGCTGGGATTACAGGTGCACACCACCGTGCCTGGCTAATTTTTCTATTTTTTTTAGTAGAGACAGGGTTTCACCATGTTGGACAGGCTGGTCTTGAACTCCTGACCTCGTGATCTGCCCGCCTTGGCCTCCCAAAGTGCTGGGATTATGGGGGTGAGGCACTGGGCGTGAGGCACCGTGCCTGGCCGCCTACCTTGGTCTTCTAACTGGAAGTGTCTTTCCTTCCTTGGAACTCTCCCACAACATCCTGCATCTTTCCTGAAGGTACTTTTCAGTCCCTTAAGGGTACAATGAAGGCAGCAAGAAGACACTGGATGCTACTGGGCACACTTAGATTTGTAACTCAGGTCCCTTCCTTATTAGCTGTATCACTTTGAGGAGGCAGCTTAACCTCTGCAGCTTGGGCCTCTCATCTGTAAAGTGTACCTTCCTTCCAGAGTTTTTAAGAAGCTTAAGTAAGAAAATTCATGTGAATTCACCTTGCAATATACAGCCAACAAACGATGGTTTCCTTCCATTCCTCCATTTTAAAATTCTGCCACCTTAGTAATTTTGTGGTACTGTTATCATTCAGCCCACCCAACACACATACATGTGTGCACATGCACACATGTGACTGTCAATTTCATGTAAGCAGAGCTGTGTTTTGTTCACCTCTGCAGTCTCATAGTACTTAATGTGTAGGTACAAAGAATGCTAAAAATATTTGTTGAAAAAAGTAATTAGTATATTAAACACATCTAAAACATTTAAAACTGTAAGTGTTAGAGTCAGAAAACCAGATGGCTTTTTAAAATAAGAATTAACAACTAAAGTATCAGGTAGCATTTCCCTGAGAGTAACAATCTAATTACAAATAGATACATCAAAGTCCCAGTCCCTGGGAACAGACAGCAAATGTGTACAGGGTGAGTGTTTCAGTCAAATGGTCAGCCTGTTATTTTCCCCACACCCTCAATTCTCATTACCTTCCAGCCTTTGAATCTCCTCAGCTGTCACTTCCAGTGTTTGATCAGAGAGGGAAGCAACTTGGATGATCTGATAGAAAAAAGAATGAAATGTGTGGATGTTTGTTTGTTTTTAAACAGACGCAATTTTGTCTTTTACAAAAGACGAGGGAACAACAAACATCAAAGATCTGTTGTTTTAAGAAGCTGTCAGTGTCCTCAACTGAACGCTGAATCTCAGGCCTCCTTCCTTTTGTGTTGGTAATATACTGCAGATGATCATTTCAGAAGAAAAGCACACTTAGAACACTACATAAACTTAGAATGCTAAGAGGAAAATTTAGGACAAGAAACATGAATAAGAGTTTAAAACCACATCTGTATATATCGTGGTCCAAGCACTACACATTATTTCTTGAAAATGCAATACTGACCTAGCATAACATAGAATGGTATCAGCAATTATCCACGCAATGAAGAAGTAAATGTAATAACAAATACACTGATTACAGTGTTTTATACTTCTATACAGTATTCATTTTTAAAGCACTTTTCACAACTTAGCTCACAAGACCCAAGATTCAACTTGAGTTATGCCAGTGGAACTCTTGGAACTGGAAAGACACCTTCTCCATAATTTTCAAATAAAAGAAGAAAGTGACTTGCCCAAAATAACAAAACAGCTCTGGCAGGATGATTTGGAAAAGATCAGTCCAAGAAAAGGGGAAATCACTTGGTTTCCAGAGAAAAACGTTGAAACAATCCAGGATCCAGAATTTTAGATTCTAAATATTAAGTTAAATGTATAAGGAAAAAAACCCCTAACCACAAGTTTAATGAATTAAAAGTAGGGCAAACATTTACTTTATAGAATTCTTATCAAAGAAGAGAGAAACATTTCTCACCATCTTCATGTGAACACACACACCACATACCAATTAATCTTCCCATAGCTGAACGACATACAAAGAATCAGAAGAAACTCCTCTGCAAACTTTCCCTAGAGTTGAATTTAGAAATACATAAAGTGGCACAAATTAGACAGACTTTACTCCAGTGGAAAAATCAAGAAACTTACCAGCTGGGCAAAAGTTGTAACTTTTAGTCTCTTGAAAAGCTCATCTTTTTTGTATCTATAATCTGAAAAATATGGTAAGACAAGTATTTATCTATTTTGCTTTTTTAGAGCTATTCTTTCTAGTTGTCAAGTGACGTGGTCTTTCAAGTTATTTATATGCTTTTACATCTATTATCTCATTTGAGCCTCATGATATCATCAAAATTAGGTGTGGCAGGTAGTAGTATCATCTGTTCAGTTTGTTTCCCTTTGCTTTGTCATTAGGAAGCTTAAAGTTGAATTTATAAGCTACCTTTGGTCTAGTGACTACCCCTTGCCTTTATTTTATTAGTCTACCATTTTCCTTTAACTAAGCTGTCTCTACTTCGACCACATTGTACTCCACGCATTTTTGTAAGCCGCCTCAAATCCTTTTCAGAGTAAAGCAGGGAAGAAATGTCCGTGTTTTACAAATGAGGACAGAGACTCAGAGAGGCTGAGCTGCCCCAGCTCAAACAGCTGGTGAGACGTTCATGCCCCACTATTCTGACTCCAGCTTAAAAAGAAAGCAATATTATTCCTGCCATTACACACTATGCTGAAGCCACAGGACAACATTTCTAAGTGTATGCTGGGCACACAGCTGTGATTGGTTCTGATCATCTCTCAGCTTCTCTCCAACTTCACTCCAATAAAAATTAACCTACTTAGTTTCGCAAGATGAAAAAGTTCTGCAGTTCTGTTGTACAACAGTATGAAAATACTTAATGCCACTGACCTGTACACTTAAAAACCATTACGATGGTAGGTGTTATGTGTTCTTGTTTTTGTTGTTTACTACCATTTTATTTTATTTATTTTTATTTCTCTGTCGCCCAGGCTGGAGTGCAGTGGTGTGATCTCGGCTCTCTGCCACCTCCGCCTCTCAGGTTCGAGGGATTCTCCTGCTTCAGCCTCCCGAGTAGCTGGGATTACAGTTGCCCACCACCAGGCCTGGCTAATTTGTGTATTTTAGTAGAGACGGGGTTTCACCATGTTGGCCAGGCTGGTTTCGAGCTCCTGGCCTCAAGTGATCCACCCACCTCAACCTCCCAAAGTGCTGGGATTACAGGCGTGAGCCAAAGCGTCCGGCCCCACCATTTAAAAAAATAAAATAAAACCAACTTAGGCCAGGTTTGGTGGCTCATGCCTGTAATCCCAACACTCCAATTAATAATACAACTAATAATACAAAATACAACTAATAATACAAATCCCAACTAATAATACAAAAATTAGTTGGGCATGGTGGTGCACACCTGTAATCCCAACTACTCCAGAGGCTGAGGCATGAGAATCAATTGAACCTGGGAGGTGGAGATTGCAGTGAGCCAAGATTGCACTACCACATTCCAGCCTGGGTGAGAGTGAAACTGTGTCACAAAAAAAAAAACAAAAAAAAAACTTAAAACATCAATATTTATTCAGTGCTGTCTTGACAATTCTGAGCTATAACTCACATATAGGTACTTCTGCACTTGTGTTCATAATTCTTCCCATCACATTAAACAGTTATTAAAAACTAAGCCAGTTGCACTTTATCTATTATCTGTTCCATAGATACGTGTTAAAGGTTAGCTTCCTTAAACTGTTTTGAAGATGACAGTCAAATTCTGAATGGTTTTCAGTGTTGAACTCTGCCCGCCCTCATGCTTTCCTCCTCACCTAGGTTTTTATATTGGTACCCATGACTCTTTAACTGCTGCCTCATTATTTCAGAATTATTAAAGGTTAGCTGGTTAATTGCTATGGCCTTCACAGCATAAATGTCTCATAAACCAAGACTCCTAGCAACAAAGGAAAGGATTAAAAGTATTTAAGATTATTTACCTGGTGTAACTAATCACTTTCATGAATTTTCCAAAAACCAGCACAGACCTTAAGACTCAGAGTCGGGAAATGATACTACTTTAAAAACTAGCCTTCTGTAAATATATCAAGGCTTTTTAAAAATAGGGAATTAAACTTCTCTGTTCTAAAATGTCTTAAAGAGAGCAATTTGGCTAATAACAGACCATTACTTCTAGGAAATGCTTAGAGATGCTGCTTCTGGATACAACAAGGTAACAAACCTATATGCAGTGGAACTTCTAAAACCTGCCGGGATGCAGACCCAAATAGGCCGAGCTGAGGCTTTACAAAGTACAACCAAATAACTACAGTGTTCCTTTTGATTGCCACCAACTTGCCCACCAAAAGTCGTTTATGCAAATCAAAACAACAATAAATCAGCAAATGGAAACAGCCAACAGCTTTCAAGTAGTTTGCACTGTGACATTTATCCACTGATATTCTTTTGGTATGGTTACAAGGTTTAAAATGCTTCTAAGCATAAAATGTATACTTTAAAATCTCCTTTAACTAAACAAAGATTAATTTAAACAAACAAAAAAAAGACTGCTTTATTCTAAAGATTGGGATTTCTACTGTCTTCTGCACAAGCACTAGCAGCCCCCTACATATTTGAACCTGAACTCCACGTACCTGGTTCTGGTTTAGAAGGACAGCCGTCAGTAGGACTTTTTGACATGATTACTCAGAGATAAAAGATCAAACTAGATGTTCTACAGTAAGTTTAAATTTTTATAAAAAGGATGACTTGGAAGGCTCTGTCAGTCTGTCCTCGCAAGAGCGAACAGAGCTTTAAGAATGGAGCTTCTGCTATGTGTCTTCTCCCAAACTCTGTGTTGAAGACAATCCTAGTTTCAGATATGTTATCAAGGTGTGCTTCTCCAGTAAGTCTAGGTTCTAAGTCTGTCTCTCTCGAGTTACTGGAAGGACAGAGACCTGACTATCTAGGATGTTTCACACTGGGTCCAACTAGTGTCATCTAACCACCAGAAACCAAGAATGGGCTTTGTAAATTGTCAATAGACATAGAGTGTCTATTTTCCCCAGGTAGAGTTGAAAGAATATTCAGATTACAAAGGATTTCTGCATTTTCAGGGTTCTGTTGAAATGCATTATTAGCAAAGGGAAGTTGGGTTCACAGTGGAAGACAAATCAAAGGAAGTAACAGAACAAGGTTTGTGGTTTCACAGAAAGAAATGGCATCTAAGGTAATCTGAGTAAAGTGATGGGTCTAGGGTATCAAGAAACAAGGGAATATTCTCCTCCCTTTCAACCCCAAATAATACTTACAACAGAAAATGGGGAAAGAGAAGGAAATATCTTCTAAAATGTAGATGCCAAACCAGAATCTAAAGCAATTCTGTCAGGGAATCAGCACAAAGTGTGTGAAATGGGGTAACAGGAATCTCCTGCTCTACTAAAAGGAAGCCCTCCACTCCTACAGAGGGAAAGTGAAGCAAGCATTTTTCAAGGTTCTGTTCCAAGGGTATTGTTCTGGGAGATCACCTCCACGTAAGGTTTAGATATTAAAGAAACCACATCGTACTTTGAAGAAATGTTTTAAGTGAGGTTATGGCAACCTGGGCAGAGTGGGACATTTTTATGGGACAAATTTCTAGTGAGGACATGTGAACTCACACTCAGCTGCAAATGGATGAGAGGTGACAGAGACGACAAACCCAAAAAGAAGCAGGCCAGCTGGATTCTGCCTGTCTTGGATGAGTCAAGGATGGCAACAATGAAGTGTAGGTGAGTAAATGCGATCTTTCTCCAGAGTTTAAAAGTATATATTTTATATAGATATTTAAAATACATATACTTATGTAATATAAAATGTTCAGGAAGAAAAGAGAAGGATACTGTGGCATTACATATTTTTAAGAAGTTTGTAGCATTAGCCCTTATAGCTGAACATGGCAAATGAAAACACAGCATAAAGCAGCTCCTGAGTCCACATCTATTGGTTGGGGTTTCCCAATATTGCAGCAATTCAAATGGAACTTTGATTTCAAATAAAAGGTCTGCTGTGTAAAAGAAGAAAATGTTCTGATGTATTCTGGATGTGCAATTTTATCTTCCAAGAAGATGTACATTACCAGAGCCAAGTCCTGAACTATGATTAATCAGAGTACCTCTTTACCACCATTAACTAAATATCCCCTAGCACTGGGTTCTCTTATTCAAGATATGAGCAAATCCATCTTAGAAAATAGATGTTTCTACTTCTTCCTTAATTCTGGCCTTGAAGTATACACTTTACATCAGTTTTGGATGCAGACTGAAAAATTATGATTTTGTGCAAGGGCAATGCACTCAATGACTGGTAACATATCTTTGCAGATAAGTTTTTTAAAAGGATGTAGATGAAATATGATTTTTAATTAAAAGAAAACAGACTGCAATGAATTGATAATGCATAACACTAAGTTCTCACGTCCCTGTCTTCCATGAATACTCTCATTTATACACACAAGAATGTTCTGAAGGAAGATATTATTACCCCCTATCTCAAATAGAGACAAAATAAGACAGAAAAGATGAAATATCTTGAAGAAGGGCATGAAGACTGCAGTACAATGACACTAGAAGCTTAAGCAGAGCTCATTCCACCAGATCTGACTCTGCAGGCCAACACTAATGTCTCCTATGGGATGGAAATAGGGCAGAATTTAGGCCTACAGGCCACAATCTGAGAAGCAGCCCAGTACAGCACCCAGGATCTCCCACAGCCCTTGAGGCACCTGCTAGGCTTATCGGACCATCCATAGCTCTCTGTGCCTGTCACCTGTGGAACACAATTGTTAGTTAAGAACCAATTTATAGAACAACTATAGACTTCCACTCTCCCAAACCATCAAGAGTGTTACTTACTTTTCTTAATCTCTTCGAGCTTCTCAGTATATTTAGTCATACTGTTACCTAAAAAGAAAATAAGGGGTTTTAGATATACTTTAAATGGAAGCAAATGAGTAACACTGTGGAAACAGAATGGAGGAAAAGTATCCCCTAAGCTTTCCTATCCTGTTCTTAGGGGATTCTGGACAGCAGCAAACAGGCCACACACAGTAAAATCTTTTGGATAATACAGCGTTATTAAAAGTTGCAGAGCCGAGGGAAATGTTTTGGTAGAATGTGTTTAAGCTGGGATGCATACCCCCAAAACATTGACAAGTTCCAGGAGATACAGATGATCATTTTCTATCAGTTTGTTTTTCAAGTCTAGGCTTTCCTCCTCCTTTTATCTCCCCTGCCCCCGCTGACGATCTTTTTGTGGGGAAGATACACAGAAGAGGAGCAAAAAGGAGGCAGTGTTCTTTGAGTGTCTAAAATGTGCCTTTGTGGTTACCCAAGCAACTCTCTCCTCTCGGCTTTGTCTTCACAGTTTCCTTCTCTTTCCTGAACTTACTCTTCTACCGTTCATGCTCACGTTGCAGTCTGAACTAGACTACACAGTCTACACACTAGTATTCACCATAGATTTGATGTGCTGAGAAATAACAGCAGATTCTTGAAACTGCAGAGAGGCCCCAGCCCTCATGTTTTATAGTATGTTTCTATAATACTAGTACTGGCCAAGGTGGTTTGGAGGTTTTCAGACTTAAAAAACTCAGCCAGGAACCTTCTGGTTTCCAACTCAATTCTAGCTGTCAAGCCAGGGGCTATTATATTTTACTGGGTATGCTTCGATTTGATTCAATTCAACGCAGGAAGCTCTTTCTGTCACCTAAAAGGTATGGCAAAAGGAAAACATTCAAAATAATTTCTCATTTCTAAAACTGTGCTCCTAACTTTTTAAGCCTGGAGAGGATCTAGTCAGATGCAGCCCCAACATCAGATAAAAGAAATGCTTTCAATTAATAGTAGCATGAACTGACATTTTCAAGGACTATTCTGAACTTTTCTTCATGTTTGGGTCAGAAGCAGAAAAAGAAAATCCTTGCTCTGAAACCCAAAATACATTTTCAAAAAAACAACTTATTTCATTGGCTATTATTAAATCTTTACCATGAATTCATCATGGAATAAAAATCCACCATTGTTTTCTTTTCTTTTCTTTTCTTTTTTTTGGTGTTAAGACATACACTCTCTGTATCCAGGACCAGAAAGGAGGATTCAGAGCAGGCCTGGACCTGGAAGTTCCAAGAGAAATGAAGGCAGTCAGGGCTGCCAGGAAGGCCTAAGCCTTCTCAAGAGAGACACTGAATACCTCTTAGAAGAGGCCCAAATATCACCAAGATTAGAACCAAATACAGTCTTTCCTAGGTTCTTCAAACTGCAATTGACCCGAGATGTGACCAGATCTTCAGAGCAGAAGCCACAATTTCTTCCTGGACACACATCTCTCCTGCCCACTGCAACTCTGAACTCAGGCGTGGACTTGCCTGGTCAATACAATGGCGGAAGAAGACGGCAAATCAGTATGCTGTTCAGCTTCCCAAGTCTCATTCTTAAAATATTTTACCCAGTAGCTTTAGGTTATATGTCCCTGAGTCACCCACAGTTGCATGTTATTGACGTGGCAGGTAGTTTCTTTCGGCTAGGGAAGCTTTAGGCAATCTAGTCAGAAAATGAGGGACAAAAAGGAACACCTGATTTGTCTGGTGGCATGGCAAGTTAGTAACTAAGCCAGGATTCGCATTTCCAACCTCCTGAAAAACACATCTTTTTTTGTTGTGTTGTTGTAAAAAAACACAATTAATCATGAGGTAAATTTGTAGGAAATGCTACTTCCTTAATAGTGAGAGGTGGGGATCATCTTGTGTTGTAAATTCCCTGAAGAATGGAAAACACTAGCCAACCTTATTTATCCAGTCTTTATTATTGAAACACTGCATTTCCAAACCACAACCTTATTTATCCAGTCTTTATTATTGAAACACTGCATTTCCAAACCACAACCTTATTTATCCAGTCTTTATTATTGAAACACTGCATTTCCAAACCACAGTGGTTTCTACTAACAAAGTGTCTACACTTCATTTCTCCATTAATTACAAACATTTCAGGGTAATTACACTTAACACTTTATTTTGTATCAGCTGACCCTCACCACAATGCAGGGAGGTAGGCCATCATGCCCTCTATTTGTTTTCCCCCTAAAGGAGAAGGCTGAGAAACAAGTTTTTTGCAATTATACAAATATTTGGTGAAATTCAGACCAAATCTGAGAGGACTACTGATGAGTTCTTTTCACTATAGACATTCATTCTATCCAAGAATGGGGAAAAAAGGAGAATGGAGGATTTCTTCCTTGCTTTAATTGGACAAATGAGATAGCAGGATGGCTGACACAAAAATACCCCTAAAAATGGTTTGAGAAAGTATGAAAAGTAGCATTTTTATCCCACTGTGTAAACTGCTTACATCTTAACTATGCAGCCTATCTTACTGTATCTAATTGCATCTGAAGATAGTTTCTGACTACCTTTTAAAAAGATTGGAAATGAATCCATTTCATAATTCACTTATTTATAAACATGGCTTTGTTTCATACAAAAGAAGCCTAAAAGACTATCCAAGAACCAATTTTTTTTAAAAAAAATTGAAATTACACATTACTGCCAGATACATTTTCCCAGATAAGACTTTTTGATCAAAAAGAAAAAAAAAAGTCAGTGGCTCCCCATTGCTTCCTAACTAAAGCTGAAACTCCTTGCTCTAGCACTGGACACCAACTCACTACCTCTTAATGTTGCCTTAATTACTTAACTTGACAAACTCTTAGTCTTGCATTCTCTAACGTATCACCTTGCCACATACTCGTAAGAGCTCACTCAGCAGGAAGTGACCTTTCCCTCCTCTGAGCCTCTATAGCACTCGGCTTACAACTCACAAGGCATTTATCACTGTATTGTCTTACCTACCTTACTAGACAGAAAGCCAAGGACTATTTATGGGCACGTACACACACACACACACACACACGTATGAATAATCTTTATCCCTTCCATTGTCTAGCATAGGAGACACTCAAAAATACTTGCTGAATGATGGTCAGGTGCACTGGATCATGCCTGCAATCCCAGCACGTTGGGAGGCTGAGGAGGCAGGATTGCTTGAGCCCAGGAGTTCCGGACCAGCCTGGGCAAAATAGTGAGACCTCGTCTCTACAAAACACACACATACACAAAAACTAGCCAGGCATGGTGGCACATCCCTGTAGTCCCAGCTACTTGAGAGGCTGAGGTAGGAGGATCCCCTGAGCCCAGGAAGGGGAGGTTGCAGTGAGCAAGAATGCGCCACTGCACTACAATGCGGGTGACAGAGTGAGACTCTATCTCAAAAAAAAAAAAAAAAAAAAAAATGGCCAGGTGTGATAGCTCACACCTGTAATCCCAGCACTTTGGGAGACTGAGGTGGAAGGATTGCTCGAGGCCAGGAGTTCAAGACCACCCTGGCCAACACAGTGAGAGCCCATCTCTACAATAAATAAATAAATAACTAGACCTGGCACAGTGGCTCACGCCTGTAATCCCAGCACTTTGGGAGGCCGAGGCGGGAGGATCACAAGGTCAGGAGTTCGAGACCAGCCTGACCAACATAGTAAAACCCCGTCTCTACTAAAAATATAAAAATTAGCCAGGCATGGTGGTGCGCACCTGTAGTCCCAGCTACTCAGGAGGCTGAGGCAGAAGAATCGCTTGAACCTGGGAGGCAGAGGTTGCAGTGAGCCAAGATCACGCCACTGCACTCCAGCTTGGGCAACAGAGCGAGACTTCATCTCAATAAATAAATAAATAAATAAATAGGAAAAATACACATTTGCTGAATGAAATTTACTATGGAGATCTACTAACTGAAAAATCCTTATAATGAGTTATTTTATAATGCAAATACTTCCCAATTTGGTCTGAGTTTCTGCACACCTGATTTTCTTTAAACTATGTACAACTTGACTTATATACAGTATATGTTATGTGCTACATATATGACTCATATTGCTTCACGACTTAAGCAACCTATAAATGTATAAGGTAGCATTTAGCTTCTACTTTGTTTACTTACAACTAAAGTTGTGATAAAAGATATATAACAAAACTTTACAATTAGAATCAAGAGGAAGAAACAACCCGACTATAGCAACAGTGCTGTGCAAACACAGAGTGCAACTGATTCAGTGAATGAGTCATTCATTAGATTTTTTCCATTGTTTTCCTATAATTTAATAACATTATTTATACTGAGCCAATAAGAAAAGCAAGTGATTTTGTGCAGCAGTAATCTAAAGTAGATGAGATTTATAAGGCACGAACTCAGTTGCTAAGAGACAACTCCATGGCTTTATTTTTCTTCAATATTTCCCTCCTCTATGGAGAAGTTCTCTTGGCTTGGAAGAGCAGAAAGCATGAAAAGAGGCACAGTGGTCCTTTGTTAACCTCAATAAGTGATATGTGTGTATAGTGCTTTCTGGTTTATAAAAGCCTTTCACATATATTTCTTCCTTTGACGGAAGAAACAGAATTAAACAACAAATAAAAATGAAGAGTACCTAGTCTATAATGAGTTTGATGCTTACAGTCAAGGCTATTAGCAAATATTCAGGAAAAGTAAAGCCTAAAGAAGAAAAGAGGGAATGAATAGTTTGTCTAGAGATAATAAAAGGAAGGTGAATTTTTAAAAAGACAAAAATAAGGCTAGAAAAGACTGAGTGGAGAAAGCCTACAGAATTTCAGAAAGCTAAAGAAATTGGAAATTAGATTGAATATAGATAGAAATGGGAGGACAATGCAGCCAATGAAAGACTGTGGGGACTAATAAAGGGAGAGCCCTGTGGTTTGGAAAGTGTCCCTTAATCAGCCTGCAGTGCTGCAAAACAGAAACCCAGAGAGGGTGCTTGAGAATATACAAGAACCCTGCGGTGGTGACTGAACAAAACGCAGCCAGGGATTTCATCAGAAGCATAATCCATTCATGGCACAGTCTGGCAGTGCTGGGGAGCTGGTAAGATACACACAGGCACCTATGGAACAAAAGAAATATTTGAAGTTCAAAATAATTCTGAGATTTCTAGCCATGGCTGCACTCAGTGTTTGAGTTCATATGAGAAGCAGAGCCAGAGGTATAAAAACAAAAAATAATCTTTAACCAGGAGGAAGATAGCAGTCTTTGAAGAACTCAGTAGAATGTGATTTGGGTGAAGACAGGAGATATCACGAAATTCTTGATTTCTTGTGATTACTCTGAATTGCTTGCTGTTTGGTAAGAAAAGATGAAAGACCCATCTATTTAGCCTAAAAATGAGAAATGCTCACTCATTCCTGTGCCTATTTCCAATGCTCTGACTGCAGAGCTTAAAAACAAACCACAGGTAGAAACTCTGTACTCTTACTTGGGCTATAAGGTCCCTTTTCTGTTTTCTTAACTCCTCACCCTTTTCACCTCATGATACACATACAATGATAAAATGTGGATACAATGCTGGGTTTGGGTTGATCCAGGCCCTGTTGGCTAAAGGGCTGCAGGGATCTGTACCCTGGCACATAATGCATAGGCTGCTGCACACCAGGTAGAAAACTTTTTCTGAATACACAGGGAGGTAAGTCACAAAAATGCACAGAAATATAAGCATTAAAATAAAAATCTCTCCCCTAAACTGACTTTAGAATAATTTCTAAATTTGAAACAACAAAAAAAATCGAACACTAGAATAAGATTTCTCTCCCACACTGACTTTAAAATACTGTGAGTTTTAAGCAATGAAACACACTTTGGCCCTTCCAAAAGCTTTACAAGACTAGTTTGGGAGACTTCTGCTTCCAGAAAGATGGGGTAGATGTACTTAGCTACTCCTCCAGCTAAGAAAAAGAAAACCCTCGATAACCCACAGAATGGGAGAAAATATTTGCAAATCATATTTCTGACAAGACTCTAGTATCCAGAATATATAAAACAACTCTTTTTTTATTTTTATTTTTTGGAGACGGAGTCTCGCTCTGTCACCGAGGCTGGAGTGCAGTAGCGCCTTCTTGGCTCACTGCAGCCCCCGCCTCCTGGGTTCAAGCGATTCTCCTGCCTCGGATTCCCAAGTAGCTGGGACTACAGGTGCACGCTGCCATGCCTGGCTAATTTTTTTGTATTTTAGTGGAGACAGGGTTTCACCGTATTGCCCAGGCTAGTCTTGAACTCCTGAGCTAAGGCAATCCACCTGCCTCGGCCTCCCAAAGTGCTGGGATTACAGGTGTGAGCCACTGCGCCCAGCCAAAAGAACTTTTATAACTCAACAAATAAGAAGAAAAATAACCCAACATAAATATGGGCAAATGATTTGAATAGACATTTCTCCATAAGAGATATACAAATACCAAAAAGCACATAAAAAGGTGCTCAAACATTATCAGTCATTAGGAACATGAAAATCAAAGCCATAATAATATACCACTTCATGCCCACAAAGATGGTAATCAAAACGATGAACAATAACAAGCATTGGTGATGATGTGGAGAAAATAGAGCCCTCCTACATTGCTGCTGGGAATGTGAAGTGGTGTGGCTGCTGTGGAAAACAGTTTGGCAGTTCCTCAAAAAATTAGACATACAGTTACCATATGAAAAGCAATTCAAGTCCTAGGTATATGCCCAAGAGAATTAAAAACACATGTTCACACATAAATTTGTACACTGATGTTCTTAGCAGCACTATGTCCAGTAAGTGTAAACAACCCGAATGTCCATCAACTGATGAGTGGGTAAACAAAATGTGGAATAGCTATACAACAGAAGATTATTTGGCAATAAAAAGGAATGAAGAACCGACACATACTACAGCATACATGAATCTTGAAAACATTTCACTAAGTGAAAGAAGCCAGACATAAAAGGCTACATACTGTATGATTGCATCTACACGAAATGTTCAGAATAGCCAAATCCATAGATAGAGAAAGTAGATTAGTGGTTACTCAACATAGTAAATATGTCAATTCTCCCCATGTTGACAAACAGGCTTAATGCAACTCCTATCAAAATCACAGCATTTAAAAAGTAAATGTAAATATGATTATTCTAAAATTCATATGGAAAGGCAAGGGAATTAAAATAGCTAAAATAACTGTATAAAGAAAAAGAAAGGCTGGGCACTGTAGCTCATGCCTGTAATTTCAGCACTTTGGGAGGCCGAGGCAGGTGGATCACTTGAGGTCAGACGTTCATGACCAGCCTGGCCAACATGGTAGAACCTTGTCTCTACCAAAAAATACAAAAATATTAGCCGGGCATGGTGGCGCCCGCCTGTGATCCCAGCTACTTGGGAGGCTGAGGTGGGAGAACTGCTTGAGCCCAGGAAGTGGAGGTTACAGTGAGCCAAGATCACAGCACTGCACTCCAGCCTGGACTACAGAGTAAGACCCTGTCTCAAAAAAAAAAAAAAAGAAAAAGAAAGTGGGCATAGTCAGTTTAACCAATTTTAAGTATCCAATTTACTATACAGCTATAGTAATCAATATTAGGATATTGGCAGAAGGCAGACACATGGATCATGGGATCAGAATAGAGAACCCAGAAATAGACCCACGTAAATATGCCCAACTGATTTTTGACAAGGGTGAACACGTAATTAAATAGAGAAAAGGTAACCTTTTTAACAAATGGCACCAGACCAATTGAATATCCGTAAGCAAAAACTTAGTCTTGATGTGAGTCACATCTCTTATACAAAAATTACCTCAAAGTTTATCATGAACTTATATATAAAACTTTTAGAAAAAAAATCATGGTAGAAAAAAAAATCATTGGGATCGAGGCCAGGCAAAGACTTTTTAGACTAGACAACAAAATAATGATCCATAAAAGGAAAAGCTGATAAAATGGACCTCATCAAAATTAAAAACTTTTGTTCTTCCAAAGACCCTGTTAAGAGGATGAAAAGACAAGTTATGAACTAGGAAAAAATATTTGCAAACCATATATCTGACAAAGGATCAGTAGCTAGAATGTATAAGGAGCTCTCAAAATTCAACAGTAAAAAAGCAAACAAACGAATTAGAACATAGGCAAAAGATATGAACAGGTATTTCACCAAAGAAGGTATACAGAAAACAAACAAGCACATGAAAAGATGTTCACTATTACCACAGGAAAATGCAAATTAAAACTGCAATGGGCTGGGTGCGGTGGCTCATGCCTGTAATCCCAGCCAAGGCGGGTGGATCACTTGAGGCAGGAGTTTGAGACAAGCCTAGCCAACATGACAAAACCCATCTCTACTAAAAATACAAAAATTAGCCAGACATGGTGGTGCGCACCCGTAATTCCAGCTACTTGCAAGGCTAAGGCAGGAGAATCGCTTGAACCTGGGAGGCAGAGGTTGCAGCGAGCCAAGATCATGCCACTGCACTCCAGCCTGGGTGACGGGATAAGACTCTGTCTCAAAAAACAAAACAAACCAAAACAAAACTGCAATGATATATGCCACCACACAGCTATCAGAATGGCCAAAATAAAAGCTGGTGACAACACCAAATGCTGACAAGGATGTGGAGAAAATGAATCATTCATCCATTGCTGGTGGGAATGTAAAATGGTACAGTCACTTTAAAAAACAGTTTGGCATTTTCTTTAAAAACTACATGGGCAACTACATTGTGACCAGCAGTTGTACTCCTGAGCACTTATCCCAGAGAAATGAAGATTTAGGTTCAAACAAAAATATGTGCATAAGTGTTTATAGCACTTATACTTTAATAGCCAAAAAGTGGAAACAACCCCGATGTCCTTCAACAGGTGAATGGTTAAACTTGGTACATTCATATCATGGAATACCAGCCATTAATAAAATGGAACAAATTACTGATATATGCAACAACCTGGATGAATATCTAGAAAATTATGCTAAGTGAAAAAGCCAATCCAAAAGGTTGCATACTGTATGATTCCATTTATACAGCATTTGTGAAATGACAAAATTACAGCAATGTAGAACAGACTGGTGATCGCAGGGGCTAAGGGGTGGGAGTAGAAAGTGGGTGTGGTTATAAAAGGGCAACATAAGGAATCCGTGTGGTGATGGAAACGTTCTGTATCTTGACTGTGTGTATCAAATGTCAATATCACAGTTGTGATAGTGCATTATAGTTTTGCAAAATGTTACCTCTATGGGAAACTGGGTAAAGCGTACATGGAATCTCTCTGCATTATTGTCTACAAAATATATATGTATCTACAATTATGTTAAAATTAAAAGTTTAACAAAAAAGCCAGTTTAAAAATCTCAGGATATAAAAGGACATATGTATTTAATATGTATTGTAAAAAGCAGATATACTTTTATCTCAATATCAAAAAAATGAAATTAATCTTAGGCACCATTATTGAGTCAAATTTTGGTTATGAATTGAGAAATTAAAGAGGAAGAAGGGAGCTGTCCTTCACAAATCCCAGTTTAATTTCCAGGAGGAAAGAAAAAAAAAAAAACAAACTATGAAGGCATAGACAAATCTATATATCTGAAATAAACCTCAGCTCTTAAAGTTTTAATTATAAGAAAGTATACAGATTCCAAAAGAAATTCCTTCCTTTATAGTAGTCTGTAAAATAATATCTAGACTCCTCAGAAAAAATACAGCATTTTAAATCTAGGTGCTTACCTCACAGAATCACTTACTTCAGAAGGGTGGATCACAGTTGCAATTAGGGGTTAGATGGGTAGAGATGAAAGAGCTGAGGGTTTTTGTGGCAGAAGAAACAAGGCTTGGGGGAAATACAGGAACAGTACGGCCTAAGAAACAGTACACCAGACTTGGCACCAGATCTCCAATATTGACTTCCTCATCCTGTATATAATCCTAGTTCTCTCTCCTTTATTGAACTCCGAATAAATCACAAAATCCCCGTGCCACAATTTCCTCTTCTAAGACAGAGATAATATTTTCACCTGCCCATCAAGTGGGATATTTGCAAGGATAAATATCTGTACGGCATGGAAATGTCTGAATGACGGGTACCAAGAAATAGCATCTGCAAATGAGGTGAATTTAAAACACTGAATTTAAGTCTATTTTATATGAAGAAACATGCATAATGGAAGATAATGATTTTTTGAAGGAGACTGGAGAAAGAGAAACAAAATAAACAAAATGATTTAAACAAAGTCAACATCGTCATTTACTTTTCTCAATTGTCTTGAGGTTACTAGTGGGAAATTCGGTATTGCTAAAGGCATACAGTACCCCAATCCACTAGCGAAACCATTTTAATCACGTGAATTTTCCACAGCAGGCTTTAAAAGGTTGAAAAAAAACAAAAACAAACAACCAAAACCTCACAAGACTGAAAATCCACTAGGGTCTGGGCAGCAGTCTTTATCACAACACTGAAAAATGGGAACAGCGTGGAAATAAGCAGTTCATTTTACCTGCACTGCAGCACTAATTAAATTCTGACTGGTATTTCAGTTACTCATTCAAGTCTGTCTGCCTCCGCTTGAATCTAAACTCTTTAACTAAAAAAAAAACACAATTCATACTCAGCTTTACATCTCTCATGGTCCATAACTTGCCATATGGTCAGCACTTTGCAAACACTGCATTGAACAAATATGCATGTGTCTAATCCGTTACTGCCAGTTTAAAGGAATATACTTAAGGTATTCCAAAATAGAGGCTGACCTCCTGATATTTATTTAGCTTCAGCCCTGAAACTTACTGAACAATGGTTTTGATTTCTGGAATTTCATTTTCTCAGTTTATATTATTTCTTATGTGGTAAGGAATAATAAGCTAAATTATGTAAATATGAATTTTTACTGATAATCTGAAAAACATCTTTCAAGGATAAATCCTGAGCCGAGAAAGACATCAGGCAAAACAGTGAGAAACTTTTAGCTGTGATTTATACCAGATATGTGGGGTTGCTTTCTGTCAATAATTAGCTATTAGATTTTTTTTAATTCTAATTTTCTAATCTTTACTCACCAGTGTCCAGTCTTGATTTGATATGCTGGTATCTTGGGTTCTGTGGTATCCTTTTCATCAGATACTAAAAAATAAGGAAATTCACAATTAATTGGGTTAATGTAAGGATAACGATAAGGTAAAGTCAGGAGTCAGATACTTTAAAAATGGAAAAAAAGTGCTAAAATTTCTTAGAAATTAAAGATGGTGCCGGGCATGGTGGCTCACGCCTGTAATCCTAACACTTTAGGAGGCCGAGGTGGGTGGATCACCTAAGGTCAGGAGTTCGAGGTCAGCCTGACCAACATGGTGAAACCCCATCTCTACTAAAAATACAAAAATTAGCCAGGCATGGTGATGGGCGCCTGTAATCCCAGCTACTCGGGAGGCCGAGGCAGGAGAATCGCTTGATCCCGGGAGGCAGAGGCTCCAGCGAGGTGAGGTGAGATTATGCCACTGCACTCCAGCCTGGGTGACAGAGAGAGACTCTGACTCAAAAAAAAAAAAAAAAAAAAAAAAAGATGGAATGAGCTCCAGAGGTCCAATTGTCTTTTCAATATAGGATTCTTTTCAACAGCATTTCCATAGCTGAATATATTTATCTTGTTTCTGTCAGAACACTTCCATATTTCATCAAACTCATCTCAGCACACTACCTGATAAGAAAAAAAAAAAAGCTGCCTAAAAAATTACTTTTTGGCCAGGCTCGGTGGCTCACACCTGTAATCCCAGCACTTTGGGAGGCCGAGGCAGGTGGATCACAAGGTCAGGAGATAGAGACCATTCTGGCCAACATGGTGAAACCCCTTCTCTACTAAAAATACAAAAATTAGCTGGGCATGGTGATGCACACCTATACTCTCGCTACTTGGGAGGCTGAGGCAGAAGAATCACTTGACCCCAGGAGGCGGAGGTTGCGGTGAGCGGAGATCGTGCCACTGCACTCCAGCCTGGGTGACAGAGTGAGACTCTGTCTCAAAAAAATAAATAAATAAATAAATAAATAAATAAATAATTTCTTACATTGAGCCCAAATCAGTCTTTCCAATTTTCATTCAGTCCACTGTTGCAACCCACTGTAAGTCATCTGCCTCTGCCTCAAGAAATCTGTTAAGATGACCAAAGGCAGTTGTCCTGACCCTCTTCCATTTCACTTTCTTTATGATGGTTTCTAGGCCATTTCCTCTGGACACCCCTGAGATTTTATCCATCTCTCCCCTGCAGGGATCCAGCCCTAAGCACAGTGCTCCAGATGTGGGCAGGCCAGGCCCCAGGTGGGCAGGCTCCCGCTGCTCCCCAGAGTCTGTAGCTCCAGGGATGTCGACCATGGCATCTGCTCTCGTGGCAGCTGAGGCTCACCTGGGGCTCAGTTCAAGTTTAGGGTCAGCAAAAATGCATATGTCAGGTCTCCTTTGTGCTGCTGTCTGGTAGTTAACTCTTTGAATCCAAGCATAAGACATTAACCCACATTAAATTAGAGTGGCGATTGTGAAAGCCATTAAGTGAGGAGAAGCTAATGAACAAAGACATTATGAAATAGCACTTTTTGCTCAGGCCTTTTTCTGGCCTGCAGGTATGAAAGTCCTTTCTTCAATAACAGGTAGCTGTGGAACATGAAATTACTGCAATGTCTTCCTGGCTTTATCTTCTGCCACCCTTCCTCATGTTCCCATGTTGAAGTTGCTGGGAATGTCTCCTTAATGCAGCACACTCATTCAGGTTGCCAGTCTTTGCAGATGTCTGCCTAGAATGCCTTTCCTTCACTACTCCTTGGGCAAAATGTATGTCCTCTGTAAAGCTGTCCAGTACAGAACTAGGCACTTTCTTCTCCCTGGCTCCCAGAGTACTCACAGCCCGCTCCATTGTTTAAACCTCAATCTTCTTCCCTAGTCTAGGATTTCCCTGAAGGCAGGGACAATGACTTACTCTGGTTGTATTCGCCTAGGACCTAGTGCATGGTAAGTACACTTATTGATATTCAGTCAATAAGTGAATACCGAAAATGAAGATTGTATTACAGCAACTATCTGGTTCCTCAGAAGAGAACATCGGACTTATAAAAACTGCATCCTTTGCCTTTGAAAACAGTTAACTACAGCATACTCTGTCAGGAAGATTGCAGAATAAACATTTACGTATAAAATAAGGGTTTAAATGACCCACAAAGCATACAAACGATATGGGATACTTTAGTGTCTTACAAAATATCTGTTGGCCAGAGTTTTGGATTTCAGGACCAGGGAGAATTTTTTAAAACTAGAGGCACCTTTTAATATTGCCAAGGACATAAAAAACAAAACCAAAGCAAAAGCCTCACAACAACTATCTGCTATTTTAACATCTAAGGGGAAAAAAAAAATCCCAGAGTGAAAGGGTCAGTCCTTCAGTGTCATTAAAAACCATTCATGACATTGTGATTTTCACTTCACCCCAGGCAAATCACATCTTTATCACCAACTCTTAGCATCGGTCCTCAGATTGTGTTTGGAACCACTGAGCTATTTTATCCTTAGAAAAAGGTTGGAAAGCTTGTTTCTCCAAATGATCAGTAACTTGTCTATGAGAAAGTAACTATAATGCCAATTTCAATTCCTTCCCTAGAGAAAGACAGAGCAGATTCTTTAGTAAAAGAAGGAAAACATACAAAGATTGAAAAGCCAGACTTCAGTATAAATTCTCCAGAGACAGACAATATCATGGCAAAATGAAACAAACAAACAAACAAAAAACAGGGAAAGTATGTGCCTGGTAAATTGAGTCAAGTAACGCTAATACTACATTGCAGTTATCTTGGGCTAAGGGATTTTTTTTCTGCACTCTGTATTTTTTTTATCGTTTCTATACTCTATTTCCTGTTTTTACTTTTGTTTTGTTTTTCCCACTAGTTTCCTAGCAAAGCTTCTTTTAAAAATTCCAGGCTAGTCTCTGCTGAACCAAGGGGATTTGTCCATACCTAAGCCAAAATAGCTAAGAAGTGAGGGTGTCTCTGGGGACCAGGTGTGGTGGCAGCAGAATGATGAGGGGAGAGAGTGTGGACAGCTGCAGTGGCTGAGCCCTTCCCGCCCCCGGTTTTTCCTTACATAGACTAATGAGAAATCCATATGCTGCAAGAGAAAAAAATGTAGTTTCTTTTCTGTGTTCCCATTGCAGTCCAATTTCTTGTTCCTGACTTTCTAGTACCAACCGCAATGTAAAACTATTTGTGCTCCACTGCAAGCCGAGCACCATAGATTTTATGGGACTGACATACTTTTTTTTTATTTAAAATTCTTGCTTTGTGGGGTGACTGCTTTTTGACCTACTGACCAACTGGCTTTCTTTCAATTACATAAACAGGATGGAATGGTGCAAAGTGAAGAAGCTGAAAAAAGAAGCTGTTTTCAAGGAAGACTGTTCATTCCACAAAGACTTATTGAGCACCAACCATTCATTTGGTGGACATTTACTGAGTGCCTACTAGGGGCAAGCCTCTGTGCTGAGGACAGAGAGGTGAGAAACACAGTCTTTGCCATCCAGCTTTCACTGACTGCTGGGAAGACAGACAAGTGGATAAACAGACGCCAGGCTGCATGAGGAACAAGGAAAGGGAAGGAGGGGGTGTGACAAAAGCACATCAGATTGGCACCTAATCCAGGTTAAAAGAGTCAAGAACTGTTTCTTGAAAGGTCACTTCTGAGCTGAATTCTGAGGGTTGAGGAGGTTAGTCAAGCTAAAGGAGTAGTGGGTGAGAGCTACGGGGTTTCTGGCAAGGGAAAAGCATGGAGAAAGAGTGGAGACTAGAGGGAGTACCAACAGTTTTCAGCAATCTAACAGTAACTGGCCGGCCTGGAGCATAGCGGGAAATACGGGGACAAACGATGCTGGAGAGGCAGCAGGGGCAGATCACAAAAAGCCTTGCATACATGTTTAAAAAAACTTGGGTTTCATCCTGTAGATCAGTGGATCTCGAACAGGTACCATTTTGCTCCTTGTACCCCCAAGACATTTGTCAATGTCTAGAGGCATTTTTGGTTGTCCCAACTGGGTGGTAGGAGGTGCTACTGGCATCTTAGTGGGTAGAGGCCAGGGGTGCTGCTAAATACCCTACAATTACAGGACAGCCCCACCACAAAGAATTAGCCAGCCCAAACGCCAATAGTGCCTAGGTTGGTGAAGATGATGAGGGGTCACTGAAGAAGTTTGAAGGAGGAGTGACAAGATTATATTTCTGTCTTAGAAAGGTGACCCTGGCAGCAATATTGGAGAATATGAGTCAAGAAAGGAGGCATGAAAATCAGTTGAAAGGCTATCGTGCTAAGAGGATCTGTAGTCTTAAGGAAGTAAGGAAGTGGTAGTAAAGATGAAGAGGAAGAGACCGTTTCAAGAAATCTTTAAAATGTTAAATCAATATAATTTAAAATTGACTCATGTAGTAACAGGACAGTGATACCATTCTCCAAAAAAGGGAGTTGAGGAAGCACATATTAAAAACATAATATGGTCAGTTGGAGTGTGCTGAGTATGAGATATCTGTGGGTTGTCTAAAATGGAACTATCGGCTGGGCACAGTGGCTCACACCCGTAATCCCATTAATTTGGGAGGCCAAAGTGGGAGGATCGCTTGAGCCCAGCAGTTCAAGACCAGCCTGGGCAACACAGGGAAACTTTGTTTCCACAAAAAAAAAAAAAAAAAAAAAAAAATTAGCTGGGCATGGTGGCATGTGCCTGTGGTCCCAGCTGCTCGAGAGGCTGGGGTGGGAAGATCCCTTGAGCCCAGGTCAAGGCTGCAGTGAGCAATGTTCCTGCCATTGCAATCCAGCCTGTGTGACAGAGTGACACTCTCACTAAAAAAAAACCCAAAAAACGAAATGGAAGTACCTAGTTGGCTACTTGCATCTAGAAATCAGGAGAGAGACCTGGGCTAGAAAAAAACAAGATTTGGGAGTTGTCAGCCTACAGGCAGCAGAGGAAGCCATGGAAATGAACAAAATCATGCTGAGGAGAGTGCAGACTGAAAAACCCCAACATTTAAGGTCAGGTGGAGGAGAGGCACCTGGGATGAAACTCAGAAGAGGCCATACAAAAGTGGGTCATGAAAATTAAATCAGGAAGAAGGGAGTGGCCAACAGTGAACAATGCTGTCAAGTCAGAGAACAAGAGGTCAAGTATGAACAAGTGAACAAGAATGCTGTTCAAGTAAGAGACCAAGAGAAAAGTGAATTTGAATTTAGCACACCAGGACATTGTTGACGGCCCTGGTGGAAGCAGCTATGGGAAACTGATGCGGCAGATGCAAAAAACAGCAGATCAAGTATATGAGAGGCGAAGGAGGAAAGAGGACAGTAGCTGGATGATCTTTTCTTTTTCCCTTAAGAGAGTTGCTAAGGAATAATCTTTGTTGCTGTTATTTTGTTTTGAAAAAAAAAAAAAGGAGAGATTTGAGGATGTATATACAGGCTAATGGGCAAGATAAGAGAGGTTGAAAATGGTATGGAGAGAGTGGGAGAGGATGAGGTCCAGAGCCCAGACAGCAGGGTCAATTTTGGATCTATTTAAGATAAAGATATAAGATAGGTAGGTGGTCAGAATGAAGTTCATCTGGAAGAGGCAGGAAGTTGAGAAAGTTCCTGTTTGTGGTATCATTACAGGCTCTTTGAAAACAACCAAAAATGTCAAAGACCCTTTGAGGGTTTACATAAAAGAAAATGTCCTCCCTGTCTACCCACCACAGCCCAGCTATTTCAATTCTACGTGACTTCCAAGACTCAGGGCAAACTTATCTTCTGGGAAGATTCCTCTGAAGGCCTTAGTCAAATGGAAATCTCTTCCTTGACTGAATATTCACAGTTCTTTGTACCATTCACACGTCTTACTCCTGCACTTGGGACAGGGGCTCTATCTTGTAGATCTCTGTACCTACTACAAGACCCTCTACTAATGAGAGAGCAACAAGTACCTGCCAAATGAAGACCTGAGCAACATGTAGTGTGCATGCTGGTGCCACGTGGGCAGCACGGACATGGAGGGCTCTAGGGAGGAATGTCAAAGGAGATTGTTCATCCACTGGGGGTGATAAGAAAGACTTCATGGAAGAATGGACACTGGAGCTATGTTTTAAGGGTTGATCTTCTGTGGATAAAAAAGATGGGAAGAAGGAATGGAAAAAGTATTCCAAGTGGAGAAATTTTTAATAGCAAAGCCACTTTAAAAGCAAGTTTAAAGAACAAATTGTTCTATTTGCCGGAGATGATTTAACAACAATAAGAAACATGGTAATGCTGCTAACATTTATTGAGTACTTACTATATCATCAGGCACTAAGCATTTTACCTACATTATCTCATTCCCCACAACCACTGTAACCAATATTACATATGCTATGTGAATTACATCTCAAAAAAGCTCTTACAGAAAAAAAATGTAAAAAGTAAATATATTTTTTTTAAAATTGCTTTTTGCTCTACAAAAGACCCTGTGAAGAAGATGAAAAGATAAGCTACAGACTGGGAGGAAATATTTGCAAAGCACATATCTGACAAAGGACTACTATCTCAAATATATAAAGAGCTCTCAAAACTCAAAAGTAAAACTATTCATTGCATCAGTGTTTGTAACTGCAGGTAGTCAAAAACAACCTAAATGACCATGGGGAAACTGATAGGTAAAATGTGCTCTAGTCACATGCTAGATTACTATACAATAGGTAAAGTAATAAACTGGACATATTTATCAACATAGATGGATCTGAAGCATAATTTGCATGATAAAAGCAAATCGTATACAAATAGCATAACACTATTTTTGTAAAATTTTTAAGCTCACAAAATAATGTCTGTTTTATATGAAAAATATGGCTGCTGAATTAGAAAGATATACATTAAATATATGGGAGCAGATGTCTATAGTCAAAGGAGAAGAGTGGGAATAAAAGCAATAAGAACCAAAATTGGCTATAACTGAAGTATACAGATAATCAAATCATATCAGTCCATTTGTACAACTGAGGTCTTACAGAACTAGCAAAACAAAAAAACAAATAAACAAAACTGTGATACAACCACACCAAATACTTAGGTAAGAGTTAAAAGGAAGTCATTACACTGAGGTATATTTTTCTGACATGGAAAGATCTCCAGGATATATTGTTAAGTGAAAAAAATCAAGTCAAAGAACTATATATACAATGTTGTAACATTTATGTAAAACAAAACTACAAAATAAAACTCTTATATTTCTCTCCATCCCCCAATCACACACATGTTCAAATGTACAGAGAAGGTTTGGAAAAGATAACTATGAAAACATAGTACATAGTGATATAAGAAAATGTCCTGAATTATTCATTAAAAGTATAGAATTAAAAATAAAGGAAACAGAAACTCCAGGAAAAAACAAAAAGCAGTAAGAAAGGAAATGTAATCCTACATTTCCTTGTTTTGCAATAATATTTACAGTCATCACCAACAACACAAAAGGAAACAAAAACTCAACAGTTAAGAAAAATAGAAAATAGGCAAAAGACACAAAGAGATATTTTACTGAAGAGGATATATGGATGACAGATAAGCACATGAAAAGATGTGCTTGGTATCCATTAAGGAAATGCAACTTAAAACCACAATGAGATGGCACTACACATCTATTATAAACATTAAAATAAAAAATATTGACAGTGTTGAACGTTGCCAAGAGTATGCAAAAACTGAATCTCTCATACACCCTTGGCAGGAATGTAAAATGGTACAGCCTCTCTGGAAAAGTTTGGCAGTATCTAATAAAACTAAACATATGTTTACCATACAACCCAGCAATTGTACTCCTGGGCGTTTATCCCAGATAAATGAAAATTAACATCCACACAAAGAGTTATACCCAAATGTCATCTTTATTTGTAATAGCCCAAAACTGATGACAACCAAAATGTCCTATACTAGTTGAATGGTTAAAAAACTGCTGTACAGGCCAGGCACAGTAGCTCACGCTTGTAATCCCAGCACTTTGGGAGGCCGAGGCTGGTGGATCATTAGGTCAGGAGTTCAAGACCAGCCTGGCCAAGATGGTGAAATGTTGTCTCTACTAAAAATACAAAAAATTGGCCGGGCACAGTGGTAGGAAGCTGTAATCCCAGCTACTCAGGAGGCTGAGGCAGGAGAATCACTTGAACCCAGGCAGCAGAGGTTGCAGTGAGCTGAGATGGTGCCGCTGCACTCCAGCCTGGGTGATAGAGTGAGACTCCGTCTCAAAAAACAAAACAAAACAAAACAAAAAAACTGCTGTACATTCATACCACAGAATACTGATCAGGTACCAGAAAGAATGAACTACTGCTACATGCAACAACTTGTATGCGACTCAAGGACATTATCTTGAGTGAAAAAAAAAAAAGCCAATCTCAAAAGGTCACATACTGTATGATTCCATTTATGTAAAATTGTCAAAATGACAAAATTATGGAGATGGTTACCCAGGGTTAGGATGATGAGAGGGAAGAAAGTAGGTGTGACCAGAAGAGTAGCTTGGAGATATTTCTAGTGATGCAATAGTTCTTTATCTTGATTGCAAATCTACATATATGTAAATCTTGATTAAATCTATACAAGTGATAAAATGGCCTAGAACTATACATACATTGTGCAAATTTCTATTTTCTAGTTTGATACTGTACTGTACTCATGTAAAATATAATCATTGGGGAAAATGGGTGAAGGATACATAGGACTTCTTTGTACTATTTTTTTTTTTTTTGCAACTTCCTGTGAATCTATACTTATTTTGAAATAAAACGTTTTTTAAAAGTACAACAGAGCAAAAAACAGAGCTCTTAAAAATTAAAAACATGGGCTGGGCACAGTGGCTCACACCTGTAATCCCATCACTTTGGAAGGCCAAGGCAGCAGGTGGATGGCTTGAAGTCAGGAGTTCAAGACCAGCCTGACCAACATGGTAAAACCCCGTCTCTACTAAAAATACAAAAAAATTAGCTGGGCGTGGTGGCAGGTGCCTGTAATCCCAGCTACTTGGGAAGCTGAGGCAGGAGAATCGCTTGAACCTGGGAGGCGGAGGTTGTAGTGAGCCGAAATCGCACCACTGCACTCCAGCCTGGGCAACAGAGTGAGAGTTTATCTCAAAACAAACAAACAAACAAATTAAAAACATGATGGCAGAAATTAAAAACTAAAATGAAGGATTGGAAGATAAAAATTAAATCTCCCAAAGGGAGCAGAAAGACAAAGATGAGGGAAACAGGAGATGAAAGTTACGAAAATCAGAGAACCAGTCATATAGGTTATCTATATGAATACAGAACATCAGAATAATGAATTCAAGAAAAAGAGGATGGAGAAAATAGGAGAGAGAAAGTTAAGAAAATTTTCAGACTAAAAAGACATAAATTTCTGGTGCCTATCAAAATGAGTGAAAATATAAATATCTTTGTAAAGTCACACTGGGGACAAAAAAAAAAGGTTCCACAAGCTTCCTGAGAGGAAAATTCAGTCACAAAGCAAGAGAATGGCTTTGGACTTCACAACAACACAAGACACTAGACCACTAAGCAATGTTTTGCAAGATGCTGATGATGGCCAGGTGTGGTGGCTCACACCTGTAATCCTAGCACTTTGGGAGCCCAAGGCAGGATTGCTTGAGCCCAGGAGTTCAAGACCCTCTTGGGCAACATAGGGAGACCCCATCTCTATAAAAAATACAAAAAAATGAGCTGGGCACGATGACACACACCTGTGGTCCCAGCTACTCAGGAAGTGGGAGAATCATTTGAGCCCAGGAGGTCAAGGATATAGTGAGCCATGTTTGTACCACTGCACTCCAGCCTGGGTGACAAAGCAAGACTGTCTCAAAAAAAAAAAAAAAAAAAAAAAAGAAAAAGAAAAAAAAAGATGTTGATGATTTTCAACCAATAATTCTATACTCAGCCAAACTCACTGGCAAATAAATGTTAAGGTAGAATAAGAATATTTTTAGACATGCCTAACATTTTAGACATAAATTTTTAAAACTATTTCTTATGAATTCTTTCTTAAGAAACTACTAGAAGTTGTGCTCTATTCAAACAAGAGAGTAAACTGGGCATCTTTGTCTCGGGCACAAACATAACCACACGGAACATACTTGCTCCTCTTCCCCCACACTCCTAAAACTATTCCTCCTTTTCGTTCTCCCATATTCTTGATCTCACTCATGGCGCCAGCACCAATGAGTAGTCTAAGCTGAGACTTAAGTCACCCATCACGCATCTCTCAAAGCTAATCAGGAAGTATTGATGATTTTGCCCCCGTAAATATTTATCCTCGATTCCATCCCTAGTTCAATGGCCTTAGTTTAGATCTCTATCAAAATAGTAACTATTGGCAGGGCGCGGTGGCTCATGCCTGTAATACCAGCACTTTGGGAGGCCAAGGCAGGCGGGTGGCTTTGAGCTCAAAAGTTTGAGACCAGACTGGGCAACATGGTAAAACCGCATCTTTACAAAATCCACAAAAACCAGCCAGGCTTTGTTGGTGTGCGCCATAGTCTCAGCTACCCAGGAAGCTGAGGCTGGATAATTGCTTGAGCCCGGGAGGTGGAGGTTGCAGTGAGCTGAAATCTCCCCACTGCACTCCAGCCTGGGTGACAGAGTGAGACTCTGTCTCAAAAATAAATAAATAAATAAAAAATAGTAACCACTTAACCAATCTCATTTCCAGTCCTGGAGCCTCCTCAAACCCATCTTCCACAATGTAGCTACAGCCATCTGCCTAAAATGCAAATCTGACCATGTCACTCCTTTAATAACTCAAAAAATTTCTCAAATCCTGACCAGCAGACAAGATAAATATGTGGCAAACTGCCATTCTCCTCACCTATCTCTCCCACCCCCATGATACACAATATTAACATTTTTATTAATATTTTGATAGACAAATCATAACTTTATACATTTATGGGGTACAATTTGATGTTTTGGTATATACACACACACACAATGTGGAATGATTAAATCAAATTAACATATCCATCAACCCACTTATCTTTTTTTTGAGGTGAGATATTTGAAATTTACTCTCATAAAATATACAATTTACTCTATTTTGAAATCTACAATATAGTTGAACTTTGGACAACATGGGCTTGAACTGTGCAGATCCACTTATACCCAGATTTTCTTCTGCCTCTGTCACCCCTAAGGCAGCAAGACCAACCCCTCCTTTTCCTTGCCCCTTAGCAATGAAGACAATTAGGATGAAGATGTTTATGATGATACACTGCCACTTAATGAATAGTAAATATATTTTCTCTTCCTTATGATTTTCTTAATAATAATCTTTCCTCCAGCTTACTTTAAGAATTCAGTACATAATACATATGAGATACAAAATATGTTAATCAAGTGTTTCTGTTATCAGGAAGCCTTCCAGTCAATAGTAGGCTATTAGTAGTTAAGTTTTTTTGCAGGGGGGAGGGGAGTAAAAAGTTGTACATGGATTTTCTACTGGGGGTTATGAGTCTGCTGTAATTATTATTAACTATAGTCACCATGCTGTGCCAGAGATCTCAAAAACCATTCCTCCTGTTTAACTGTAACTTTGTGCCCTTGGATCAACATCTTCCCATTTCTGCCCTCCTTCCCCCCACCCTCCAGGCTCTGGTAACCACCATTTTATTCTCTACTTCTATGAGCTGGACTTTTTAAGATGCCACGTATAAGTGAGATCATGCAGCATTTAGACATTACCAATTGACCATGGCTCTCTTGCAGGGCTTAGACTCAGCCTTACAGCTTTCTCAGCCTAGTACCAGGCAGCCACCAAGAGATGAAACAGTTACAACTCCTATTTGGGATAAAGGCTAAGAACCTCAGCAAGGCAGAGAAAGCCTGGACTCCTACAGGGGCCTGTTCTGAGTTCACACACTCCTTACCTTCACTTGGGCTGTTCTACCCGGGATGATGCTTCACCTGGCTAATGAATGGCCTTGCCACCCCTTCCATCTCCACAACCCTTCTCTCACTCCCTCAGTTGAGTACTACCTATTTTCTCGTAACATCTTGCTCCCCGACCACACTGTACTCAAATTCTGTTCACAGGCTCCTTCACTAGACGCAATTTATTTATTGTTTATTTTTATTTTTTTGAGACAGAGTCGCTCTTATCACCCAGGCTGGAGTGCAATGGCACGATCTCGGCTCACTGGAACCTCCATCTCCTGGGTTCAAGCGATTCTCCTGCCTCAGCCTACCGAGTAGCTGGGATTACAGGCGCCTCACCACCACGCCCGGCTAATTTTTGTATTTTTAGTAGAGACGGGGTTTCGCCATGTTGGCCAGGCTGGTCTCAAACTTCTGACTTCGTGATCCGCCCGCCTCGGCCTCCCAAAGTGCTGGGATTACAGGCTGAGCCACCGCGCCTGGTCCACTATACGCAATTTATTAAAGGGCAGAGGCCTTGTCTTCTTTGTACGTCTAGCACCTACTGCACCGTGGAAGTTTCCAATAACGTTTGTTGAAACTGCCACAAATGCAGCAGGGGACTAGCGGTGAAACAGATGAAGAAACTGAAGGGTCCTATGGAGAGAGGGGTAAGCCTAATGTCCTATTTTGCCCGTTTTCCAAAGGTTTGGTCAGCTTACTCCTGCTCTTCCTGTATCCCCACAATCAGAGATGCTGGCTGGCTTTCAACACGTGCCATTAGTGTGCAGCGCTTCCTTTGTCTTTTCTGTTTTGTAACTGTCACTCCGAGACTGTAAGCCATTTGAGGGCAAGGGCTGTGTCTTTGGGTACTTCGCTCCTCGCAGTCACAAGTACTGGCGTGCGTACGCGGGGAGAGATCGCTCCTCAAAACGGGGTCCTGAACGCTGCCCCGCGGCCCCCAAGCCCGGCCCGCCCCGCCCCTGCATCCCGACCCCTCCTCACGCCGGCCCCTTCCCGCCTTCCGGGCGGCGGAAGTCGCTGGCTGCTCTTCCCTGCCCACATGAGCCTTTTCCGGTGCGCCCGCCCCCTCCGGCTCTCCGGCCGAGACCTGGCCCTCACCTCAGGGTTCCCAATGTGCCTCCGGAGGGACATATTTTCTCCAACCGACCACGTTCGGGGTTCTAGCCTCACGGGTTGCCTCTAACCCTAGCTTCCTACCCCCACAACCTTGTTCAGCCGCCTCCCTATACCCTCTTCTCCGATTGGCCCGTCTTCCCCGGCCGGCCAATGGGGGCCCCGTTTACTCTCTCATCTCAGGGTCGCAGAAGGGCAAGACGCCGCTCAATGGTTGCCAAGGGCAACGCGGGACGCCGGCTAGCGAGGCCTTTTGTTCTCTGGGCTGGGGCTCGCCGGCTCCAGCCTTAGGGCGGGAAGAGAGGCGCGGGGGGAGGGGAAGGCTGGCGCCTGCGCAAAGCCGGGGGCGGGGGCAGTGGCTTGAGAGCCGGGACAAAACACGAGTTTTAGCTAATGTGGAACCATAAATACAACACAAGACTCCCCATCCCCCAGCTCCGTTTTATGGCCGTTTCAACCAAACATCTGGGCTACTGATTCCACAACAGGGAATATTATATGGGCCAGGGTTGTTCAGCAGAAATGGGAGAGTATGGTTTATTATTTTCTGGTTAAGTTAATATGCGAATTATGCAAAATACATGGGTAAATACAGTAATTATCGGTGCTTTAAAAGCTTTTAGGCTAGCTATAGAGCGACATCCTTAATTGCAAAGCACACGCGCTATTCTGTGGTTCATCGTTCATTTAACAAATACTTAATAAGCACCTTATGAGAAAAGCTGCAGTAGGTCTTGTGGAGAATGGGAGGATGACTAGGACCCAATCCCGTCGTCATGGAAACCATTGTGACTCCTGCCACCAGCCACCACCTGTTCCCATTCCGGATCTGAAAATGAAGTCCTAGCACCTTTACAAAACAATTACACACACAGTTTGACTTGGCTCCTAAATGTCCCACCAAATCCATCAAAATTATTATTTCCTTTTACATGAAAGGAACAACACAGTAACCCTTTGTCCTTTGCTCTAAGTTGTTTTTCCAGGAATGGAGAAAGGTTACTCTGAGCAGTTCATACTCGCCAGTTGTCTGTTAGTGAATAATAGCACACATTTGAGCTACTTCAGGGTCTGTGAGATGACCCATTCAACAACATGGCCTCACATGCCCTTGTTCTCTTAGGCACTTCAGCAACCCAACCTTAGGGCTACACCTTGGATCATGTTGCCAGTCAGTGCTGCTTGACCAGAATTTTGAATTCTGGCCACAGCTGCTTCTTGGACTTTTCATGTCACTCTTTCATGTTTATTAAGTTTTGTCTTAATTTCCATAATCTTTGCCAGTTCTTTAACCCCTCTAAAATTCTCAGTCTCTCACTCCTCTGCTAAGGAAGGGTTTGAAGGCTGCAAAAAATTGGAAGGAGGCAGAGGGAAGAATGTTAATCTAGAAGCTTTTGCATAGCAAGCAGAAACTTCTAGATTCATTAGTATTTAGAATGTATGCTTACCTGGTGCACCTTGTGGGTAACCATAGAGATTATGGATAGAATAACGGGAAAGGAGAGAGGGAGATGATAGGGGACTACACTCAGAGGTGGTGAGAAAGACAGAAAAGGAGAGATTTAAAGACGTGTAGGTAAAATCAATAGTATACATGAGAAGAGGTAAGGGGTGCAAGGAATAGAAATTCATCAAAGATGGCTATAGTTTCTCTAACTTGAGGAACTGAGTAGATGGGCGATAATGCATTAATCAAGTTAAAGAACAACAGTCAAAAAGCCAAAACAGCAGAAAGTACAAGTAGGTCCAACAGTCCATTCAACTTCCATTCTTCAGTGTTTTGGCTCACTTCTTTGTACGGTTGTCTCTCTTTTGTTCCAGAGAACATCTGGTTTACTTGCCTCACTAGTCATCGTGGTTGTCACATTTGGACTGCACAGGAAGCATTATAGAGAGATTATAGAACCCGGCTGGTTCTTGGATCCAACTGACTGTGTGTCTGTGTGTCTGGGTGGGGTAATTTAAATACATGTTCCCTCCCCAATCCCTCAATTCTGATTCTGGCCGGCGGGTGGGGAGCGGGGGGTGTTGTGGTCCAAGGAGACTCTCCTTTAAAAGAGTCACCCCTTTCCTTCACATTTGGCCTCAATGGAATCCTTGGAAAGCTTAAAGCTATAAACCAAAAGACTTTTAACATCATGTATTTCTCTTTAGGATTCCTTTTGGATCCTGCTATGCCAAAACTGGATCAAAACGAACGCCAAGTGCTTACTTTGAAAAAATAGGCAAATGGTGGTGGCAATGGCTCACGCCTGTAATTCCAGCACTTTGAGAGACCAAGGCAGGAGGATAACTTCAGGCCAAAAATTCAAGACCAGCCTGGGCAACACAGTGAGACCGTGTCTCTATTTGTAAAAAATAGGCAAATGGTACAAAATGATAACTGATAAAAGAAAAACATCCAATAAACATATCAAAAAAACACAGAGCACCGGGCGCGGTGGCTCACCCCTGTAATCCCAGCACTTTGGGAGGCTGGCGGATCACGAGGTCAGGAGATTGAGATCATCCTGGCTAACACGGTGAAACCCCGTCTCTACTAAAAATACAAAAAATTAACGAGGCGCGGTGGCGGGTGCCTGTAGTCCCAGTTATCCGGGAGGCTGAGGCAGGAGAATGGCGTGAACCCAGGAGGCGGAGCTTGCAGTGAGCCGAGATCACACCACTGCACTCCAGCCTGGACGACAGAGCGAGACTCCGTTTCAAAAAAAAAAAAAAAAAAATACAGAGCAAGATAACTAGATCCCATTTTTCAACTATCAAATGTACAAAAGTTTTTTTCTTTAACAATAATGCTTAGTGCTGGCTAATGATTCATGAAACAACATGATCACATATTGTTAGTGCGAATATAAAGGAGCATGATCATTTTGAAGAATAATTTGAGAGTAGGTATTGAGAAGTCCTCAAATCTTAATATGCTAAGAATTCCTCCTAAGGAAATAATTGGACAAATGTACAGACATTACATCCATAGATGTTTACTGGAAGTATATTTAAAATGATAAAAATTGAAACAATCTAATTGATCATCAATTTAAAAATGATTAAAATAAATGCTGGCATATCTATACAAAGTAATCTTATGGAATCATTTAAAAGTATGTTTCAAGGCATAATTAAGGCAGTGGAGAACTGTTCCTGATACAGTAGATGAAAAGAGCAAGAAACAACTTTTTATTTAATATAATCCTGATTTGCATGGAGAAAAATACAGGTATCTGCAGAGAAAAATTGAAAGCAAAATCAAAAATATAAACCATCTTTGGATTATGGAATGTGGATATTTGTTTTATTCTTTATACTTTTATGTATTTCACAAATTTTCTTCATTGACTGTGAATTAATTTTATAATTTAAAAATTACATTCTCCCTCTAAGAAACAAAAAACCTGATGTTGACTTCAGCCTGGAAACTGTCTATGGCTTTTGTGTGGGCTGATTTAGACTGAAGCTGAATTCTGAGTAATTCCTCTATCTGAAGTGCCGCAGTTCTTGGCAGTAAAAGACTCTCCAGGCACTTTAGTAAGAGTCTTGCAATCAAAGTCGTGATTGCTAAGAGGTTCAAGCTTTGTTTGTAAGAGAAGAAATTCTGATTCTTTTCTTTAAAAGTTCCTACTTCCACTGATTAATCTTATTTTTCTCAAAGTTAGAAGTGCTCTTGCGAACTTCCATTTGTTTGATGTCTTCTTTTTAACCCTCTATGTGTTCCAAAAAGCTTTTATTCTCTGCAGAGCTGGTAGAAGCTCTAGATAGCTAAGTGTGGCTGGTTTAGGGCTATTTTGTGTTTTAGGTGCTCGTTTCCCTTCCCCTGGAACTAAATGGGCATTTTGGTGTCCAGCAGGCTGGCCCTCTCTTGAACCGAAAGCCCTCTGGACCTTCTCCCATTCTGAATCCCTCTCTTCCAACCTCACAACCCCCAAAGAACTCTCCACTCCCACCCTCAGCGCTCAAGCCTGATCTCCTAACTGCAGCCCAACACCCTCCCCTCAGACCTGTCTCATGATGTTACTTCTCTGATGTGGGCCTTGGCTCCTTCCCTTGGCTTCATTTACCCTCATTCCCTAAATGACATGCAATTCCAGATGCTTCTGGAACAATTCTGCCTAATCCAGTCCAGACCCGGGGTCCTTCCCCTGGCCTCCAGAAATGGAACTACACCTGAGGCAGTGAACCCACAGATCTGCAGGTCCCACTCTGCAATGAAGTCCCTGCAATTGTGGTAGCAATTTGATTTCATTCCACCTAGTGGCAGAATGTGTCCGAGGGAGGGACATACCAGCCTCTGAGTGGAGGCCTGGCCCTTGCCTGCCTCCAGCTTAGGCTAGAGTTGAAGTACTTGGCCTGAGCCCAAAGGGCTCAACCATCCCTATGGCCCCTTGCAGAGGAATAATAACTACCTCCCAGAATTTCTTTGGGACCATCACAGGCTGTGTTACTTTCTGATGAAACGAGGAAATTGGCATCCTGGTTGCTTGATGGGGTTGGCATTCTCACCTAGGCAGTTCTGGAGCCACCTCTGTGGGCCACATGGAACTCCTGGCTGTGGCAGAAGAGATGCATGATGGCCCTTCCAGCAAGATTCAAGACCTCTTTTACCATCTGTGAGCAAACCCAGTGCATTTGGTTGTCACATGCCATGATCTGGTTTCTGGCGTGGGATTTGCATAGAACAATGCTCTGCCACAGACTTAGTTCCAAGGGGGCTCTTGAACTGACCTGGGTCTCAGAACGGTCTGCCCCCAGGGGATGAAGGAGGAATCAGTGTTGAGAGGTACCTGTCTCGCTCTGGCACAATGGACAACTGGCGAGCCTGTGCCCTGCGAAGAGGCCAGTAAATGTGGATCAACTGTGTCAGATATTCACATTTCTTAAAATAATCCAGAAACCTAGGTTTTCATGTGAAACCTATGGGCCATTAACTTGTAGTCCCTATGCTAGATGCTGCAAATGTAATTCCTGTCCTTCCTGGTTCTTAAATAATCCATATCATACCCATAGTAAAAACAAAAACAAAAACCATATTAATGGAGTTCTGCTTTGATTTAGGATGTAAAAAGTTGCAAGGGAACATCACTCCTATCCTAAAATAAGAAAAATGAATAGCCTACAAAATCATAAGTTTCCTTTTTTTTTTTTGAAACAGAGTCTTGCTCTGTCACCCAGACTGGAGAGTACAGTGGCATGATCTTAGCTTACTGCGATCTCTGCCTCCCAGGTTCAAGTGATTCTCCTGCCTCAGCCTCCCAAGTAGCTGGGACTACAGGTGCCCACCACCATGCCTGGCTATTTTTTGTATTTTTAGTAGAGATGGGGTTTCGTCAAGTTGGTCAGGCTGGTCTCAAACTCCTGACCTCAGGCGATCCACCTGCTTCAGCCTCCTAAAATGCTGAGATTACAGGCCTGAGCCACTGCACCCAGCCAAAATCATAAGTTTTCTTGTATTCTTCAGAGAGTTGAGATCACAAAGCAACCACATAATGTAATTCCAAAAGTAACAAGCCCCACTGAGAACAGAAGAGATACACAAACAGTTTCACATTTGGCAGAGCACTAGGGGAAAAGGTAACCATCATAGAAGTGGGGAAGAAGAAATCAGCTCAAATTTTCACTAATCCTAAAGGCTGAGTTTGGGCTAGTGGATCAGGTTAGAATGACTGGAAGCCTGTGACAGCTAATTTTATGTGTCAGCTTGGCTAGGCCGTGGTACCCATGTATCTGATCAAACACTATTCTAGATATTTCTGTGAAGGTATTTCAAAAGACGAGATAACATTTAACTCAGTTGATTTTGAGTAAAGCAGATTACCCTCTATATGTGGGTGGGCCTCATGAAATCAGTAGAAGTCCTCAGGAGAAAAGAGACTGATCTCCTCCAAGGAAGAGGGAGTTCTGCCAGCAGACCGCCTTTGAACCCTTCCCTGGTTCTCCAGCCTGCCAGACTACCTACCCTGCAGATTTTGGACTTGTCAGCCTCTATAATTGTGTGAGCCAATGAACCAGTTCTTTGAAATAAATCTTCCTCTCTGCATACACACACACACACACACACACACACACACACACACGCACTTACCCTATTGTTTCTGTGTTTCTGTTTCTCTGGAGAACCCTAATACAGAGCCCCAGACACAAGGGGAATTTATGTTTACTTGTTGCAGTGTCTTCTCCAGCAGTGTCCACTGAGTGCTCAAAAGAAAGATGGGGGCGAGATAGGAGACCAGAGAGAGTCCCCCTTGGTGGTGTACATTTGCAGGACGTGACTTGCTGCTGCTTCTGAAGACAGTCACAAACCACCACCCATATTCTATGACCCTTCTCTTATTAAAGGGCTTTAAGGGAGGGGCAGCAGCCTCCCAGGATCACCAGGGGAGGGGTAGAAGCTAAACTTGGGAAAGGAAAAGAAATCATCCTTTGTGCTCTCATGATATCAGTAAATATCTAATGCTTCAGTGGGAGGGCAGAAGTAAAAGCTATTTGCTTCTGGGGTGGGGGTGGGAGGGTCAAAAAAACCTCTTGGGTCCAAGAACCTGAACCAATATAAAGTAGAGATAGACTACCTATGGGAGAGATACAGGTAAAAGTCTTCTGCCCAAGGTCCACCAAAGATACAAGGCAGAGTTTGGCTACCGTGGGGCAGGTGAGGGGAGGAGGATAGGAATTTGAGAAGGTCCCATCCCCCAAGCCCAGGTGCGTAGGCCTTGCCTAAGACTAAGGCTGGACTAGGAGATACAAGAATCACTACCTGGCTAAGCAACAACCCTGGCAACAAGTAGCAAGCAACAAGAGTCTATTGCTGAAGTGGAGGCAATACTATGGAGAGAAAACCCCACTCAACAGTACAGGTATGCAGGTACTGCTGAAAGCTGATGACAGAACAGGAATACTGAGAAAAACTCTCCACTCACCACACTAAGCACAAGATAATGGCACTTTCTGGTGCACTAAGGTTAGTGATAGCAAAAACATAACTCAGTCATAGCTCAACTGCTAACTAGATTAACTCAACCCTCCACAATACTAACTTAACAAAAGAAAGAGCATGGCCATTTCCAGGTATAACTATTTACCTCATCTCTCCTGGCTTGTACACATGATGTCCAGCATTCAATAATAAATTATAATACAAAAAAAGAAAATAAAAACAAGACAGAGAGAGAAAGAGAGAAGAGAAGAGAGAAAAAGCTTATTGTCAAGAGATAAAACAACCAACAGGACCAGGCTCAACAGAACCAGGCTCACCAATAAGGATACATAAGACAGGGATTTTAAAATAACTATCACTAATATATTAAAAGATCTAGCAGAATAGAAAATACATAGGAACATATGGGTAATTTGGAGAATAGATAGAAACTATAAAAAAAGTAAATGTGACAAATAAACACAACATCAAAAATGAAGAATCCTTGTAATAGGATCATCAGCAGGCTGGACATAGCTGATGAAGAAATCAATGAACTTGAAGATAGTATGATAGAAATGATCACAAATGAAACAAAGAGGAAAAAGTTGAGAAGGAAGTTACAGAACTCATCATTTAAAAACTGGAGAACAATATGAAGGAGAGGACAGAGAGGCAATAGGGGAGAGGAAATATTTAAAGATATAATGGCCAAGAATTTTCTAAAATTGATGAAAGATAAGGAACTACAGATCCGAGAAATTCAACAGCATAAATACAATAGAATGGAACAAAATCAAAATAAAATTTACCTATACACTCATTATAGTCACAGTGACAAAAACCCAAGATACAGAAAAAATCTCAATGGCAGCTAGAGAAAAAAAGAAGTATTATATACAGAAGAACAAAGATAAAATTACAGCAAACTTCTAGAACCTTAGTTGTACAAAACAGAAAACAATGGAGGGACATTTTTAAGTGCAGAAAGAAGAAAAAGAGTCAATCTTTAATTATATACCCAAGGCAAATGTCTTTTAAAAATGAAGATGAAATAAATTTTTTAGATAAAAATTGAGAGAATTCATTGCCAATAGACTTGTATTACACAAAATGTTGAAGGAAGTTCTTAGACTGGGCAACATGGTGAAACCCCATCTCTACAAAAAAATACAAAAATTAATAAGGTGTGGTGGCATGCACCTGTAGTCTCAGCTACTTGGGAGGCTGAGAGGTGGGAGGATTGCTTGAGCCTCAGAGGTGTATGTTGCAGTGAGCTGAGATCGAGCCACTGCACTCCAGCCTCAGCAACAGAACGAGACCCTGTCTCAAAAACAAAACAAAACAAAAACAAAGGAAGTTCTTTGGCAGAAACAGTATCATACTAGTGGAAATTTTGGTATACACAAAGAAATGGCTTGGGCACAGTGGCTCATGCCTGTAATCCCAGCACTCTGGGAGGCCAAGGCAGGCAGATCACCTGACGTCAGGAGTTCAAGACCAGCCTGGTCAACATGGTGAAAGCCTGTCTCTACTAAAAATACAAAAATTAGCCAGGCCTGGTGCTGCACGCCTGTAATCCCAGCTACTTGGGAGGCTGAGACAGGAAAATCGCTTGAACCTGGGGAGTGGAGGTTGCAGTGAGCCGAGATTGCGCCACTGCACTCCAGGCTGGGTGACAGAGCAAGACTCTGTCTCAAAAAAACAAACAAAACAAAACAAAAAAAACAGAGAAATGAAGAGTAATGAAAATGGTAAAAAGCAGTATAAATTTAAAAGACAATTAACTTTAAGTTTTTATTCTCTTTAAAAGAAAATGTACTAAGTACAATAGTAACAATGTATTATGGGATTTATAGCACATATAATTAAAATATATGACTACAATAACACAAAGGTTAGCAGAGGAATTGGCAGTGTACTATTGGGACATTCTTAGGCTATACATGAAGTGGTATTTATTTCAAGGTAGACTCTAATAAGTTTAATATACATATTATAAACCCTAGAGCAACCAGTTCTTAAAAAAGAGGTATAACTTGGCTGGGCAGGGTGGCTCATGCCTGTAATCCCTGCACTTTAGGAGGCAGAGGCAGGTGGATCACTTGAGGTCAGGAGTTCGAGACCAGCCTGGCCAACATGGTAAAACCCCATCTCTACTAAAAATACAAAAACTAGTCGGATGTGGTGGCAGGCACCTGTAGTCCCAGCTACTCGGGAGGCTGAGGCAGGAGAATCACTTGAACCTGGGAGGTGGAGGTTACAGTGAGCCAAGATCCCACCATTGCACTCCAGCCTGGGCAACAGAGTGAGACTCTGTCTCAAAGAAAAAATAAATAAATAACTCAAAATGGATAAAAAACCTAAATGTAAGAACTAAAACTAGAAAACATAAGGAGAAATCTTTACAACACTGGATTTTGCAATGAATTCTTAAATATGACACCAGAAACACAGGCAAGAAAGAAAAAAATAGATGAATGGGACATAATAAAAATTTAAAATGCTTATGCTTTGAAGAACGCCCTCAAGAGAGTGAAAAGATAACCCACAGAATATGAGAAAATATTTGCAAATCATTTATCTGATAAGCAATTAATATCCAGAATATATAAAGAATTTCTAAAACTCAACAAGAACAAAACCCAAATAAGAAATGAGCAAAGGACTTGAATAGACATGTCTCCACAGAAGATATAAATATGACCAATAAGCACATGAAAAGATATTCATCATAGTTATTCAAGAAATGCAAATGAGGCCGGGCACGGTGGCTCACCCCTGTAATCCCAGCACTTTGGGAGGCCAAGGCAGGTGGATCATCTGAGGTCAGGAGTTTGAGACCAGCCTGGGCAACATGGTGAAACCCCATCTCTATTAAAAATACAAAAATTAGCCCGGTGTGGTGGTGGGTGCCTGTAATCCCAGCTACTCATGAGGCTGAGACAGGAGAATCGCTTGAATCTGGGAGGTGGAGGTTGCAGTGAGCCGAGATTGCATCATTGCACTCCAGCCTGGGCGACAAGAGCGAGACTCCATCTCAAAAAAAAAAAAAAAAAAAAAGAAAGAAAAAGAAATGCAAATGAAAACCGCAATGAGCTACCACTTCATATCCAGTAGGATGGTTATTACATTATTATTAGAAAGAAAGAAAGAAAGAAAGAAAGATAGAAAGAAAGAAAGAAAGAAAGAAAGAAAGAAAGAAAGAAAGAAAGAAAGAAAGAAAGAAAGAAAACCAGTGTTGGTTAGAATGTGGAGAAGTTGGAACCCTTGGGCATTGCTGGTGGGAATATAAAATGGTGGGCTGCTGTGGAAAACAGTTTGGTGGTTCCTCAAAAACTTAAATATAGACTTACTAGATGACCCAGCAATTTCACTCCTCAGTGGTATATACTCAAAATACTTGAAAACAGAGACTCAAACAGAAACTTGTCCACCAATGTTCATAGCAGCATTATTCACACTAGTTAAAGGTGGAACCAACCCAAGTGTCTATCAACTGATGAATGGATAAGCAAAATATAGTATATATGTATAATGAATATTATTCAGACATAAAAAGGAATGAAGCTCTGAAACATGCTGTAACTTGCATGAACCTTAAAAACATGCTACATTACATAAGCCAAACAGAAAAGGGAAAATGTGTGATTTTACTTATGCGAGTTATCTAGAATAGGCAAAGTCATTCAAAGATAGAAAGTAGAGTAGAAGTTACCAGGGGCTGAGGGGAGGGGAGAGTGGGGAGTTATTGCTCTAAAGTTACAGAGTTTCGGCCAGGTGCAGTGGCTGATGCCTGTAATCCCAGCACTTTGGGAGGCTGAGGTGGGTGAATCATCTGAGGTCAGGAGTTCGAGACCAGCCTGGCAACATGGTGAAACTCTGTCTCTACTAAAAATACAAAAATTAGCCGGGCAGGGTGGCGGGTGCCTGTAATCCCAGCTACTTGGGAGGCTGAGGCGACAGAATCGCTTGAACCTGGGAGGCAGAGGTTGCAGTGAGCCAAGATTGTGCCACTGCACTCCAGCCTGGGTGACAGAGCAAGACTCCCTCTCAAAAAACAAAAACTTAAAAACAACAACAACAACAACAAAAACAAAAAAACAAAGTTACAGAGTTTTAAAGTTACAGAGTTAAAGTTTTGGAAATAGATGGTTATGCAATATTATGAATGTACTTAATGCCACTCAATTGCAGATCTAAATGTTTAAAGTGGTAAACTTCATGTTATGTACGTTTTACTACAATAAAAACAGACAGAACACAACCAAAGCTATACCAGCTATATTAATTTCAGAGTAGGCTTTAGAACCCTGCAGTGAACCTCCACAATGAGGCCTTTGAAATCCTGTCCTCTACCAATCACTTCCACTCAGTCTTTTACCATACCAAGAGTTCTTGCCATTCTGAAGACAGCTCTTCAAATGTGCCGTGTTGTCTCTGCCCTGAGTCTTTGTGCCTGCTTGTCCTTCTGTTTGATAAGTTCTCCCACTCTTCATCTGGTTACCTTCTACTTGTGCTTTAGGATAAAGATGGAAATCACCTCCTTCTGGAAGGCTTCCTGGGCGACCACCAACCCTCATCCCAGACTTTGGGAGGCGCTCTTTTTAAAGGCATCTGTGGGCTGCCATGCTATACTGTGATAGGCGACTTTCTTGTCTGCCTTCTTCACTACCCTATCAGCTCCTTGAAGGCAGGGATATCATGTCTCATTCTTTATATTCCTAGTACCTGGTATGGTGTCTGGTGTATGGCAGGCACTCAATCAATAGTTGTCAAATTAATATAATTATGGGACAATGCTCGTGAAGGGACATGGAAGACCAGGACATGAGAAGCTTCCCCCTTTAGCATACTGGTCATTCACCACCTTTTTTTCTACTGTCTAGTGAATCAGTATATAGGGCATAATGTGAAGTATCTCCCAATCTGATAAATAGTATCTTTTGATTGTTAAACTGGTGAAATCCACACACGATGGATGTGAATAAATGTCTGCAAATATCATCCTAAGAAACAGGATGCAACAGTGCCTGGAAACCTAATCAAAGCATGACGGAATGTGAAGGAAAGCTGTAACCTAATCAATGGCCTTAACAGCTGAAGAAAGAATATGTGAGCAGAAGGGGGGTGGTCTATAGGGAGTGCTGAAAAGTGGAGCCAAGGAACAAACATTTGTCATGATGTCTCTAGCCCTGTCAAGGGAAAGAGTTGTTTTTTGACCATTAGGCACAAGTATGCAGTCCACCCTATATCCCTATGGATGCCACAGAGCTCATCCAATTCCCTCCCTTTGTTCTGATTTCATGCTCACAAACAGCCTCCTGATTATAATTTGGCTTCCCATGTAGATTTTCCAACAGGAGAGAATGCGCTGACCAGTCAACATGAACATCTGGTCCATTTGGCAAGGAGCGTTCTCTTTGTATACGAATGCATTGGTGTTCTGGTTTCTATATCAGTCAGTTTATATACCCCAGGGTCTGCAGAGGTGCTCCTTCTTCCAGCTCTTGCTAGGACTGCCAGCAAGGTCCTGCTCCCCTTTGTTTGCACCCTTACCCAGCCAGTGTGGGCTGAGGACAAAGTATGAGGAGTCAGCCACAGCTCCTCCAGGTATAAACCCATCTTGCTTTGGGCTTACCTCTTCCTCATAGAGGTAAAGGGCTTTGGACCCACAGTCAGTGTTGATGGGCAGGACCTTCCCGCAGGGTTTTTCCTCTTCTTCAGAAGCCTGGTCTCTGCTCATGATACAGTGTTTTGTTTTTAAGATTCAGGGGGTACATGTGCAGGTTTGTTATATTGATATATTTCATGATGCTGAGACTTGAGCTTCTATGGAAATTGTCATCCAAATGGTGAACATAGTACCCAATAGGTAGTTTTTCAACCCTTGCCCCCTCCTTCCCTCCTTCCTTTTAGAGTGCTGTGTCTGTTGTTTCCATCTTTATGTCTGTGTGTACCCAATGTTTAGCTCTCACTTATAAGTGGGGACATGTGGTATTTGATTTTCTGTTTCTGTGTTAATTCACTTAGGATAATGGCCCCCAGCTGCATCCATGTTGCTGCAAAGGACGTGATTTCTTTTTTTTTTTAATGGCTGTGTAGTATTCCAGGGTGTATATGTACCACATTTTCTTTATCATGATACAGTTCTATCTTCCTGTGCTGTGGTTCCCTGCCAATACATTCATGCACCTTAGCAATAATTTTCAAAGGTCAGGGATTAGGAAAAAACACTTCCAGAGAACACAGCTGATATCGAGATGACTCTGGCTGTGGTTCACCCTGTCAAGGACTCAGGCATAAGTGGAATGGAGGAAGGAGAAGGAGATGGCCAGCCTCTACCCTGTTGAGTTAGTCCTGTTGGGATGGATGCTTGGATAATTTCTGTTGGTCCTAAGGCCTCCACCAACGTTTTGGTAGTGCTGTGGCTATTCTGGGGTGCTTTATCTTGATGGGCTGCTTTGAGTTCTGGAAAAATTTAGGAGCTAAGTTAATGGAATTACTGAGAGGAAATGCCAAATGGATTGTTGTTGGGCTGGAGAGAGGCCTTGTATACATTTTCAGGTTGAAAGGAAGATCTGTAGAAAGTAGAGAGAAGGAAGATGGGGTTGGTGAACCCTATTCTAAGAAAAGAAAAAAAACCTAAAAATTCGTAGTTAACTGGAGGAAATTAAGCATTTATTCTTCCTTTCTAGCAGGAACTGATTTCAGGGTAAGCAAATAGTCCCCAGTTGGTGAGGAAAAGCTCTGTCAGAAGAATGTCATCAAATAAATGCAGAAGGAATTATAAAATAAGAAAAGCAAAATTTTGGAAGCCCAAATAAAATTACTGATTCAGGCAAAAAGCTTCAATTGTTGTTAAAAAAAAATGCTGGGGAGCTAGATACTTGTATAGTACCAAACAAACACATCCCAGACAGCTTCTCAGTGGCAAGGAGGAAAAAACATACAATGAAGGGGTCAGGTTGTCAGCATCCTCATATCTGGGGGTGGTCAATCTTAGTTTTACTAATGGGTAGTGTATTAGTCTATTCATGCTGCTGATAAAGACATATCCAAGACTGGGCAATTTACAGAAGAAAGAGGTTTGATGGACTTACAGTTCCATGTGTCTGGGGAAGCCTCACAATCATGGCAGAGGGCAAGGAGGAACAAATCACATCTTACATGAATGGCAACAGGCAAAGAGACAGAGAGTTTGTACAGGGGAACTTACCTTATAAAGCCATCAGATCTCTTGAGATTTACTCACCTTCACTAGAACAGCACAGGAAAGATCCACCCCGATGACTCAATTACCTCCCACTGGGTCCCTCCCACAACATGTGGGAATTGTGGGAGTTACAATTCAAGATGAGATTTGGGTGGGACACAGCCAAACCGTATCAGATAGTCAGCTAGATATTATGTGTCCCCTGATGTAACTTGATGCAGCATACAATATAATTTATGGTATGTTCTAGCAAAATGTATTGAACTGAAACATAGAGTTCAGATATAACTTTTATGGGAAAACAAGAGATGGAGGAACAAGCTGAATGGCGTCATGAAGAAGCAATCAGAAAAATCAGAAGGACATTCTGCAAGATAACTGACCTGGCCTCTTCAGCAGGCCAAACTCATGGAAAAGGTACTGTGCTAGCTTCAAAGAGATTAAAGGGACATCAAAACAAGATGCAATACATGGTCCTAGATTGGCCATCCATTAGGGCAAACTAACTGTAAAGAAAAATTTTTAAGCAAATGGAAAAATTTGAATATGATTGAGGGTTAGTTGAAATGGAAACTTACAGAAATGGAAAGGCAACTGAAGTTTCCAGAGAGTATATTTAGTAATATGTCATTTGGTTAAAACATTACATATAAACACAAAGAAAGAGGCAAAAAGATATTAATGTGGGGCTTAGCAATTGTATATTCCCTTTTTTATTGAGATACAATTTACATACTGTAAACTCACCCATACATACCATATATTTACATACCATATTTTACAAGGTTGTGGCACCATCTCCACTATATAATTCCAAATTATTTTTATCACCCCAAAAAGAAGCCACATATACATTAGTACCCCATCTCCCCTTTCTCCACCCCAGGAAGCAATAATTTACTTTGTCTCTATGGATTTGCCTATTATGGACAGTGCATGTACGTGGAATCATATAACATGTGGCCTTTTGTAGCTGGCTTCTTTCATTTAATATAATGTTTTTAAAGTTCATCCATGTTATGGTATGTATGATTACCTCATTCCTTTTTGTGGATGAATAATATCCCATTGTATGGATATATTAAATTTTGTTGATCCATTTATTAGTTGATGAACACTGGGTTGGTTTGACCTTTTTTTTTTTTCTTTTCAGATGGAATTTTGCTCTTGTTGCCCAGACTGTAGTGCAATGGCGCAGTCTCGGCTCACTGCAACCTCTGCCTCCTGGATTCAAGTGATTCTCCTGCCTCAGCCTCCCAAGTAGCTGGGATTACAGGCATGCGCCAGCCACCATGCCCAGCTAATTTTCTATTTTTAGTAGAGACAGGGTTTCACCATGTTGGTCAGGCTGGTCTTGAACTCCTGACTTCAAGTGATCCACCCGTCTCTGCCTCCCAAAGTGCTGGGATTATAGGCGTGAGCCACTGCGACCAGGGGTTTGACTTTTTGACTATTTTGAATAATGCTGCTATGATCATCCATTTACAGGTTTTTGTGTGAACATATGTTTTCAATTCTCTTGGGTATATGCCTAAGAGTGGAATTTTGCCACATGGTAACTTTATGTTTAACTTTCTGAGGAAAAGCCAAACTGCAAGGCTGGGCACGATGGCTCATGCCTATAATCCCAGCACTTTTGGGAGGCTGAGACAGGAGGATTGCTTGAGCCCAGGAGTTCCAGACAACCCTGGGTAACATGGCAAGACTCTATATCTACAAAAGATATAAAAGATTAGCCAGGTGTGGTGGCGCATGCCTGTGGTCCCAGCTACCCAGGAGGTTGAGGTGGGAGAATCACTTGAACCCAGGAGACTGAGGCTGCAGTGAGCCGTGATTGTGCCACCACACTCTGGCCTGGGTGACAGAGCGAGACCCTGTCTCTAAAAAAAAAAAAAAGAAAGAAAAGCCAAACTGTTTTCCAAAGCAGCTGCAACAGTTTACATTTCCACCAGCAATGTATGAGGGTTCCAATTTCTCCTATCCTCTCCGACACTTGCTATTGTCCATTTAAAAAATAATAACCTTCCTGGCCAGGTGCAGTGGCTCATGCCTGTGATCCCAGCACTTTGGGAGGCAGAGGCGGCTGGATCACCTGAGGTCAGGAGTTCAAGGCCAGCCTGGCCAACATGGCGAAACCCCGTCTCTACTAAAAATACAAAAAAGTTAGCCACGTACAGTGGTGCATACCTGTAATCCCAGGTACTTGGGAGGCTGAGGCAGGAGAATCACTTGAACTCAGGAGGCGGAGGTTGCGGTAAGCTGAGATCAAACCATTGCACTCTAGCCTGGGTGACAGAGTGAGACTCCATCTCAAAAAATAATAATAATAATAAAAACCTTCCTACTGTGTATGAAGTGGTATCTTATTGTGGTTTTGGTTTTCGTTACCTGATGGCTAATGATGTTGAGCATCTTTTCATATGCTTATTGGTCATTTTTATATCTTCTTTGAAAAAAATTTTTAGTTTGTTTTATTTTGTTTTGGGGTAGGGTCCTGCTCTGTTACCCAGGTTGGAGTGCAGTGGCATGACCATGGCTCAATGCAGCCTCCACTTCTCACGCTCAAGCAATTCTCTCACCTCAGCCTCCCAAGTACTTAGGACTACGGGCACATGGCACTACACCCAGCTAATTTAAAAATTTTTGTAGAGATGAAGTCCTGCTATGTTGCCCAGGCTTGTCTCAAACACCTGGACTCAAGTAATCTTCCCTTCTCAGCCTTCCAAAGTGTTGGGGTTACAAGCATAAGCCACTGAGCCCAGCCTGGAAGAAATATTTATTCAAGTCCTTTGCCAACATTAAAATTAATTCATTCTTGTTTTCTAATTGTTAAGCTAAAATAATTCTTTTATATTTTCTGGACACTAGACTCTTATCAGACATGTGATTTGCAAATATTTTCTCCCATTTTGTGGGTCGTTTTCTCACTTTATGGGTCATGTCCTTTGAAGCACAAGAGTATTTAATTTTGATGAAGTCCAATTTATCTATATTTGCTTGGTTTCTTTTGTTTCTTGTGTCATATCTAAGAAACAATGCTTAACCTACATTTATGAAGATTTACCCCTATATTTTATTCTAAGAGTTTTACAGTTTTAGCTCCTACAGTTAGGTCTTTGATCCACTTTGAGTTAATTTTTGTATTTAGTATGAGGTAGGAGCCCAACTTCTTTCTTTTGTATGGGGGTAACTGCTTGCCCCAGAAACATTTGTTGAAAGGACTGTTTTCTCCCTAGTGAATTGTCTTGGCACCCTTGTCAAAAATCAGTTGACCATAAATGTATGGGCTTATTTCTGAACTCTCAAGTCTATTCCATTTATCTATATGTCTACCCTTCTGGCAGAATCATACAGTCTTGAATATAGTAGTCCTCCCTTATTTGAGGTTTCACTTTCCATTCGTGGTTTTAGTTACCCACAGTCAACCGTGGTCTAAAATATTAAGAAATTTTGAGAGAGTGAGAGCACACATTCACATAACTTTTATTACAGTTTATTGTTATAATTGTTCTATTTTATTGCCTATTTTTGTTAATTGCTTATTTTGCCTAATTCACAAATTAAACTTTATCATGGGTCTGTATGCATAGAAAAAAACATAGTGTGTGTGTGTGTGTGTGTGTGTGTGTGTGTGTGTGTGTGTATAGAGAGAGAGAGAGAGAGAGCTATATATATTGTTCAGTATCCACTGGGGGGCTGGGAACGTACTCCCCATGGTTAAAGGGGGACTACTGTATTGTAGCTTTAGTAAGTTTTGAAATTGGAAAGTGGAAGTGTGAGTCTTTCAACTTTATTATTTTCCAAGGTTGCTGGGCTCTTCTGTGTCCCTACCATTTCCATTTGATTTTTAGAATCAGCTTGTCAATTTCTGCAGAAAAAAAAAAAAGGCATTTGGGATTTTGATAAGGATTGCATTGATTCTGTAGATCAATCTGCAGAGTATTGCCATCTTAACCATTATAAATCTTCCAACCTATGAACTATATATCTTCCCATTTATTTAGGTCTTCTTTCACTTATTTCAACAATGTTCTATAGTTTTCACTGTACAAGTCTTGAATTTCTTTTGTGTCAGTAGAAGTAAGCTCTTATGGTCTTTCACAGCCCTGGGCACAAATATGCCCTATGTATGCATGTAGACTTGTAGAGTTTAAGGAATATGCAGATTTTTTAAAAGTTCCTGTGGACATTCCATTCCCAGAATTTTCTGTTAAGCTTTTTGCTTGTCTATTATTTGCTCCAACTGTTATTCATGAACTCAAGCAGCCATGAAGTTAAACAATTACCTTTAATTGTTTTTGACAAACATACTAGGGAAAAGGTTTTTTTACACTGATGAACTTTAATCACATAAAGCCAGCCTTGCAAGTAGGGTTCCCGGGAAACACCAGATAGGTAAAATAATGACAATTTCTTTTGAATGAGGCTTTGAAGGAGCTCCAGCTCCTTCAAAGTGGTGGGAGGTTGCGGGACTCTGCCCTCTCTGGTGGCTGCCGGGCTGCTGCTTTTTACTGCAATTGTGGGCTCTTTGTTTTCAAGGCTTCTGTGGATCTAGAAAGAGGAGCATGGGAATAGGGAAAGTTAAATTATCACAAAACTCATTGTTTTTACTGAGATTCAGCTGTTTTTCTTTTTTTTTAAGAGATGGGGTCTTGTTCTATCACCAGTCTGGAGTATAGTGATGCAATTATAGTTCACTGCAGCCTTGAACTCCTGGACCCAAGCCATCCTCCCACCTCAGCCTCCCACGTAGCTGGAACTACAGGCATGCACCACCATGCCCAGCTAATTTTTAATCTTTTCTTTTTTTTATAGAGACAGAGTCTTACTATGTTGCCCAAAATGGCCTCAAACTCCTGGCCTCAAACAATCTTCCTGCCTTGGAGCCACTGCACTCCTGGCCTTAGGTGTTTTTCTTGAATAAATGTTCTCTGAATGCTGTAAGCCTTTGGTTAATTTCCAGAGTTCTGAAAGGGTTTATTCTGACCATTTTTCCAGTTTTCCCATTGCTTTCATGGAGGAGAAGATTTTGAGGTTCTTAGTCTACTATTCTTGCTGATATCATTCAGCAGTAATAATTTCTTGGTGATGGTCATGTGGCAATTTATTTTGTAATACTGGTTGGTCTCAATGTTCTAATTTTCCACAATATCCATGTGATATGTCTGCAATAATACATGGTCATTTACATAAAGTAAAAGAAATAAAATCTAAAACTAAAATCCATGAAACTTTAGTTGCCATTTCAGGGTAAATCTGGCTGGTCAGACCAGGGACAATACACTAGAAACATTCATTTAACTTTCCCTGATTGGTTACTTCAGTGATCACTGTCAATTTACCTGTAACAACCAGAAGTAAAGCCTTTCAAGTGAGAAGTTTATCTGCATGTTTGTGGGGACAGCAGAGAGAACAGTGTAGTGACTGTGACTCTCCAGTTAGTTTTGAGAGAGAGAGCTCCTTGGGATGGAGGGGTAATTTTTAGGGTGACCATATGCTGGTTTCCTGGGACAATCCCAATTTATACCTGTTGTCACAGTGTAATAATTAAAAGCATCCACTTTGCACTCTCAAAAGTGTCCCAATTTGGACGATGAATTTTATGGCCACCTTAGTTATTGACAGCAGCAGCAGATGACTCAGGAACTACTGCAAGAATGGAAAACTTGGGGAGCCAGTCTAGGATTAAGAGTGGATGTAGGGATGACAGTCGAAAGGACTGAGCATGGCTCCCCAACAAATGCATAGAGGTTTCCCCCAACAGTGTCTCAGGTATCGCTTGGATTCTTGTCTCAGGGGAGTTCTTAGTTCAAGCTGATTCCTCCTGTGTTACTATAAGGCAATCACTAGATCCTCTTCCCACCTGCTCTGGCTAGCAGAGGAATTAAGGCCCACCTCCAGGCTCTTGCAGATATTTTCCATTTATCTTTGGTAAGAGCAGCCACATGACAATCCCTTTCTGGGCTTCTTGGGCCAAGATATGGCTTGCAATTTGTGGTACTGAGTTCTCTGGTTGAAGAAGATGCTCTGTGATAGTCTTCCAGGTGTCTGCATCTTGGCTGAAACTGCTTTGGAGGTTCGGGGAAAAAGACTCATCAACTTCAAGGATTTAGGTGAGTGATTAGAGAGAGACAAACAGGTAAGTCTTGCCGCCTAGAGATTAGGAAGATGAGGTTCTAAGGATTCAGGGTGACTGTTAAATGCAAGGTTTGGCATGATCAAGAGCCTTCTTTGGATTCTTTTGGGTAGGCTGAAGACAGGAAACACATTTCACTAGCTTTCCTTAAGTTTTTGGAGGAGAGGAACACCAGGCAAGCATTCTCCACATGTGGGGCAAATATGTAGATGTTGCTCACTGAGAAAATAAAACACAACAAATCCCAGAATCCAGTATGATCACCATAGCAATGTAAACCCTTTCTATGAAAGGAATGTTTCAACAAAGTAGTCACGAAGCAAGGGCGATGTTTTCCTCTGAATGCCTGTTCTCACCCTCACATGCAATTATGCAGGCATAGGCCAATGATAGGCAGGAAATTTGTTGATGAGTGCACAGCTCTTTCAAAAAAAAGCTGTGATTAGGTGTGGGGCAAATCAGCAGGTAGGGTCAAGCTACTCATGATAAGCCTGTATTGAACTAGATTCACCTGGAGGGAGACTTGTTTAAAAGGTATTTTCAGAGTACCTACAAAATTGCCTCATTTATGTTTTTTTCTCTCTTATTTCATTGATGTATTGAATTACATCCACTGACTTTAAAATGTTAAGCCAATCTTCCATTTTTGGGATAATCCCCCTTGGTCAGTTTTATTTATTGTTGCATTCAATTTATTAATATTTTGTCTATGTTTATGTATGTATGTTCATAAGGGATATTGGCCTGGAGTTTTATTTTCTTGTAATGTTTTTGGTTTCAGTATCACTGTATTGTTGGTCTCATAAAATGAATGTTTTCCCACCTCTGTTTTCTGAAACAATTTGTGTAAGCTTGGTATTATTTTTTCCTTGAATATTTAATAGAAGTCAGGGAAACCTCTCTCCTGTTCGGAGTTTCTCTTATAGGAATATTGTTTACACTTGACTTTATTGAGAATTTACACCCTTAAATTGTACCCATTTTAAGCATACCATCCAATGAATGTTGATAAATGTATATACCCGTGTAACCACAACTACAATCAATTCTGTCATCCTTATAAGTTCCCCTATGCTCTGGTCCAAGCAATATACATTAACCTGGTCCTAGGCTACCACTGGTCTGCTTATGTCACTGTGGATTAGACTTGCATTTTCTAGAATTTCATTTATATGAAATCATATGGTATGGTTATTGTGGTTCATCATACTGTTTTTAAGACTTATCCATGTTGTTGTAGGTATTAGTACTTAGTTACTTTTTATTGCTAAGTGTGGACATACTACAATCTGTGTATTTATTACCTGTTAATTGACCATTGGGCTGACTTCAGATTTTAGCTATTAATAAACCTACTATGAATATATATGTACAAGCCTTTGTGTGGACATATGTTTTTATTTCTCTAGTGTAAATAGGAATGGAACTGTTGGGTTGTATGGTAAATATACATTTAACTTTGTAAGAAATTGCCAAACTGTTTCTAAAGTGGCTGTACTATTTTATATTCCCATCCACAATATATGAGAGCCACAGTTTCTCAACACCTTCTCCAACACTCAGTATTCTCACTTTTAAAAATTGTAGTCATTCTAGTGGGTGTGTAGTAGTAAATTATTGTGGCTTCAGTTTGCATTTCTCTGATGACTTATGATATTGTACATCTTTTTGTGTGTTTGTTGGCTGTGCATCCTATTTTGTGAAGATCTCTTCAAACCCTTTGTCTATTTTTAATTGGGCAGTTTGTTTTTTTAATTCATGAGGTTTAAGAGTTCCACATATATTCTGAATACAAGTCGTTTGTCTGATACATGTTGTGAATACTTGCTTTTTTGGGGTATCGGTTATTATAAGTTGTATTTTTCAAGGACTTTCTCCATTTCATCTAGGTTTTCAAATTTACCAGCATAAAATTATTCATAATGTCTTTTTTTTTTTTTTTTTGAGACAGCATCTTACTCTGTCACCAGGCTGGAGTGCAGTGGTGTGATCTCAGTTCACCACAACCTCTGCCTCCTGGGTTCAAGCAATTCTCCTACCTCAGCCTCCCAAGTAGCTTGGATTACAGGAACATGCCACCACACCTGGCTAATTTTTGTATTTTTAGTAGAGATGGGGTTTCTCCATGTTGGCCAGGCTGGTCTTGAACTCCTGGCCTCAAGTGATCCACCCGCCTCAGCCTCCCAAAGTGCTGGGATTACAGGCATGAGCCACCACGCCTGGCCTCATAATGTCATTTTATTATCCTTTTAATGTCTGTGGGATCTGTGGTGGTAACTCTTCTTCACTCCTGTTATTAGCGATATGTGTTCTTTATCCCTTGATCAATCTAGCTAAGGGTTTGTTGGGTTTTTTGATGCTTTCAACGAAGTATCTTTTTACTTTGTTTATTGTTTTCATTATCTGTCTCTTTTCTCCTTTGTTAATTTCTGCTCTTTGTTATTTCTTTACTTTTATGGATTATGAGCTTATTTGCCCTTCTCTCTCCAGTTTTTGAAGGTGGAAGCTTAGGTTAATGATTTCAGATCTTTTTCCTTTGGATGAGGTATAAGCTTCCCTATGAGCACTGCCTTGGCTGCATCCCAGAAATTTTCATATGCAGTATTGTATTTTCCTTGTCATTTAATTCAAAATATGTTTTCATTCTCTTCATGATTTTATCCTTGATCCCAAATTATTTATGTTTGTTTAATTTCCTTTTATATGGTGTTGTGAAGATTATACAAAAGAAACTTGAACTCCCGTTGGCATTTGATTCAGTGCTAGATAGCTTTAAGTCTTAGTTCCTGCCTGTGTTTATTGCCTCCTGCAGTACCCTGATAAAGCTCACTCACCCTCAGGTCTCATAAGCACATGTGCCCTCTTGCTGCCTCTTTGAAATTTCATGCTAGGTGGAACCTCTTTTAAATCTCATGGTAGCAGGACGACTTTCTTTTTATAAACCATTGCACATTTGCTATTCACTCTGTCTGTATTCTGGACTTTGTCCCAGAGAGAGCCATCCTCTCCACCACTCACTTTGGGACTTCTACTCCTATGTGAGTAATTCATATTTATTTGATCATACCACAGAATTACTGTCATGTTGACATCCAAGCATAAAATTGGAGTGTCTCTATGCCATGTGGAATTGCTATAACAAGCTTTATGAGTTCTATTTTAATGTCTTTGTGGTCAGAGAATACACTCTGTATGATTTCCATCCTTTTACATTTATCGAAACTTGTTCTGTGGCCCAACATAGAGTTTGTAGTGGTGAATGTACCATGTGAACTTGAAAAAAATAAAGAGCATTCTAAAGTAATTGGGAATATTCTCTACAAATGTCAATTAGGTCAATTTGGTAAATAGTGTTGTTCAAGTATTTTATATCTTAACTTCTCTTCTGTCTATGTGTTCTATTAATTCCTGAGAAAGGCTGAGATCTCCAACTATAATTGTGAATTTCTCTAATTCTTTTAGTTCCATTAATATTTGCTTCATATATCTTGAAGCTCTGTTATCAGGTGCAAATACATTCAGTTTTGCTGTGTCTAGATGAACTGATTATTTTATCATTATGAAACGTCCTTTCAGCAGGATGAATTCTCGAATGACCCACAAAATGTCCTTCGTCTCTAGGGTACATGAACTGAATAATCTCTAGGACTTTCAATATGATGGAGTTTATTTCCAGGATTAAGTTATGTTATATGGGCACTAGTGATCTTAAGACTGAAATAATTGGCCAGGCACAGTGGCTCATGCCTGTAATCCCAGCACTTTGGGAGGCCCAGGTGGGCGGATCATGAGGTCAGGAGATTGAGACCATCCTGGCTAACATGGTGAAACCCCATCTCTACTAAAAATACAAACAAATTAGCTGGGCATGGTTGTGTGCGCCTGTAATCCCAGCTACTCCGGAGGCTGAGGCAGGAGAACGGTGTGAACTCGGGAGGCGGAGCTTGCAGTGAGCTGAGATCGCGCCACTGCACTCCAGCCTGGGCAACAGAGTGAGACTCCATCTCAAAAAAAAAAATTGAAAGAATTATCTGGGTAGGTCTGTCCTAAGTATATGAAAGCAGAGAGTTTTCTGCAGCTGGTCACAGAACAAGAGTCAAAAATTTGGAGCTTGAGGATTCAATGTCCTGTTGATGGCTTGAAGATGGCAAGGACCACATGTGGAGGACTGTTGGTAGCCTCTAGGAACTGAGAGCTACTCCTCCTTGACAGCCAGCAAAGAAATGAACTACTTGGCTGGGTGCAGTGGCTCATGCCTGTAATCCCAGCACTTTGGCAGGCCGAGGCAGGCAGATTGCATTAGCCCAGGAGTTTGAGACCAACCTGAGCAACATGGCAAATCCCCGTCTCTACTAAAAGTATAAAAAATTAGCCAGGCATGGTGGCACATGCCTGTAGTTGGAGCTACTCAAGAGGCTGAGGCAGGAGAATCACCTGAGCCCAGGAAGTCGAGACTGCAGTGAGCCATGATTGCATCCCTGTACTCCAGCCTGAGCAACGGGATTGAGACCCTGTTCAAAAAAAAAAGAGAGAGAGAGAGGAACCCAGTCATACTACCACAAGGAATTGAATTCTTTCAAGAACAAGAGTTAATTTGGAAGCAGATGTTCCCCCAGAACTTCCAGGTGAGAATTCAACCTGGCTGATACATGCCACACTGGACTTGCAATATACAAAACTACAAATTAATACATGGGATTGTTTTAAGCTGCTAGGCTTTGGTAATTTGTTATGCAGCAATAGAAAATTGATACAATCCTTCTTTATCTCTGTCAATACTCCTTATTCTGAAGTATACTTAATTTGATATATAGTCACCCTAGATTTCTTATAATTACTTTTCACATGTTATTTCTCTTTCCCTCTTTTTATTTTAGTCTCTTTCTGTCTATGTCAAGTGTGTTTCTTGTAGCCATCACAGAGTTGGGTCTGGTGTTTTTATTCACTGTGATAATTTCTGCCTTATAATTGAATATTTTTATTTCTTTATATTTAATTACATATATGGTTTAGCTTATGTCTACCACTTTGCTATTACTTTTCTATTTGTTCATCTTATTTTTTTCTTTTTCTCATTTTTCACCCTCTTTTGTTTTAATTGCTTATTTTTTAGTGTTTCATTTTATTTCCTCTATTGCATTACTAGCTATGGCTCTTTGATGTTTCTGTGGCTGTTCTATGTATAATAATATCCATCTTTACCTTATTACACCATGTTATAAATCATATTCTATCCCATTAAGTATGCCGCTGTATCTGTCTATATTCCCCTTCCGACCTTTGTGCTCTTGCCGTTTTCCTTCTACATATTAAATCCCACAATGCGTTGTTATTATTGGTATTTAAACAATTATACTTTAAAGGGATTACAGAAATGAGAAAAATTTATTTATTTTAACCCACATATTTACCATTTCTGATTTGTGTGTGTAGGGCAGTGGAGATCTAAGTTTCCTTTCTTCAAGAAGGAATAATTTTCCTTCAGGTATCATTTTCCTTCAGACTGAAAAATTTCATTAACATTTCTTATAGTATAATAGTGCCAGACACAAATAATTTCAGTTTTGTGTTTATCTGAAAGTCTTTTTTTTTTTCCCAAGACAGCGTCTTGCTTTGTCATGCAGGCTGGAGTGCAGTAGCATGAATATGGCTCACTGCAGCCTCCACCTCCCGGGCTCAAGCAATCCTCTTCTCCCAAGCAACTGGGACTATAAGCGCATACCACCATGCCTGGCTAATTTTTGGGGGGTATTTTTGGTAGAAACGGGGTTTCACCATGTTGCCTAGGCTGACCTTGAACTCGTGAGCTCAAGTGATCTGCCCGTATTGGCCTCTCAAAGTGCTGGGGTTACAGGTGTGAGCCACTGCACCCATCCTGAAAATGTCTTCATATTACCTTTATTTTTAAAAAATACAGGTTTAATTTTGAAATAAATTTAGATTTACAGAAAAGTTGCAAAGATAACAGAATTCTCATAAGTCCTTCATCATTTTCTCTATTTTTTATTTATTTATTTTTTGAGATGGAGTCTCACTCTGTTGCCCAGGCTGGAGTGCAGTGGAGCCATCTCCACTAACTGCAACCTCTGCATCCTGGGTTCAAGTGATTCTCCCACCTCAGCCTCTCGAGTAGCTGGGATTACAGTCACTCGCCACTGTGCCCAGCTAATTTTTGTATTTTTAGTAGAGACAGGGTTTCTCCATGTTGGCCAGGCTGCTCTTGAACTCCTGACCTCAGGTGATCTGTCCGCCTTGGCTTCCCAAAGTGCTGGGATTACTAGGTGTGAGCCACCATGCCCAGCATATTCCCTATTATTAACATCTTACATTACCATGGGACATTTGTCAAAACTAAGAAACCTACATTGGTACATTTCTATTAACTGAACTTCAGATTTTATTTGGGTTTCAGCAGTTTTTCCATTAATGTTTTCTTTCTGTTCCCAGATCCTATCCAGGGTACCACATTGCTTTTTTTTTTTTCAAATCATGTATCCTTAGTCTTCTTTGATGTATGATACTGTCCCAGTCTTTGCATGACCTTGACGGTTTTGAAGGGTTCTGGTCAGGTATTTTATAAAACATTCTTCAATTTGAGTTTTTTTGATGTTGTTCTCATGATTAGATTGGGGTATGGGGTTTTGGAAGGAAGGCCACAGAGGTAAAATGCCCTTCTCATCACATCATATAAGGAGGTACATCATGGCTGTATGACATCACTAGTGACATTAACCTTGACCATTTGGTTAAAGTAGGATTTGCCAGGTTTCTTCATGGTATAGTTAATATTTCTCCCTTTCCACACTTTATTCTTTAGAAGTGAGTCACTAAGTAAAGGAAGAAGGAATTAAATTCTACCTGATAGAGTGGAGAGTATCTACCTATATTATTTGGTTCTTATGTAAAGATTTGTCTCCTCGCTTTGATTTATTTACTTATGAAATTGTTTATTCAATCACTTATTTATATCAGTAGGGACTCATGTATATTTACTTTGTAATTTGGATTATAATCCAATAATGTTATTTATTTTGTTGCTCAAATTGTCCTAGATTTTGGCAGAACCCGAAATCTGGGCACTGGTTTTGTTCATTACTACCAGGATGTCATTGCTTAGTTCCTCTCAGCAGACAGAGCTAGGTAATATATGTAAGTATACTAACCCAAAGACTGTTTCTCCATGTAAGTGTGTATGTATAGTACACACACACACACACACACACACACACACACACATATACATTCATACTGATGCCTCTGACTCCAATTCAGTCCCACAGAGCTCATTCTAGCCCACCTTTCTTGCTTTTCTGTCACTTTCCTCCCCAACAGTGGGAACCTGGCTCCCACCATTCACCCTTCACCTACTTAATTGCCCATCTCCCATATACATGTAAAGCAATTTCAGAATTGTTCACCTATACTCCAATGAGAAGCAAATTTACCAACTAGAATACAGTGTTGATATACAGTTTCTTTTGCCTTTAGCCTTAAAGCTTCCACTTAAAATGCACTTTCCAAAGTTACTTAGTTCAGTTCCTTTTCTTCCACACCCTTAAGTGTGGTTATAATTTTATTACAAAATAAAGTTAGATTTATTTGTCATAGTTTACATTCCATCCTGGGATTTCCCCTGACATCCTGCTTGATCTATATCAATAATTACTGTCATTATTACTGTAGCGTTATAGTAATAGTATATCTTGAAATCAGGTAATGTTCTTTTTCAGAATTATTTGGCAATTCTAATTCCTTTGCCTTTCCATGTGAATTTTAGAATAAGCTTGGAAATGTCTACAAAAAAGTTGGTGGGGGCTGGGTGTGGTGGCTCATGCCTGTAATGTCAGCACTTTGGGAGAATCAGGTGGGCAGATCACTTGAGGTCAGGAGTTTGAGACAAGCCTTGCCAACGTGGTGAAATCCTGTCTCTACTGAAAATACAAAAAGTTATCCAGGCATGGTGGTATGCACCTGTAATCCCAGCTACTTGGGAAGCTGAGGCAGGAAAATTGCTTGTACTTGGGAGGCAGAGGTTGCAGTAAGCCTAGATCACGCCACTGCATCCAGCCTGGGTGATAGATTGTCTCAAAAAAAAAAAAAAGTTGGCTGGGGTTTTGATTGGTATTGCATTAAATCTATAGACCATATTTGGTAGAGTTGACATCTTAACAAAATATGAGTCTTCCAGTCTACAAGCATGATATATCTTTCCATTTGTTTAGATCTTTTATTACTTTCTTCAGTGTTTTTTTAGATTTCCAAGTACAGATCTTGGACATATTTTGTTAGATTTATACCTGTCTTTTTTTCTTTCTTTTGCAGTGTGAGAGGTGCTATTGGAAAGGGCATTTTGTTGTTGTTTTCGTTTCTTTGTTTCAGGTTGCAGTTGGTCATCGCTTGTATATAGGAATACAATCGACTTTTGTATGTTAACCTGGTATCCTGCAACCTTGCTAAACTCATTGATTACTTCCAAGATATTTGTTAGTGTAGATTCTTTGGGATTTTCTACATAAGCCATCATATTGCATGTGATCAAAGAAAGTTACATTTATTTATTCTAATCTACATACCTTTTATTTATTTTTCTTACCTGATTGCACTACTAGGACCTCAAGTATAATGTTTACTTGGAATCGTAAAGAGGACATTGTTGCCTTTCTCTGGACCTTAGAGGAAAAGGATTCAATCTCTCACCATTAATTATGATGTTAGTAATAGGGTTTTTTTTTGTAGATACCATTTATTAGGTTAAAGAAGTTCTCTTCTATTTCTAGTTTGCCAAAAATTTTGACCATGAATTGATGTTAAATTTTATCAGAAGCTTTTTTCTGTATCTACTGAATTGGTCATATAATTTTTCTCACTTTAGTCTATTAATGTGGTTAATTACATTGATTGATTTTTGGATGTTGATGTAGACTTATATTCCTAATATGAACCCCACTTGGTCATATGTATTGTCTGTTTTATGTATTGATGAATTAAATGTGCTAATATTTGGTGAAGGATTTTTTTGTCTATGAGTTATATTAGTCTGTAGTTTTCTGTTGTCTGATTTTCGTATTTAGGGTAGTGCTGACCTCATAAAATAAGTCAGGAAGTGGTCTGTCCTTTTCTATTTTGTGGAAGAGAATGTGTAGAGAATGTGTTGTTTTTTCCTTAAATATTCAGTAGAATTCACAGTAAAAACATCTTGCCATGAGTTTTTTGAGAAAGTTTTTAACTACAAATTTAATTTATTTAATAAATATAGCATTATCAGAACTATTCTTATCTATTCCTTCTGTAGTTTGTATCTTTTAAGGAATTGGTTCATTTTATCAAAGCTTTTGAATTTGGGGGCATAGAGTTGTTTGTAACATTGCCTTAGTATCCTTTTTAATATTTGTCAGATCTCTCTCCTTTTATTTCTAATACTGGCAATTTGTATCTTCTCCCTTCCTTCTCGTTTAGTCATGCTAATCTTTGGTTTTCAACAGAGAGGGCAGCATTTAGGGAGACACAAACTTGCCTAGAAAATTATATAGGGACACAGTTGACTCAAGCATTGGTCTAAGAACATCAGCAGGTTTTTGATTGTCAAGGAAAAATTGGATTTTGTAGTATCAGGAAGCCCAGCCTGTTGATCCTGCTGGGGACTCATATATCCAGATGGAAGGTGAATTTATGTTCAAGCATAATTCCTTAGCAACCTGAGATACTTTAGTTGCACTAATATTTGTGTCTTTTTAGACATTAGATTGGAATGATCTCATGATAAGATATTAACTAATGGTCCAAGGTCCTGGAACTATTTTTTTTTTTTTTTAGGGTATTGCTGTTGCCCAGGCTGGAGTACAATGGCATGATCATAGATCACTGCAGCCTTGAACTGCTGGGCCCAAGTGATCTTCCCACCTCAGCCTCCCAAGTAGCTGGGATTACAGGAGTAAGCCACTGCAGGCATTTCAAGAGCTCATTCTTTTCAGATGGCTAAAAGCTGGTTCTTTGGGAATATCAATAAAGTTGATAATATGTAGTATACTAATCAGGAAGAAAAGAGAGAAGGCGCAAACTACTAATATCAGGAATAAATATTATAGGAGATATAATGGGGATATCACCAGAGTACCTATAGGCATTAAAAAGATAATACTATTTATGAAAAAAATACATGCCAATAAATTTTGACAATGTTACAAACCACCATCTCACTCAAGAAGAAATAGCTTACCTGAATTGTCCTATATGTATTAAAGTAATTGGATTTATAGACTAAAAACCCTCTTCCCCCATAACATTAACTAGCCAACAAAACAAACCCCTCCAGGGCAAGATAACTTTACTGATAAATTCCACCAAAATTTAAGGGAGTAATAATACCAATGCTATAAATAATACCAATACATTTTTCTGAAAAATGGAAGAGGAAGAAACATTTCCCAACTTATCTTGTTAGGTCAGCATTACCTTGATACTAGTATTGGACAAAGGCATTATAAGAAAGAAAACTATATTCCAATATATTTCATGAACATAGACACAATCTTAACAAAAGTTTAACAAATCAAACCCAAATCATAATACATCATCATACCTAGTTGTCTAGCAATAGATGAATGGATAAACAAAACATAGTTTCACAGCTTGCCAGGAGTTAAAAAAGAAAAGGAAGAAAAGAAAACATGGTAATATATACACAGTGGAATATTATTCAGCCATAAAGAGAATGAAATCCTGTCACTCGTGGCAACACGGATGCAACTGGAGGACGTTATGTTAAGTGAAATAAGCCAGACACAGAAAGTTAAACACCACACGTTCTCACTCGTATGTGGAAGCTAAAAAACAGTTGATCTCATAGAAGTGAAAAGTAGGACAGGGGATATTAGAGGCTGGGAAGGGCAGGTGGAAGGAGGGAATAGGAAGAAATTTGTTAAAGAATACAAAATTATAGCTAGATAGAAAGAGTAAATTCCAGTGTTGTATTCCACTGTAGGTGACCATAGTTAACAATAATATGTAGTTTTTATCCCTCCCTTCCTCCCTCCCTCCCTCCCTCCCTCCCTTCCTTCCTTCCTTCCTTCCTTCCTTCCTTCCTTCCTTCCTTCCTTCCTTCCTTCCCTTTTTCTTAGAGATAGGGTCTCACTTTGTCACCCAGGCTGGAATGCATGCTGTGATCATAGCTCACTGCAGCCTCAAACTCCTGGGCTCAAACAATCCTCCCACCTCAGCTTTCCAAACAGTTAGGACTACAGGTACATGCCATCATACCTGGCTAATTAAAATTTTTTTTTTTTTTTTTTTTGTAAAAAGAGGGGTCTCACTATGTTGCTCAGGCTAGTCTCAAACTCCTGGTCTCAAGCCATTCTCTTGCATCGGCCTCCCAAAGCACTAGGATTACAGGCATGGGCCACTGCGCCTGGCCTATTATGTAGTATTAAATGCTAAGAGGAGGATATTGAATGTTCCCAACATTAAGAAATGATAAATGTTTGAGATGATGCATATGCTAATTACCCTGATTGGCTCACTATACATTATATGCATTGAAACATCACTACATACCCCATGAATATGTAAAGTTATTAAATGTCAATTAAAACTAAAAATAAATAAAAAGTATATCATCAGTATTTACCTAAGAGAAATATGTCCACACAAAGCTTTGTACACAAATGTTCATAATAGCTTTATTTATAGCAATCCAAAATGGAAGCAACCCAAATGTCTTCCTGTAAGTCACTAGGTAAATGAATAAATAAGTAGTTGATGGCTACATAGTTGATTCCATATAAGGAATACTACTCAGCAGTAACAAATAATACACTATCTATACACCCAGCAACATGATGGATCTCAAAATCATGTTGAGTCAAAGAGGCCAATCAAAACAGAATACATACTGCATGGTTCCATTTATATAAAATTCTAGAAAAGGAAAACTAACCTATAGTGATAGAAATTAGATCAGTGATTACCTGGGGATGGGGGAAGCAAATAACAGATTGTGAAAAAGGAAGACAGATGGATTACAGAGGACCATGAAGAAATTTGCGGAGTGGGTAATGGCTTTGTTTATTATCTTGATTATTGTGATGATTTCAGGGGTATACACATATGTCAAAATTCATGAAATTACACACTTTAAATATATGTGGTTTATTGTACAACAGTTATAGCTCAATAAAGCTGTTAAAAACTCACCAGAAATGAAAAATGTAGAGAGGGCTGAGGACAGCTTTAAGTGGATGTTGGTCTCTGGCAGTCATTTATCTCTGCCTCCCCTACTTGCCTTGTTCTCATTTTTGGATTTCCTGTGCCTCTATTCTTCCTCATTTTGGCTGTGCATGTTCACTTTTATTTCCTATTGCTGTGTCAACAGTTTGTGGGGTTAGAACTTGGAAAGGGTACTGGGTCTCTTTACTCTTTTCTTAAGCCCCTATTTTGTCCCTAGTTTGCCTTTGGTCATTTCCAAAGCTAAGAACATTTCCAGAGCAACAATTTTGGTTCCCTCTCTGTATCTTGTATATAGTCCCTGATCTAATAGGCTGAGGTCCTTCCACTGTCTCTGTATAACAGTTTTAACAATTTAATGGTGACAAGAATTGGCAGTTTGTTTGTTTGCTTGTTTTTAATGCCCTTGAATTTTTAGCTGTAAAACTCCATCCCTGGACTGCGGAAACATGAAGATAGTCTCACCTCTGATCATGGTCCAGGCGCCTATATTCATGGCTTTGGGCCCCACCTCTTAGCCTTCATATACAACTTTGTTTCTTTTTCCAGGAGTCATTTTAACCAATTCCACAGCTTTCAGCTGCTTCATCTTGAGAGCGGAGAGTGCTGTACTCATAGCAGGCAGCTCTCCCAGAGCAATTTACGGCTTCACAGTTCTGCAAATTACAGTCATTTGCAATCTTCTCCATTAGTGCCCTGACCCCATCCAGCTATGTCTGCATGTTTTTGGTTCCTGATGTCTGAAGCTTCTTGTTGCTTTACTATCTGATCTCTCCAAGCTGAAAATGTTCCTTTTCCATTTTCTGGGGGCCTTCTGATATGTAGACATGCTCGCTATTAAGATCATAAGGTCACATTTGCTTGTTTTTTTGTTCTTGAGTTTGCTAATTCTTCCATTTACAAACTTGTAGTTTTCCAGAACTAGTTTTCCTATAGGGAAGAGATTATCAGTGAATTCTGATTCTTCCCAGAGCCTTATTACTTAAACCAGTCCTGTCTACCTCTCTTCTATGGGCTGGGTAATCTTGCTTAAAATCTCTTCCACCATCAGTCCAACGCCTCTGTGAAACCCAGGCTTGGTTTCTTATGTCTCCCCTTGAGTGAGTCTTGCCATTTGTCTACCTGTCTAGGCTGACCTAGTGGTTTCAAGGGAGCCCTGCTCCCCAGCAAGCTTCTACTCAGCGGCCATGAGAAGCAAGTCAGGGATGCTTTTTTGGGGTGGTTCTCAAACTTTAGCGTGCATCGGGATCACTTTGAGGGCTTGTTGAGACACAAATTGCTCCATCCCCAGAGTTGCTGATTGGGAAGATGGAGCATTTGCAAATTACCAAATCCTCAGGTGATGCCGATGCTGCAGGTCAGAGGCCAGCACTGCTGACTGGGAACCCTGTGTTGGTCCATAGTCAGCAATTGTCCAGGGTCTGTCTCCCTGTGTTATCCAATGATCCCATTTATTTTTCCTTTGTTGTTGGCTACTGTTTTTAGCTCCACGTTTGTCCTTTGTGTTCATCCTCTTGGGCTTGGTTCTCCTTGGTTTTCTCTTTATTTATTTAATTATTTTTTTCTGAGACAGAGTCTTGCTCTGTCGCCCAGGCTGGAGTGCAGTGGCATGATCTTGGCTCACTGCAACTTCTGCCTCCCAGGTTGAAGCGATTCTCCTGCCTCAGCTTCCCAATTAGCTGGGGTTACATGCGTGCACCACCACACCCGGCTAATTTTTGTATTTTTAGTGTAGAGACAGGGTTTCAAAATGTTGGCCAGGCTGTCTCGAAGTCCTGATCGCAAGTAATCTGCCCGCCTCAGCTTCCCAAAGTGCTGGGATTACAGGCGTGAGCCACCGCGCCCAGCCCTCCTTGGTTTTGTCTTATCTCTGAGTCCTTTGACCCCATCTCACTGGCTCTTCATGCTCCGTGTCACCCAGGCAGGAGTCCCTTCTCTAGCTCTGGCCTCTTGGGGATCCAAATTCAGTACCAAAACCCTTAACCACTTTGCAGGGGGTTGTGTCCAGACCAACTCTTGCAAAGTCTTAACCCTGAAACCTCCTAGCCATAGTTTCCCAAGCCGTTCCCCCTCAATCATTGCCTTGCCTTGGAACTGGCCAATTAATATGGGTGCATTTTGCACTAATAGCTCCAGACTTCCCCCTCTTGCATCTGCCACCTCAGATTATTGTCAGAGGCGCTAAGGAGGATGCTCTGTGAAATAATATTTACTCTTATTTCTCTATCAATGGCTGTCTGAAGGAGCATTTCAATAGTACCCTCTTGGGTAGAGGCAAGGAAACAGGCAAGTGTGTCCCGGTTTCTGCTCCTAACAAATTTCCCTTCTCTCTTCTGTTAAAGTCCTTAAGTGCCTGATCACCCATTTTAACCACCAAATATTAACTAAAATAGCCTCCTCATTCCTGTCTTCATTTATTAGAGCAGTTAAATCTGTATTCGTCCTTTTAAGTACGTTGCTTTTATGTAGTCTCGTCTGGGTTCTAAGATTTCAACCATCCTAAGTCGTGCCTTTCTTTCCCTCTTTCTCCCTGAAGCCCTTGTAATTTTCCTATTTGCCATTTCCAAGCTAAGACCTGTCTCCAGGGCAACGGTCCCCTGCTCACTAGTGAGTCCTCAGCCCCTGCCCCCTCAGCAAAGACCCTTCGACTTTTTATGTGCAAATTGGATTTTCAGAACCTAATGCTCCGGGTGTAGGCTGATTGTATTTTTTTTTCCTTTTTCTTTTTCTTCTTTGCCTTTGGCATTGTAATTATTTAATTTTTTCAACTGCTTCAGTCGAAGAAGCTATATTGCCAATTTAATTCTCCCACTTCACTCCACCTGCCTCATTTTCTGTGCTTTAAAAGCCTCTATGATAATCAAGACTTATTGATTAAAATTTCCAGAGGGCCCCAAACAGGAGAGACAGACACGGGAGTATCTTTGGACCTCTTGTGGTCAGGCTGCAGGTTTCGTGCTGATGGCCAGAAGCTGTTCGTTCAGCCCATCTTTGAATAGAGTCATCCTGGGGTAATTTTCCTGTCATCCTAGAATGCATGAGAGGAGCACCCCGCCTGTTCTTCAGTGGTTCCTGGTCCCTCGGATGATGTAGTCTGTGAGGAAGTTTTTTTCTGGCCAGTAATGAAAGGAAAAAAAATAAGGCCAGGTGCCAGTGAATGAACTTTTTCTGGGGAAGGGTAGTCATTTCTATTTTGTCCTTCTCGCTTTTGTGGTATTAAAATGTCTTTTTATTTTTATGGCCCTTTCTTGAGCTCTTGTGTTTTATTATACCTGTGAACTCGAAACCTGTGGGTTTTATCTCTCTCTTCCACCAATTCTGAAACTAAAAGCTGGTTCACTAGAGCTGGTTTTAAGATGAACTTCCCCTGACCCCAGAAATGAATCTGCCTCTCCAAGAACACTAGATTCCTACTCCTACCAAGAGATGCTAGTCCAGACCTCAAGCCAGGGCAGGATCCCATACTTTGCACATGAGATGTTCCCCAGGAACGCAGCTGCTCTTAAGGTTTGTGTGAGCAGCTTCCAAACCTCAGTCCCTCATTCATAGGCTTACATCGGTTCTGCCAACCCCACCAGGTGTTAGCCTTGTCCTCAGAATCCCAAACCTTTTCATTCTGAATACTTGCCTGGTTTCCTCTTCTGGCAAAGTGTCTGGACACTGTAAAAATCTCAAGAACATCCCTGATCCCAGCCCTTACTTTTTAAGGAGGCATTTTTTCAAATTTTTTCCAACAAAGTATTCCTAAGAGCGAAGACTGAAAACATGCAAAGGAGAAAAATGAAAGCAGTCTGAAGGGATCACTGCAAGCAAGAAATGTGTATTTTGTGTTAAAAATGCATTCAGTGTTTGCATTCTACTTTATAATAGATTCCTTTTGTATTGATATTAAAATGTTTAAAATTACTTACCATCAGGCAAAATGAGTCTGCCACTTCAGAAATGCGATGTCTCCATCCAGGAGCTCAAATACTCATGGTGCACAAAGTGACCCCACAAGAGTTTCAGCCAACCCCATGGCCCAGAATGGTTCCATCCTGCAGCTTGACTTGGCTCAGAAATCCTTTACTCATCTTTAGCCAACTTCCTATGCCATTTCTTTTTAAGGGACTTTACCAATCCCCTCCAAGCCCAATCTTACCTCCACCTCATTCTACAGGTTATGTTCTGTTTTGGCAAGGAAGGAGTGGCATCTTTGTAGCTCTTCTTAGCTCTTGGGTCGCATCTTCTTAGCTCTTCTTCAGTCCATCTCAGAGGACACTGATATGTGGACCAAGGAATGCATCTCTCTTCCTTTATGTTATGCTCTGTTAAAAGAGCACCAAAGCATGTTGCCTTGGGCTCAGTTATTCTAAAGATTAAAAAATATATATTTTTGTCCTGATTCCCAAAGTAGTGCATCATAATAGTCATCAGCTGTGTTTGCTTGTCAGTGCCTTTATTCTATCAGGGCCTCTTTTTTTTCTCTTTTTTCTTTTCTCTTTTTAGGAACCACTATTCAGTGTGGGGCTGATACCACCCTGTTGCTACTCAGCTCCAAGCATGGTTCCTGTGACCCAGGCCTGGTCATTAGAGTCCCAGTGTTCAGGGAAGGGTATATGTCCAAGCAAGTCCATTTAGAGTCAGTCCAGAATTATCTGGGTATGGTGGTATGAGCCTATAGTCCCACCTACTCATTTGCATTTTCACATAAACTTTAGAATCGGCTTGTTATTTTCTACAAAAAAAGCCTGCCCAAATTTTCATTGTGATTATGTTGAATCTACGGGTCAATTTTGAAAGAATTGACATTTTAACAGTATTGAGCTTTCCAATCCATGAACATGGTATAACTCTTCACTTATTTAGATCTTCCTTGATTTTTCTCAGTAATGTTCTCAGTGTACAGATCTTGTAACATTTTATTTAATTTTTCTATAAGTATTCCATATTTTTTGATGTTATTGTAAGTGGTATTGTTTAAAATACAATTTCTAATTATTCATTGTTAGTAAATAGAGATACAATTGATTTTGTATATTAACCTCATGTTCTACAATCTTGCCAAACTTACTTATTGGTTCTGGTGGGTTTTTTGTAAGTTCCTTAGGATTTTCAACATATGCAATCTTGTCGTATGTAAGTAGGAGGAGTTTTACTTCTTCCTTTCCAGTGTGTATGCCTTTTATTTCTTTGTCTTGCACTATTCCATTGGCTAGGGCCTCCAGTACAATGCTGAATAGAATTGTGAAGATTCTATTCAGATTCAATTCTTGCCATGTTCTCTGTATTAGGGGAGAATGTATCAAGAATAATGTTAGTTGTAGGTTTTTAATACATGTCCTTTATCAGATTGAGGAAGATTTCTTCTATTTTCAGTTTGCTAAGAGTTTAAAATTTTTTTTAAATTTTTATAAATAAAGGGGGTAAAGTGCAGTGTTCTTACGTGAATATATTGTGTAGGGGGGAAGTCTGGGCTTTTTGTATACCCATTACCTGAGAGTTTTGATCAAGAATGGAGTTTGAATTTTGCCAAATGCTTTCCTGAATCTATTGAGATTGCTTTTTCTTTTTCAGTCTGTTAATATGGTGAGCTATATTAATTGATTTTTGAATGTTAAAACAATTTCAAGATCCCTGGGATGAACACCATTTGTTTATACTAGGTCATCCATTTATATATTGCTACATTCAACTTGCCATAAATTTGCTGAGAATTCCTGCATCTGTGTTCATGACGATACTAGCGTGTAGTTTTTTTCTTTTTGTAATGCCTTTGTCTGCTTTTGGCAAGTGAATAATGCTGGCCTCGTAAGTTGGGAAATGTCCTGCTTCTTCTATTTCTAGAAGATTTTATGAAAAATTGGGATCATTTTTTCCTGAAATGTTTGGAAGAGCTACCAAGTAAAGTCATCTAGGCTTAGAGATTTTTTTTTTCTTTTCTTTTCTTTTTTTAAACAGGGTCTCACTCTGTCACCCAGACTGGAGTGCAGTGGTGCCATCACAGCTTACTGCAGGCTTGACTTCCCAGGCTCAGGCAATCCTCCCACCTCAGCTACCCAAGTAGCTGGAACTACAGGCATGTGCCACCATGCCTGGCTACTTTTTTTTGTTTTGTTTATTTTTTGTAGAGACGAGCTCTTGCCATGTTGCCCAGGCTGGTCTCAAACTCCTGGACCCAAGTGATCCACCCACCTTGGCTTCCCAAAGTGCTGGGATTATAGGCATGGGCCACCATGCCCACCCATGTAAGTCTGTTGTTTAATTTTCAAATATTTGAGGACTTCCATGTATTTTTCTGTTACTGATTTATAATTTAATCCTACTGTGGTTAGAGAACATATGTCATATGAATTCAAAATTTGTTGAGACCTATTTTATGGTTCATAATATGATCTATCTTGGTGAATATTTCATGTGTAGTTGAAAAGAGTGTGTTCTACTTTTGTTGTGTGAAGCTTTCTTTATAGCAATTAGTTCAAGTTGATTATTATGTTGCTCAAGCATTCTATATCCGGATTTTCTCTCTACTTCCCCTTTATGTTATTGAGAAAGGATTATTTATCCCCAGTTATAATTGTGGATATGTCTATTTCTCCACAAATTATCAGTTTTTGCTTCAGTTATTTTGAAGTTTTACTATCATATGTATATGCTTTTAGGATTTTTTTATTGTTTTGATAAATTGATCCCTTTTTCATTGTGAAGTCTTTATTTACTCATGATATAATCTTTGTTCTAAAAATTTTTTAGAAGAAGGAATGTATCATTATTGAAGTAGCATCAAAATTATGCCACTTCAGCTTTTTAAATTAATATTTTCTTGGTATAAATCTTTTTTAATAACTTTATTGAGATATAATTTACATGCCATATAACTCACCTACTTAAAGTATACAATTATATGGCTTTCTGTTATTTACAGAGTTGTGTAACCATCATGACCACCAATTTTAGAATATTTTCATCACCTCCCTAGAAAACCCTGTACCCATTAGCAATCACTCCCCTTCACTGCTCCCCGTTCCAGCCCTAGGCAACCACTAATCTACTTTGTGTCTTTATAGATTTGCCTATTCTGGACATTTCATATAAATGGAATCATACAATATATGTTCTTTTGTGACTGGTTTCTTTTACTTTTCAAGGTTCACCCATGTTGTAGCATGGATTAGTCCTTCAATCCCTTTTATTGATTAATAATATTCCATTGTACAGATATGCCACATTTTATTTTTATCCCTTCATCAGTTGATGGATACTTGTGTGAACTCAGTGGATTTGCCTTAAAGTGCTTGAACAACTATGACAAGCAGAGTGTTGTACGATGGAGATAGTGGAAATGGGGGTAGGTGGGTTACAGATGGGAAGGAACCCCATCTATGGTTTTAGAAATTCTGGGTTTTGTTCCATTGTGGAAGTCAGTGTGGCGATTCCTCAGGGAGCTAGAACTAGAAATACCATTTGACCCAGCCATCCCATTACTGGGTATATACCCAAATGAGTATAAATCATGCTGCTATAAAGACACATGCACACGTATGTTTATTGCGGCACTATTCACAATAGCAAAGACTTGGAACCAACCCAAATGTCCAACAATGATAGACTGGATTAAGAAAATGTGGCACATATACACCATGGAATACTATGCAGCCATAAAAAATGATGAGTTCATATCCTTTGTAGGGACATGGATGAAATTGGAAACCATCATTCTCAGTAAACTATCACAAGAACAAAAAACCAAACACCGCATATTCTCACTCATAGGTGGGAATTGAACAATGAGATCACATGGACACAGGAAGGGGAATATCACACTCTGGGGACTGTGGTGGGGTCGGGGGAGGGGGGAGGGATAGCATCGGGAGATATACCTAATGCTAGATGACACATTAGTGGGTGCAGCGCACCAGCATGGCACATGTATACATATGTAACTAACCTGCACAATGTGCACATGTACCCTAAAACTTAGAGTATAATAAAAAAAAAAAAAAAAAAAGAAATTCTGGGTTTTGTTCCTTTCTTCTTCTTTTTTTTTTTTTTTTTTTTGAGAAATGAACAGGCCAAAGAGAGGAGTAATTCATGGATCTGACTTTATTCATGGTTCATTCTCCCCACTTTAGTACCATATTCCATTCCCCACTGCTTAGACCACAGAGGAGAAAGTCTCTGAAATACCAGCCTAAATTCAGTGAAACCTGTTTAAATAAGTAATTTCATTCAACTGAAGAATTTTCAGTAGATAAAATAGATAAAATACGGCCTCCAGGACTCTTGCACCAGTCTGACTTTTAGCTGCTGCCAAAAACAAAAGAATGTTTCACTTGGAAGTGTTCCTTGTTCTTCTTTTAAGGTAAATCTTTACTTTGCAGATTGTAGAGTTTTCAATATTATCTTGATGTTAACTGGGGAAACCACTGATCCTATGTTGTAGACATGGGCCAGGACAGTACTCTCTGGTAGACCTTGGCTCCGGGACATTCGGGTTTGATTTCCCTAGTACCTTTGGTGCTGACAGCTCCTGCTTCCTACACAGCTGGTGCCAGCACTGTGAAGAGTGAGAACTTAACTTGCAGGGACAGGAGAATGAGACTCTCTGGGTGTGCTATGGGCAGAGTTAGACTCCCATAGAGCACAACAGCCCATGTGATCAAGCTCTGCCCAGCAGCCCATGTGATCAACCACAGGCTGCAATGTTTCATGGTGGAGAAAGAAGGGATGAGGGAGCCTGTGCATTCCTTTAACTGCAGTGGCCAAGAAGGGATTCAGAAAGAGGCTTTAAACCTGAGTTTCACAATTTATCCTTGCTGTCACTGGCTAGTTCGAACTCTCCTTGCTCCTTATCTAGACTATAGCAATCACTTCCCACTCAGTGCCTCTTCTTCCAGAATCCTTATTTTCCTCTATTCCTTCTTCTCATGGATGTGAAATGATGGAAGTTCCTAGTCTACCCTCCCTTAAATTATGAAGTAATGTTTGCTTACAGTGTTGAAACAGAAAGGAAAGACTAAAGCATCCCTTCAGCTGCCCCCACCACCATGATTTCTTTCCTCATTTGCCTCTGAGGGCCAGAAGGAACTGAGGGAAGCAGAGAGTGTAAGATAACAGGGAATACATTGAGGAATAAATAGGAACTGTATGGGAGCCTCTCCTAAAGGCATTCCCATTTAAGTGAAAAAACAACCACCACCAATAAACAAATCTTCCTGCAGATTAAATTTGTTCCTGTGCTGCCAATTTGCCCCACCTAGATCTTTCCAGCATTTCTAATACGTATACATCTATACCAATATTATAAATGTAACTATAAATGTTTAGATACATGGTACATATATGTTAGACAACCAGGATTACAATATACATACTATTTTGAACTTTGCTTTTTCATGTAACATTGGGAAGCTTTACATGTTAGACAACCTCATAACTAGCACCCTGTCGATGGACATTTAGGTTGTTTCCAGTTTGAATTTTTTTTTCAAATAATACAGCATTGTTTGTTCTTAGACATGTGTCAGGGAGTATACATAAAGTATAAATGTGAAACAGTGGAATAGCTGGGTCAAGTTTGATAGCTATTGCCAAAATGCCTTCCCAAAAAGTTGTATCTATTTAATTCTAGCAACAGTGTTCCTCTGTTTAATTTTGAACTTTTTTTTCTCTGTATATGTTTTATTAGTTATTCACATCAGAATAGCTGCCCTCTTTTCACCGGCCCAGAGTGAACTACCCACAGAAAGTTTCTCTACTCTGTTTATTGAAGAACCAGAGGAACATAAATATGTTTTGCCTACATAAAGTTAATGGCCTGTAGTAAAGAATGTAGACTTTTAAGCAGCCTTCCATGTCATTTGGCTTAGGAAACACTGAGTTAGTGTGCTAGACACCTGGCATGGGTTTGGAGGAAAAAGGTGGGCTTTTTTGGGCAGTGCCCGCCAAGTTGGGCCACAGCTCCACCGCCTACCCCTTCCCTCTTGCTCAATGTACACATCACCAAGTCTGTGCTCCACTGTTTCTCCTCTACTAGAGAGGGACAGGAGCCTGGGGGATGGGAATGTGTCTTCCCCTCCTGGAGTCTGAACATCCTCGTTGGACTTCTAGATGAGGCCAGAACTTCCTTTGAGTACTGGGCCACATCTTCATAAGCTTCAGAGACCTCTTCCCCCTGTTCCCCATTCTCATATCATCTTGGTGAAAGCCTTGCCCTTCTGCCCAGTGGCCCCCTTCCCCCAACCACCAGAGGCAAAGGAGTGCTTGAAACTGTGGAAACTTTAAACATTGTGGATTCTAAGAAGTAAAGCCTTTAGTAGTAAAAGATTTACCAACAAATAAAGTGTTTCTGAAAAAGGTTGCGTTGCTCTAGTTCTAGCAACGTGCTCACTCTGCAGCTGTGGGATCTCTGGGTGCCATCTTGTTTTCCTGCCACTCTCCCTATTCCCTGGCAGACCCTGTCCCCTTGGAATGCCCACAGAATTTTGATCATAGCTAAATTACATCATTTATCACATTACTTGTTGTCAGCTTATGCGTTTATCTCTACCACTGGATTGCAAGCTACTTGAAGTTCTTAATAAGAACAGCGGCAGCAATAATACAGTGCTTCTTGTGTGCCAGGCACCCCACCAAGTGCTTTACACATATTAACTCATTTAGACCTCACACGTCCCTCACAATATCTTGGTATCTTCATCTCTCACAACTCATTAAACATTCTATGGTTGTCTTTCAATTTAGATCTCTCTTCTTCAAAAGGAGTTTTTAAGAAAAATCTATTACTGGCTTGTAATATATCAATCTCTAAGCAAAAATACTCGTAACATTCATATAATAAGAACAGATTACATGGGATAAAAGTAGGATCATTTTCTCATTTAGCCTGACATCAAGAGTATTTATTTGGCTTTCTATACCATTAGTTTAAATTAGAACACTCTATTTCCATCCACTAGAGTAGAATAGCTATGTGTTTTCCCTTTAAAAGATAAATTAACTCTGTAAGCATTAATACTTTAAAAAATGACTAGTGGTTTTTCAAATATTTTAGTTCTACCAAACTGATGAATAGATAAACATGAGCAGATAGATCTGGATTTAAATCTTGATTCCACAATTTACCAGCTCTGTGACCATGGGCAAGCTCCTTAATCTTTCAAAGCCTGTTTTCTCATTAGTAAAATTAGGATAATAATAGTTCTTTATAGGGTAATCATCAGAAGTTAAAAATGTACATATGAGAAATTCAGCACAGAGTCTGGCACAAAGCGATTAACAAATATTTGCTGTTATTCATTCTTATCATCATTATTATAAAATGTTGGGTTGAGCTGGGCATGACGGTGCATGCCTGTAATACCAGCTATTTGAGAGGCTGAAGCAGGAGGATTTCTTGAGCTCAGGAGTTTGAGGCTGCAGCAAGCTATGATCGCACCACTGCACTCCAGCCTGGGAGACAGGGTGAGATCTCTTGTCTATAAAAAGAAAATTAAAATGTTGGGTTGGCAAAAGGGACATAGAAATGAGTAAGATGCTGTCCTTGTCCTCAAGAAGCTCAGCTCTGTGGTAGGAGAGACAAGACAGGTCTGCAAACATCATCACAAAACAATGTGATAAGGCAACAGAGGGACAGAGAAAGCACAGAGGAGGGAGGGATCATTTCCATAGGAAAGTTTCATGGAAGGCTTGCAAGAGGATGTGAAAATTACATTGATTTTTAAAGAACGAGGAGGAATTTTTTAGGTAGCCCAAGTGGGACAGGACATAGCTGGTCCTGGAGAACATGTGTAAAGGCACGGAGAAAGGAAACTGCATGGTGTTTTGGGAGGAACTATAATTAGTAATGTTTGGTCAGATCATGAGGTTTTGGTGGGGGTGGGTAAGATGGAGGTGGTAAGATAGAAGATTCTAGAGGAAGTCAAGGCAAGGACCAGATTTTGAAGTGTTTTGCATGCGGAGCTGAAGAGCTTGAATTTAGCACCAGCAATAGGGTGTCAGTAAAGAGTTTTATAAGAGAGATGTGATCAGATTTGCATTTTAGAAAAATCACTTTGGCAGGTTTGTGAATGATGGACCAGAAATGTGTGATGGTGGAGACTTGGAAGCCAATTAGGAGGCAGTAGTCCAGGTGAGAAATAATGCCCCGAACAAGGGCAAATGGCATTAGGAATGGAGGGGAGCAAGCTGAACTCAAGAGACCCTTGGGAGGTAAGATGAAAAGGATGGGGAGGAGGGAACTTGTTGGGATCTGTATCTAAGGGTACCCGACCCCTTGGTCTCATTCCACTGTTCCACAGGGGTTGGTGACAGTGTGTGGGAGACAGGGGTGGACAGAAGTGCGTTAACCAAGATACAGACTAGAGAAGGAAGCGTCAGTTCTTAGGACAGGGGTCAGTTTGTAGTGTGGGAAAGAGGAGGTGAGAAAGGGTAGTGAATTTCACCTGGCCCTTGTTGAGTATGTGATGCCTGTGTTCGCCATGTGAACAGCAGAAAGCAGCAAATATAAGGATCGAGAGCACGGGGTAGAGAGAGGGCTGGCGATGGACACCATCTTTAGGGTAATTGCGAAATTAGGGGAAGGGCTGAAATACGGAAGGCTCGCCGAAGATCTCTAGGTAGTTAATAACTATCAAAATGTCACTTCTTTGGCCTTCACTTTTATTATGTAAAAGTACTCAGATCAGGCCGAATACAATTTTATTCTCTTTATCCAATGCCGGAGGCTATTGTCGAAGCCACGGCCTGCCATTTCATACCCTTTGCAATAGGTGGCGCTGACGCCTGGCAGGGAGAAGGCGGCAGCACATGCTGGGCTCGGGGGCGATGGGCTTGTGCGCGGACCTGGCGACGCTCTAGCCCCGAGCCGCGTATTCGTGGCCGGGTCCTCCCTGGGAACAGGGTGAAGGCCGAGAACCTCTGGCCTCAGGAAGCGCATGCGCAACCGGTTCTCCGAAACATGGAGTCCTGTAGGCAAGGTCTTACCTGAATCAGGTAAGAGGCGGGCGGGGAAGGAGTGGAGCCTCCCCGTGCACCCTCGCAGCCCGCTCCAGGAGTGGGACTAGCCCTCCTTGGGGGTGTGGCTCGTGTGCGTGGGCCACACCAGTCCTAGGGGCAGGTAAGTGCGCGTGGCCCAGGAGGCGTGAGGCTGTGCTGGCGAGGGGAGGGCTCCCGGGGCGCGTGGGTGCCCATACGAGGTGCGCCGCCGCCGGTCCAGAAGAGGGCCACGTGGGCGAGAGCCTCGGTCGTCGCCTCCCAGCACCTCGGGGTCGTAGAGAACACAAAAGTCACACAACCCTCGCCGAGGCTTGACCCCCGCGACAGAGTTTAGTCATTCCGTTAGCTGGCTCCACCCGCCCTCCTGGGCGTGGGGACTCGATTTCTTGGGAGGCTGCGCCTTCCTACTTGTGGGACAGCCAGCCTTGGAGGTTGGAAAGGTCGCAGGCACACGGGTGTGACCGAGTGGTAGAGGGCGTGGCTGTTCCGGGTCGGAGCTGCAGGTGTCGGTCCAGGTCCAGGCGCTGGGGTCACCAGGGCGGAGAGCGGCAGTGGTGGCGCGGCTGGGGGCCTGGTTCAGGGAGGGGGACAGCTGAAGAAGGTGTGAGGTGAGGAGAGCAGTCGAGGAAAACGGAAGCACCTGCTCCTGGTTGACTCATTCTGGCTGGAGGCATAATCTAATGTGGGAAGGTAGTAACAGGAAAAAAAAAAAAAAGCGAGAAAGAGCGACTGTGCCTGTGCTGAAGCCCTTTCCTCCTCCTAGCTCCCAGGCAGCTAGAAAATTGCCTGTCTGAAAGAAAGTAGCTGTTTTCCTTAGGGGACTGTGGTGAGTGACAAATGAGATGATATATGTGAAAGGGTAAAGAGCTATAAAAATGCAAGATTCTATTACTTAATTAGAATCCTTCAGCCTATTTATCTGTTTGAGTGGATAAAATGTCCTCTAGGTGTGGGATAGTGGGGCAGGAGTACCTGGTGAAGAAGTACCAGCTGTGGGATAATGGGATGTGTGGAGTAATGCAGAGGGTGTGTGAAGATAGTTTAGGGGTGCCCACTAATACTGTCACCTGGAGAAACAACCATCTGTCATTTAGGTTCATCTTATTTGGGTAAGAGATTATTCAGTTCCACTGCTTCCCTCGTCTGCCACTCATCTTTTGAGCTTTTTACAGCCAAACACTTTTACTCAAAAATGGGCCTGAAGAGGAACACACCAGTAGCTTCAGGGATATATTGGTTAATTTGTTTTTGTTTGGTTTTGTTTTTGAGATGAAGTCTCGCTCTGTCACCCAGGCTGGAGTGCAGTGACGCCATCTCATCTCACTGCAACTTCTGCCTCCGGGACTCAAGCTATTCTCCTGCCTCAGCCTCCCAAGTAGCTGGGACTACAGGCACACACCACTACACATGGCTAATTTTTGTATTTTTGGTAGAGACGGGGTTTCACCATGTTGGCCAGGCTGGTCTCGAACTCCTGACCTGAAGTGATCCGCCTGCTTCAGCCTCAAAGTGCTGGGATTACAGGCATGAGCCACTGCGCCCGGCCACATTGGTTAATTTGGTTGAGAGCGGGCTCGATGTGATTTTATTGATGATAATGTCTTCAATTTGCCTTGCCCTCAGTACAAAGCAGCATGTTGTACCAAGGGTTCTGGGCTGAGGGACATAACTAGGGAAGACTGAGCTGTGAATTTGTCCCCTCAGTAGAGGATCACCCTGGCCAAGTTCCAGTTCATCTTGGAGCCTTATTTTACATCAGATGGGAAAAGACCTTGCAGGTCATTCATTGTCTTACATGCAGAGCTCGCATACCTGCCACAGGGTTACCCAGCCCCCAGTGGACAGAGAATTTGTCCCATACCAAAATGGCTGAGCCACCCAATCCCTCTAGACAGCCCCTATGTTGGAAAATTCTTTATGTTGAATCGACATCTGTTTCTCTACAATTTGCACTCATTGGAGCCATACAGAATAAAATGTCTAATGCTGCTTCCACAAATATTTGAGGACTGCTAACACATTTCCTTCTTCTACTTACTCCACAAGGCTTCTTTTCTTCAAACCAAACATGCCCATCTATTTCAAACAGGGAGGCAGTGTGGAGTAGTGGAAAGAAGGCCAACTTTGGAGCCAGGCACATCTGCGTTCAGTTCCCAGCCCCTTCACATCCTAACACTTAGCGTTCCGAGCTGCCGTATCTCTCTCTGAAATCTGTGAGTGAAAATACTCATCTAGCCAGGCTACTGTGAGGATCAGGGATATGTTGGGTGAAGATCCATGCTCATGGTAGGAGCTTAAAATACGAGAACTGTTACACCTTCAGTTTGCAATTCATTTAGTTGACCTTCTCTGAACACATTCCTATTTGTCTCTGTTTCAATATGTATCTGCTCTGTAGAACAGAATAAAATGCTTTCTGTGAGTTCTAACCAGCATAATAGAGTAGGATTAGCTTATTTTTGGTACTTCCCCTCAGTCTGCAGTCACAGTAGCCTTTTTAAGGGTCCTGTCTTACTGATTCAGTAAGTTTCTCAACCAAAACCCCTTCGTTAACATGTGCTCCTGTTCAACCAAGTTTCTCCCATTATGAAGTGTTTTAGTTGATTTGAATCTACAATGATGGCTCTTGAAAGTGGCAGTCCCGGTTGTGTCTTGTTGTCTCCATAAATATCCTGCACTTGTCATATTATGGGTCTCAAACTGGGGTTAGAAAAATATGGTTCTTGAATCTGTGGTACCATCTCTGCTGATCCCATACCACTGTTGTGAATCAGCGAGATAATAAATGCAGAGCTTTCTACATGAATTTTTGCACAGATCTGAGGTCTTATCATGAGGCGGAACTGTGTTAGACTTGGAATGTGACAAGAATGTGTGATAAGCCACTGGCTGAGGGAGTACTACTGCATGAGATATCCTGCACAGTCCAGGATAGCATCTGTCCAGAGGAACTGAAAGGGTGCAACTTCGAGCAAGCCAGAGCCGACTTTGAATTTATGTGTGGCTGTGTGTTTTCTCAGGGCTCCAAGTGTTTTATACCTTGGGTCAAATTCTCCCCCTGCGGAGGAAGCTCCTTTCTGGAAGTAAATCAGGCACATTTAGAAGATTCGTTAACTCTTTGGCTCCTGGGGGATTATGGCCAGCATTTTCTCTCTTAGACTTCCCACAGCGAATTCCTGGTTGGGCCAAGCTGATATCTTTGAGCTGACTTCTGTACTCAGGGTTCTTCCAAACAGGAATATGCTTTCTCTGCCTAAGATCTGGGTTCCATGCCCATCTCAACCTCAATCCCTCCTTCAAGGAAGTTTTTCCTAACTCCTCGGCCAGACATCAATAATGTCTGAAGGGAGGATTTCTCCCGAGTGCCAGACTTGGAATTCCTGTTGTCTTCAGGAGCTCTCCCTGGCGCTCCCTCCTTCCCCCAGGGCCTTTAAACTGTTTCTCCTCCAGTCTGCCCACTTGATCCATGTGGGTAGACATGTTCCATGGCCTTCAGAATAAGATCTTTTGTGGGGTACTCAGTCCATAAACAGAAAATTGCCTTCATCTTGGATGCTGGTGTTTCTGGCCTGGTGAGAATGAAAGTGTGGAATTTGTTTGTAGGACTCAAAGTTTCCATTAACAATAAATATGAAAAATATATAATGCAAAGGCTTTTGTTATTGTTATTATTAAAATAGGAAAGCCTTTACCTTTTTGGAAGAACCGATTTAGATTTTGCAGAGTAATTCAGTCTTTAAAAGGTAGTGGTAGTTAAAATAGGTAATCTTTGACTTGTAAAGAGACTAATTTAAATTTTGTTAAGTAACCAATTAAGGCCATAAAGAGTTTAAATCCATCTGTGGCTTCTCATTTTCTCTAGAACAAATTCCTAATTCCCTACGATGAAATTCTCTTGCTATCCTAATTTTTTGCCGGCTCAAAGGACTAACCGTTTTCCCCAAACACGCGGCCCTGAGCCTCCGGTGCTTTGCGAAAGCCGTCCCCTCCGGCTGGAATGTTCTTTGTCTCTCTGGTAAATGTCTATTCATCATTCAAGACCACCCTTCGCCCCTCCCCTTAATTACTTCCTCCCCTGTGCGCCCTCAAATTCTTGTACTCATTCAAGCAGTATTTATTAGGGGCCAGCTTTGTGGCCGGCACCGTGGCGGGCTCTGGGGCTACAAAAGGTGAATAATACTTGGGCTCTGCCTCTGAGGGCCTTACACGTTAGGGAGGAGTGGGTCAACTGCCACAAACGTCGCTAGGAAATTAAAAGGAAAATTTTACAAAGTGGCAGTTCTTGTCTGTCTTCCCCTCCAGATGGCCCGTGTGTTGTTTTCGGGCCGGGGCTATTTCTCATTTATTTCGCACCCCCGGTTCTTAGTGCCCTGTAGGTGCTAAATCAGCATTTGTTTCATGAGTGCTTTTTCTGGGGGCAACCAGACCCCTGCAGAAGTGTACCTGTGTTGTGCCAGAGGTTCTGATGATAGGCTTATAGGCGGTAGTTTCCTCAGTGTCCGTGGGTCGCCCCCGGTCCCGGGTTGGATGCCCCGCGGTCCAGCACCGAACCTTTCGGGGTGCAGAGTTGCAGAGCCGCGGAGGGCCCGGGCCGTGCGCAGCCGAAGGGAGGCCTGCAGCGCCCCCTCTGGATGCAGCGGGCACCGGCCGGCCGCCCCGCTCACCCGCTCGCACCCCACGTTTGTTCACCAGTATTTCAGTTTACGGTCAGAAAATGAACACAGACACTTCGTGATACTCTACACTTTTCAAAGGCGTAAGGGATGCCTTTTAAAGGATTATGGATTAGAAAAATTCCTCCCTCTTTCTTGTGCCTCTGGGCCCTTGCATTGTGATTCTATCTTACGTAAATAAAGGGGGCTTTGCTCTCCTAATTGTGCCCACTGTTCTGTGCAGCGCGGACCGGCGCATGCAGCGAGCGGGGCTGCGAGGGCGCTGCTGTGGCCAGGCGTCTGGCATGCTGACCACGTCGCGCTGCTGTAAAGGAAACCTGCCCCGCGCAGCGGCGGTGGCTGGAGCGGGAGAAACCGGACTTTGTGCAACTTTGGCCATAGTGGCCATCCCATGAATCTGTTTACTAGCTTGGTGGTGGGTCCAACAGAGCTTGTTGCTCCCTAGCCGCTTGCTCGTGCCCTTGGTGGTTACCGGTAGTTAAGCTTAGGGCGCATAGGGCCCTCGTGGCTCGCCACCTCTCACGGTTCAGTACCCACGCTTCGAACGAGGGATGGGAGCAGGCGCCACGGCCGGCACCCCAGAGCCCTGCTGCCCCTTAGTTCGAGCGGCCATCCTCCTGTGGGGCTTGTGGGCAGCCTGTGGGGTTTGTGGGCGGCCTGTGGGGTTTGTGGGTGGTCTAAGGAAAGAGTTGGGGCACTCAGGGGTCTGCTGTTTTTGCCCGTGGCCTTAACTCATCAGGGGAGGGTTTCTGCAGCAGAATCTCGGGCTCAGGGTTGGCGGTTAACGAGGGAGCAGCGGGGTCTTGGGGAGGGGGCTCGACACCCCTGAAGGTGCCCCCTAAAGGAGCCACTGTTAGAGGGGCACCCCATCTTTGTGGCCATGGCGGTGGTAGAGCGGCTGGGAGGGGCTCTGCGGCGAGCAAGGGAGCAGGCGGTAGGGGTTCTGCGGCGATGGGCGGGCTAGGGGCGGGGCGCGGGTGGGCTCTAAAAGTCGGTGCCCACTCGCTCCGCGCTGCCGCGGCAACCAGCACACCCCGGCACCTCCTCTGCGGCAGCTGCGCCTCGCAAGCGCAGTGCCGCAGCGCACGCCGGAGTGGCTGTAGCTGCCCGGCGCGGCGCCGCCCTGCGCGGGCTGTGGGCTGCGGGCTGCGCCCCCGCTGCTGGCCAGCTCTGCACGGCTGCGGGCTCTGCGGCGCCCGGTGCTCTGCAACGCTGCGGCGGGCGGCATGGGATAACGCGGCCATGGTGCGCCGAGATCGCCTCCGCAGGTGAGTGTGCGGTGGGAACGAGGGGGTGTGGCTGGCGGCCCTGGGACTAGGGCGCAGGCGAGCGGAGGACTGTGTGCCCGTGTCCGAGCTGGGGCTGCCTCTGGGCGAAAACTCTACCGACAGGCGGCACGCATTCCGCGCCCGCTCTGCCTACTTGAGGAGGGGGTGTCACTCCTGCCCGCAATGGAATGTTCAGAACGCGGGACCTCCTTGGGTTAGGATTTCTAGACCCCGGGATCGTCGTGGTGAGATTTAGGATTTCTGGACCCCAGCGTCATCTTGATATGACTTAGGATCCATAATGACCCTGGTCTCACCCTGATGCGAATTGGGATTTTTAGATCCTGGCATCACCCTGGTGCGATTTAGGATTTTTATACTCAGTCATTGCTGCAGCATGATTTAGGATTTCTAACCCCCAGCATCGCCCTGGTTTGATTTAGGATATTTAGACTCCGGCTTCCCTCTGGTGCGATTCAGGATTCTTAGACTCCGCCGTTGCCGTGGCGCGATTTAGGATTTATAGATCCCGGCAAAGCCCTGGTGCGATGTAGGATTTTTAGAACCCCAGCATCGCTCTGGTGCGACTTAAAGGATAGGCCCCAGCATCGCCCTGGTGCGATGTAGGATTTTTAGAACCCCGGTGTCTCCGTGGCGCACCTTAGGATTTCAAGAACGGGATAATCGCAGTGCCGAGATCGCCGCGGTGCAGCTTAGGATTTCAAGACCCAGGTATCACGGTGGCGGGAGTCACCGCAGTGACTAGAACTCGCAGTGCCCGTCAGCCGCCTTAAGTATTTTTCAGATTTCAGTAACAAGCGCGAGTGAGAACGGCGATGTGACCAAACTGTCATGTTGCGCAGGGATTGTTCACCTTGGTTTCGCGGGTTTTCAAAGTGGTTCGTCTCGCGGCGACGCCATCAGGTGGGCGGCAGGTTGGGTGGTATTATTACGGGAGTGTGTTTTTCTGTTTACAAGATGAAGAAATCAAGGCTCAGAAATTTTTGGAAAGTTTGTTACTGGAGTTTGCTTATTGTCTCCGCTCATGGCTCATCAAATAGTTGGGATTTTGGCCAAAAAATGTTTGCTTAACCCATTTTGCCTACTGACGGCTAGGTTGCTTCACTTCTAAAAATCCTAAAAGTTCATGGGGGCATTTTTACTGAGGTAATAAGACAAAAAATGGCCCCCTGAGAGGTTGCCTCTTTGCTTTCTTGGAGTAAGAGGAGGAGGGTGTGGAGGGGGGTGTCCAGGAGTGGAGTATGTTGGTCGATAGCCTCGTTTTTTAACCCCCCACTTTCCCTGAGCAGCGGCGGGGAAGCCTCCCCATTTGCCGCTCTGGCCGCCCCTCCCGGGGCTCTCTGCTGAGTCACTGCAGAGATTCAGCTGCTGGAACCCCGGGGATGAATGCGATGAGAAGCACTGGGGGAAAGGAGTAATGAAATCTGCACATGAAAATGTATACATTGAAGTACAGGACAGATAGGGCTGGGCAAATGATCGTCAAAACCTAATGGTTTTTGTCATCTGACCTTTCAAGGAGATACTGGGATACAGCCTGCTATTGTTGGGTGAAAACTGTGATATAACCATCATGTTCTGGCACTTTTTTGAACCATTTCTAGTATTACCTTGAGAAGTAGGACCAAATGGTTCTATCCGTCTTATGGACAGGTACTTTGGAGAAAAAAAGAAATGACTGCCCTAATAATGCCTAAAAAATAGCCTGGGGAGCTGACATTGTTTAAGAAACATGGTTATTTTACCACTGTAAAACCACAGGCTTGTTTTTAGATTTTAGCAAAAAGTATCAGGGATATGGGGGGGAAAAGTATCTTGTAAGTTGAGGAAGTTAGCGAACGGGTAGGTAGATTACAGGCAATAGGGAAGAATGTGTGTACAGACGGAAAGCCATTTCCCCCAGGGCTTTAGCAATTAATTTATTTCAGCTCTATGACAACTCTAATTTTAGTTTTGGAGGGTATTATTTCCATTCTGGCTGTTTTGAGAGAACTTCCATTCTACTGACAATTCTTGATCTGTTGACCATCAGAAGTCATAGACTTGAAACAGAACGGTTTATAATTCCTGTTTGGCACTCCTTGTCAATGTGGATAAACTGACTTGTGCCTTTGAAGTCCTGGGCATGGGAGGGTTGGGTGTACCAACCAGTGCTCTTTTTCCAAAGACAAAATCAATTCTCACACGCTGGGTATGAGTTATGCCTTATCTGGGGGTGGGGGAGCATCTTAGGAAATTAAATGGAAACTTAAAGAGTCTGCTAAGAAAAGCAGAAATGTAATCTACCGCCTTGACCTCTCAAGAGATTAGATATTCAGGGTCATGACAAAGCTGCTTATGTTGGAATACACAGTGCAGCTATCTTACTTTCACAGACTGTTTACCCTGAGCAGTTTCTCAGCCCAAATCCAGAAAGGAGTACTAAATGGGGCTTCATTTAGGCAGGAGGGCTGAAAATCAGGAGTAGCTCTCTGCTTGAGGACATGTGATAAGTTACTACACACACACACTCTTTAAAACATGAGATATAGCACATATATATTTTTTGAACATTTTACTGGTTGGGGGTAGTGGGTAGATGGTAGAGCTTTTGGAGTAAATAAGAAAGAAGTTATTTTTTTCCTGGGAAGCCTTGATAAAAGTCAACGAAAGAGTGTCCAGCATTTAAGTCATGTCCCTTTTATTTATATAAAGTCCTCTTCAGCAGGTATTGGGAAGACCACAAGGGTAGGGGCTAAGGGGTTAAAGTCGGGGAGCAGAGGCAGAAGATTATATGTTGAAATAATGTATTTTTTTTCCTTAAGATTAGAATGATGAACAAATATGGTGAGTGCTATGGCAGACAGAGGTTTGATTATAGTCTCGGTCAGCTTTGTGCCTATGTGAAGGGCAATGTAATCATTGCATGGTAACAGCAATCTCCCACCCCATCTTACCAGGTTTTGGTTTGTAGATGAGTGGACAATGTTACCTGACTGCTTACAGTGGGTCTCTGCTTTTCCTACAGGATGAGGGAGTGGTGGGTCCAGGTGGGGCTGCTGGCCGTGCCCCTGCTTGCTGCGTACCTGCACATCCCACCCCCTCAGCTCTCCCCTGCCCTTCACTCATGGAAGTCTTCAGGCAAGTTTTTCACTTACAAGGGACTGCGTATCTTCTACCAAGGTAAGAAGTGGACTATTGGAAGTCCTGCGTGTATCGGTCACATAAGTCCCAGCTGAGGTATTTATTTTGTGGCTATTGGTCTCTTGTTGCTCCTTAATGATGGAGGAGAGTATCTCTCTCTCTTTCTGTGTAGTGTGCTTGCAGAGAAGCGCAGAAAACTGCTGGGAGAATGGGGGTAGGGACTGAGATTCCAACCTGCAGACCTTACCTTTTAGTATAAGTTTTCTTTGTAGCTTGATATGTATTCCAATATTAGTTTTTTTTTTTTTTTGAGCAACCTGTCAGGTAATATATAAAATATTAATAGATATAACCACCATTGGTTCTCTCTCCTTACCATCCCTGATTTCATTTTTTCTGTAGATTATTTGTAGTGTAACTGTGATTTAAGTCTTGATACCATTATATAAATTAATTTGCTAGTGATGATGATTATTATGACCACTACTTATCAAGTAATTACCATATGCCAGGCACTGAGTTATGTTTTCAGCCTTCATTGTTTAATCTTTACAACAGCATTTGGAGATAGGTGCCATTAACCTCATTTTATAGGTGAAGAAACTGAGAAACAGATTGGAAATGATTTGTTTTGAGCGGGGGTCAAGAGCAATAACGAAAAATGTTTGTCATAAACCGTTTTTCATTATTGCTCCTGACCTCCTCTCATTTGCTATATTCAATTAAGTAAGTATACAATTTTTATTATGTTGGCTTGGGTTACTTCCAGTTTTACTGTTTTAGAAAACTAATGTTGAAGTAAAAGCTTCATGTCCATACAGTTTATTTTTTCCTTACATTTTCAAACTATACTACTTGTATAAATGGAATGATTTTATTTGCACAGATTCTCAAGAACAAAACTCTTAGGCTAAAGTATATACAATTTTTAACTGCTTCTAAATTATTTTTGAAAACCTTATTACCAAATTTTCATGTCACTGGCAGTATATGAATATACCTGTTCTAATCCCATACTATTAGCAAGGTTAATATTGTCTAAATGTTTACCTAATTTAGATGATGCTGAATGCTTCCATATTGTCATATGCATTAAAAAAGTTCATGTTTATGTTGATTAAGCCCTTTTTATAGTTGACAGGATTTTGTAATAGTTTTATTATGTTTTTGATGTTAGATTGGGTCTCCTGCTGAATAAAAAGTGCTGAGCAAACAGCATAAGCTAAAGGTGTTCCTTGGGAATAGTTGCTGTATCTTAGAGAATTTCTGTGAGGCCATTCATGATAAAGTACAAAGAATTTGTAGTTTATGTGTTGTGATCATATGCTTTTAACTGAAAATTTACTTTTCACTGAAAAAATTTGCATATTACAGAACAAAAGGAGAAATGGGGAGATGCTGTTTAAAAACACCTAGGTGAAAGTAAACAAGGTGCCTTCAAGTATTTTCACATAGCATGATTTTTACAATGTTTTAATATACAGATTGAAAGGAGAAAAGGCCTGTTCTCACCTAACGCAGTTAAGCTTACATTTTACAAATAATTGTGTCATTTTAATGTCAATTTGGTCACAGTTGCTTGTTCTTTGTATCAGATTACTTAGATTTTAACATCTTCGAGGTTATTTTTATAGGGATTTGGCATAATTGATTGTACTTTCCTTCTTCCTAGACTCTGTGGGTGTGGTTGGAAGTCCAGAGATAGTTGTGCTTTTACACGGTTTTCCAACATCCAGCTACGACTGGTACAAGGTAATGAAGTCAGACTTCTACGTCCTACTATGTCTTAAAAAATCTCGGCCGGGCGCGGGGGCTCAAATCCTAGCACTTTGGGAGGCTGAGGTGGGAGGATGACCTGAGGTCAGGAGTTTGAGACCAGCCAGGCCAACATGGCAAAACCCCATCTCTACTAAAAGTATAAAAATTGGCCAGGCATGGTGGCACAAGCCTGTAATCCCAGCTACTTGGGAGGCTGAGGCAGGAGAATCGCTTGAACCCGGGAGGCAGAGGTTGCAGTGAGCTGAGATTGCACCACTGCACTTCAGCCTAGGTGACAGAGCGAGAGTCTGTCTCAAAAAAAAATTTTTTTTTAATAAAAATTTAAAAAACCTCAAGGATTTTGTTGTCAGCACCAGAAGGCTCTTGCACATTTGAATTGCTTTTAAAAAAACATTAAATGTTGAACTGTTCCTTATTTACTGAAGGGAATAAACAACTCCTTGGCACTCTGGAAGGGATCACTGCCAAGTTACCCTCCCTCAACAGGGATTAATTACCAGGAATAAAGCATTTTCCAAGAGGATCATCTGTGGGACCTGTGGTAGTTTCATGGCGTTTTCTCTTTATGGAAGTCTGTTAAGCCAAGATAGGGCTGAAGCTCCTGTGCAACTGTAGGTCTGGTGAAAGGGAGGGGCAGGAGCAGAAAGCCCAAATCATCGTTTCTTTCTTGTAGATTTGGGAAGGTCTGACCTTGAGGTTTCATCGGGTGATTGCCCTTGATTTCTTAGGCTTTGGCTTCAGTGACAAACCGGTAAGCAGCACCTATGTGGGGCTGGTGATGGGGTGTGGGGGCAGACGCAGACTATGAGGGTCAGGCTGGCAGAGAGAGCTGTCCTCATGACTTCATCCTGTGTATGTGGGCTTTCCTTTCCTCAGAGACCACATCACTATTCCATATTTGAGCAGGCCAGCATCGTGGAAGCGCTTTTGCGGCATCTGGGGCTCCAGAACCGCAGGATCAACCTTCTTTCTCATGACTATGGAGATATTGTTGCTCAGGAGCTTCTCTACAGGTCAGTGGAGCTTCAGACTTCAGCTTATGATGCTAGGAAAGTACATTGTTTCTGGACTGTTTGTATCCTTTTTCTCTCGTTTTCAGCGGTGCACTGGTTTAAGTTTGCTCAGCTACATGTGTGTTTCCTCGTCTCCCTTCTAGGTACAAGCAGAATCGATCTGGTCGGCTTACCATAAAGAGTCTCTGTCTGTCAAATGGAGGTAATTGCCTTGGCGGTAGGTAGAAAGTGGGTGTAATCTAGAAGGGCCATCTTTAGATACAGCGGCACCTAAATGGTAATCTGATAATATTTCAAGTAGACATAATTAAACTATGGGATCTCTACCTCTTCTGTGCCATCAACTCCTTTGGTGGTCTGACAAGATTTATGGACCCTTTCTCAGAATGTTTTAAAATAAAGAAACAAACAGCATTACAAAGGATAGTGACTTTACTTACATAGTCAATAAAAAGCTGCATTATAGTCACATGTGCTTTTTCAATGCATTAGATAGCAAGTTCTAGTGGAGGACCTAGTAACAGCTATATCAGAAGGAGTGAGGAGTGTAAAGACTGTTTGCCATATCTGAAACAACTGCAATAGGTTATGAGAGTGTAGGATTGAAGATACAGAAAAAAGCCACAAGTGTTTCTAATACTACTATGATGTTAGTGTAGAAAATCCTTACTTAATGTCATCAATGGGTTCTTGGAAACTGTGACTTTAAATGAAACGTTATAATGGAACCAATTTTTTTTCTCATCAATGTTTTAAAGAAAGGATGTTATTCAAGGACCTGCTGTACCTCATTCTGCTTAAAGCCGAAGTTTCCAAGAACCTATCCTGATGTTAAGTGAGGACTTAACTGTATGAGATTCCCCAACTCCTAACTGATGGCAGTGCCAAGTTTCAGTTAGAAAATACCGAACCCCTGATTAGACTTTCTGGGTAGCCAGCTTGCAAGTTCATGAATATCCAAATGTCTCCTGAACGCCTTAAGAGCAGACTGGGAGAGAAATCCGTCTCTCCCTTTATCACTTATGCTCATGGCTTTCTTCCACTGACTCTGAAGAGAAAGGGAAAAGGAAAAACTCTAGGGTTTTTAAAGGACCTATACTTATTTAAAAACTTCTTGTTTTATTCTTACAGCCCAAATCATTAACCCTCGTGTTCTGAGTGATAGGGGGAAATGCTAAGGGGAGTCAGAGCCTGGTTATCAGCATTTTGGATGACCATATATTTTCTCCCCGTTTCACTATCTTTAAGATGGGAAAAGTAATTCCAGTGGGATTTATTGTGACCAGTTAAACACAGAATTCCTGGAGAAGTAATTAGATGACAGTTTTAAATTGTTATTTGTAATTCTGTTTTGGTAGTAAAGGCTGCAGAGGTGATGGTGAATAGGGTGGGTAGTTTCTGATAATGGGCTTGCCTTTGACCTAAATGTAGGTAGGCTGGGTGAGGTGGCTTGCACCTGTAATCCCAGCACTTTGGGAGGCTGAGGTGAGAGGATTGCTTGAGCTCGAGACCAGCTGGGCAACCCAGTGAGATCCCGTCTCTATAAAAAAAAAAAAATTAAAGCTGTAGGTAAATGACTAAGATAAGTCTCTTCTACAGGTATCTTTCCTGAGACTCACCGTCCACTCCTTCTCCAAAAGGTTGGTACTTCACTGATAGACCTTTAGTTTTAGGATTTGTACTGACGTAAATAATGCTGGGACCTTTTAAGGGCCATAGCTCCTGTAACTGGCAGTAGTTAAATCCTCTTCCTTGTGAATTTCTATTAATGAAGTTACTTTTTCCCTTCTTAGGCAACTAAAGCAGAGGCAGTGGCCCCTACGTAAACCCAAAACCAATCCTAAGAATAAGAGATCAACAAATATTTGGAGAAATTACAGCTATGGAAAGATCTGTGTCACAAGCTTGATGTTTGAACAAATTAGGATCCTACTCTAAACTTGAATATATCAGAGTTAAAGTTTTAGGGATTTAGTGAATTGTAGAAAAGTAATCTTAGATGGAATTAGAAATAGATTTGTCTTCCTTGAGAGAAGAATGCGGGTAGGCAAAACAAAATGCCAAGTACCAAACCATTCAGTAGCAGGAGATTTGGCTAAAGATTTAGTTCCTAGTATAAAACCTTTTGCCCCGGTGAGGATCTTCCTCTGGGTTCTTGAGCTTTACCTCCACTTATTCCCCTCCAGCTACTCAAAGATGGAGGTGTGCTGTCACCCATCCTCACACGACTGATGAACTTCTTTGTATTCTCTCGAGGGTAAGTGTCACTGTCAAAGATTGTGGCCTAGAGCAATGTCGTGAAAAGTTGCTGCCATTACAATTCTGGGCCAAATCCTAAGGCTTGATATTTTAAAGCAAAGGTGTTGGCCGCTTGCCAGGGAAGTAGAAGGAATTCATAAATCACTTATGGGTCAGACTGCATGGCCCAGACTGCATGGCCTCTGAGGTTCCAGCCATATTGAACATTCTGAGTTCTCCTCACACTTATCTTCCTGCGTTTTGGACTCTTTCAGTCTCACCCCAGTCTTTGGGCCGTATACTCGGCCCTCTGAGAGTGAGCTGTGGGACATGTGGGCAGGGATCCGCAACAATGACGGGAACTTAGTCATTGACAGGTAAGAAGTTACCCTTTGCTTTGGTTTCCAGAGACGTGTTTTTGTGGAGAGTGGGGATTGCTTGTTCTGTTCCTTGCTGGCTTATTCCCTATCACAGGAAGGCTGATGATGACCTATGGGGCAAACCAAAAAGTCATGGTCTATATGAAGAAAGAAATAGAAAATAAGAGTGAAACTGGACTCTTTGTTAGTATTAAATGCTTCAAAGTATTGAATCATGGTTGTGAAAGTAGCCTAGTGCCTCCCTCAAGGTACAAGGCTCTTCCTTTTGCCTATCTTTCTGCAGCAACGGGGAGTGAGAGGGCAGACTTCTCTTTCTCTGTCTTGTACAAAGAATTCCCATGCCTTGGTTCAAATGAGAATGTAGACACTTTCACAAGGGACCCAGAGGTGGTGATAGCTGTAACTACTTGGGATAAGACTCTGACTTCTAGCCACCTGGCTCAGTGTAGCTTCCAGTGTTTTTACTGATGGCTTTGCTGGGGATTGTATGTTAGAGGGAGCCAATCCTCCCACCCTCTCCTAAGCCCCAACAGGATCCCTGAATATTTCATTTTAGTATTAAAAAACTGAAGAACAATTAAGACTGTCTTTTAAAATTATATTTTCCTTTCCAAAAAGTAAATACTATTTGTAAGATGAGATATTTGAGGTTCACAAAAATAACTGTCCTGGAGTTGCCAGGCAGAATGAGTAGAATACATGAGTTTGAGTTCTAAAATGTGGCAGTGGTGTCTTACGCTGGAGAAAGAGGAATCCTCTCCATTTTATCTGTGGTCAGATGAAGCTTTGTGCTCATCAACATCTACACTTAGAATTTTGAAGTAGATGTCGGCTGGGCACAGTGGCTCACGCCTGTAATTTGAGCACTTTGGGAGGCCAAGGTGGGCGAATCATATGAGGTCAGGAGTTTAGAGACCAGCCTGGCCAACATGATGAAACCCCGTGTCTACTAAAAATACAAAAATTAGCCAGTAATTCCAGCTACTCAGGAGGCTGAGGCACAAGAATTGCTTGAGCCCAGGAAGCGGAGGTTGCAGTGAACTGAGATCATGCCACTGCACTTCAGCCTGGGCACAGAGTGAGACTCCGTCTCAAAAAAAAAAAAAGAAAAAAAAAAAGAAGTAGATGTCAACACAGAAGATCATGTGTTACAATCCTCTTATTTTAAAAATGAGGAGGCTAGCCAGGTCCTTTGGCACATGCCTGTACTCCCAGCTACTTGGGAGGCTGGGGTGGGAGGATCTCTTGAGGTCAGAAGTTATAGCTGTAGTGAGCTATGATTGCACCTGTGACTAGCCACTGCACTCCAGCCTAGGTAACATAGGGAGACCCTGTCTTTTAAAAAACAAACCAACAAATGAGGAAACCGAGTTGAAAGATCTGTGTTATATGTTTGAGTCAGAGAGGTAGGTAGTGGTGGAGCCTAAATTGGAACCTCAGACCTGGGCTTTTTAGTTACATAAAATCCAAACCAACTGTCAGCCTTCCTAGATCTCATTCCCTGCTTAATAAATACACAAACCCACTAATTCTTATATTGATAGTAGGCATAATCACTACTAGAGCTACATGGTGGTTAACTCTAGAGGTTAACAGAAATGGATAAATTAAGTGGGACATTTCCAGGAATGCTAAACTGCTTCTGGATTAAGAAATTGTATCTTGTGTTCCTTGTGGCTCGTTATGCCCTTGAATCCCTGTAACAGTAAAGGTTTCTTGTTCTGCACATGCTGACTTACCTGTCCTACAGTCTCTTACAGTACATCAATCAGAGGAAGAAGTTCAGAAGGCGCTGGGTGGGAGCTCTTGCCTCTGTAACTATCCCCAGTGAGTATTTTTGTATTATTGATAGGAAACTGAAGGACTATAGGGTTAAAGTAATCGCAACTCCTTTATACAATTAGGGTTACCAGATTTAGCAAATAAAAATATAAGATACCCAGTTAAATTTGAATTTTAGATAAACAACAAATGCTTTTTTAGTATTTAAGTATATGTTGTACAATATTTGGGACCTACTTACACCAAAAAAAAATCATTTTTCACCTGAAATTCAAATTTTCTGGGTATCCTTTATTTTACTGGCAACTGTACTCATGACATCTGGAACAGTGATGTGTGTGTGTAGAGTGAAGTATATAAAAAGCTGAGACATTACTGTAAAGGTAGTTGGTATTACTGATTTCTGTGGTGTGCATTGTCAGTGACTGCCACATTACATGCTGAATTGCTCGGACAGAAGGCTGTTTGGATTACTAATCAAGAGGCTATAGGTGGTTTGTGCTTATTTGTCTTTTCATTCTTACAGATTTAAAAAAAAATTATGGTGTTTCACACATAGTGATTAGTGCTCAGGAAATTATTGGTTGATTTCAAATGTCAAGGGTCTGTTATAACTGAAGAGAGACTTAAAGAATGATAGTATCCTGGACTTAGAGGATGTTGAAAGTTGGGCATATCCCATTTGGTCCAGGGTGCAGGAGAGCTGGATGAGGGACCAAATGGTTGTCTGTAGGAGGAGATGTGTCCAATGAATGAACTGGTACGTGCCTAGCAGTTTTTTAGAGGTTACCTAATAAAACAAGCTAGGTTTTGTATCACACAAAAAATTATTTATAGAAAATATTTTCTTGGGCTGGGTGAGGATGCTCACGTCTGTAATCCTAGCTTTTTGGGAGGCTGAGGTGGGAGGACTGGTTGAGCCCAGGAGTTTGGCACCACTCTGGGCAACATAGTGAGAAAAATTTTTCTCTACAGATAATTTAAAAGTTAGCCAAGTGTGGTGTTGCACACCTGTATGTAGTCTCAGCTACTGAGGACACTGAGGTGGGAGGATCGCTTGGGCCAACGAGTTTGAGGTTACAGTGAGCTATGACTGCACCACTGCACTCCAGCCTGAGCAAGGGAGAGAGAGACCTTGCCTATTATAATAAAAAAAGGAAGAAGAAAACATTTCTTTTCGGAGAGGAGTTAATTTTAGGGTGGGAGTAGAACAGATGTGAGAGCTGTTAAGTATTTCATTCCTTTTCTCTTTTCTAGTTCATTTTATCTATGGGCCATTGGATCCTGTAAATCCCTATCCAGAGTTTTTGGAGCTGTACAGGTGAGTCTCCCCGAGAGAAGTCTATGTTTTGTTAGTATCTCATCCTGACAGTGGTAAACAGAATTGCCTGTTGAGGGCTATTGGCTCTAGCCATTGTCTTTAACCTCGCTGGCTGTTCATCCAGGAAACAATAAAAAGATTGAGTTGAGGAATCTTATTCTAACATAATTGTAGTATCAAGACATTCAGTTATACGTTCTCTTGATTTATACATAGTCTGTTTTCACTGTCATGACTGCTACATATTCCTTGGTGTACAAAAAGCTCTCATGTGAGTCAAAGGTTGAAAGTGGATATACCTACAAAGTGTTTGTTTGTTTTAGTCTGATTGTAAAGCCAATTCATTGGTTTAGGCTGAGCAGATGGCAAGGAGAGATTGAGAAGAGCTCATTGTGGAAAAGTGCCTTCTCATTGGTTGCTATTCTCTCTAGGTACTTACTTGGAAGGTATCAGAATATGAAATCTTGATTATGTCACATAAGAATGTTCCATACCTTCCTGTGGCCTACTGGATACAAGCTAGTAGTAAACAGCTTGCATATAATTTTAAATAAAATACCCCCTCTCTCATCTCCTCCTGGGATTAAGGGAAGATCCTTGGTTATCTCTGCTTGGGCAGTGAGTTGCTGTGTGATCCACTTGTTTGATGCTTCATCCTTCTCTAAGGAGCTGAAAGTCATCTTGCTTTGACAATTGTTGCAAAAGTGTTATATTTTCAAGTTGTTGTTTGTTGGATTATGAACATTTAAAAACTAGTTTGTATAAATGGAATTGGCAAGTTTATCTGCCTAAGATACAATTTCAGAGTAGAAGGTGAATAAGCTCTTTGGTGGCTCCTTCCAGTGTGGTGTGTCCACAGGGTCATTTACTGGGGCTTCCCACTGGCTTACATCCCTCCCGCTCCAGCCTCAAGTTCACCTGCGTGCTGTTCTCTTCCACTAGGAAAACGCTGCCGCGGTCCACAGTGTCGATTCTGGATGACCACATTAGCCACTATCCACAGCTAGAGGATCCCATGGGCTTCTTGAATGCATATATGGGCTTCATCAACTCCTTCTGAGCTGGAAAGAGTAGCTTCCCTGTATTACCTCCCCTACTCCCTTATGTGTTGTGTATTCCACTTAGGAAGAAATGCCCAAAAGAGGTCCTGGCCATCAAACATAATTCTCTCACAAAGTCCACTTTACTCAAATTGGTGAACAGTGTATAGGAAGAAGCCAGCAGGAGCTCTGACTAAGGTTGACATAATAGTCCACCTCCCATTACTTTGATATCTGATCAAATGTATAGACTTGGCTTTGTTTTTTGTGCTATTAGGAAATTCTGATGAGCATTACTATTCACTGATGCAGAAAGACGTTCTTTTGCATAAAAGACTTTTTTTTAACACTTTGGACTTCTCTGAAATATTTAGAAGTGCTAATTTCTGGCCCACCCCCAACAGGAATTCTATAGTAAGGAGGAGGAGAAGGGGGGCTCCTTCCCTCTCCTCGAATGACGTTATGGGCACATGCCTTTTAAAAGTTCTTTAAGCAACACAGAGCTGAGTCCTCTTTGTCATACCTTTGGATTTAGTGTTTCATCAGCTGTTTTTAGTTATAAACATTTTGTTAAAATAGATATTGGTTTAAATGATACAGTATTTTAGGTATGATTTAAGACTATGATTTACCTATACATTATATATATTTTATAAAGATACTAAACCAGCATACCCTTACTCTGCCAGAGTAGTGAAGCTAATTAAACACATTTGGTTTCTGAATAAATTGAACTAAATCCAAACTATTTCCTAAAATCACAGGACATTAAGGACCAATAGCATCTGTGCCAGAGATGTACTGTTATTAGCTGGGAAGACCAATTCTAACAGCAAATAACAGTCTGAGACTCCTCATACCTCAGTGGTTAGAAGCATGTCTCTCTTGAGCTACAGTAGAGGGGAAGGGATTGTTGTGTAGTCAAGTCACCATGCTGAATGTACACTGATTCCTTTATGATGACTGCTTAACTCCCCACTGCCTGTCCCAGAGAGGCTTTCCAATGTAGCTCAGTAATTCCTGTTACTTTACAGACAGGAAAGTTCCAGAAACTTTAAGAACAAACTCTGAAAGACCTATGAGCAAATGGTGCTGAATACTTTTTTTTTAAAGCCACATTTCATTGTCTTAGTCAAAGCAGGATTATTAAGTGATTATTTAAAATTCGTTTTTTTAAATTAGCAACTTCAAGTATAACAACTTTGAAACTGGAATAAGTGTTTATTTTCTATTAATAAAAATGAATTGTGACAAAAGTGGACTCTGGCTTCCCCTCCCCCCTCCCCCCCACCCCTCTGGGATAAAAATTTTCCAGCATTGCCAGGAGCTTTCAGGTACACATTAAAGAATAAAATGAAGTTAAGCAGCTGGAGTATAGGATAGTATTTGATTTTCAAGATCACCCAAAGCTGCACTATCGTCCCAAAGCTGACCAAGTAGAATAAAAAGAAAAAAAAAAAAAAACAACCCATGCGCAAAGATAGACATTTGCTTGATCTGCTGGCTCAGGGCCAAATGTTTAATTTGCTTCTCCAAAGTCATTCATCTTCAAAAGTCTGATTCTGGGAAACTGATGCCACTAGCCTAAAAGCCCACTGACCATGTAGTGTGCATCAGTTTCCTCTTGTCCAGTAAGCATTTATCCAACAGAAGCTAAGATAACATCTACAGGTGTTCTCTCTTTACTTCTGACAGTCACCTGCATGGTCACTCCATCGGCTAAGGCCAGCCTGGACCTCACCAATAAATCATAGCCACCTCTGAATATACCTGAGAGAAAAAAGTAAGGAAAACCATATTAAGAACCCAAAACAAGCACTGGATAATGAAATTTATCATGCTATCCCTGCATCTCCTTTCTATTAGTTTAGTTTAGCTTTTCCAGAGACTTGTGGAAACTGAATCCTAAACAAACATAAATTCCAAATATATATATTTTTATATTCCCATGAAACCAGGTACATAGAAGGTATTCAAAAATACCAATTTGGAGTACTCAAAAGGAATGTTGGTGGTGGCCTTGGTATCTGTTGGAGAGATTTGTTTTGGGCCAAATGTACATCTTAAAAGAATAACCAAGAATAGCATGCAAAACAAATTATTCATTTTGACTGGGTATCAAATTGTTACTCATATAATGGGATGATGGGACAACAGCAAGGCATAAGATGCCCATCTATATCCTATTATTAAGCTTTGCAAGAAAATGGAAGGAAAATCTGATGGAAGCTTCTTACCTGCCAGATAGAGCGAATGGGAATTCTTGTTCTCAGGTACTTTATCGGACCTCTCACATGGCTGCATGCCCAGAAATGTGATGATATTGTTGACAGCCTCTGTGTTGAGAAGATGTATGAGACAGTATTAGGAAAGTAAAGCACAGGGATCTCCCTCTGCACCAGTGTATGCTGGGAGCTGGGGTGGAAGGGTTTGTTGGTGAAGGGGGTTGTTGGTGATGTGTAGAGGGAGGCTACTACTGGACTAGAAAATGGCTGATCAATTAGATGATGAAGACAGGGTGCTGGCCTTTTAAGTAAGAGATTTATGAAGTTTTTTTTTTTTTAAAGGAGTTCTTCTGGAGTAACAAATATGCCTGTTAGGTGTTATACTGTTATCAGGCAATATACTGATAGCAAAATGGGTCTCACCTTCAAGGGTTTTGGTAGAACTGAGGGCAAAGGTTTCCTCTTTCTCAAAGGTATCTCCCACCTCTTCCCAAGCAGCAGCAAAGTTAGGCTTCAGTACTTTCTGAATATGGTCAGACACAGTCACTTCGAGATCTTCCAGCTAGTGGGTAATAAGCAGTCAGTAAAGAAAAGTCCTTTCTGTTATAGGGCAAAGATAAAGGAACTAGTCAATATGGTCCTCCGGAGCCTAGAGAAAACTCTACCACCAAAATAGTTTAAGTTCTGTAGTCTGGATAAATCTAATGTTGTAGCCCTTAGCAAAGGAAAGCAAGAAAACAGAACATCTGGCAAGAGCCTCAGATCAACATCTGTAGCCCTGAGGTACAGAGTAGTCATGTTGCACCCACACTTGACCACTGAGTTCTGGGCACACGGTACCCTCTGATCATTCACTAAGAGGTTGATATTTTTTAAAAAAAGTTTTCCCTCCATTCTGTGAAGGCTTTTTAATCCATGATCTGGCTATAAACTAACAGCTGCTGAAGCAAAAACAAAAAACCAAAAAACAAAACCAACCCCCTCCCCAAATCATTTTAAATAAAACTGATCTCAATGAAAATCATGTCATTATTTTCATCTCTTAATTATCCCTATTATAAAGAAAAAAAAGGGTGAGTTTGTTTTAATGATGAAGTGGTAAATCTCAATTCTCTCTGGCCTGGTGCTGTCCAGTTACAGAGGAGGGTTAGTCCAGGTCCTCCTAATTTGTCATCTGTTTCAGAAGAATAGAAATCCCTTAAGTTTATGTCAGATGCTCCTAGAAAAATGTTCTCTCAAGGCAGAAGTCACTTAGTGTTGTGAAGGTGTCAAAGAAAGTCTCTATGCTGGGAAGACTCACCACATACTCATCATCATACCCATCCTCATCTGGAACTCCAGTGTTAGGGTCACAGTCCCGGACTGTAAACTTCATGGTGCAGCTAAAGGAGCCTGCAACTGGAGGAGAAGGGAGGCAAACCTGCATCAGTGGGGAGTGCAAGGGAGACGTTTCCATCATTCCATCTGTACTCAGCACTGTGTTCCACATTTTCCAGTTAAACACACATGCCCTGTTGTCTGGGGTAGTGGTTCTCAAAAGCAGCCTACAAGCGGGTCAGGAAGGCAGTCTCACAAAGCATGAATGTAAAGTCTATTCCACGCTGTGGGTTACAGCAGTACAGAAATGATAACATGGGCAGACTGTTTCTCTATTGGTATGAAGAAAGCAGCAGAGAGGTACTTTTGGGGGCTTTTTGCCATGCCTATCAAAGGGGCCTAAATGTTGAAAAATAAATATTTTGAGAACCACTGCTGTAGGACCTGACCAAAAAAAAAAACAAAAAAAAAACCTGTGGTAAAAAGCATACAGATCATCAGATTAACATTGACCAATCTCATCAGCATCTCAATACTATCTTTAGATTGTGGACTGATGGCGGGTCCACAGATCACCAGAGAGAACTTGCTTTATCTGTCAACCTTCAGCCTAAAGTGAGTAGGTCAGTAATGAGTTTCTAGTATTGGTAAAGTCAGTGTCTTAAATGGAAAAGCAAGTGGGCAGTTGTATGTTTTCACACAAGTGGTGTTAAGTAATAAGAAATGGAGGTGGGGGTACATTTTTGGAAAGTGAAGTCTTTATAAAAAGTAAAGACAGTATTTTCTGAAATGTTTGAAGGAGGGGATTTAGCAAGCAGGGATGAAGAAAAGGCATTTAGGATCTTGTCTATGGTCTGGAAAAAGCTTATAGGTACAAAAAATATTAGATATTGGGAGAGTTAAAAAGTTATTTGGGGGATAGGCAAGGAGAGGAAAGAACAGGCTCAGATGTGAAGACCATATACGACAGATTGGGTAATAAGACTTTCATCTGCTCAGTCTTGACTTTAAATTCCATCCATTCATCCATCCACACATGTAGTGACTGTCAATACATGTTGACATTACACGTAAAGGTATAAGCTTATGTGCCAGACACTTGGATAAAAAGATGACTGAGACATGATCTCTGTCTCTAGGAGCTGTCTAGGAGTTAAATAAGTGTGTGGGCTGTGTGTGTGTGTGATCTATCTATGACTTTACAACTCAATGCCATAGATCCTTTAAGTTTTAAGAGAGTGCCATGTGAGGGTGCGGGATTAACAAATAGCCTGGGAAAACTGTAAAAAATGTGAAACGATATAATAGTTTAACTGGCTCTCAAAAGATGCAAAAGAGCTTTGGCAAGCAGAGGAAGATGTACAAACAGGCAAAAGGAAAGAGGCCAGAAAGTCCACCGGGCAGCTGGAAACAGTAAGAGGCATGCTAATGCCTAGGTGCTGAGAAGATAATTTGTTTAGGAATAAATTGTAAAATACCTTGTATTTCAAATGATTTTCCAACAGGCTCTGGTGAGCTGAGGCAGTCAAGAGATTGAAAGGTTAGAGATAAGCTAGATAAGGTGCCTAATTTAAGCCACTGGTGGGGACTATGAAGAATGGGTCTGAATTCAGAGAGCAGATGGATTCAACAGAATATGCTGAAAACAGACGATGGCAGTGGGTTTTCCCATATAGGAAAGAATGAACCTATCAAGCCTGCAGAATCAATTTCAATGCCATTAGGGGTTGAGAAAAGAACGACTGTGGTTTAATTAGGATAGGATTTTCTTCAGAGAGAAGGGGAAAGAAGTGAAAGTTAACACAAGGCCAGAACAGGTCAGGTGAGGCATTTTTTTTAAACCATGAAAGAGATACAGAATATGGTAGGGGAAAAGGTCATGATCAAGTTAGAATGAAGAGTCAGGAGAGACATTAATTATAGCAACCCAGTGTGGTTCCAATTAAGCAGAGAGGCTACAGCAAATGAGGAGGACAAAGAGACAACATCAGGTATGAAGGCAGATCACAGACTGGGCACAGGGGCTGAGTTTTATGTGGAGGTAAAGACAGAAGACACTTACATATAAGGACCTGATACAGAGAAAGAGATTAAGGAAGTAAATAGGAATGGTGTTAGTAGAGATAATGTTCCTGAAACCTTAGTGGGAATTTTTTTACTTAAATGGTTTGATTGATACAATGAGAGGTTACAGGGATCTAAGGAAGTCTAGGCAGTAATCTGTCGAAGCTGCTGGAGAGGATGACGAAATGGGGCGAGGAGGCAAGATGCGGGGGCCTTTCCATGGCAAGAAAATACTGAATGCACTGCCATAATGTAAATATGAGAGTTACACAGACAAAGCAAGGCAAATACCAAAGAGAATCAGGAAAGAATGCCCTGAAGATCTGCATTAAAACTGTTCTCTGAAATTAAGCTTGTCTTGTGAGGATTCACTGAAAATGAGAGTCAACCACTAAGGAGATTTGTATGAAAAGAACCCAGCGAATTAGAGAAAAGATAGATGCTGGCAGCTAAGACAGGAGAGGGACATGTGAGTTGGGCCAGGGTACAGAAAATGCAGTGTGGCAAAGGGCAGAGTGGGAAAGGTGGGAGGGAGCTGCCAGGTCTCAACCACCTGGGGGAGACCATGACAAAGTAAGAGACACTTATGAGGTATTTCCAGAAAGCTTTGTTAGAATAATAATTAAAGAAAAGGGTATGTCACTAGGGCAAAAGATTAGAAAGAAGGCAAAAGAGATGGATCTGTACAGGCTAACTGCAGCAGTCTATGCAGGTCTGGACTGAACTGAGAAGCAATGGGTGCAGCATAGTGTGTAGGACATCGAGGAAAGCTGGGCAGTGAGTGCCAAAATAAGCAATACACACCTACCTGGAAAATCGTGTTGAGTCTGTGGGAATGCTGTACAAATGGTGGGAGGGAGTTTTTCTCTAGGACAAATTCAGAAAGGGAAGGAGGAATGGTACTGGAAAGCAACATTAGAGTTGTCCTCAGATGAAAAGGAGTTGGTCACTAAGGAATGACACACATCAACAGGAAGGTAAGACAGCATTGCTGGGCCAAAAGTCATAAGAGAGTATGAAATAAGAGACTGGAAGCAAAGGAAAGAAAATATTACATAAGGAAGGGCCTACTGGCAGAGCAGGTGTGGAATAAAGATTTAGAATGGGGTATCCTGTCTAGGTCTAAATGGTCGGCTGCATGGGAAATACACAGAAAGGGTTAAGGAGCAAGGAATTCAGTAGGAGGCAGCAGCAGACTAGCTCTTAAAGCTTTTGAGGGAATGGCTAATTAAAGGACTTGCTTGATAGGAAAGTTATAAACTGATGAATGCTGATAAAAAGCTATAGATGGGCCGGGTGCAGTGGCTCACGCCTGTAATCCCAGCACTTTGGGAGGCTGAGGCAGGTGGATCACCTGAGGTTGGGAGTTCAAGACTAGCCTGGCCAACATGGTGAAACACTGTGTCTTCTAAAAAAAAAAAAAAAAAAAAAAAAATACAAAATTAGCCGGGCGTGGTGGCCCATGCTTGTAATCCCAGCTACTTGGGAGGCTGAGGTAGGAGAATCACTTGAACCCAGGAGGCAGAGGTTGTGGTAAGCCGAGTTGGTGAGCCTTGTTAACTCTCCTTGTTAATACACAACTCTCCTTGTTAATATACAACTCTGACAATTTAACATGAGCCAAGCCCCATTGCACTCCAGCCTGGGCAACAAGAGCAAAACTCCATCTAAAAAAAAAAAACAAAAAACAACAAAAAAGCTATAGATGGCAACTTTAGAAATATTAGGCTTGATTTATTAAGAGAGTGTGAACATGTAGTTTGTCCAGAGAATGGATTATTGCTACTAGATGGGGAATGGGTGATTATGAAGAGTGAAGTAAAAAAGTCTATATCTATTTCTGTAGAGATGGTAAGGCCGGGTGCAGTGGCTCACACTTGTAATTCCAGCATTTTGGGAGGCTGAGGCTGGCAGATCACTTGAGGTCAGGAGTTTGAGACCAGCCTGGCCAAGATGGTGAAACCCCGTCTCTACTAAAAATTTTTGTAAAAATACAAAAATTAGCTGGGCGTAGTGGCACATGCCTGTAATCCTGGAGGTTTCAGTGAGCCAAAATCACGCCACTGCACTCTAACCTGGGTGACAGAGTGAGTTTCCGTCTCAAAAAAAGAAAAAAGAGAGAGATGGCAAGTGAAAGGATGACTGACAGTTAAGATATCGTAGACTATTGCACAGTGTTCCACTGAAGTTGCCTAGAAGTTACTCTGCTATGTGAGGATTGGCTAAAAGTGACAGACATTTCCTAGGGAAACATGAATGAAAATATCACAGGGGAAGAGAAAGAGAAGATGGAGGCTGGAAGCTAAAAGATGAAAAGATGTAGGATTTAGGCTGGAGTGTGGAATATAAAGTGTGGGTAGGGGCTGGGCACGGTGGCTCATGCCTGTAATCCCAGCACTTCAGGGGACTGAGACAGGTGGATCATTTGAGGTCAGGAGTTTGATACCAGCCTCGCCAACATGGTGAAACCCCATCTCTACTAAAAATGCAAAAAGTAGCTGGGCGTGGTGGCAGGTGCCTGTGATCCCAGCTACTTGGGAGGCTGAGGCAGTAGAATCACTTGAGCCCGGGAGGTGGAGGATGCAGTGAGCCGAGATCAGGCCACACTGCACTCCAGCCTGGGTGACAAGAGTGAAATAATTCTGTCTAAAAAAAAAAAAAAAAAAATATATATATATATATATATATATATATATATATGTGTGTGTGTGTGTGTGTATATATATATATATATGTGTGTGTGTGTGTATATATATATATACACATATACATATATATGTATGGGTAGGGAAGGGCATTAAAGAGGGCCAGAATGAGGAACACCAGAAGATGGCAGAGCTGCATATGCAGTAGAGAGATGTGAGTTAAGCTGGGTTACAACCAAAGAAGGAAAGAGAATACAAAGAGTAAGTAGATAAATAAGAACTGGTGTCATGAGGAAGTGCCATCTGGGAATCTTTGCTTGAATGATGTTTGAAGCAACAAGTGTGACCAATAGAGTGAAAGGTCAAGGAGTTTAAATGGAATGGATTCTTGCCATAGGCAGTGGCAGGAACCCTATGAAGGTCTGGAATGAACTGAAAGTGCAAGTGTTTTCAGAGTAGTGTGGAGGTGACGAGGAAGAAAAGACTAAATTCATGAGAATGATACACAAGATGATAGCTGAAAAAACAAGTGACTAACAGTTGTTCTACTAGGGTCAACTGGGGAAAATAGTGGAAGAGCCTGCAGAAGAGACGGAGTCATTTGAAGATTGGCAGGTATTGACTGGAGGGATACGGCCCCATAAGTGTAAGATTAAATAAGGAGAGACTGGAAACTGTGTAAAGGGAGAACTATACAAAGAGTAGGTAAGCGTAGGTGGAGTGGCATGGACAGGTAAAATGAGGAAAGTGTTTCCCAGAATGGGAAATCTTGTAAACCCTTAAAAAATGTGGGTTTATTCAGTCAAATGTTGGCTCTTAATTGCAGACTTTGAAAAGCAGTAGATACAATGGAAGAAGAACAAGTGCTTGAAAAGTAATGCGAAGCTTTTGTGAGAAGTTTAATGAGAAGGATTAGAAGGAGATGGATTAAGATGAGCCCTAATAGGGCAGCACTTAAAGACACCAGGATAGATCTTTGAGTAGTTTGTAGAATGGATGACTAATATTGGAAGAGGAGTGGCTGGAGATCATGTTGGAAACCCATCTCAAGGGTGAAACTTCTTTGTTTCCAGGTACAGATGGTAGATGAAATTTTACTCTATATAATTAAGGGAGGGCAAATCACCAAAGGGGAGAAACAAATGAATATCATGTAAGTGCGGTATTAAAGTTACTCTTAGAAGTTACTCTGTCATGTGAAGATTTTCTACAGATGAGAGACAGACACTAGAGAGAATTTGGCTAGGAAGTGCCATTCAGGAGGAGACAGAGTCCATCTGAATGAAATATGGACAGCAGCTAAAAGAAGGGAGGCTGAAGATAAGGTAGCGTACATCTTTAGGGCAAGATAGGTAACAAGGAGAAAAGGAATAGGAGAAAACATTAAAGTTGACTCCAGATGAAAAGGTCATTTGAAGAATGGCAGGACTGACTGGAGAGACAGTCCCATATTTGGGCCAAAAGACATGAAGAGGGGTTAAAGCTAAGGGGAGCATTAAATAAACTAGATAATGATTCTGAAAAGGTGGCGTGGTAATAAGAAAGACCACAGCGCCATAAAGATGCCTGGAGAATCCTGCCAGATCTCAGAATGGGCCCAACTGGCCAAATTCAGTGGGTGTAAGGCCAGATTGCAGTGACTAGTATATGGGAGAGAAGGAAAGACCTGAATAGGAATGAGTCAGTAGACTCGCTCTTGATGCCTTAGTGGGAGATTTTTAATTAAAGGGCTTGGTTGAGGGAGAAGTTGAAGAGCAATGCTTCTTAGAATGTGTTACATGGCACTATCTAGGAATCTGTTAGAAATATGAATTCTTTTCCCCTCCCCCAGACCTAGTCAGTCAGAAACTCAGGGTGCATTAATCTGTTCTCACATTGCTATAAAGAAATACCTGGGACTGGGTAACTTATAAAGAAAAGAAGTCTAATTGGCTCAAGGTTCCACAGGCTGTACAGGAAGCATGGCTGAGGAAGCCTCAGGAAACTTACAATCATGGCGGCAGGTGAATGGTGGGGAGCCAGCACTTCACAGGAGAAAGATAGAGAGTGGGAGGAGGTACCACACACTGAAAACAGTCAGGTCGTGTAAGAACTCTATCACAAGAACAGCACCAAGGGGATGGTGCTAAACCATTTATGAGAAACTGGCCTCATGACCCAGTCACCTCCCACTAGGCCCTACCTCCAACACTGGGGATGACAGTTCGACATGAGATTTGAGTAGGGATACAGATCCAAACCACATCCTGGGGTAAGGCCCTGCAGCTTGTTTTAACCAGCTGCAGTTGGAGAACCACTGCTTTAGACAAAGGCAGGCTAGGAACAATTCTGATAAAGAGCCTCTGCTAGCAACTGTTGTGTTAGGGTCAGCTGAAAATTAAAAGAAGCAACTGAAGAGACTTGAATGAAAGGAGAGGAGAGATGGAGAGAATGGAGGTGATGGAGGGTACAAAAGGGAAGGGATAAATGAATGAGGCTGGAGGCTGAACTTGCAGCACAGTAAGCAGGCCAGTGAGGAAGGGCACTGAAGCATGACAGGATGAGGAATACTGGGACAGGGAGAGTAGCAACTCTGGTAGAGTGATTTTATGTTAATCCAGTCACAGCCACTCAAGTAGACAGAGGAAGGAGAGAACGTGGCTAGGTAAGAATTGAGGTTATGAGGGGTCACTGTTCAGGAAGCTGTGGATCTCAGATCCAGTGTGCAGTCTGAACAGTGAGTGTTGAGTGTGAGGGGTCTGTTTATCCAAAAGACAGTACTGAATCTATGGAACTGACATACACAGTCTCTGAATGAAGGAGGGATACTGAATATAGTTTTTATAAGGCAAAATAAAAAGGTGTACAATAGTGAAGTTAAAATTGCTTCCAGACGAGAAGGCATCACTTAGTATTGACCAAAAAAAGTGTCAATGATACTAACTGGAGGTATTTGGCACCATACTTGGGCGAAAGGTCATGATGGAAAATAAAGAAGCCAGGTTAGATGCTATCTAAGGGGAAGGGAAGGCTTATCTGAAGAGTAGAAAACTGGTTTTGAATGAGGGAGACAGTGGGGATATGAGGGGAGGAAACCTCAAAAAGAATATGTATCCATCACTATGAAAGGTTAGGCTATACAGGGGAAGCCTCCAAAGGGAAATCTGGAAAAATGTTCTGAGAGGGACATTAAGGATGTACTCAGAAATTAAGAAAACATATTAGGACTTGCCAAAAGTGAGAGAAGCAACTGAGGAGACTTATATGCAAAAATCGCAAAGAAGGAGAGAACAAAAGATGGAGGTTGGATGCTAAATAGGGAAAGAGAACGTGTGAATGAGGTAGGGGGCAGAACATGCAGTGCAGAAAAACAACAGATATGGAAGGGCATTAAAGAGGGCTAAATGGGAATATTAGGAAATGAGAGTTGGGAATTTGTCAGAGTTGTGTATTAACAAGGAGAGAGTAAGGTAAGAAGGTGGCAAAGTAAGAGCCAGGGCATAAGGTTTTGCTGTCCAGGAAGCTTTGTTGGAAAAATGTTAGAAGTAATGGGTTTGGTCAGTATGGTGAGAGGTGAGAGAGGCTAAATGGGATGGGCATAAAGGGCAGGCCAGTGGCAAGAATCCTATGAAAGTGTAGGCAGATCTGAGAGCACAGACAAATACAGTGGAGAATGTGGCACAGGGCAGAGGGCAGTGGGCTGAGCAGCGAGTGCCCATGGGGAGGGGAGTATCCAGAAGAACCCATTGAGTCCCTAAGAATGACACACAGGTGACAGCTGAAAGAAGGAGGGACACAGAAGATATAGCAGCATGATTCTCTGGGGCAAAATGAGGAAGAAAGGAATGGAAGAAGAAAGTGAAGGGTTCCTGCTGATGTGAGGGGATGACTGGAGGAAAGGCAGGTATTGACTGGGGGGTAAAGGAACCATTCTTGGATCAAGGTTATGATGGAATAAGAAGGAAGAGAGAGCTGGCTAGCTGAGTAAAGGACCATCGTATAAAACAGACAAAAGTTAAGACTAGATGGAGTGGCAACTAGGCAGATCAGATGTATTTTTAAAAGGGGAAACTGCTAAGATCTCAAAATGGGCCCAAGTGGTCAAATTGGGTGGGAAGGCCCAATGGTAATGAATGGTGCATCTAACAGAGCTTCGGGGACCCAGGCAGAAATGGGAATTAGTAGATTAGCTCTTGATGCTGTAGGTAGAAATTTTTGGTTAAAAACTTGGTTAATAAGAAAGTTTAAGGGAGTTTTATTAAGATGAATTCTCCTAAAAAGGTACTGCTAGCAACCTTTAAATACATCGGTATTGACCATTTAGGGAGGGTGGGTGAGTAGTTTGTCTGTAGAGGAAATTAATTGTATTTCTTGAGGACTGGTAGGGAATCATGAGGGAAGTAAACCTCAAGAGTATAATGCTATATCCACTGCTATGATAATTTAATGCTAGTAGCCAAAATGGATAGGTAAGATATGATAGAGCATAACAGGATAAGAAGAAAGGATTTTTCATCTAAGTAATGGGAGCACTGTGTTAATTAGAGCAGGGTTCTGAGTGGTCAAGTTGCAAAAAGACAAATAAGCTGTGGACTAAAAAGAACTGGAATGGAGAAATCTGTCAAATCTCAGAAGGAGTCTAATGGGTTAAATGTGTGTTGTTGAAGATTGCAATGAGTGGTGTAGATGGTGAAGAGCAGCGAAGGCCTGAATACGAGCAGGAGCCAGAAAACAGACTAGCTCTTCAAGTCTTGATGGGAAGTTTTTTCTATTGAGAACACATATACATACATTTATACAGCATTGCAAACACAGCACTACGTATTAATTATGGATATGTAGTAAAATTATGAAAATATGTATGAGGATAAGTATCAGATTCATGTAGTGATTTTCTCTTGGAAGGGAGAGAGGTAAATGATTTTGGGGAGTGATACCGAGGAAGTCTCAACTATATGTGCAATATTTGGTTTCTTTAAAAAAGATCTGAAGCAAATGTAACATCAAGATAGGAAGAAGTGGGTGTATTCATTTTGGGGGAATGAAAAGTTTTAATTAAAGAGCTTTGTTGATAAGAAAGGGTAGAGGGGGAAGATCAGGGTGAATCTTGATTCAAAGCCACTGATAGCACCTGAAAGACTGGTTTGAGAGAGCAACTGGAGAGCATGGGCAAGTGGTTTATTTGGTGAGAAGATGATCTGTATTTGGTATGGAGCAGGTGGGTGGCATTGAGGGAGTATACCTCAAGAGTATACCTTGAGAAGAATGATGTATCCATCACTGTGATTATCGATGGAAGCTGATAATACTGATGTTAATATATATGACAGTGCAAATAAAGGAAATTAGGAAGAACTTGCTGAAGTATGATACTAAGATTTGCTCAGAACAGAAATATTATGTTAGAACTGGCTGTAAGAGCAACTATTAAGATATGTATAAAAAAGAGTGAGTAGGCTGGGCACAGTTGCTCATGCCTGTAATCCCAACACTCTGGGAGGCCAAGGGGGGCAGATCACCTGAGGTCAGGAGTTCGAGACCAGCCTGGCCAACATGGAGAAACCCCGTCTCTACTAAAAATACAAAAAAATTAGCTGGGAGTGGTGGCACATGCCTGTAAGCCCAGCTACTCGGGAGGCTGAGGCAGGAAAACTGCTTGAACCCCGGAGGTGGAGGCTGCAGTGAGCCGAGATGGCACCACTGCACTCCAGCCTGGGCAACAGAGTGAGACTCTGTCTCAAAAAAAAAAAAAAAAAAGAGTAGAGAAGGAAAAAGTTGAGAAAAATTGAAGCTACAATTAAGGAAGGAGAAGACATGTTAGATTTAGGTTGGGGTGCTGAGCATGCAATGCAATTTTGCAAAATGTTAAACAGGGAAGGGTATAAGGAGGGCCGGGATGAGGAGCACTGAGAATCAGAATTACAAGTTCAGTGGAGTTGTATGTTAAGCTAGATACCAACCATGGGAGAAAAGGGGGGAGTGAGAACATAGCAAATAAGAACTGGAGTATTTGGTGCTGCCCAGAAAGCTTTGTTGGAAAAAGATTTGAAGCAATTGGTGGAGTCAACAGAATGGGAGGTTAGAGAAAGATTAATGCGACGGACTTAAAATGGGTCAGAGCAGGGATCCCAGGATGTCCAGACTGAATGGAGGGTGGAAAGAGATTAAGTACAAAGTGAGGAAGATGGAAGATGGTTGAATAGTGCTGAATATCAAGAGTGTACATATCATCCAAAAGAGATGTTTATATCCACTAAATGATACAGCTGAATGAAGAAAGAATGCTGGAGAAAATGTAAGGAGTTTGCAGCCAAAGGAGAAAGAGAAAAAGGAGAAAAGGAGTAGAAGGGAAATGTTCAGGTTGTTTGTAAATGGAAAGACATTATTTGAATAGTCACAGATATTGACAGGAAAAATGGCTGTTGCTCTATACTTAAGCCAAAGCTCATGATAGAAAAAAGAAACAGAGGATAGCAAGTCAATAAATGGGACGTTGTATGAATTAGAAAGCAGTTTTGAGTAGGTGGAAAAACAATAAGACAGATCAAGTATAAATTAAAGAAACAGAACTGTCAGATTGCAGAAGAACTGTATACAGAATGAGAAAAGATCAGGAGTCTGAAAAAGAATAGAAGTTGGATAGGCTGGCACTTGAAGTCTTAGTGGGAAATTTATTTCTTAAGTGACTGCTTGCTAGGGAAGGTTAGAAGGAGATGAATTAAGATAAACCCTGATAAGAAGCCATTGGTGGAAACCTTAAAAACATGAGGATTGACAGGTATAGATCGGGATTCTTTGTAGAACAAATGAATGCTATTGGTTGAGGACTGGTTGGGAATCATGATAAGGTTAACATCCAGAGAATAATTCAGCATTCACTTATTATAGAGTCAGTGGGTAAATGATTTGTAGAATATTTACGATATGGCAGGGCAGATATTCAAAGGGAGTTACAAAAGGACATAGCAGTAAGTATGATGTTAAATTGGCCAAGAAGTTAAGAAATAATGTTAGGATTGGCTGAAAGTTAAGCAACTGAGAAGACCTGTGTATATAAAAAAGAAAAAGGAAAAGGGAGAGGAGAAGATGCTTGGTTGGAGGAAAAAAATGTATGACTTAGTCTGGGTTTGGAATATGCAAGGTATGAAACAGCAAATATTATTGAGACCAGAATGAGGAATTCAGATATCACCAGCTATCTGCTCATACAGCCTAAATACTTGTTAATATGAAAAGATTTACATTATATATACATCTCACCATGTACTTAGAAAATCTGGTGCAGTGAGTTAGCATTCTTGTGCTAACAAAAACTTTTAGCTTGCACCCAAGCCTACTTGAGATAGCATATTTTTGCCGTGGTTCTTGTGCTGATAGGCTCATTCCCTATGCTGAAGGATGTTAAATGTGTTATGCATTATTCCTGTCATCTTCTCCATAATATGAGCGGGACAATTCAAGCAACTCATCAGGTGGTAAGTAAATATTTCCAAAAAACTTCTTGTTTTTATATTTTATTTAAAAATGTATATGCATTTGTTATTTATATTGAAAACATTCCATTGTTCCTTGCAGTATAGAAGGCAAATGCAATTATAGTCTTTATTATAGTAGGAGACCATTTTGTATTACACACAAACATGTCTGCTAATGAACTGATGATATGTTAAATAATTAGGTCATTATCCTTTAAAATGGTGTATATTATGAAAAATACTTAAAAGTTTTCTTTTATCATAGTGTTTTAGTGATGACTGAGAAAATAGGTTGAGTTTTTTTAAAGGGAGATGGATAAGAGCTTTTTCAAATTTAAGATAATGCAATGTAAGTGTTTGCCACCAAAAATTATTATTCAAGCACACAGGATAATGAAAATTGCTTGTACTTGAAAAGTCGAGTCAGGAAGAAAACTGTGTAGGCAGTTCTTCAAGGGAGAAAGAAAGGGACAAGATAAAATGATAACTAAAAATTGGACATAAGAGAGACAGTGTCCAGGAAAGTACATTTGCATTAAAAAGTGCAACGGACAGAAAGATTAGCAACACATTCAGTGAAGTGGACATAAAACAAGGCAAGTGGCAGGCATCCTACCAAGGAACAAACAGAGAACTAAAGCAGTTCAGCACAGTATGCTGGAAAGAAGAAATACCGAAAGGGACTGAGCAGTGAATAGCAAACAGAAGGAGGTGCCTGACAGCAAGATCTTAGTGAATACACAGGAGTGACACACAGTGTATGGGTGGTTAACAATGTGCTCTTCCAAGGCAGAAAAAGAAAAACAACAGAATAAAGGGAAAAGGCATTTAAAATTTACCTTAGGATGGGAAAAGTCATGCGAGGATGACATACTAAAAAATAAGATTTGCCACTATAATCGTATCATATGGAACAAGGAAGAAAACAAGTGATGGACACTAAATAAAAAGAGCACTGCATGGATTTGGCAACATTTCAGAGTAACTTAAGTAAACACAGGGCAAATCAGCTTCACAATAAGGAAACCCAGAAACAATGAGGTCAGAAGAACAAGAGCATAAATTAAGAAAAGAGTTATATGATTAAAGATGGACCAAAGATATGGAAGGGAAAAAGGGTGAGGTAGAAAAGAAGCAAGTCAGAAGACAACTATATGCATCAGAGTAGAATATTAGAAAAAGGCAAAAACAAAAAAGGTGGAGAGGCACCGTAGATTGAGTAGTATACTTAAATGTGATTCCAAAAAGGAGGAAAGAAGTTCAGAAATGAGTAGAGGAACTGAGCTGAGACAGGGGAAAGGGAACCAGGAAATGGAATTGAAGGGTGCACATCCACATCTAGAAAGGGCTGCTCACTGCACCAGAAAGACAGTGGTAAACAGATTATAGTGGCACAGGGGCTTCAAAGTGTCAAAGAAGAGAAAAAGAGGTGCAGAATGGATTGCCAAATGAGCTTCCAGGTAGGACTAAGAGAGTCTTTAAGAAAATCCAAAAATGAGATGAAAACATCCTGAATAATAATGAAAAGATAGGAAAGATGCATGGATTAACAGTATGAAGATAATGAAAATACTATAGTACAGTAAAAAGAATGCATGATGGGGATAAGAGGAGTGGGGAGTAACTGGAGGCAGTCCTAAAGGTGGAATCTTGCCACCTGTGTCACAGTATGTAAACTTCAAGGATAGGAAATATTAAAATAAGAACAGAAAATATTGTACGGGTGTGGAAGCTATCAGGCCGATACGAAGGGGGTTTAGAGTATAGGTCGCTTTCATGTACTGAAGGGTCAAAGTTTCAATGTAGATCTTTAAGAGAAATCCTTTTCAAGAGTCGGAGGGCGAGTGTGGAGTAGAGAAACGAGGCATGGGAAGAATGGGGTGGAAGGATGCCAGAGGAAGAAAAGGAAATGTGCAGAAGAAAAGGAAATGTGCAAAAGAAAGTGCTTCCATGGGAAGACTACCAGGTTAGTTAGAATGCGAAAAACACAAAAAATGCTAAGTAAGAAGTATAAAAAGCACATGAAAGAAGTAGTAAAAAAACGAACAAACAAAAACAGGTATAAAGGGGCATTCTGGCCCTTCAAAACAATGATCTTCAACAGTAAATGCAAGCACAAGAAGGCTCCAGGCTTGGGAGGCCAAGGTGGGTGGATCGCTTGAGGTCAGGAGTTCGAGACCAGCCTGGCCAACATGGCGAAACCCTGTCTCTACTTAAAAAGAAAAAAATCAGCTGGGCGTGGTGGTGGATGCCTGTAATCCCAGCTACTTGGGAGGCTGAGGCAGGAGAATTGCTTGAAGTCCAGAGGTGAGGGTGCAGTGAGCCGAGATCGCACCACTGCACTCCAGCCTTGGGCGACAGAGTGAAACTCTTCTCTCAAAAAAAAAAAAAAAGAAGGCTCCAGGCCTCAAACGGGAGACTGAAGTGCAGGGAGTCCAGGTGGCCATAGGGAGTCAAGGTGGCTGTCCACATCAGTGATTCTTATCTGAGGTGGGGGGTGGGTTTCACCCGAGGGAGGGCTGGGGGCATGGACCCCCAGGCAGGCCTATCCAATCATCTGAAGGGTGAGCAGTGTTCAGCTCAGAAAAAGTAAAGGAAAAAAAAAGCAATCTCTAAAAGGAACATAGACAATAGCAAAAGAAGAAACCGAGCCCAAAAGATGCTTCTGATAGGCCGCCTTGGGGTCCTGCATCCTCGGGTGAGAATCACTGGTGGATGTGGGAGGATGGAGAGCCGGGCAGATACGTGGAGTGCGAGGGGAAGACGCACGTGCAGTGGGGCTGATGGAGGCCATCAGGGTCAAGACTGTCAGGTGTGGGAACACAGTTCCCGACAGACCAGGACAAGGATGACAGCTAACAAATGGATGTAGCTGAAAAGGCAATGGGACCACGGTGGTGCAGCTGGGGTTTCCAACGCCTCGGTCCCAGACTCAAGGACTCAGGTGGAGGAGTGAGGCCCAGAGAAGGGCCCAGTGACTCAGAGGAAGTGGGCTGTGCGGGTGAGAGCAGAGAGCAGGGGATCTGTTGTCACGGGGAGGAAAGGCACAAAGGGGAATGGAGACAGCGTGGAAGGAGAGCGTCTTGAAGACATCGGTGCTAAGGAGGGAGGAGGCAGGAGGAGGGTGGGACTGACAGGAGCACCCAGGAGGAGCGGAGGAGCCGGGTCTCAGGCAGGGCGGGAGAGTCAGGTTGAGACTGGGTGCGTTTGTGCTGGCGGGGCAGGGGGATGAGGGTGGGTAGGTGGAGGCGGGACAGGAGTGAGCGCTGATGACAAAAGTGCTGTGGTGACAGGAAGAAGGTAGGAAATTCACAGGCGCATGTTCCCCAGAGTGTTTTCACAAGAATGTGAAAGAAAGGATGCAAAGGGAATTGAGAAGGTTTTGGGGAGTCAGGGTTGTGGGGTGCTGGAAGGTACCCATAGCCTGGACCACTGGGATGTGGACACTGATAGCTGGGCAGAGCAGGTGGATTCAGTGCAGTACGTGTGATGCAGAGATGACTGCATCTGGTGGAGCAGCGGGTGCGGGGCCAGGTCAAGAAGGGAGGAGGTACCTGAGTTCACGACTTAGGCCAGTGGGAGAATCACAGATTGTGCTGAAAAAATGCAGGAGGGTGCAGGTGGGACAGTACCGTGCTATGCAGTAGAGGAGGAAAGCAGGAGAAACGACCAACCTGCGCCCCAGGGGCTGACTGCTGGGACATCAGGGGATGAGTTTGCAACACATGGGAGAGGAGGACAGAGGAGAGGTGTTCCCTAATGGGCAAGAAGAATGAGTCGGAGCAGGCAATGGAGCCCAGCAGCTAAGAGAGGAGAGCCTGTTGAGAGCAGGAGGGATGCGCTGCAGTAAAGGAGGCATGCCAGGCGCCAAGAGGGAGGGAGCGGATGCAGAGAATCCAGGGACTTTACCCCAGATGGGGCAAAGTGTGTGACGCAGTTCATGGATGACAAAGCATAGTGTGGGTAAGATAAGCAAGGAATGAAAGAGAGGTGGGAGGAGGCCAAGGGAGAAGCAGGGCATAGAAGTGCTGCTACCTTGGAAACACAGGGGACCACGTGTCAATGAAGGGTGTGGTGAGATGATGAAAGGTCAGGTGGATTGAGTTCGACAGAGGAAAGGACTGTGTCCGCCATGGTGGAACAGACAAGGTAGGATGGTTTCAAACAGCAGATGGACTCAGTACAGCATGCTGGGGATAAAGAGGCTGTGGCAATGGTGGCAGCAGTGAGGGTAGGGAAGGAAGAATTGGATGCTGAAGACGAAGTGGAGGGTGTCTGGAAGAGAACAGTGGGAGAAAATGGGTGGATGAGTGATGCAAGGTTTTAATGTGAATCCTGAGGAGAAAAAGAGAGACGTGGGAGTGGGGCAGCCATTTGAGGTGGCATATGGGATGCATGTTGGGTCACGTAAGTGAATAGGAAAAGAAAGGGACTGAAAGCATTTAACAGGAGACAACCTCACAAATCTGTGGGGGTGATGAATGCTGGTCAAGGGGCCAAGGTGGAAAAGTGAGGGGAATGCAGAGTTCTCAAACTGGGGCACTGACAGATCTCATGTGAAAAGTTGGTTTCATGACCGTCATCAAGGCCAGACTGTAGGATCAGAGCAGATGCAAGAGCCCAGGAATATGCGGAACTAGGTCCACAGGAGAATGTGGGGGATGGGGACAAATGACTCAGGTTAAATGAAGGAAATAGCATCACTGCATGGTAAGATGGCACTGGGCATGGTAACCTCAGGGACTTGGCAATGGACTCGTGGTTTGAGTCTATTGTGTGGGTAGAAAGATGCTTGCAAATAGTGGAGGAGTAGTTAGGAACCAATGCAGAGGAAGCAATTCAGAATGATCACTGAATCTGAGCTTCTGCTGTCACGGAAGGCTAAAAGGATAGAGATATAGCTTACAGCTGAAAGTATGTACATAGAGATGAAATAAAGTAGGCAAGGGAGAGTCTCAAACACAGTGGGTCTCGTAGTTGTAATGGGAGTTTAGATCAGTATCAGCTGGGTACATGGGACAGAGTATGGCCAAGGACTGGAGAGAGCTGGGGTGTTTGGTGCTGGAGTGTGGACTTCATTTATGGAAAACTTCATCTAGAGGAAAACAGGAGGAAAAGCAGAGGAGGACAGAGAGTGGGACCTATGTAAGAAGGTCTTAAATTCTACACACGGGTGTTGTGAAGGTAGTGCAACCAAGAGGGAAAGAAGAAATGAGTGACCTGGACAGCCTGAATGGGTAACGAAAGGGTAGATGTGATGGGCAGGGATGCATCAGCTCACTGGGGCCGCACCTGAGGTAAATGGAAATAAAGGAGGTGAGGAAAGGAGGAAGAGAAGGAAGTGGCGGGACTGGCTGTGGAGTTTTGTGGGAGCCTTCTTGATGGGACAGAAAGAAAAAAGAGGAGAAAAGGCTGGAGTGTAAGAGGGGAAGGAAAAGGCAGCCTAAGGGAAGGCGCTGGCCTGAATCAGTGGAAGATCTGGAGGAGCAACAGAAAACAGTTCTTGAAGAGAAGGTGGGATAGAGAGAGGAAGGAAAAGTTTGAGCGGTGAGGAGAGCAGGTCAAAGTAGTGAGCACATCCCTATGGAGAAGAGATGACTGAGCCCGATGAAGCAATAGGCCCTGGGTGGTTGAGAGAAATATGGGCCACAGACAGGCAGGTACCTTCCCTTGGCCAAGGAAGCAAGGAGAAGAAATGTGGACGCAAGGGGAAAGGCTTCAAGAAAGAATGTGGAAGTGGGACGATAAGGCAGCGCAACGGGGGAGTCACCTACAGAAGACAGGGTGGAGGGGCCCCCAGGGAAGGATGGAGGGCAGAAAGCGTGGTGGAAGGGAGCTGGGCAGGACAGCCACAGGCAGGACAGCCATAGGTGGAGTGAGGTGAAGGGGCAGGTCCCAGAGTAGGAACAAAGGAATTTGGAGTGCTCAGAGCAGCCTGCAAGGTTCAGCATGGGGAAGGGAAAGTATAAGAGGGGTGGACAGCAATGGGCAGGAAGGAATGACTGCTCTTAAAGCCTTGAACTTTGTTGCAAAGGTGTGAATCTTGGGCCAGGCTCTTTACTACGGATCCGGCGGGAAAGGGTGGGTGGTGGGGATGGGGTTCGGGGTGGGATTTGGGATTGGGTTTGGGATGGGGTTTGGGTGGGGGTTGGGAGCAGTGGGATTGCAAGTGGGAAAGGGGTGGGGATATGGGTGGGGGTGGGAATGGGGGTGGGGGGAGGCAAACCAAACTCTAGGCATTTGAAAAACCATCTTACTTAATTGAGCTGGTGGACTATTACATGTTGACTACTGGGGGTGATGGATACTGGCTGGAGAAGACCTCTGAATCCAGTAGAGTAGCTTCAGGTAGGGTGGAAGTTCAAAGTAAAGAGACTGAGGCAAACAGGAAGCCCCTGGAAGGACCTGATGGGTGTCCATAACACCTGACAGTCATATGGGTAGGTGGGGCCACAAGTGTGTCTGTAGGGATTTTAAAGAACAAATCTCTCATACAGAGTGGATTTTGAGACATGTGTGTTTCAGTGAGTAGACAGGGAGGAGAACAAGGTGATTTCAAGCAGAGAGTGCCTGGCATACATGGGGGTAAGGGAGGGAAATGCTAAGGTCTTTGAGTAGGAAGTGTAGCTGGAACTGCAAAGTAATAAATGCTGGAAATGGCAGAGTAAAGGCCAGGGAGTCAAGGTGGCTGTCCACAGCAGTGATTCTTATCTGGGGTGGGGGGTGGGTTTCACCCGAGGGAGGGCTGGGGGCATGGACCCCCAGGCAGGCCTATCCAATCATCTGAAGGGTGAGCAGTGTTCAGCTCAGAAAAAGTAAGGGGAAAAAAAAGCAATCTCTAAAAGGAACATAGACAATAGCAAAAGAAGAAACCGAGCCCAAAAGATGCTTCTGATAGGCCGCCTTGGGGTCCTGCATCCTCGGGTGAGAATCACTGGTGGACACGGGAGGATGGAGAGCCGGGCAGATACGTGGAGTGCGAGGGGAAGATGCATGTGTGGCAGGGCTGATGGAGGCATCAGGGTCAAGACTGTCAGGTGTTAGAACACAGTTCCTGACAGACCAGGACAAGGATGACAGCGAACAAATGGATGTAGCTGAAAAGGCAATGGGACCACGGTGGTGCAGCTGGGGTTTCCAACGCCTCGGTCCCAGACTCAAGGACTCAGGTGGAGGAGTGAGGCCCAGAGAAGGGCCCAGTGACTCAGAGGAAGTGGGCTGTGCGGGTGAGAGCAGAGAGCAGGGGATCTGTTGTCACGGGGAGGAAAGGCGCAAAGGGGAATGGAGACAGCGTGGAAGAAGAGCGTCTTGAAGACATCGGTGCTAAGGAGGGAGGAGGCAGGAGGAGGGTGGGACTGACAGGAGGACCCAGGAGGAGCGGAGGAGCCGGGTTTCAGGCAGGGCGGGAGAGTCAGGTTGAGACTGGGTGCGTTTGTACCCGTGGGATGTGGGGGAAGAGGGTGGGCAGGTGGAGTGGGGACAGCAGTGAGCGCTGATGACAAAAGTGCTGTGGTGACAGGAAGAAGGTAGGAAATTCACAGGCGCATGTTCCCCAGAGTGTTTTCACAAGAATGTGAAAGAAAGGATGCAAAGGGAATTGAGAAGGTTTTGGGGAGTCAGGGTTGTGGGGTGCTGGAAGGTACCCATAGCCTGGACCACTGGGATGTGGACACTGATAGCTGGGCAGAGCAGGTGGATTCAGTGCAGTACGTGTGATGCAGAGATGACTGCATCTGGCGGAGCAGCGGGTGCGGGGCCAGGTCAAGAAGGGAGGAGGTACCTGAGATCACGAATTAGGCCAGTGGGAGAATCACAGATCGTGCTGAGAGAATGCAGGAGGGTGCAGGTGGGACAGTACCGTGCTATGCAGTAGAGGAGGAAAGCAGGAGAGACGACCAACCTGCGCCCCAGGGGCTGACTGCTGGGACATCAGGGGATGAGTTTGCAACACATGGGAGAGGAGGACAGAGGAGAGGTGTTCCCTAATGGGCAAGAAGAATGAGTCGGAGCAGGCAATGGAGCCCAGCAGCTAAGAGAGGAGAGCTTGTTGAGAGCAGGAGGGATGCGCTGCAGTAAAGGAGGCATGCCAGGCGCCAAGAGGGAGGGAGCGGATGCAGAGAATCCAGGGACTTTACCCCAGATGGGGCAAAGTGTGTGACGCAGTTCATGGATGACAAAGCATAGTGTGGGTAAGATAAGCAAGGAATGAAGGACAGGAGGGAGGATGGCAATAGACAAGGAGGATGTAGAAGATGCTGGCACCTTGGAAAAGCTGGGCACCACAGTGTCAATGAAGGGCATGGGAACTGATGAAATGTCAGGTGGATTGACTTTGAGACAGGAAACAATTGTCTCCAGCATAGTAGAACCAAAAATGTAGGACGGTTAAGGGTGCCTTAAGATAGCAGATGGATCCAATGCTGCATATTGTGGATAAAAAGGATGGCAATGTTGGCAGCAGCAAGGGCAGGGCAGGAAGGGAGCTGACATCAAGGAAATGACTGCAGAGTGCAGTCATTGACTTAGAAAGTGGCAGAGGAGGGAGTGGATGCTGAAGATGAAGCTGAGGGTCTCTGGAAAATAACAGTAGGGGGATGTGCAGTACATCTTAACTAGAAAAACAGAAACTGCTCTAAAGTCCTCAAGGCATGATGTCAGACTCAAGATGGGTCCAGGAAGTTGATGGACATAAAAAAGGACAGAAGGTGCATGATAGGGGGAGAATCTCATGAATTTGAGGGTCTCAACATTGGTAAAGGGGCCAAGTGAATAGAGGGGAGGCAGAATTCAGAGTCCCAAACTGAGGTGTCCGCAGATCTCAGGATACGTTGGTGGTATGCCTGGTATTAAGACCAGACCACAGAGGCAGAATGAAGCAATAGCTCCAGCAGCCTTTAGGAGAAAGTGGGTTAAGGGCCAAAGTGATTGGTTAAACAAAGGAAGCTGGTCAGCACTGCACACTAACATGGCACCTGCATAAAAACCACAGACAGGTAACTTTAGGGACTTCACAGTGGACTCAAGCAGACTGATCCCAGATTGTAGGTAGAAGTGTGTTTGCAAAGGCCAGAGGAGCTGTTAGGACATAATGCGATGGAGACAATTTGCAACAATCACTGAATCCACGTTTCTGCTGTTTAAGGGTGGCTGAAAGGATGGAGGTATAGCTTGTAATGCAAAATATACGCAGAGGTTCATAGTGAAGCTGAGGAGGAGGGCCTTCAAAAGTTAAGTGGGAGATGTTTAGGTCAGTAGCAAATGGGCCCAGTGGGAGAGAGTATGCCCAGAGTTTGGAGAGGGTCAGGGTGTCGGGTGCTGGGATGAGGGCTTCATGTTTGGAAGACGCAAGGTAGAGAGCAAGAGAGGAGGAAAGGTAGAACAGGATGGAGGGCAAGACCTGTGTAAGAAGAAGTCTTAAACTGTAAACATGGGTGTAGTGAGGGTAGTGTGGCTAAGAGGAAATGGATCCAGATGGGCTTGATGGGGAGCAGATGGGCAGGCACGATGGCAGGGGTGCATCGGCTCACTGGGGCTGCATCTGAGGTAAATGGAAATAAAGGAGGTGAGGAAATGAGGAAGAGAAGGAAGTGGCGGGACTGGCTGTGGAGTTTTGTGGGAGCCTTCTTGATGGAACAGAAAGAAAGAAGAGGAGAAAAGGCTTGAGTGGAAGAAGGGAAGGAAAAGGCAGCCTAAGGGAAGGCGCTAGCCTGAATCAGTGGAAGATCTGGAGGAGCAACAGAAAACAGTTCTTGAAGAGAAGGTGGGATAGAGAGAGGATGGAAAAGTTTGAGCAGTGAGAGCAGGTCAAAGTAGTGAGCACATCCCTATGGAGAAGAGATGACTGAGCCCGATGAAGCAATAGGCCCTGGGTGGTTGAGAGAAATATGGGCCACAGACAGGCAGGTACCTTCCCCTGGCCAAGGAAGCAAGGAGAAGAAATGTGGACGCAAGGGGAAAGGCTTCAAGAAAGAATGTGGAAGTGGGACGATGAGGCAGTGCAACAGGGGAGTCACCTACAGAAGACAGACAGGGTGGAGGGGCCCCCAGGGAAGGATGGAGGGCAGAAAGAGTGGTGGAAGGGAGCTGGGCAGGACAGCCACAGGTGGAGTGAGGTGAAGGGGCAGGTCCCAGAGTAGGAACAAAGGAATTTGGAGTGCTCAGAGCAGCCTGCAAGGTTCGGCATAGGGAACGGAAAGTGTAAAAGGGGTGGACAGCAATAGACAGGAAGGAATGGCTGTTTTTAAAGCCTTGAACTTTGTTGCAAAGGTGTGAATCTTGGGCCAGGCTCTTTACTACGGATCCGGTGGGGAAGGGTGGGTGGTGGGGATGGGGTTCGGGGTGGGGTTTGGGTCTGGGTTGGGGATGGGGTTTGGGTGGGGGTTGCATGGGAGGGCAGGGTTGGGAATGGTGGGAGTGGGGCAGGGCATGGGGAGAGGGAATCAGGGTGGGTGGGGGGTGGGGAGTGGGGTATGTTGAGCCAAGCCCCCAGCATTGAGAACACCACTGTATTTAACTGATAGATTATATATGTTCAGGGTTGAGGGTGATGAATTCAGGCTAGGGAAGACCCTGAATCCAGGGAAAAAAGAAAGTAGCCTCACGTAGGGTGCAAGGTCAAGGTAAGGGGCTGGATTCTTACAAACAAAAAGGATTATGTGGATCAAAAGGGAAGTCTCTTAGAGGGGGGCACCTTACCACAAAAGTGGTGATTAAGGAAAAGGGACAATAGTCAACACCCAGAAGAACAGGTGGAGGCCAAAGGTAAGGACAGAGTACCTGAGAGTCCTATCAGGTGGCAGGGAGGGGCACAAAGGGTGGGGTGGGAGGCACTGAAAGAACAACTCTCACAAAGAGTGGGATTCCACCTATGTTGTATTTCAGAGAGAAAATAAGGAAGGGAATGCGGTAGTTCCACGTGGAGAGTGCCAGGCCTATTTGAGAGGGGCAGAGGAGGAAATGCTGAGATATTTGATTAAGAAGTTAAAGGAAAGCACTAGAATGCTCCAGGCCTGAAACTGGAGAGACTGAAGTGCAGGGAACCAAGGTGGTCGCAGGGAGTCAAGGTGGCCGTCCACAGCAGTGATTCTTATCTGGGATGGGGGGGTGGGTTTCACCCGAGGGAGGGCTGGGGGCACGGACCCCCAGGCAGGCCTATCCAATCATCTGAGGGGTAAGCAGTGTTCAGCTCAGAAAAAGTAAGGGAAAAAATCAATCTCTAAAATGAACGCAGACAATAGCGAAAGAGAAAACCGAGCCCAAAAGATGCCTCTGATAGGCCGCCTTGGGGTCCTGCATCCTCGGGTGAGAATCACTGGTGGACACGGGAGGATGGAGAGCCGGGCAGACATGTAGAGTGAGAGGGGAAGACGCACGTGCAGCAGGGTTGATGGAGGCATCAGGGTCAAGACTGTCAGGTGTGGGAACATAGTTCCCGACAGACCAGGACAAGGATGACAGCAAACAAATGGATGTAGCTGCAAAGGCAATGGGACCACGGTGGTGCAGCTGGGGTTTCCAACGCCTCGGTCCCAGACTGGAGGACTCAGGTGGAGGAGTGAGGCCCAGAGAAGGGTCCAGTGACACAGAGGATGTGGGCTGTGCGGGTGAGAGCAGACAGCAGGGGATCTGTTGTCATGGGGAGGGAAGGCGCAAAGGGGAATGGAGACAGCGTGGAAGGAGAGCGTCTTGAAGATATGGGCGCTAAGGAGGGAGGAGGCAGGAGGAGGGTGGGACTGACAGGAGCACCCAGGTGGAGCGGAGGAGCCGGGTCTCAGGCAGGGCAGGAGAGTCAGGTTGAGACTGGGTGCATTTGTGTGGATGTGAGGAGGAGGGTGGGGGGAGATAAGAGTGAGTGCTGATGACAAAACTGCTGTGGTGACAGGAAGAAGGCAGGGGATTCAGAGGCAGAGGCTCCCCAGAATGTTTCCACATGGTGTGAGAGAGAAGGGTGTGAAAGGTATCGGGAAGGCTTCTGGGAGTCAGGGTTGTGGTGTGCTGGAAAAGTCCCATAGCCTTGGCCACTGGATCGTGAGCATGGACAGCAGAGGAGGTGGATTCGGTGCAGTACGTGTGACGCAGAGATGACTGCATCTGGTGGAGCAGTGGGTGCGGGGCCTGGTCAAGAAAGGAGGACACACCTGAGAACATGAATTAGGCCAGTGGCAGAATCACAGATCGTGCTGAGAGAATGCAGGATGGTGCAGGTGGGACAGTACCATGCTATGCAGTAGAGGAGGAAAGCAGGAGAAATGACCAACCTAGGCCCAGGAGCTGGGAGCTTGGAGAGCAGAGGGTGAGTTTGCAGCACGTGGAAAAGCAGGACAGAGGAGAGGTGTTTCCCAATGGGCAAGAAGAATGAGTTGGAGCAGGTTATGGAGCCGAGCAGCTTAGAGAGGTGAGCTTGTTGAGAGGATCAGGGAATATGTTCCAGCAAGGGAGAATTTGCATCAAAATCCTTGGTTTTGCTGTTCAGGAATGGCAGAAATGAATGGAGGTGTAGCTTGTGAAGCAAAATATTCACAAGGAGAAAGAGACAGCCTGAAGCTCTAAGGTGTAGGGGTTGGGGCACAAGGGTGGGGGTGGGAGGTCCTATGCCAAGGACCAATAAGGAGGGAGAGACATGGGGAATCCAGAGACTTTACAAAGTCTATGAAGAAGCCCATGGAGGAGAAATCATGGTACAGGTAAGACAAGCAAAGAATGAGGGAGAGGTGGGAGGAGACCAAAGTGGAAGGAGGGTGCAGCGGTTTGGCACCTCAGAAATGTTGGGACAATGTATCAGTGAGGGAGAAGGTGAGAGGAAGGAAGGTCGGGGGGATGCCATCTAGAGAGGAAACCAGTGTCTCCCTAGTGGCAGAACGGAGAAGGTAGAATGATCAGAGCTCAAATCAGACAGTAGATGAATGAATACAGCATGTTAGGGACAAAGAAGCTGGCAGTGGCAACAACAGTGAGGGCAGGTCAGGCTGGGAGCAGACATTAAGGAAAAGACTCCTGAGTGCACTGACTGACCCTGAGGTGGTAGGGAACATGGACTAGATGCTGAAGACCAATCAGAGGGTTTCATAAAGACAACAGTGTAAGAAAAGGCAGAGGATGGCTGGTGAAAGGGTCCACACTTTATCCAGTCTGGAGTCAGAAGGCACTATGTGGGTCGTGAGATGGGTCAGTGATGTTGATGGAAAAAGAAAGGGACAGGAGGGGCGTAAGAGGAGAAATAACCTCATGAATTTATTGGGGTGGGGTGGGGGGGGTGGAGCAGAGTTGAGCTTTGATAGAGGAACCAACATGGAAAACAGGAAGATGGAACAAAGAATTCCCAAAATGGGGGTGCGCCAGACCTCATGGTGCAAATTGTTGAAATAAGCAGTATTAAAGCCAGATCATAAGAGCAGAGCAGATCGAAGAAGCAAGAGCCTGGGCATTTTTGCAAATTGAGGCCCTTAGGAGAAAATGGGGGAAAGGGCCAAAGTAACTGGGGTTACAGAGAGGGCATCAGGAATCACTGCACATGAAGACAGCACCTCCACAGAAACCACCGGCAGGGAACTCAGGGACTTGGTGATGGACTCATATCGTTTGAGTCCAGCATGTGGGGAGAAAGATGCTTATAAAATGGCAGAGGAGGGACTGCTAAGCAATGCACAGAAGACAATTTGCAGTAATCACTTAATCCTTGGTTTTGCTATCCAAGAGTGGGAGAAAGATATGGAGGTGCAGCTTTCGAAGCAAAATATCCACAGATGTCATGAGGCTCCAATGGGGGTGGGGGGCACAGGCTTCATACCTAGTGGAGCATCATAGGATTAGTGGGAAAAGTAGGTCGGTAGCAAATGGGGATGCAGCAATACAGAGTAAATCCAGTGGTAGTCAGGGTGGCAGAGATGGGTAGAGGCAAGGGTAATTCTTTCTTGGAGGCAAGAGTGGAGGAAAGGTAGAACAGGACGGAGGCCAGAACCTGTGTAAGAAGGTCTTAAATCCTAAACACAGGTGTAGTAAAGGTAGTGTGGCCAAGAGGGAAAGAGGAAACGGTGGATCTGGACAGCCACAATAGCAAGCAATATGGGCAGGGGTGCATGGGCTCACTGGGGCCCTATCCAAGGTAAATGGAAATAATGGAGATGAAGAAAGGAGGAAGAGGAGGAAGTAGCGGGACTGGCTATAGAGTTTTGTAGGAACTCACTTCATGGAACAGAAAGAGAAAAGAGGAAACAAGGCTGGAGTGGAAGAGGGGAAGGAAAAGGCAGCCGTAAGGGAAGGCGCTGGCCTGAATCAGTGGAAGATCCGGAGGAGCAATAGAAAACAGTTCTTGAAAAGAAGGTGGGATAGAGAGAGGATGGAAAAGTTTGAGCGGTGAGGAGAGCAGGTCAAAGTAGTGAGCACATCCCTATGGAGAAGAGATGACTGAGTCAGATGAAGCGACAGGCCCTGGGTGGCTGAGAGAAATATTGGCCACAGACAGGCAGGTACCTTCCCTTGGCCAAGGAAGCAAAGAGAAGAAATGTGGATGCAAGGGGAAAGGCTTCAAGAAAGAATGTGGAAGTGGGACAATGAGGCAGCGCCGACAGGGGAGTCACCTACAGAAGACAGACAGGGTGGAGGGGCCTCCAGGGAAGGATGGAGGGCAGAAAGCGTGGTGGAAGGGAGCTGGGCAGGACAGCCATAAGCAGGACAGCCACAGGTGAAGCGAGGTGAAGGGGGAGGTCCCAGAGTAGGAACCAAGGAATGTGGAGTGCTCAGGGCAGCCTGCAAGGTTCGGCATGGGGAAGGGAAAGTGTGAAAGGGGTGGACAGCAATGGGCAGGAAGGAATGGCTGCTCTTAAAGCCTTGAACTTTGTTGCACAGGTGTGAATCTTGGGCCAGGCTCTTTACTACGGATCCGGCAGGGAAGGGTGGGCTGGGTGGAGGGGATGGGGTTTGGGGTGGGGTTTGGGTATGGGATGAATGGGTGGGGCAGGGTTAGGGGCAGTGGGACTGGGACTGGGGGAGGGGTTGGGGTGGGGTGAAGTGGGCCAAGCTGTAGGCATTGAGAACACCATCTCATTCATCTGAGCTGGTGGACAATTACATGTTGAGTGTTGAGGTTGATGAATACAGGCTAGAGAAGACATCTGAGTCCGGCAAAAGAAGAAAAAACAGAGTAGCTCAGGAAGGGTAAAAGGTTAAGGTAAAGGGCTGGTTTCTGGGAAACAAACAGGATGATGACCACCAAATGGGAAGTCTCTCTGGGGGCACCTGGTCAGTGATATGAAAAGAGGAGGGATGATGAAGGAAAAATGTCAGTAGTAAGGGCCTACGAAAATTAGATTGAGGCCAAAGGTATTAACTGAGTGCCTGGGAGTCATATTAGATGGGTCAGGGCATAAAGGGTGGGGTGTGGAGGTGTCAGAAGCGCAACTCTCTCATGCAGACTGGGCTTTTGGGCACGATGTGTGTTAAGGGGTAAATGGGGCAGACAATGAGGTGGTTCCAAGTGGAGAGTGCCAGGACTGTTGGGCAGGGGGAGGGAAATGCTGGTCTTATGAGTAGGAAGTGTACCTGGAAATACCAAAATACTAAATGCTAGAAATAGGAGAGTAAAGGCCAGGGAGTCAAGGTGGCCGTCCACAGCAGTGATTCTTATCTGGGGTTGAGGGGTGGGTTTCACCCGAGGGAGGGCTGGGGACATGGACCCCCAGGCAGGCCTATCCAATCATCAGAGGGGTGAGCAGTGTTCAGCTCAGAAAAAGTAAGGGAAAAAAACAATCTCTAAAAGGAACACAGATAACAGCAAAAGAAGAAACCCAGCCCAAAAGATGCTTCTGATAGGCTTCCTCGGGGTCCTGCATCCTCGGGTGAGAATCACTGGTGGACGCGGGAGGATGGAGAGCCGGACAGACATGTACAATGTGAGGGGAAGATGCACGTGCAGCGGGGCTGATGGAGGCATCAGGGTCAAGACTGTCAGGTGTGGGAACACAGTTCCCGACAGACCAGGACAAGGATGACAGCGAGCAAATGGATGTAGCCGAAAAGGCACCGGGACCATGGTGGTGGAGCTGGGATTTCCAGCGCCTCGGTCCGAGACTCGAGGACTCAGGTGGAGGAGTGAGGCCAAGATAGGGGCCCAGTGACACAGAGGAAGTGGGCTGTGCGGGTGAGAGCAGAGAGCAGGGGATCTGTTGTCACGGGGAGGGAAGGTGCAAAGGGAAATGGAGACAGTGTGGAAGGAGAGCGTCTTGAAGACATGGGCCTTAAGGAGGAGGGAGGAGGTGGGAGGAGGGTGGGACTGACAGGAGCACCCAGGAGGAGCAGAGGAGCTGGGTCTCAGGCAGGGCAGGAGAGTCAGGTTGAGACTGGGTGCATTCGTACCGGGGGGACGAGGATGGGCAGAAAGTGGGACACGAATGAGTGACAAAGACAAAACTACTCTGGTGACAGGAAGAAGGTAGGAGATTCAGAGGCAGAGGCTCCCCAGAGTGTTTTTCCACAGTGTGAAAGAAAGGATGAGAAAAGAATCAGGAAGGTTTAGGGGAGTCAGGGTTGTGGGGCCCTGGAAAGGACTCATAGCCTGGGCCACTGGGACGTGAGCTTGGACAGCAGAGCGTGTGGATTCAGTGCAGTACGTGTGACACAGAGAGGACTGCATCTGGTGGAGCAGTGGGTGCGGGGCCAGGTCAAGAAGGGAGGACACACCTGAGAACACGAATTAGGCCAGTGGCAGAATCGCAGGTGGTGCTGAGAGAACGCAGCATGGTGCAGGTGGGACAGTACCGTGCTATGCAGTAGAGGAGGAAAGCAGGAGAAACGACCAACCTGGGCCCAGGAGCTGGGAGCTGGGAGAGCAGAGGGTGAGTTTGCAGCATATGGGAGAGCAGGACAGAGGAGAGGTGTTCCCCAATGGGCAAGAAGAATGAGTTGGAGCAGGTTATGGAGGCCAGCAGCTTACAGAGGTGAGCTTGTTGAGAGGATCAGGGAATGTACTGCAGCAAGGGAGGCATGCCAAGAGCAAGAGTGTGGGTGTGAACGTAGAGAATCCTCCTTTTTGCCCAAAAGGGGCGAAGTGTTTGATGCAGGTCATGGAGGAGAAAGCATGGTGTGGGTAAGACACGGAAGGAATGAAGGAGAGGTGAGATGAGGCCACAGAAACAGGGTGTAGAGGTGTTGGCACCTTGGAAACATTGAGGACCGTGTGTCAATAAAGGGCATGGCGAGACGATGAAAGGCCAGAGGACACAACAGAGAGAGGAAACCACTGTTCCTTAGAGGCAGAACTGAGAATACAGGACGGTTAGGGGTGAACTGAGACAGCAGATGGACTCAGTACAGCAAGTTGAGGACATGGAAGCTGGCAGTGGTGTCATCAGTGGGGGCAGGGCAGGAAGGGGTCAGAGTTCAGGAAAGATTCCTGAGTCTGTGGATTGACCTGGCGGAGACAGGGCACGCAGGACTGGATGTTGAAGAGGAGGTGGAGCATGTCTGGAAGATGAAAGTGGGAGGAAACAGTGGTGCAGGAATTAAATGTGAACCTTGTGTGGAAAAAGTGAGACATTGGAGTGGAGCAGCCACATGGAGGTGGTGTGATGTGAGTGGGGTCAGGGAAGTTGATGGGAAAAGAAAGAGATTTGTGGTGCAGGAGGGGAAAGAACATCATGAAGTTGTGGGGAGCTTAGTGTCCGTACAGGGTCCGATGCAGAAAAGGGGAAGGAGGAAATCAGAGTTCCCCAAATGGGGTTTTATCAGATCTCAGGGAAGTTGGTATCATGCTTCTTATCAAGGCCAACCCATAGGATTACGGTAGGGAGGCAAAATCCCAGGCTTTTCAGAAGTGGATCCTTAGGAAAGGAAAGTAGGGGGAAGGTGCCTAAGTCACTCAGGGTAAATGGAGGAAATGGGGCATCACTGCACATTCAGACAGCACCTGCATGGAACGTACTGGCAGGTAAACCTTGGGGGCTGGGGGCCTGGGAGGGGATGGACTCATGTGTTTTGAGTCTAGTATGTGGGCAGAAAGATACTTGCAAGTGTTAGAGGGAACTAATGGAGAGAAGACAATTCCTAGTGACCACTGAGTCTGAACCTCTGTTGTCAAGGGAGCCTGAGAGGATGGAGGTGTAGCTTGCAACTGAAAATATGCACTACACCACACTTCACTACAGAGGTGCAGTGAAGTAGGAAGCGGGGGCCTTCAAACACAGGTAGCATCTTAGATTTAGTGGGAGATTAGGTCAGTAGTAAATGGGCACAGTGGGCATGCCCAGAGTTTGGATAGGATGAAGGTTTGGGTGCTGATACGGGGGCTTCATTTTTGGAAACTTTTTCCAGAGGGCAGAGAGGAGGAAAGGCAGAACAGGATGGATGGCAGGACCTGTGTAAGAAGAAGGTCTTAAATTCTAAACAAGGGTATAGTAAAGGTAGTGTGGCCAAGAGGGAAAGAAGAAATGGTGGATCCAGATAGCTTCAATGGGTACTGCAAGATCAGGTGTGATGGGCAGGGGTGCATGGGCTCACTGGGACCCTATCCAAGGTAAATGGAAATAATGGAGATGAAGAAAGGAGGAAGAGGAGGAAGTGGCGGGACTGGCTGTAGAGTTTTGTAGGAACTCACTTCATGGAACAGAAAGAGAAAAGAGGAAACAAGGCTGGAGTGGAAGAGGGGAAGGAAAAGGCAGCCTAAGGGAAGGCACTGGCCTCAATCAGTGGAAGATCTGGAGGAGCAACAGAAAACAGTTCTTGAAGAGAAGGTGGGATAGAGAGAGGATGGAAAAGTTTGAGCGGTGAAAGCAGGTCAAAGTAGTGAGCACATCCCTATGGAGAAGAGATGACTGAGTCAGATGAAGCGACAGGCCCTGGGTGGCTGAGAGAAATACTGGCCACAGACAGGCAGGTACCTTCCCTTGGCCAAGGAAGCAAAGAGAAGAAATGTGGATGCAAGGGGAAAGGCTTCAAGAAAGAATGTGGAAGTGGGACGATGAGGCAGCGCCAACAGGGGAGTCACCTACAGAAGACAGACAGGGTGGAGGGGCCCCCAGGGAAGGATGGAGGGCAGAAAGCATGGTGGAAGGGAGCTGGGCAGGACAGCCACAGGCAGGACAGCCATAGTTGGAGCGAGGTGAACGGGGAGGTCCCAGAGTAGGAACAAAGGAATGTGGAGTGCTCAGGGCAGCCTGCAAGGTTCGGCAGGGGAAGGGAAAGTGTGAAAGGGGTGGACAGCAATGGGCAGGAAGGAATGGCTGCTCTTAAAGCCTTGAACTTTGTTGCAGAAGTGTGAATCTTGGGCCAGGGTCTTTGCTATGGATGCAGTGGGGAAGGGTGGGTTGGGTGAAGGGGATGGGGTTTGGGATGGGATTTGGGTTGGGACTGACTGGGTTGGAAAGGAGGGAAGGATTGGGAGCAGTGGGGTGTGAGTGGGAGAGGAGGTAGGGAACCAGATGGGGAGAATCGAGCCAAGTTCTGGGTTGGAGGAAACTTTCTTATTTAACTGAGCTGGTGGGTTACATATCTAATGTTGCAGGTGATGAATACAGGCTGGGGTAGCCGTCTAAATCCACCGAAAGAAGTAAATGAAAGTGGTTTCTTGTAGGTCGAAAGGTCAAGGTAAATGGCTGGTTTTTAGGAAACAACTGAGAACTCGGGAAACAAAGGGGGAAGTTTCTGCAGGCCGATCTTGTAAGGGATCTGAAAAAAGGGGTGGGGATTAAGGAAAACTGACAATAGTAAGCACCCATAAGAAACAGGTTGAGGCCGAAGATACTGACACAGGGCCTAAGAGTCCTATCAGGTGGGAGGACAAGACGTATCGGGTGGGGAGGCATTAAAAGAACAAGTTTCCAATGCAGACTGGTGTTTGGGGTCAGAGGTGTGTTAAAGGGCAAATAGGGAAGGAATGAAGTGGTTCCAAGCAGAGAGTTCCAGGCCTAATGGGGGTGGGCAGACAAAAGATGAGATGTGTTAAGTGGGAAGTTAAATGGCAAGTACTAGAATGCCACCTATGGCAAGCACTAGAATGGTCTAGGTGTGAAATGAGGGAGTAATGTCAGGGAGTCAAGGTGGCCATCCATAGCAGTGATTCTTATCTGGGGTAGGGGGTGAATTTCACGTGGAGGGAGGTCTCTGGACATGGACCCCCAGGCAGGGCTATCCAATCATCTGAGGGGTGAGCAGTGTTCAGCTCAGTAAAAGTAAGGGAAAAAAAATAGCAGTCTCTAAAAGGAACATAGACAATAGCAAAAGAAGAAACCAAGCCCAAAAGATGCTTCTGATAGGCCGCCTTGGGGTCCTGCATTCTCGGGTGAGAATCACTGGTGGATGCGGGAGGATGGAGAGCCGGGCAGACACGTGGAGTGTGAGGGGAAGACGCACGTGCAGTGGGGCTGATGGAGGCATCAGGGTCAAGACTGTCAGGTGTGGGAACACAGTTCCCGACAGATCAGGACAAAGATGACAGCGAGCAGATGGATGTAGCCGAAAAGGCACCGGGTACCCTGGTGGTGGAACTGGGTTTTCCAATGCCTCGGTCCCAGACTCAAGGTGGAGGAGTGAGGCCTAGAGAAGGGCCTAGTGACACAGAGGAAGTGGGCTGTGCGGGTGAGAGCAGAGAGCAGGGGATCTGTTGTCACGGGGAGGGAAGGTGCAAAGGGAAATGGAGACAGTGTGGAAGGAGAGCGTCTTGAAGACACGGGCCTTAAGGAGGGAGGAGGTGGGAGGAGGGTGGGACTGACAGCAGCACCCAGGAGGAGCAGAGGAGCTGAGTCTCAGGCAGGGCAGGAGAGTCAGGTTGAGACTGGGTGTGTATGGGGTGGGAGATGAGGACGGGCAGAGAGCGAGACACGAGTGAGTGACAAAGACAAAATTGCTATGGTGATAGGAACAAGGTAGGAGATTCAGAGGCAGATGTTCCCCAGAGTGTTTTTACACAGTGTGAAAGAAAGGATGAGAAAAGAATCAGGAAGGTTTAGGGGAGTCAGGGTTGTGGGGCCCTGGAAAGGACTCATAGCCTGGGCCACTGGGACGTGAGCTTGGACAGCAGAGCGTGTGGATTCAGTGCAGTACGTGTGACACAGAGAGGACTGCATCTGGTGGAGCAGTGGGTGCGGGGCCAGGTCAAGAAGGGAGGACACACCTGAGAACACGAATTAGGCCAGTGGCAGAATCGCAGGTGGTGCTGAGAGAACGCAGCATGGTGCAGGTGGGACAGTACCGTGCTATGCAGTAGAGGAGGAAAGCAGGAGAAACGACCAACCTGGGCCCAGGAGCTGGGAGCTGGGAGAGCAGAGGGTGAGTTTGCAGCATATGGGAGAGCAGGACAGAGGAGAGGTGTTCCCCAATGGGCAAGAAGAATGAGTTGGAGCAGGTTATGGAGGCCAGCAGCTTACGGAGGTGAGCTTGTTGAGAGGATCAGGGAATGTACTGCAGCAAGGGAGGCATGCCAAGAGCAAGAGTGTGGGTGTGAACGTAGAGAATCCTCCTTTTTGCCCCAAAGGGGTGAAGTGTTTGATGCAGGTCATGGAGGAGAAAGCATGGTGTGGGTAAGACACGGAAGGAATGAAGGAGAGGTGAGATGAGGCCACAGAAACAGGGTGTAGAGGTGTTGGCACCTTGGAAACATTGAGGACCGTGTGTCAATAAAGGGCATGGCGAGACGATGGAAGGCCAGAGGACACAACAGAGAGAGGAAACCACTGTTCCTTAGAGGCAGAACTGAGAATACAGGACGGTTAGGGGTGAACTGAGACAGCAGATGGACTCAGTACAGCAGGTTGAGGACATGGAAGCTGGCAGTGGTGTCATCAGTGGGGGGCAGGGCAGGAAGGGGTCAGAGTTCAGGACAGATTCCTGAGTCTGTGGATTGACTTGGAGGTGGCAGGGCATGCAGGACTGGATGTTGAAGATGAAAAGGAGTTTCTGGAAGATGACAGTGGGAGGCAACACTGTGTGTAGACTGTGCAAATTTACACTGGCATACCACATGGAATGAGAGAGTCTGGCAGCCATTCTAAGGCAGTTATTGGGATGTAAATTTGATGACGGAAGTTTATGGTAAAAGAAGGGACAGGAGGCAGGTAGGAGGGGAGATAACCTTATGAATTTGTGCAGGGCTTAGCATCAGTAAAAGGGCTGACATGGAATAGGGGAAGGTGGAATGCAGAGTTCCCAAAGTGGGGGCACTGGCAAATCTCAGGGGCAAGTCAGTGGTATGTTCGGTATCATGGCTGAGTGTAGGAGCATTTTAGGGAATAGAAGTTAAATCCTAGACGACAAGCGAGTGGGGTAACAACACTTTACCTGTCATGGTAACTACTTCATTGAATAGGAAAACAGAAAAAGAAGAAACCTTATAGAGGGTGATGGTAAAGCAACCCCAACTGATATGGAAGGCAGTGTTGGCAATCACTGAAGGTCAGGATTTTGAAAGCAAACAATTAACAATGTAAAATTTGCAAGTGTGGGGGTTGGACATAGGTTACTATGTGTTTAATGTGGTCTCCAACAAAATTAGCAGAGCCAAAATGAGAAGGAAGTATTACTCTGTTTAACAAGATTGAAATTAAGGGGACAGTATACAGTTTAAACCACTTTGGGATTTAGGAATGTCAGAGTTGGTAGGGTGGGTATTGTTGCCCCTTGATCCACAGTATGGAATAATGGCAAAGAGGAAAACTATATAGAAAGAACTTGTCATTAGGGAATTTGGTGGCTTCCTTAAAGCTCCTTGAGGGAAACACTTGATGAATGCTTAGAGTCAGGAGAATAAACGGTCCCATATAGAGATAGGTTTATGAAGCGGAGTCTGAAGGATGAGCTTCATCAGCAATCCTCAGAATGTCAGTTCTACTAGCTAAGGATGCAGGTAAGTATGTTGGACACCAAGAGAACAGGAAGGAAGTGTTTTGAACACTGGAGGTGGGTCATGAGGAAGCTTATACATATTCACATTGTGAATCAATTTCAAGGACAGATGAACAAAGACTGGGCGTTACCAATAGAGCAGGGTTTTGTTTTGTTTTTCCCCTAAGGCAAAAGGCAGAAATGAGTGGGTACACCATGATTAAGTTGCATTCTGTAGAGATAGGATCATTTAAGTCAAGTCAGCAACAAAAATTAGAGACATTGAAGATGATGGGGTAGAAAAGGGGTATCAAATAGGTTAGAAAGATGGCTTGAAAGGAAATGAGGGAAATTTCAGTGAGTTTGAGGAATGGCAGACTGGGTATGTGACAAATGAGTGGGTAAATAAGGAAATCTCAGACTGAGAATCCTGGCAGATCTTTCAATGGGTTAGACTGCAGGAATATTGATTTTAAAGCCAGACTGAAGCAAATTCTAGTGATAAAGGAAGGGGAAAGGGTGGCTGAATCAAATGTTCTACCAATACTGCTTTTTTTAGTATTTGAGTTAAAATTCAGATTAAATGCTTGGCTTAGAAGAATGCAAAGCTTCACTGAGCCTAATAATATGGATCCCAGTGGGTGAGTGGAGGTGAGTTAAAGTAAAAAACTCTGAGGCAAATCTTACTTAACTGAAGTTGTGTTTTTAGTACAGAATGCCAAGTTAATATGGTTAATACTGAACAAAAAATAATGGAAGGGCAACTACAGTAGCTTAAGATGGCACTTTAAGGAAGTGTAGGCAGAAAGTCAAGAAATTAAAATAATTATGAATCATTATATGGCAGGCAATATTTCCAATGAAAATCAGAGAAAATAAACTCACATACATGTACTGTTACAGCTGATCTTAGTATGAATATTTTCTATTAAAGACTGTTTTAAAATAAGTTATTAATATTTGTTGAAATGGTTCCAGATAACAAGAAATATGATGCAATAAAACCTGATAAATAAAAGCAATATAAAGATTAGAATGGTTTTGAATAGGTAGTGGAATAAAAAGTTAAGTTGGTAGTTGCATTAAAAAGGTCAAACATGGGGAATAATTGGTAGAATGTTGTGTATATAATATATATTGTTACGGGTGCAATAAATATTCAGGGGAAACAGAGCTGCTGAAAGAGAATGAATGCTTAGAAGGAATGTTGCCTTAAAGGCTTTTCTAAAACTTTTTAGGTAAAGGACAAATTCTGGGAGGACGAAAGATAATAAGTAGGACTAGTTACATAGAGACTTAGGATGTCCATAGTCTTTCAAGAAATTGCCCAACCTTTGCGAGAAGGTGTTATGGTAATATATTGATGTTGGGTTAAAGCAAATTTTTTCAGATAGGGTAGATTTTTATACATTTATAAAGTAAAGGGGAGTAGGAAAGATTAAAGATAGATCAAAGAAAGGAATAATTGATGGAACAACTTTCTGGAAGAGATTAGAGGGTATGTGTCTTTTGAACTCTGGAAGACTTGATTTTAGAGAGGATAAAGGAAGAAAGTGGATAATTCTAGAATTAAACACCAAAAGGTTCTATGTGTCTGGCACCATGTGAAGCAACTTACCTATTATTTCATTTCATTTCATTTCATTTCATTTCATTTCATCCTATAACAGTCCTAAGAGATCAAATAATTTGTCCACGATTACACAGTCAGTATGTAGCAGGGCCAGCATTCAAATCCTCATCTGTCTATCAAACCCATATTCCCTTCTATTATGCTATACTGTTTTCAAGTTGAAGGAAATCAAACCAAGAATTTCTGTTTTTTCACTGCGATTATAAGGAAAAATATTATTTTTCTGAAATGAGACATATTGATGTTTAAGACCTTGAGGTGACAGGTAAAATTTGGAATATCTGTGATGGGAAAATGCAAAAAGGAAGGAATGGGTGAAAGATACCTATTACCATCTATGCCCTGGTATTTCACTTCTTCCATTGCACAGCATAGACTTTAGATTGGCCATGGATTAAAAATTTGAGAATTCTGACAAAAAACTAAATAGAAAGGAGTTTGTTTTTTAAGTAGGTATATGATGGGTCAAATATAAACTTACTACTAACAAAACTTTAAACAATTCCCTAAATGCCAAACTTTTATAAACAAAAATCAAACAAACCATCAAGCAAAAGAGTCCATAGCCAGCAGACCAAATGTTGAAATCTCTGGGCTAATTTGTAAGATCTATGTTTTAAAACTCCTTAGTGAAGAGGGGCAAGAAAACCTCTCCTCTTTTTCCTCTCTTGGTGGAAATGTTTTGTTGTTGTTGTTGGTTTTTTCCTATACTATATGTAATTTCTATATTGTTGTTTTGTGTATTTTGGTATTATAAAATTATACTTCTTAGATTCCGTTAAGAATACTTTCTGGGGTGTGAGCCACCTGAGTTATTAGTTAGCAAAATGAACCTGGGGAAGTGGGAAGAGCTAGTATTCTCAATTGGCAAGGGATTGATTCTTCAATGGGTTCAGCATTTCACTTCCCTCTGAAATTAAGTGGCAAAGTAATAGCATCCCTTAAAAAACAGGACATTGGTGAGAGGTAGAATAGCAGGAGGAATTTTGAAACATGGAGGGATGGCTACTGGAAAAGAACTGATGAAGTGCAGAGTCTCTCCAGACAATGGTAGAAACCACAGGACTACATTAAGATTGGGCCCAAATACTAGTTTAGAAAAAGGTAAATAAAACTAGCTTTACTTAAGAGTACAGCCAGCTTAATTACTGGCTAGTGGACATATTTCAGACAAATCTAACTGGAGAGAAAAACAGACCAGGAGAGAAAGCGAAGTTACAAGGAAATGGAACTAGAGAAACCTCACAAAGGGATAAAGGAGGTAATTAAAGGTTAAAGCCAGATAGCCTCGAGCTCAAAGGAGAAATATTGGAGGCCAGATAGGAAAGTGCCTTCCTACTCAGGGGGTTATGGATCCAGGGTGGCTAAAGAATAGAAGTAGAGTTCCACCCAGGGCCAGAGGGAACAATCTGGGATTCAGACACAGCAGTGGTGCCAACGTGAATCTACCTCGTGCTAGAGTCTGAGTAGCCTAGTCTATCACCCAACACAGATAAGACTGGACAGGGGCTCCCAGGAACCAACATCTAAGAAGGGAGTTTGGAGAGGGGCTAAAAGAAAGCAGGTTAAGCCCCAAATGTAACTGAATGATGACCAGGGATAACTATTTACTAGTGCTTTTATGATTTATTGTAACTCTGTAACTTTCCCAGTATTTGTTAATTTTTTAACTTCTGTTTCTCCTGTACTTACGAGCAGTAAAAGTTGTTCAAAACATAAATGTGATGTGTGTGCTTATTTCTGTGAAAACTGGGTAACAGTTACGAATATTGTGCACTGAACATGAGAAGAGAAGAAATCAAGGAGGAAAATGATGATGGGGGGAATCAAGTAGAATAAATACTTGACATTCACCTTCCCAAGTCTCCAAATAAGTAAATACTACTATTGGCACTAGTTGGCTGTCTTTTAGGGGCTATTTCTCCACCCTGCAAAGACTGCATATGGGTCAAGGAGGGAATTAAAAGCCCTTCTTAATGTGGACACACATGGTTGGCTAAGCTACTCACTAGGCTGAGACATGCTCTCAGACACCAGCCTTATGCTACAGGACCTTCAAAAATGATGTATTTTAAAATGCCAACAATCTACTACATAACCAAGTTCTATCTAACTAGATAGAAACTTTGAGGAGAAGAGGGTCAAGATTCTTCACAGGAGACCAGGTATATGAACTCTCACAAGTGGTCACATTATTCCAACAGAAAGCTTGAGTTCCTTTTTGTGCTACTGCTATACACACTCAGTTTCTCTTTTAAGATTAAGTGTTCAGCAAATTTTACTCAGAGATTTAGTTTTAAAATTAATATTTCTGCAGCAGTAAACCATTTTATAAATATATATATTCACACACACACAAACACACACACACAAACACTCATCATTAAATTCTAGAAAAGCATCACATTCTTAAACTGAGCATTTGAAGAGTTGAAGAGCTCACAAGGAAATGCATTCTGAATCACGTATCTCCTCCCTTCTGAGGGTTAGTACCTGCTGTAGGGTCATCATCAGGCAAACGAACAAGAGTGTAACATATTCCTGGTTGGTTATAAGGAAGGCTGGGGGCTGGGATACAAGACAGCACTTCATAGGAATCTGATGGCTCCATCTGCACTGTCACTTTTTCCAGCAGCTGGTCATTGAGAGTGTTGGTGCAGTCAAACTGAAAAGTCAGTAAATGGAAAAGCTGTGAAGGATAACAAGTTATCCTTCCTACTCATAACCCACTACTCAGCTCTGGAACCCACTATACCTTCTATCTCTACAGAGCAGGGTAGGTCTCCTCCTAAGATTCTTCTTTTGGCAACAGGGAGAGCCTTATTCTTGAGGTCTTTTGTTTATATTATTCATCAGTTTTTTCTCTTTCCTGAGACTGCTGTCTCAAACAAGATGGCAGAAGTCTGATGGCTGTCAAATCTAAGTTCTCAGAATAGCCCACTTAATCTACCCTGATGTTAAATGCTGATTTTAGAAAATTGGTTATACTTTATGTTGTCCAACTTCATCACACATTTCAGTTTTATGTCCTTTAGATTTTAACCATCAAAAGTTACCCATCACATGAAGGGATCTCTATAGCTCTGGTGTTAAGCAAGAAAACCAGAAATTCTGCCAAATTAATTCTCTATAATAGAAACTAGAATTATAGGTAAAGGATATTTGTCTCAAAGCATACCAGTTTATACTAAATCTCTACAGCAGCCAAGGGCATTATCTTACCTGGAACACGATGTGATTGGTAAACATGTGCTTGATACATCGAACAAAATATTCTGTCTCTGCTTCTGTAAGTTGAACAGGCTCAGAAGACTTGAACAAGGGTCCTATATTCAGAAACTCAGGAATGGCAGCCAATTGTTCTATCAAGAAAAAAGAACGTAGGCTATGAAGAAGACAGGGAAAGACTTCAGTCTGGATGCTTAAAAAATGCTTTAGTTGGCCAGGAGCAGTGGCTCACGCCTGTAATCCCAGCACTTTGGGAGGCCGAGGCAGGCGGATCACGAGGTCAGGAGATCGAGACCATCCTGGCTAAGACCATCCTGGCTAACATGGTGAAACCCCGTCTCTACTAAAAATACAAAAAAATTAGTCAGGCGTGGTGGCAGGCGCCTGTAGTCCCAGCTACTCGGGAGGCTGAGGCAGGAGAATGGCGTGAACCTAGGAGGCAGAGCTTGCAGCGAGCCGGTATTGTGCCACTGCACTCCAGCCTGGGTGACAGAGCGAGACTCTGTCTCAAAAAAAAAAAATGCTTTAGTTTCCATAGCCTTACTAATAGTTGAACATTCAACTAATATGTCCCCAAGTTTTAGTGAAGTCATCTTTCAAGTAAGTAAGCTTATATATTAATGAAAGCAAAAAGCAAAAAAAAAAAAAAAGAAAGTAAATACTTATTTTACAATGAGTTCCCTGTTAACCAACGAGATACAGAAAAGAAAAACATTCCCAATTAGCAATTACAAACTGGAAAGTTCATGGACTCCAGGTAGCCTCAGCAACTATACCCTATGGTGTTCAGCCACACGAAGATTTCCTATATTGAGAACCGATCAATTTGAGTAAGACTGGTAGACTTTTTATATTTACAATGCCTAGGGGAAAGATTATTACGTCTAACCATCAAATCATCATACCTTGGAAAATGTCTTGCCTGGAAGGAGCCAACTTCTCTGGCTTAGTAGCCACAAGTGTGATTTCTATAAAGACAGATATGAGCAAGTAAGTGAACTTCTCCCACTACTATCAAGCTAGCAATGCAGACAGAAAGAGAGGAGAGCAGACATTTCTAGCAGATATATAATGAGCTATTACTAGATCATACTTATAGGTTATCTATCACTTCTGGTGGGGGGACACTCAAATTAAAATGTATTTAGTGAACATATATTGTGGAATCATAAAGTAAGCCCTAAAAATATAGAGTTTGCTTTAAATGGACTGGAATGTACAAAAATTACTCAGAAAAGGAAAAACAATTTATTTTAAAAATCTTCTCATGATCAAAATAGGAAAAATTACTTATATCAACAGAAAAACTGAAAATGTTGAAAATAAGCATAAAATTGTTTCTTCCCAGTTTTGTGTTCTAACCACTAAACATTTATGACTTCTTTTGTTTTTGTTTTTAAGTTTTAAGATTAGATATTCTTTGGGAATATTTTTTATGATTGTCGCCCATAAATTCTTTTAAGACGAACCTCCAATAACAAAATCAATTAACTTAGAGATTATCAACTTCAGAAAATAAAAATAGGAGGCGACAGCACTATTACTGCTCTGAGATGCACAGTGGCAACTGACTTCAGATACTGTAATGCTTTGCATTAAAAAAAACCCTTCATTTTGGAGTGCATTTCATCTTACTGCTTTTATGTAAAAACCAGGAGTTTTTTTTAAACTCTAATAAAAATATGTCTTAAATCTAAAAGATTTAGAAGGGGTGACAATCGGCTGAGCACGGTGGCTCCCGCCTGTAATCCTAGCACTGTGGGAGGCCGAGGTGGGTGGATCACCTGAGGTCAGGAGTTCAAGACCAACCTGGCCAACATGGTGAAATCCAGTCTCTACTAAAAATAGAAAAATTAGCCAGGTGTGGTGGCGCATGCCTGTAATCCCAGCTACTCGGAAGGCTGAGGAAGGAGACTCGCTTGAACCCGGGAGGTAGAGGTTGCAGTGACTAGAGATCGCGCCACTGTGCTCCAGCCTGTGCGACGGGAGTGAGACTCTATCTCAAAAAAAAAAAAAAAAAAAAAGAGTGACAATTAAATGAGTATTAGAGAAAATATGCTAATATTTTTTAGTTTTGCAAAACTACTTATACACAGAAAAATGAATAGAGTGAACCTGCTTTCTGTTCAAAGACAGGAGCCATAGCAAGAGGAATTGATTTCATGTCAAACGGTTTTTCTGAAGGCTCCAACGTGTACTGGTGTAAGGCTTTTTCCATCCCTGGTACAGAGACCGTCAAACCTGTGAAACATAGAGAAATCTCAGCATTATAACCTCTTGCCAATCCTCGAATCCAAATAGGCCCAGGTTTGTAATATTTATCTAAGCTTTCTGAAGGAAGAGAAAAATATAACCAAAAGCTTTATAACCTAAATATAAAAATAAAGGATATTCTTGAAATTACCTTATAAACTTATAAACTGACTTATTTCATTCAAGGAAACATGGGAGCATAGCATACACATTTTCAACAAAATGTATGTACCTCCCAGAAAAGAAAGCAACTTAGCTATATGGGAACAATGATAGCATAAGAAAACGGGAAAAATGTAAACCCATCCAAGAGGGAGTTCAAGGAGAACCAGGAATAAGTGAGCAACGTTCCTAAAAAATGTAAGGGCCCAATCTATATTCTTATAGATTGCTGCATAGGAATTATCATTACCAAATTAGAAAATATCCTATAAACACAGGTTTCTCTAGAAATGGAAGTGCACTCAAAGACAAAAACCAAGCATTTGCCTAGTGAAGTTAGCTCATATGCAAATCATAAAATATGCTTCCAAGACACCATTTGAGGAACAAAAGTGTACATCCTTGGCTTTCACTGACCATTAAAGATATATGTGGCATTTAGTGCCATCTGCCTCTGCTGCAGCACATTCAGATAGAAGGTAGCTCTGTCTCGTACCTCGTCATCAGTATCCATCATACACCTGTCCAGGGGAAACAGAATAGTCATGTCACAGTACCCCAAAGACTTCCAATAGCTCTACTACCAAATCTAAAGGACACAGCTCAGGTCGTCATCTGATACTACCTTTAAAAAAGTGCTCAACAATAGCCAACAGTGGCTCCTAAAGTCTTCACAAATCTTGGGTACTGCTCTGAATTACTAAAGAAATACTGCTACTGTGAATCACAAGCACTACATAAGTAGGCATTAAAATAACGAGGAGCACAAGAACATGAAATAGCAGTCTGGAGTCTTTTCTTCCATCTGTAACTACATGACCCTGTTGAAGACTTAGACTTCTCTGTAATTAGGAAATGGGAGTATTATACTCTCCAAGGATACTGAAAAGATAAATTCAAAATCCAGCCACTGTTTTTGCTCAAATGACAATTTGTTTTACGTAAACTAGCCAACCTTTGGCTTGTAATTTATCTGCTTCAATTATAAGATGCAATCACAGTTTGCTAAAGCAAGTCTTTTCCTCATCAAATAGAGTCATGAAGACAATGAAAAACTATTATTTTTAACTCTGCATAGTGAATTACCTAACAGTTTTTTTAAGTAAGCCCCTGTTGTACAAATTGAGGCAAATGTATTTAAGTCACTTTCTCAAAATCATGTGAGAGAAAGCCAAAATCAAATGTGACATGTACCTAGCAAATAAAACCCTATGGAGAACTAATATTTTAGGGAATGGGGCTGGGAAGAGAAGCTCTATAAATAAGAGTGAGGAGTGATGGAAACATGTAGGCTATTGTGTAAACCAAGGCTAGGGGCTTTCATGAAGTGATCAGTCAATAGCACATCAAATTGATTGGGAGGTATACATAATTACTAAAAAGAGAAAGGAATTGCCATTTGCCCCTGACTTGCTCCAATAACTCTACTCTTAGGGCTTAGAGTGCATCCGCCCTATGGTAGAATGAGGATTTCACTGTTTAACCATATAGAATTCTTATTTTTTTTTAGAAAAGACATTATTTAACTTACCTCTGTAAGAGTACAAGGATGCTTGGGAGAAGACTCTCATTCTGAGCCCCAAATTTAGCCAAAGCACTCACAGCAGCTATAATGAAGCATACAATTATGGTACATAAATATTGGTTTCTCAGAGTTAACCAATAACCATTTGAAAAAAAATTAGAAAAGTGTCCCCATGTTCAGTGGAGATAAACTCCCTTGTTTTATTGAGTGTTTCTTGATCTTATTTCTTTGATACTGTTAAGCATAAATAGAATTCTGCAAGCCCAAGAGAGCTCTGAATAGGAAAATCTTCCAAAAATTGAGGAAAAAGATTCATATAGATTTTCTGTAGGAGCTATATCTCCACCCCACCACAACCCCTTATATATCACACTGATGTCATTAAGCTCTAATCTCAAACAACCAGCCCCAAGCATAAAAAGAAATTCTATTATTAAAATTCCTCTCATTCAACAAAGATTCATTGTTCACCAAACTTTTGTCAGGAATTGTGCTAGGTACTGGGACAGATAAAAGACATGTCCCTGATCTCAAGGAGCTACACTCTAGTGGGAAAGATAGGTATGTAGAGAGACAATTACAAGACATCATAGGTAAGTCCATGGAAGAAATATATCCAGGATGCTATGTGAATACACAGAAAGGAACTAAATCCGAATTGGTGGTGGAAAACTAAGACAAAGAGTTAATACATATTACTTGAGCTAAAATCTGAAGACCAAGTACTGTTAGCCAGAGGAAAAAGGCAGGATAAGAGTATTAGAGGCAGAGAAAATAACACGTTCGAATGGCCCCTGCCCAGAGAAGAAAGTGTGGTGTATTACTGGACAGTTGGGCAAGGCTGAGCAAAGGACCCATGTTGGAGAGCAAGAAGAGACAAGGGAGAGACTGGCAATAAAACAAAATTAGGGTATGGTTTAATCTCAACATTATTATTAAAGGATATTAAATATGAGATAAATTTGTACATTTGAAAGTCCCCCCCGCCTTTTCTTTTTTTTTTAGCAGAGTGTAAAGAATAGGCAGGATATATGTGAGTCTAGAAGCAGTCAGATAGCTAGGGATCTGAAACGGATGACAGCCTCAATCAGCACCAAGAAAATAGAAGAGAATGAAGAAATATTAAGGAGACACAATTGAAAGCGCTTTGCTAAAGAACAGATAGGGGCTGTAAGGCAGCAGAACAAGATTCTATCTTGATAACTGAGTGGATGATGAATGTGAGGTTAGTTTGAATTTCAGGTTGAGTTTGAAGTGCTTTAAGTTATTTGGACAAACAAGTTCAGGAAAGAGACATGACTGGAATGTCACAGCCTATTAGCAGAGCTCTGAAAATGATCACCAAGAGGAATGTAGATGTTGAGAAGTCAAAATCTTACAGAGAACTAATATTTTAAGGAATGGTGCTGGAAAGAGGAGCTCTGTAAATAAGAGTGAGGAGTGATGGAAACATGTAGGCTATTGTGGAAACCAAGGCTATGGGGTTTCACGAAGTGTTCAGTCAATAGCACATCAAGTGGACTGAGTGTAAACAAAGGTAAGAACATTAAAGTATCTAACTTGATTTTACAACTAGTTTATAAGTAATTTTCAATAAAATTACTTGAGGATTTTTAAGGGAGAGCTACATTATTCTGAGTTAAAGAGAAAAATGGATAATGAATTCATGCAGGCAGCTAATAACGGCTACTTCAAGTTTATCTCCGAGGGGAAGGAAAGTATAGAGTCAGTAGCTAGTGAAAAGCTCATAGACAGTTTACATCTTTAATGGGAGAGATTTGGATCTATTCATATGCTAAGGGAAAGAAAGATTAGGGAGGAAAAGTCGCTTAAAAATATATATATAGAAACACATAAACAAATTCTACAAACATTCATGCTTACGGCTATAACTGAAAAAACGGATGAGCCATCATAGTATTCCTATCTTACTGAAAGCGAAGGGTTATTTGTCTAATCTAAGGCAAAAATGAGGGTGGAAATTGAGTACAAAGAAAGATATCTGGGCCCTAAGCATGCTCTAAAATCCCACCATCCAATAAATCCTGCAACTTCATTTTCCAATTTCATTATCACTCTCTTAAGTATTTCAAAAGATCAGCATCGTCAATATCAGTGTCCCAATGACTCACCAGCTCTGACAGCCTCATTCTCCAGGACAACCCTATTAAAAATAAAACGGATATATTTGGAGGGGACAGGCGTTCTAGGGCCCTCTTTGCCCAACAAGTGTAGAATCTTAGTAGCCAGAACAGTGTGTTCACAGTCCTCAATGAATTCACAAAGGTGGGCTAGGCCTGCTTCTTTACTCTCAGGGTTCTCTTCCACAATGCTGATTATACAGTCCACAATGGCCCGCTTGTACTCAAAGCCTCCCTGGCAAAAAAGAAGATAAAACTGCCATTCATTCTAGGGACACATTTTGGAGAAATGCTTACACTCCAAGGTTTATGCTTATAATATTCAAATTTCATTTCCCACCTTTTATGAAAGAAGCAAAAGTGTTTTTTCTCCAAGTGGGGAAAGCAAAGCAATGGCATGTTTAGTAATAAGACAGTAACCAGACTTAGTGTACTACTTGAGAGGCATACTGAGATGATAAGGAAATCTTAAAACACTATGGTATTTCATGGCAATCCTAAGAATTTAAGACAGCAACTTCCTATGATTAAAAAGTAGTCTACCTACATCATCTCGGAGCATGTTGGAGAGGAAAGTCATCATGACACTGTGCTTTCGAGGGTATTTCTGACAGAGAGCACTAATTGCCTGTACAACCACCACCTGTAGAAAAACAAAAAGAATATTCATTTTTATGACTGTACAACTACCACCTATAAAAAGCAAACAGAGAAAAGACATTCATCTTTATAATTATGGCTACTAAACATACTTTCCTACTTACTACAAGCTAAGAAGATCCTGTAGTTGCCTAAAATGACAATAATTGTTCTTCATGGAAGATAACCAAGGAGACCACAAAGGAAAATACAAAGCAATGTAAAAATAAAGTTCATTCAACAGATCCCTTCCCTCTGTCTCAGACAAATGATCACATCAAAGATTTTAAAGTGAACCATAAAGATAAAAAGCTTGAACAGACTGACTTCCATAGAAGAATAGAGAAAGCTATCAAGGAACTACTTCACAAAATGGTTTCTAGGGGAATTTTACCACAATTTTAAAGACCAGTGTCAGCCAGGCACGGTGGCTAATGCCTGTAATCCCAGCACTGTGGGAGGCTAAGGTGGGTGGATCACCAAAGGTCAGGAGTTCGAGACCAGCCTGACCAATATGGTGAAATACCGTTTCTACTAAAAAAATACAAATATTAGCCAGGTGTGGTGGCGTGGGCCTGCAGTCCCAGCTACTCGGAGAGCCTGAGACATGAGAATTGGTTGAACCTGGGAGGCGGAGGTTGCAGTCAGTTGAGATCGCACCACTGCACTCCAGCCTGGGTGACAGAGAGAGACTCTGTCTCAAAAAATAAATAAAATAAAATAAAATAAAAATAAAGACCAGTGTCAAGATGTGTGAAGAACGTGAGATTTTACCCTGCTTGTGGCTAACAAGTTAACCTGTCACAATTTCATGGATGCTGGTAGAAAACAAGAGACTCCTGGCTCAGCGATGAAAGACAGTTAACTACTCACAGCAGTAGCAGTAGCCAGAGTGTGAGCATTTTGGGGTGGGTCTCCTGAGCCCCAATTCCCAAAGTGCAATGCAAAGAGAGCCAGATAATACCTGGTCTTGCAGTAGGCTGCATTACTGAATAAGAACCCTAAGGATGGAACCTGAACATTTTACAGTGGGGAGTAAGTATGCCTGTCCTTTTTTCCGAAGGAAAACATTATTATATTGGACCATAAACATGTTTACTTTTTGCTCCAGAGGGCTTTTTGCTCTAAATACTATTAGTATTTCCTGGGGCTGCAAGGAAATCTTCCCTTTCCTTTAGAGGGAGACATGATCTCTATCTTCTAAGGCTAGAAGATGTCTTGTATTATAGAAAGGGAATACAGTTATGGTAGCAGGAAACAGAGGGCAGTTAGCGCCTAACTTGCAAGATGTGCAGAAATGAGAAGAGACTCATGGAGAATTTAGAATTGTCTACCAACAATCGGATAACCCCAAATCCATATATACAGTTTCAGAGCATAGAAAATGAAAGAAAATCTCCATAATGTTTGTATGAAGCAATGATACTTAAGCCTAATAAAGATGGTATATATGTACAGAAAGAAAAATTACAGACTAAAATCATTTATAAATACCGATGTAAAAATTCTAAGAAATATATTAGTTAATAGATTCTAACACTACCTTAAAGAAATAATGCACCATGATGAAATGGGTTTTATCAAGAATGTAAAGATGGTTCAGCATTAGAAAATTGATAAAATAACATCACATTCATGAGTCAAAGGATTATATCCAAAATGCTGAAAAGGCTTTGATAAAATCCAACATCCATTCCTAATAAACATTCTTGAAAAAAAAAGGAACAGATGGATATGTCCATAACATAAACATATATACTTCAATCCTAATGACAGCATATTACTTAATATGGAACCCTGAAAGGCATTCCCATTGAGGTCAGAAGTGATGCAAGGATGCCACTATCTCCACAATTATTTAGCATTATTCTGGAGATATTAGCCAATGCAATTAGATAAGGGAAAACAAAGAAACAAGAATCGGAGAAGACAAAACAAACAAAAATATCTTTATTTTTAGATGACATGATGGTATATATGAAAACCCTAGAGAATGAATAATAAAACTAACTCGATAATTCACCAAGGTAGCAGGATATAAAATTAACATGCAAAACCAGTAATATTCATATACATAAATGATAACCAGGTAGAAGATAAAATGGAATAAAAAACATTTATAATAGCAATGAAAAAGGTAAGTTATTTAGAAATAAGCATTTTAAAACCATTCAAAACTAATATAAAAATATTTTTTATAAAACATTCTTGAAAGGCATAAAAGCAGATTTGAACAAATTAAAAGACATCCTTGTTCTTAGGATGTTCCAACATCATCAGGATATGTATTCTCCCCTAACTTATGAATTTAACGTGATCCCAACAGAAAATGTCAACAGGGTTTTTTATGAAGCTAGACAACTTGATACTAAAGTTCATTAGAAAAATAAACATGTGGCTGGGCATGGTGGCTCATGCCTGTAATTCCAGCACTTTGGGAGGTCGAGGCGGGTGGATCACCTGAGGTCAGGAGCTCGAGAACAGCCTGGCCAACGTGGTGAAACCTCGTCTCCACTAAAGATATAAAAAATTAGCTGGGCATGGTGGCGGGTGGCGGGTGCCTGTAATCCCAGCTACTTGGGAGGCTGAGGCAGGAGAATCGCTTGAACCTGGGAGGGGGAGGTTGCAGAGTGAGCAGAGATCACGCCGTTGCACTCCAGCCTGGGCAGCAAGAATGAAACTCCATCTCAAAAAAAAAAAAAAAAAAAAATCATGCAAGAATAGCCAGGAAAACAATGAAAATAAAGAACTATGATGGAGGGCTAAGCATCCTACAAAGCTTCTATATTTAGAACAGAGTATAGCAGTAGTATATGAATAAACAGACCAATATATAAGTAGAAAAGACACTCCAGAAACAGACTCAAGTACATACGCAACTTTTTTGAGTTTGTATGAACATACAAACTCAAGTACATATGATAAAGATGATGTCTGAAATTACTGGGGCAAAGACGGTCTTAAAAATTTTCTTTCAGCTTTCCCGTCTACAGAAAAAATTAAAATAATTTTTTTTTAGATAAGGTAATGTGGTTTGGATCTGTGCCCCCAACCAAATCTCATGTTGAATTGTAATCGCCAGTGTTGGAGGTGGGGCCTGGTGGGAGGTGACTGGATCATGGGGGCGGATTTCCCTGCTGGTGCTGTTCTTGTGATAGTAAGTTCTTGTGAGATCTGGTCATTTAAAAGTGTGTAACACTCCTCCACACCCCCCTTGGTCATGCTCCTGCCATGTAAGACGTCTGCTCCTGTTTTGCCTTCCACTGTGAGTAAAAGCTCCCTGAGGCTGCCCCAGAAGCAGATGCTGCCATGCTTCCTGTTCAGCCTGCAGAACTGTGAGCCAATTAAACCTCTTTTCTTTATAAATTACACAGTCTCAGGTGTTTCTTTATAGTAGTGTGACAACATACTAATACAGAAGATCTTGCTCTGTTGCCCAGGACAGAGTGCAATATGATCACAGCTCACTGCAGCCCCAACCTCCCAGGCTCAAGTGATCCTCCCACCTCAGCCTCCCAAGTAACTGGGATTATAGGTGTGCACCACCATGTCTGACTAATTTTTGTATTTTTTTGTAGAGACAGGGTCTCACTATGTTGCCCAGGCTGGTCTTGAACTCCTGGACTCAAGCGATGCCCCTGCCTTGGCCTCCCAAAGTGCTGGGATTAAAGGTGTGAGCTACCACACCTGGCTTTAAATAGAATTTTGGGGGGCAACTAACTGTGTAGTCAATGGAAAAGGATAAGATTGAATCTGTTTATAGCATATATAATAAAAAAATTCAATGGACCAGAGATCTAAATGTAAAATATGAAACTATAAATGTATTAGAAGAGAACATGAGTGAATTACTCTAAAATTTGAAGGGAATATAATTTTTAATTATGAATTCAAAGTCAAATAAAATAAAAGGTTGGCAAATATGACTACCTAAAAAAAATAACACTTTTGCATGTCCAAAGACATCATAAGAAAAGTCAAAAGACAAATGACAAACCGGGAGAAGATATTCATAACATCTTTCACAGATAAAGAGCTAATATCCTGAATATACAAAAAAATTAAGGAAACAAAAGACTAAAAATCCTAAAGAAAATGCGGAAAATGCAGCCTACCCAACCCATTGCAGCTTCTGCCAACACCAACATAAGACTGCTTGTGTCCCTGTAGGTTGCTCCAACATCACTACTGCCCATCACCCACACCACCCCAGCTGCCAGGGGCCGGAGAACCCACTCACACACTGAGCTCACTGCTCTCAGTATCTCTTTCTAGCAAGCCACCTTGAGGCCCAAGGATAGCCCTCTAGTACCCACAAACACTGGAGCCAGTGTAAGCTGGGCCTAAAAATAGGCACATTTGGTGTACTGCTGCCACTACTGGAGCCCAAAGACTGACTGACTATGTGTCCAGATCCCCAGCTAAACTTCACCACAACCTCAACTAATGCCTGTACCCTAAGTCACTGAGGAATCATAGAGACCACTGACCCTGTGTACTGCTCAAGAGGTCATACGAAGATCCCACTACCACAGGCACTCAAAATCAAAGCCAAGGTATCTTAATAACAAATACACGTCTTTAGCAAAAAACTCACTCCTACAAATGCAATTTGAAAAAACTAGAACAGCAACTGCTACACCAGATGCACAAAACTGTCTGCTTGAATACATGGGTAAAGTTTGTTTTTTAAAAGTCTGGATGCATACTAAGTAGAGAGTAAATAGGGTTAGTTATATTACTTGACTGAGTATAAAAAAAGAATGAAGCAATAAAATGTTTCTACTTTTATTCTTTTAACTGAAATTTATTTATTTATTTTTTTAAAATCATCTCTGACATACTCTCACCAGTTCTATTCAACCCTGTTCTGGAAGTACTTTTTTAATTAGGCAAGAAAAACAAAGGAAAGGCATTTGGATTGGATATAAAGAAGTAAAACTGCCTCTATTCACAAATGGCACAATTATTTATATAGATAATCTCAAGGAATACGTATAATGATGACTAGAACCAGTAAAAGTACTCAGCAAGGTTACAGGATACCAAGTTAATATGGAGAAGTATTTTTTAAAAGTTTTTCATTAATAGTAAACAATAAAATAAAAATTTTAATAAAATATCAAAAGCATAAAATATTTAGATATAAATTTAACAACAGATTTGCAAGACCTCTAGAGTAAACACTACAAAACACTGCTCAGAGAAATTAAAGAAGATCTAAAGGGAGAGATATACCATATTCATGAAATAGAAAAATAATGTTAAGATGTCAGTTCTCCCCAAATTGATTTATAGATTCAACACAATCCCAGTCATAATCCTAGCAGGCTTGTTTAGTAGAAATTGATAAATTGGTCCTAAATTTCATAGGAAATGCAAAGGAACCAGAATATTAAAAAAGAAAAAGTTGGAAGACCGCACTACTTAAGAGGTACCATAATGCTACATTAATCAATATTAGTGTGGTACTGGTACTGGATTGACAAACAGTTCAGTAACATAATACAAAGCCCAAAAATATACCTAAAATATATGGGTATTTGCTTTGTAGACAAAGGTGCCAAAGCACTCCAACAGGGAAAAGGAAGTCTTTCCAACAAATTATGGTGGAATACAGTAGATATAGGTATGGAAAAAATACTGAACTTACCAAACAAACAGTAATTCAAGTTGGATCATTGCCTAAAATGTAAAATCTAAAACCATAAAGCATTTAGCCTAAAGCATGAGAAAACAAGTAGATAAAGGTTTCTTAGGGAACAGTAATAACTATGAAAGAAAAAAATTGATAAATTAGACTTCATAAAAATTTAAAACTTCTGCTTCTCAAATGATACCGTTAAGAAAATAAATAGGCAGCCAACAGACTGGGAGAAAATATGATCATGTTTAAACTCTTACCTTGAACTCATCTGAGATTTCAGACACAAAAGAAGATATCTGCTTCATGAGCCGGTCCACACTGCTCTCACTTCCTGTTTTGAGGAGTGTAGTAATGGCTAAGGTAGCAATGCTTCTGTTTGAGTCTGTGATTAAGTTTTCTAAGTCCAGATTGCAGGCAGTAACAGCAGAGGGGTGCTTCATTGCCACCTTGTGGAAGGGCAAGAAAAAAAATTAAGCAAATTGCTTTTGATAAAGGCCAGAACTTAAATTTTAATTGAGGTAAGTGGCAATCCAAAGAGGACAGGATAAGTTAAAAGTAATTGCTTCAAAAACAAAAAGAATGGCTCCAGTTAACAAGGTATATCTTTTAATAAATGATCAACGGCCAGAGTATAGCATCGTACTCTCTTTTGTTAGGTTCCTCTAACCTTTCTAACATTACCATTTTTAAAAAATTATAATTGGCCTGTATTTCCTTATAGTACGTGTGTTCATATACGTCTATTCTATTAGATGTTAGGAGTACTGACAACAGGATCTAGCATAGTAGTCAGTGCTCGACAAAGACTGTTAATATCTTATCAGTTAAAAAATACTGCTGCATTTCAAGACGCAAACTCCAGCCAAACTGCATTATCTATGGTTACTACATGGTCTGCCATTCTCCTGCATCCTTGTTTTTGTTGATGTTGTCCCACCTCTTTGTCTATCCCAATATTGGTATGGAATCCCTTACCCACAATTTGGAAAATCTGAAAACACTCTGGAAAGCAGAGCACTGGGATGAAAATCCATTTAACAGCAAAACATGACCCAAACTAATGCGAAACTCTTTAATTCTTAATTTATACCACTTGACAAGGATAGTCATATGTTTTGTGCAAAAATATTAATGTTTTTTAATGGTGGGATGCTGCCCCAGGCCCACTGGGGTTAGTAAATAAGAGATAACACCATATAACCTTTCTAAAATTTAACTAAAAGCAAATTCTGAGACACATCTGGCCCCAAGATTAGAGATGAGGGATTGTAGACCTGTATCAACTCTTTAAAAACAATTTAGGCCAGGCTTGGTGGCTCATACCTGCAATCCCAGCACTCTGGGAGGCCGAGGTGGGCAGATCACCTGAGGTCACGAGTTTGAGAGCAGCCTGGCCAACATGGCGAAACCCTGTCTCTACTAAAAATACAAAAATTAGCCGGACGTGGTGGCAGGTGCCTGTGATCCCTGCTATTTGGGAGGCTGAGGCATGAGAATCGCTTGAACCTGGGAGGCGGAGGTTGCAGTGTGCCAAGATCGTGCCACTGCACTCTAGCCTGGGAGACAAAGTGAGACTCTGTCTCCAAAAAAAATAAATAAATAAAAAACCATTTAAATTGTTGTTCTATAAAGGTTTCTTCCATGGCTGCTCTAAACTTCTCTTTTCTTCGACTGTTTACACAATTAATTTATAATTATGTATTGCCTATGACAAGTCTTCTATTACATTTAACTTTCATTTACATTTTCTATGCTTATTTAATTTATTCTGTGTTTCTGTATTATATCCTCTAAATCTATACTGTCTAATAACATAGCCAACAGCAACATGTGACTACCAGGCATTTGAAAGGTGGCTAATCCAAACTGAGTATGCTGTAAATGTAAATATACTGGATGTCAAAAACTTGAGATATGTAAAAATATCTATTACATGTTGAGATGACATATTATATGTATTATGATAAAATATACTATTAAAATTAATTTTACCTTAAAAATTTTAATGTGGTTATTATGAAATTTAATATTACATATGTGATTCACAGTGGGTTTCTACTGGACAGGGCTGCTGTAGACCAGCACTGTGCAAGAGAACTTTCTTCAATGACAGAAATGTTCAAGATCTGCACTGTCCAACAGCCACTGACCACATGTGGCTGTGAGTACAAGAAGTGTGACTCATGTGACTGAGGGTTGAATTTTTTATTTTAATTAATTTAAATTGAAATAGCCACTGGTGGCTAATGGCCACCATATTGGACAGTGTGGCTCTTGAATATAAAATGCTTAGAAGTCAGAAATGAGTTATAATCTTCAGCTAAATAATAATAAAAATGAGCATACTCAAGGCCACAAATACAAGTGAAGTGTTGTAGAGGTGAAGCCCATAAATCACATATACTAACCTTGGAGAGAAAACCAAATGCTTCACATTTAATGTTTCTCAATTAAATACTGATATAAGTCAATAATTAGCAAAGAAACACCTACCTTGTTCAAGGTCCTCACAGCTGCATATCTCAAGGCTGGCTTAGGAGAACTACAGAAAAGTTGAAGAACTAAAAAAAAATAATAATAATAATATGTAACATTAAGTAATATTACATATACATACCGTGAATACTCCTGGCTTAAGAGAACTATAGAAAAGTTGAAGAAGTAAAATACAGATATAGATACAGTGACTATTACCTATATATGCTGTGAATATTCCTTATCTCATCATATACCATATAGCTGAAAATATAGTACATAATGAATCACATTCAAAATATGCATACATTTTATCACAGCATCAAAAATTTACATGAAAAATGTAACATCAAAATAGAAAAAGCACTTTTGGGGCGCCTGTAGTCCCAGCTACTCGGGAGGCTGAGGCAGAAGCATGGCGTGAACCCAGGAGGCAGAGCTTGCAGTGAGCCGAGCTATCGTGCCACTGCACTCCTGCCTCAGTGACAGAGTGAGACTCCGTCTCAAAAAAAAAAAAAAAAAAGAAAAAAAAAAAAGAAAAAGCACTTTTGGTCAGTTATAAAAACTTAAATAAGAAACAAAGTTTGCTCTTTTTAAAAAAAAATTAGAATACCCATTAATACCTGAACTAAATGGTAGAAATATTGACAGTTCTGAAAACAAATGGGCTTTTTAAACACCAAGGAAAACTGTAAAATGTTTTCAAAAGTTTCATACGAGGAAACAGAAACTTTAAAAAAAAGCAATAAAGAACTATTATTAATAAACTATGTACATATAAATAAAATTCTTTCAAAAGTTTTATATGGAGAAATAGAAACATTAAAAAAAGTAATAAAGTAAGGAACAACTAAAATAAACTATCTACATATAAGCTATCAGAATGCAAAGGCTATATATACACAGAGCTAGTGTTCAGAAAACATTCTTAATACCTATTCTGTAGACCTATGAAACTTAAAGCAAAAACTTAGGAACATAAAAGCCAGCCATCAAATATAAAACAAACCTGAAACAGCAGGTGCCAACTCTCTTGCAGTGCAGTTAGGAAGATGGATGATAGCTGAAGCAGCTTCATAAATAACCATTTCATGTTTATTTCGCAAGCAGCTCTCAATGAAATCAAACAGTGGACTTTCATGGCTGCCAATAAATATTTATAGGCCATTATTTAGATATCAAATAGAGAGGCAATATGCATAGGGATTAAAAGCACAGGCAGATTGAGAGGCACTTCTGGAATGGTGGATGAGGGATTTCTAAAAATTCATTTCATCACAAAGCAATTAGAACACTGGCAAAATTGTCAAAATCAACTTTTGCAGAACTCTAAAAAATTAATCAAAGATTTGCAACAATCCTGAACATCTATTTAAGAAAAGTAGCTGAATCTTAGTAAAAATGGTGAAGTTTCTGGTGTTTTAACCTACTCATTCTCAATTTCCATGCACCTCTTCCCAGTTCCATAGCAGTCTTGGAAACCAGCAGCCTCAGAACCACAGTAACTGTGAATGCCAGCAGCCTAGCTACAAAAGCAGCTCTGGGCCAAAATCTCATCCCCAGAGAACTGTCACTATGTGACCTGTCTGGTGCTCCTAGAAAAGCCCTATTCACAGGCTAATCTTTACTTCACCTGACTCAAGAGCTCATTCAGCATGAAAAGCCCTATGCCCAGGGAGTTTGTCCAAAAAAATCAGTAGTATTTGGTTAATCTTGCAGCTGCCAGAAGCAGCAATTTTAGCAGGGGCAAACAAGAGGCTGGCCAAAAAACTTAAAAGGAAAATTTGAGAAATGAGATGTCCTTAGGGGGCTTTGAAAATTTCTAAAATATTTCTGGGGATACAGAAGGTCATGTGCATGTGCAGGGCTAAGCAAACAGCCACTAAAGACCTGACAGAGCTCCGCTCTCTAACCTTTGCTTGACTCTGAGGCTCTGCACAAAGCAGGAAGTGAAGGCTAAGGCAGAGCTGTGAACTCCCGGGGCATGGAAAGCACGCCCCAACATACACAGCACCCGTTGGAAAATGATGGGAGACATACTGGTTTAAAGCATTTAAGAAAATCTGTCAAATTATTATTTGTGACTCAGCTAATCAAACAAAGACTTCAGTGTCTATACAAGATACAGAATAAAGACTACAGAAATAGTCCAGGAAGGTCACAAACAACAACAAAAACAACAAACCCCAGGGATAGGGAAAGGGAAGGTCTGATTACCAGTGTTGTCACATTATAATATTTAAAATATAATGTTTCTGACAAAATAATTATGAGACACACAAAGAAATACTTAACTATGACCCATCTATGGGGGAAAAAAAGTAGTCAATAGAATTTATTCCTGAGGAAGCCCAGATGTTGAACTTACTGGCAAAAACTTTAAGTCAGCTAATATAAATATGTTCAAAGAACTAAAGGAAACTAAAATATTTAATTTAAAGGGAAGTACAACAAGATGTCTTATGAGACTACCAATAAAGTGACAGAAATGATTTTTTTTTTTAAGAAACCAAATAGAAATTCTAGATTTGCAAAGTGCAATGACTGGAATGAAAAATTCACCAGAAAAAGTTCAATAGCAGACTTGCACAGGCAGATGAAAGAATAAGAAAACTTGTAGATCTACTGAGATAAACCAGCTGATGAAAATAAAAAAAGAAGGAAGAAAAATGAACAGTGCTTTGGAGACCTGTGTAACATGACCAAGGGTACCAACATTTTGGATGATAGGAGTTTTCATAGGAAAAGAGAGACACAAAGGGGAAAAAGAACATAAGAAGAAACCATGGCTGAAAACCTCATAAGTTTGATTTAGAAAAAACATTAATTTATGTACCCAAGAGGCTCAAAAAGTCTCAAGCAGAATAAATACAAAAATATTCAAATATATACACATCAGAGTGAAACTGTTGAAAGCATAAAAATAGTCATTCTGACTGGTGTGAAATTGTATCTCATTGTGGTTTCGATTTGCATTTCTCTAATGATTAGTGATGTTGACCATTTTTTCATATGCTTGGTACCATCTTGTACCAGTCAGAATAGCTATTATTAAAAAGTCAAAAAGTAACAGATGCTGGTGAGGTTGCAGAGAAAAGGGAATGCTTACACACTGCTGTTGGGAATGCAAATTAGTTCAGCCACTGTGGAAAGCAGTTTGGAGATTTCTCAAAGACCTCAGAACTACCATTCAATCCAGCAATCCCATTACTAAATACGAACCCGAAGGAATATGAATTGTTCTTCTTAGGTTTTGATGAGAAGGCGAGGATTAAAGAAAGACTGAGAGAGAGTTGGCGGCTCTACAGCAATGCAGGTTTTATGTCCAGCATAAGACCTGCAGAGGCGGGGCACCAGCTTAATGCCAGGGCCCACCTCTGCTTACAGGCTGGGGCAATTTTAGGCCTGGGAGGGAGGGGTCTGAGGGTTATGGCTTGCTGCCCGGGAGGATGTTGATAAGATGTTCCCATGATGAGGTGGTTTGGCCCTTGTTCTGGCAGGATGTGACAGTGATGTTCCTTGGACTTTTTCCCAGCAGAATGTGATAAGAAAGTCAGGCAGTCGGGCAGGATGTTTCTCACGGCCCAGTCCCCCAAGGAATGTTTCACTTTGATCAAGGTCTATGAAATGACAAGGGGCTTACAAAATGGTACAGTTTGGACTAACAGTTCTACCATAAAGACACAGGCCCTCCTATGTTCACTGCACCACTACACACAATAGCAAAGACATGGAATCAACCTAGATACCCAACAACAGTGGACTGGATGAAGAAAACGTAGTACATATACACCATGGAATACTATGCAGCCATAAAAATGAATGAGATTATGTCCATTGCAGCAACATCGATAGAGCTGGAGGCCATTATCCTAAGCAAATTAACACAGGGACAGAAAACCAAATACTGCATGTTTTCACTTATAAGGGAAGCTAAACATTGAGTGCACATGGTCACAAAGAAGGGAACAATAGGCACTGGAGCCTACTTGAGGGTGTAGGGTGGGAGAGGATGAGGATAAAAAAACTACCAACTGGGTGGTACCAAGAAGTTTGAGATTATGCTAAATGACCAAACCTAAGAATAACTGGTGTTCCCAAGGAAGAAGATAAATCTAAAAGTTTGGAAAACTTATTTGAAGGAATAATCAAGGAAAACTTCCCCGGCCTTGCAAGAGACCTAGACATCCAAATACAAGAAGCTCAAAGAACAGCCAGAAAATTCATCACAAAAAGATCATCACCTATGCATTTAGTCATCAGATTATCTAAAGTCAAGATGAAGGAAAGAATCTTAAGAGCTGTGAGGCACAAGCATCAGGTAAGCTATAAAGGAAAACCTACCAGATTAACAGCAGATTTCTCAGCAGAAACCCTACAAACTAGAAGGGACTGGGGTCCTATCGATAGCCTCCTTAAAAAAAATAATTATCAGCCAAGAATTTTGTATCCAGTGAAACTAAGCTTCATAAATGAAGGAAAGATAAAGTTCTTTTCAGATAAACAGATGCTGAGAGAATTCGCCACCACCAAGCCAGCACTACAATAACTGTAGAAGGAGTCCTAAATCTTGAAACAAAACCTTGAAATACACCAAAATAGAACCTCCTTAAAGAAAAAAATCTCACAGGGCCTATAAAACAATAACACAATGAAAAATAAAAAACAAGGTATTCAGGCTACAACTAGCATGATGAATAGAATAGTACCTCACTCACATCTCAGTAATAACACTGAATGTAAGAGGGCTAGGTGCGGTGACTCACACCTGTAATCTCAGCACTTTGGGAGGCCGAGGCAGGCAGATCACGAGGTCAGGAGTTTGAGACCAGCCTGGCCAACATGGTGACCCTGTCTCTACTAAAAATACAAAAATTAGCTGGGCATGGTGGTGGATGCCTGTAGTCCCAGCTACTCGGGAGGCTGACACAGGAGAATCACTTGAACCTGGGAGACGGACGTTGCGGTGAGCCAAGATCGCGCCATTGCACTCCAGCCTGGGCAACAGGAGCGAAACTCTGTCTCAAAAAAAAGAATCCACCAACCAAGTCCGCTGTCTTAAAGAGACTCATCTAACACATAAGGACTCACATAAACTTAAGGTAAAGGGGCGGAAAAAGGTATTCCATGCAAATGGACACCAAAAGTGAGCAGGAGTAGCTATTATATCAGACAAAACGGACTTTAAAGCAACAATAGTTTAAAAAGCAAAGACGGACATTATATAATGATAAAAGCACTAGTCCAACAGGAAAATATCACAATCCTAAATATATATGCACCTAACACTGGAGCTCCCAAATTTATAAAACAATTACTACTAGACCTAAGAAATGAGATAGACGGCAACGCAATAATAGTGGTGTACTTCAATACTCCACTGACAGCACGAGACAGGTCATCAAGACAGAAAGTCAACAAAGAAACAACGGACTTAAACTATACCCTACAACACATGGACTTAACAGATATTTACAGAACGTTCTACCCAACAACTGCAGAATATACATTCTATTCATCAGCACATGGAACATTCTCCAAAATAAACCATATGACAGGCCACAAAACAAGTCTCAATAAATTTAAGAAAATTAAAATTATACCAAGTACACTCTCAGACCACAGTAGAATAAAACTGGAAATCAACTCCAAAAGGAACCTTGAAAACCAGGCAAATACATGGAAATTAAATAATCTGCTCCTGAATGATTGTCAGGTCATCAATGAAATCAAGATGGAAATTAAAAAATTCTTTGAACTGAACAATAATAGTATATACAGACCTCTGAGATACAGCAAAAAAGGTGCTAAGAGGAAAGTTCATACTACTAAATGCCTACACCAAAAAGTCTGAAAGAGCATAAATAGATGATCTAAGGTCAAACCTCCAGGAACTAGAGAAACAAGAACAAACCAAACCTAAACTCAGCAAGAGAAAAGAAATAACCAAGATCAGAGCACAATTAAATGAAACTGAAACAACAACAACAACAAAAAATACAAAAGATAAATGAAACAAAAAGCTAGTTCTTTGAAGATAAACAAAATTGACAGACCATTACCAAGACTAACCAAGAAGAGAGAAGATCCAAGTAAGCTCAATTAAAAAGGAATCGGGAGATATTAAAACCAAAATACTAGAGAAATACAAAAGATCATTCAAGGCCACTATGAACACCTTTATACACACAAACCAGAAAATCTAGAGGTGATGGATAAATTCCTGGAAATATACAAACCCTCCTAGATCAAACCAGGAGGAAATAGAAACTCTGAACAGACCAATAACAAGCAGCAAGATTGAAATGGTAATAAAAAGTTTCCAACAAAAAAAAGTCCAAGACCAGATAAACTCACAGCTGAATTATATCAGACATTCAAAGAATAATTGGTACTAATCTTATTGAAACTATTCCAAAAGATAGAGAAAGAGTGAATCCTCCTTAAATCATTATAAGAAGCCAGTATAACCCTAATACCAAAACCAGGAAACGACATAACAAAAAAAGAAAACTACAGACCAATATCCCTGATGAACACAGACACAGAAATCCTCAACAAAATATAACTAACCAAATTCAACAGCATATCAAAAAGATATCCACCATGACCAAGTGGGTTTCATACCAGTGATGCAGGGATGGTTTAACATACGCAAGTCAATAAATGTGATACACCACATAAACAGAATTAAAAACAAAAATCACTTCATCATTTCAATGGATGCCAAAAAAGCATTTGACAAAATCCAGCATCCCTTTATGATTAAAACCCTCAGCAAAATCGGCACAGAGGGGATGTGCCTTAAAGTAATAAAAGCCATCTAGGAGAAACCCACAGTTGGCATTATACTGAACAGGAAAAAGTTGAAAGCATTCCCCAAGAACTGGAACAAGACAAGGATGCCCACTTTCATCACTTCTATTCAACATAGTGCTGGAAGTCCTAGCCAGAGCAATCAAACAAGAGAAAGAAATAAAGGACATCCAAATTGGTAAAGAGGAAGTTAAACTGTTGCTGTTCACTGATGATATGACTGTCTACCTAGAAAACCCTAAAAACTCATCCAAAAAGCTCCTAGATCTGATAAATGAATTCAGTAGTTTCAGGTTACAAAATCAATGTACACAAATCAGTAGCACTGCTATACAGCAACAGTGAGCCAGCAGAGAATCAAATCAAGAACTCAACCCCTTTTACAATAGCTGCAATAAAATAAAATACTTAGGAATATATCTAACCAAGGAGGTGAAAGATTTCTACAAGGAAAACTGCAAAACACTGCTGAAAGAAATCATACACAAACAAATGGAAACACCTCCCATGCTCATGGATGAGTAGAATCAATATTGTGAAATGATCACACTGCCAAAAGCAATCTACAAATTCAACATAATTCCCATCAAAATACCACCATCATTCTTCACAGAACCACACACACACACAAATCTTAAAATTCATATGGAACCAAAAAAAGAGCCCACATAGCCAAAGCAAGACTAAGCAAAAAGAACAAATCTGGAGGCATCACATTACCTGACTTCAAACTATACTATAAGGCCACAGTCACCAAAACAGCATGGCACTGGTATAAAAATAGGCAAAGAGACCAATGTAACAGAATAGAGAACCCAGAAATAAACCCAACTACTTATAGCCAACTGATCTTGAACAAAGAAAGCAAAACATAAAGCGGGGAAAGGACATCCTATTCAACAAATGATGCTGGGCTAATTGGCTAGCCATGCGTAGGAGAATGAAACTGGATCCTCATCTCTCACCTTATATAAAAATCAACTCAAGATGGATCAAAGACTTAAATCTAAGACCTGAAACCATTAAAATCCTAGAACACTGGAAAAACCCTTCTACACATTTGCTTAGGCAAAGACTTCATGACCAAGAACCCAAAAGCAAATGCGAGAAAAGCAAAGATAAATAGATGGGACTTAATTAAACTAAAAAGCTTCTGTACAGCGAAAGAAATAATCAGCATAGTAAACAGACAACCCACAGAGTGGGAGAAAAGCTTTGCAAATGGTGCATCTGATAAAGGACTGATATCCAGAAACTACAAGGACCTCAAACAAATCAGCAAGAAAAAAACAAATAATCCCATCAAAAAGTGGGTTAAGGACATGAATAGACAATTCTCAAAAGAAGATATACAAATGGCCAACAAACATATGAAAAAAATGCTCAACATCACTAATGATCAGGGAAATGCAAAATTAAAACCACAATGTGGTACCACCTTACTCCTGCAAGAATGGCCATAATTAAAAAATAAAAAGATAGATGTTGGTGTGGATATGGTGAAAAGGGAACACTTCTACACTGATGGTGGGAATGTGAACTAGGACAACCACTATGGAAAACAGTGTGGAGATTACTTAAAGAACTAAAAAGTAGATCTACCATTATCCAGCAAACCCACTACTGGGTATCTACCCAGAGGAAAAGAAGTCATTATATGAAAAAGGCACTTGCACACTCATGTTTATAGCAGCACAATTCACAATTGCAGAAATATGGAACCAGCCCAAATGCCCATCAATCAATAAGTAAATAAAGAAAATGCGCCCTCTCTCTCTCTATATATATATATATACACAAACGCGCGCACACACACATATATACACCATGGAATACTACTCAGCCATTAAAAGGAATGAAATAATAGCATTTGCAGCAACCAGGGTGCAGTTGGAGACCATTATTCTAAGTGAAGTAACTCAGGAAAGGAAACCCAAACATCACATGTTCTCACTTAAAGGTGGGAGCTAAGCTATGAGGACGCAAAGGCATGAGAATGATACAATGGATTTTGGGGACTTGGGGGGAAGAGAGGGAGGGGAGTAAGGGATAAAAGACTACACATTGGGTATAGTGTACACTACTTGGGTGATGGGTACACCAAAATCTCAGAAATCACCTCTGAAGAACTTATCCATGTAACCAAACACCACCTGTTCCCCAAAAGCCTATTGAAATAAAATAAATAAAAATAAAAATAATAGTTGGAGATGTCTAGTCCCACCCAATAACTGATAGAACAACTAAGCAGAAAATCATCAAGGATACAGAAGACTTGAACAACATGATCAACCAACTCAAGCTAACTGATTATAGAAAACATTCAACCCAGTAACTGTAAAAATACAAATTCTTTCTCAGTGCTAATCATTTCCAAGAACGAATTAAATACCAAGTCACAAAACAAATCTCAATACATTTAAAATGACAGAAATCATACAAAGTATGTTGTTCAACCAGAACTGAATTAAATTATAAATCAACAACAGAAAAGAAACCAGGGAAATCCTTAAATATTTCAAAATTAAACACCACACTTCCAAGTAACTCAGGGATCAAGAAGAAATCAAATGGGAAATGAGAAAATATTTGAAGTTGAATGAAAATGAAAACACAACAAATCAAAATGTATAGGGCTCAACTAAAGCAATGCTTGGAGAAAAATTTATTTTAGAAACCTGTATCAAAAACAAAAAAGGGTCTCAAATCAATAACCTAGGCTTCCACATGAAGAAATTAGGAAGAGTAAGCCTGCAGCAAGCAGAAGAAAGGAAATAATAAATATTAGAGCACAGGTTAATTGACTAGAACACAGAAAAATAATAATAAAAAAAATCAGTGACACCCAAAGTTGGTTCTTTGAAAAGATCAACAAAATTCACAAACCTTCATCTAAACTAACCAAGAAAAAAAGAGGAAAGACACAAATTACCAAAACCAGGGATGAAAAAGGGAACACATCACTACTGACACTAAAGAAATGAAAATAATTATGAGGAACTATTATGAACAATTGTATGACAACAAATTAGATAACTTAGATGAAATGGAAAAATTCCTAGAAATACCAAACTACTAAAGATGACTCAAAAAGAAACAGAAAATCTAAATAATTTCTAATGAGTTAGTTATTAAAAATCACACCTCAAAAAAAAAAAACCACAGATCCAGATGGTCTCACCAGTTAATTCTATCAGATATTTAAAATAATAATAATACCAATTCTTCACAACTCTTTCAGAAAATAAATGAGAAAAGAACATTTACTAACCAACTAATTCTATGAAGCTAGTACTATTCAGATAAAAAAGCATGACAAATATTTCACAAGAAAATTACAGTACAATCTCCCTTCTACCAAAAACAAAAATTCTTAACAAATATCAGCAAACTGAATCCAGTAATATGTAAAAAGAATTATATACATAATTAAGTGGCATTAATCACAGGAACGTAAAAGTGGTTTAACACCAGAAAATCACATTATATATTACATTAATAATATAAAGGACAAAAACCACATAATCATCTTCACAGATGAATAAAAATCCATTGACAAAAATCTAACACACATTAATAATATAAAGAATAAAAACCACATAATTATCTTCATAGATGAACAAAAGTCAATTGACAAAATCTAACACCCATGCGTGATTTTTAAAAAACTTTTAATTTTAGGTTCAGGGGTACATGTGAAGGTTTGTTCATAGCTAATGGTACATGTTACATAGGTAAGTTCAACCACAATGGTTGAACTAATTTACACTCACACCAACAATGTATAAGTGTGTTGATAAAGACATAGAAAACTGAAATTCTCATACATAATAGAAATGGTATGGTTATTTTGGAAAATAGTTTGGCAATTTCTTTAAAAGTTAAACATAAACTCATCATATGACCCAGTTATTCTATTTATAGAAATCTTTGCAAGAAAATGGAAAAATATATGTACACACAAAGCTTTATATATGAATGTTCAGAGCCACATTATTCATAATAGATGAAAATGGGAAAGAAAAACAAGTGCCCATCAACTAATGAAAAAACCAAGTGCCCATCAATTAATGAACAAGTAAACAAAATTTGGTCTAGCCGTACCATGGAAGAGTATTCAGTCATAAAAAGGAATGAAGTACTGATGCATGCTACAACACAGTGAACCTCAAAAATATTATATTAAGTGAAAGAGCATAAAGTTAAAGAACTGAGGCCAGGTGCAGTGGCTCATGCCTGTAATCCCAGCACTTTGGATGGCTGAGGCAGGTGGATCACCTGAGATCAGGAGTTCACATCACAGGACTCTGCAGACAATCCCTGGTACCAGCTTGGAGCTGGGTAGACTTGCTGGGTGGCTAGACCCAGAAGAGAGACAACAATCACTGCAGTTTGGCTCATAGGAAGCCACGTCCATAGGAAAAGGGGGAGAGTACTACATCCAAGCAACACCCCATGAGACAAAAGAATCAGAACAACAGACTTCCGCCTAGACCTTCCCTCTGACAGAGCCTACCCAAATGAGAAGGAACCAGAAAACCAACTCTGGTAATATGACAAAACAAGGCTCTTTAACACCTCCCCCCCCAAAAAAATTACACTAGTTCACCAGCAATGGATCTAAGCCAAGAAGAAATCCTTGATTTACCTGTAAAAGAATTCAGGAGGTTAGGTATTAAGCTAATCAGAGAGGCACCAGAGAAAGGCAAAGCCCAATGCAAGGAAATCCAAAAAATGATACAAGAAGTGAAGGGAGAAATATTCAAGGAAATAGATTGCTTAAAGAAAAAAAACAATCAAAAATTCAGGAAGCACTGGACACACTCACAGAAATGCAAAATGCTCTGGAAAGTCTCAGCAATAGAATTGAACAAGTAGAAGAAAGAAATTCAGAGCTCAAAGACAAGGCCTTCAAATTAACCCAATCCAATAAAGACAGAAAAAGGAATAAGAAAATATGAACAAAGACTCCAAGAAGTCTGGGATTATGTTAAACGACCAAACCTAAGAATAATCGATGTTCCTAAGGAAGAAGAGAAATCTGAAAGTTTGGAAAATGTATTTGGGGGAATAACTAAGGAAAATTTCCCCGGCCTTGCAAGAGACCTAGACATCCAAATACAAGAAGCACAAAGAACACCTGGGAAATTCATTGCAAAAGGATCATCACTTAGGCACACTGTCATCAGGTTACCTAAAGTTAAGACAAAGGAAAGAATCTTAAGAGTTGTGAGACAGACGCACCAGATAACCTATCAAGGAAAACTTATCAGATTAACAGCAGATTTCTCAGCAGAAACCCTACAAGCTAGAAGGGATTGGGTCCTATCTTCAGTCTCCTCAAACAAGACAATTACCAGCCAAGAACTTGGTATCCAGCGAAACTAAGCATCATATATAAAGGAAAGATACAGTCTTTTTCAGACAAACAAATGCTGAGAGAATTTGCCACTACCAAGCCACCACCACAAGGACTACTAAAAGGAGCCCTATATCCTGAAACAAATCCTGGAAACACATCAAAACAGAACCTCTTTAAAAAGCATAAATCACAAAGGACCTATAAAACAAAAATATAAGTTAAAAGGCAAAAACAAAAAACAAAAAAACCAAAGTACACAGGCAACAAATAGCATGATGAATGCAACAGTACCTCACATCTCAATACTAACACTGAGTGTAAATAGCTTAAATGCTCCACTTAAAAGATACAGAACTGCAAAATGGATAACAACTCACCAACCATCTGCTGCCTTCAGGAGACTCACCTAACACATACTCTCATAAAGTACAGGGGTGCCTTTATGAAATACCTCATGCAAATGGACACCAAAAGCAAGGAGGGGTAGCTATTCTTATATCAGACAAAACAAACTTTAAAGCAACAGCAGTTAAAAGAGACAAAGGGGTACATTAGATAATGGTAAAAGCCCTTGTCCAACAGGAAAATATCACAATCCTAAACATATATCCACCCAAAACTTGAGCTCCCAAATTTATAAAACAAGTATTACTAGACCTAAGAAATGAGATAGATGGCAACACAATAATAGTGGGGGACTTCAATACTCCACTGACAGCACTAGACAGGTCATCAAGACAGAAAGTCAACAAAGAAATAATGGATTTAAACTATACCTTCGAACAAATGGACTTAACAAATATATAGAACATCTTATCCAACAACCACTGAATACACATTCTATTCAACAGTGTATGGAACTTTCTCCAAGACAGGCCATATGATAGGCCATAAAACGAGCCTCAATAAATTTAAGAAAATTGAAATTATATCAAGAACTCTCTGAGACCACAGTTAAATAAAACTGGAAATCAACTCCAAAAGGAACCTTCAAAACCGTGCAAATACATGGAAATTAAATAACCTGCTCCTGAGTAAGCATTGGGTCAACATGAAATCAAGATGGAAATCAAAGAATTCTTCGAACTGAACAATAATGACACAACCTATCAGAACCTCTGGAATACAGCAAAGGCAGTGCTAAGAGGAAAGTTCATAGCCCTCCATCAAAAGCTCAAAAGTTCAAAAGCTCAAAAAGTTCAAGTGCCTACATCAAAAAGACTGAAAGAGCACAAACTGACATTATAAGGATACACCTCAAGGAACTAGAAAAACAAGAACAAACCAAACCCAAACCTAAACCTAGCAGAAGAAAGGAAATAACTAAGATCAGAGCAAAACTAAATGAAATTGAAACAAACAAACAAACAAAAAAATACCAAAGGTAAATAAAACAAAAAGCTGGTTCTTCAAAAAGATAAATAAAATTGATAGACCATTAGCAAGATCAACCAAGAAGAGAGAAAATCCAAATAACTTCATTAAGAAACGAAACAGAAGATATTACAACTGACACCACTGAAATACAAATGATCATTCAAACCTACAATGAACATCTTTACACACATAAACTAGAAAACCTGGAAGAAATGAATAAACTGCTGGAAAAATACAACTCTCCTAGCTTAAATCAGGAAGAATTAGATCCCCTGAACAGACCAATAACAAGCAGCGAGATTGAAATGGTAATTTAAAAATTACCAACAAAAAAAAGTCCAGAATGATTGAGAAGGAGGAGCCAAGATGGCCGAATAGGAACAGCTCCCGTCTACAGCTCCCAGTGTGAGCGACGCAGAAGACCGGTGATTTCTGCATTTCCATCTGAGGTACTGGGTTCATCTCACTAGGGAGTGCCAGACAGTGGGCGCAGGTCAGTGGGTGCACGCACCGTGCGCAAGCCGAACCAGGGCGAGGCATTGCCTCACTTGGGAAGCGCAAGGGTCAGGGAGTTCCCTTTCCGAGTCAAAGAAAGGGGTGATGGACGCACCTGGAAAATCGGGTCACTCCCACCCGAATATTGAGCTTTTCCGACCGGCTTAAAAAACAGCCCAGGCCAGGCGCGGTGGCTCACGCCTGTAATCCCAGCACTTTGGGAGGCCGAGGCGGGTGGATCATGAGGTCAGGAGATCGAGACCATCCTGGCTAACAAGGTGAAACCCCGTCTCTACTAAAAATACAAAAAATTAGCCGGGCGCGGTGGCGGGCGCCTGTAGTCCCAGCTACTCGGGAGGCTGAGGCAGGAGAATGGCGTGAACCCGGGAAGCGGAGCTTGCAGTGAGCCGAGATTGCGCCACTGCAGTCCGCAGTCTGGCCTGGGCGACAGAGCGAGACTCCGTCTCAAAAAAAAAAAAAAAAAAAAACAAAAAAAAAAAACAGCCCACCACGAGATTACATCCCGCACCTGGCTCGGAGGGTCCTACGCCCACGGAATCTCGCTGATTGCTAGCACAGCAGTCTGAGATCAAACTGCAAGGCGGCAGCGAGGCTGGGGGAGGGGCGCCCGCCATTGCCCAGGCTTGCTTAGGTAAACAAAGCAGCAGGGAAGCTCCAACTGGGTGGAGCCCACCACAGCTCAAGGAGGCCTGCCTGCCTCTGTAGGCTCCACCTCTGGGGGCAGAGCACAGACGAACCAAAAGACAGCAGTAACCTCTGCAGACTTAAATGTCCCTGTCTGACAGCTTTGAAGAGAGCAGTGGTTCTCCCAGCACGCAGCTGGAGATCTGAGAACGGGCAGACTGCCTCCTCAAGTGGGTCCCTGACCCCTGACCCCCGAGCAGCCTAACTGGGAGGCACCCCCCAGCAGGGGCACACTGACACCTCACACAGCAGGGTATTCCAACAGACCTGCAGCTGAGGGTCCTGTCTGTTAGAAGGAAAACTAACAAACAGAAAGGACATCCACACCAAAAACCCATCTGTACATCACCATCATCAAAGACCAAAAGTAGATAAAACCACAAAGATGGGGAAAAAACAGAACAGAAAAACTGGAAACTCTAAAACGCAGAGCGCCTCTCCTCCTCCAAAGGAATGCAGTTCCTCACCAGCAACGGAACAAAGCTGGATGGAGAATGACTTTGACGAGCTGAGAGAAGAAGGCTTCAGACGATCAAATTACTCTGAGCTACGGGAGGACATTCAAACCAAAGGCAAAGAAGTTGAAAGCTTTGAAAAAAATTTAGAAGAATGTATAACTAGAATAACCAATACAGAGAAGTGCTTAAAGGAGGTGATGGAGCTGAAAACCAAGGCCCGAGAACTATATGAAGAATGCAGAAGCCTCAGGAGCCAATGCGATCAACTGGAAGAAAGGGTATCAGCAATGGAAGATTAAATGAATGAAATGAAGCGAGAAGGGAAGTTTAGAGAAAAAAGAATAAAAAGAAATGAGCAAAGCCTCCAAGAAATATGGGACTATGTGAAAAGACCAAATCTACATCTGATTGGTGTACCTGAAAGTGATGGGGAGAATGGAACCAAGTTGGAAAACACTCTGCAGGATATTATCCAGCAGAACTTCCCCAATCTAGCAAGGCAGGCCAACGTTCAGATTCAGGAAATACAGAGAACGCCACAAAGATACTCCTCGAGAAGAGCAACTCCAAGACACATAATTGTCAGATTCACCAAAGTTGAAATGAAGGAAAAAATGTTAAGGGCAGCCAGAGAGAAAGGTCGGGTTACCCTCAAAGGGAAGCCCATCAGACTAACAGCGGATCTCTCGGCAGAAACCCTACAAGCCAGAAGAGAGTGGGGGCCAATATTCAACATTCTTAAAGAAAAGAATTTTCAACCCAGAATTTCATATCCAGCCAAACTAAGCTTCATAAGTGAAGAAGAAATAAAATACTTTACAGACAAGCAAATGCTGAGAGATTTTGTCACCACCAGGCCTGCCCTAAAAGAGCTCCTGAAGGAAGCGCTAAACATGGAAAGGAACAACCGGTACCAGCCACTGCAAAATCATGCCAAAATGTAAAGACCATCGAGACTAGGAAGAAACTGCATCAACTAACAAGCAAAATCACCAGCTAACATCATAATGACAGGATCAAATTCACACATAACAATATTAACTTTAAATGTAAATGGACTAAATGCTCCAATTAAAAGACACAGACTGGCAAATTGGATAAAGAGTCACGACCCATCAGTGTGCTGTATTCAGGAAACCCATCTCATGTGCAGAGACACACACAGGCTCAAAATAAAAGGATGGAGGAAGATCTACCAAGCAAATGGAAAACAAAAAAAGGCAGGGGTTGCAATCCTAGTCTCTGATAAAACAGACTTTAAACCAACAAAGATCAAAAGAGACAAGGCCATTACATAATGGTAAAGGGATCAATTCAACAAGAAGAGCTAACTATCCTAAATATATATGCACCCAATACAGGAGCACCCAGATTCATAAAGCAAGTCCTGAGTAACCTAAAAAGAGACTTAGACTCCCATACATTAATAATGGGAGACTTTAACACCCCACTGTCAACATTAGACAGATCAACGAGACAGAAAGTCAACAAGGATACCCAGGAATTGAACTCAGCTCTGCACCAAGTGGACCTAATAGACATCTACAGAACTCTCCACCCCAAATCAACAGAATATACATTTTTTTCAGCACCACACCACACCTATTCCAAAATTGACCACATACTTGGAAGTAAAGCACTCCTCAGCAAATGTAAAAGAACAGAGATTATAACAAACTATCTCTCAGACCACAGTGCAATCAAACTAGAACTCAGGATTAAGAAACTCACTCAAAACCACTCAACTACATAGAAACTGAACAACCTGCTCCTGAATGACTACTGGATACATAACGAAATGAAGGCAGAAATAAAGATGTTCTTTGAAACCAACGAGAACAAAGACACAACATACCAGAATCTCTGGGACGCATTCAAAGCAGTGTGTAGAGGGAAATTTATAGCACTAAATGCCCACAAGAGAAAGCAGGAAAGATCCAAAATTGACACCCTAACATCACAATTAAAAGAACTAGAAAAGCAAGAGCAAACACATTCAAAAGCTAGCAGAAGGCAAGAAATAACTAAAATCAGAGCAGAACTGAAGGAAATAGAGACACAAAAAACCCTTGAAAAAATTAATGAATCCAGGAGCTGGTTTTTTGAAAGGATCAACAAAATTGATAGACCGCTAGCAAGACTAATAAAGAAAAAAAGAGAGAAGAATCAAATAGACACAATAAAAAATGATAAAGGGGATATCACCACCAATCCCACAGAAATACAAACTACCATCAGAGAATACTACAAACACCTCTACGCAAATAAACTAGAAAATCTAGAAGAAATGGATAAATTCCTCGACACATACACTCTCCCAAGACTAAACCAGGAAGAAGTTGCATCTCTGAATAGACCAATAACAGGAGCTGAAATTGTGGCAATAATCAATAGTTTACCAACCAAAAAGAGTCCAGGACCAGATGGATTCACAGCCGAATTCTACCAGAGGTACAAGGAGGAACTGGTACCATTCCTTCTGAAACTATTCCAATCAATAGAAAAAGAGGGAATCCTCCCTAACTCATTTTATGAGGCCAGCATCATCCTGATACCAAAGCCGGGCAGAGACACAACCAAAAAAGAGAATTTTAGACCAATATCCTTGATGAACATTGATGCAAAAATTCTCAATAAAATACTGGCAAAACGAATCCAGCAGCACATCAAAAAGCTTATCCACCATGATCAAGTGGGCTTCATCCCTGGGATGCAAGGCTGGTTCAATATACGCAAATCAATAAATGTAATCCAGCATATAAACAGAGCCAAAGACAAAAACCACATGATTATCTCAATAGATGCAGAAAAAGCCTTTGACAAAATTCAACAACCCTTCATGCTAAAAACTCTCAATAAATTAGGTATTGATGGGACGTATTTCAAAATAATAAGAGCTATCTATGACAAACCCACAGCCAATATCATACTGAATGGGCAAAAACTGGAAGCATTCTCTTTGAAAACTGGCACAAGACAGGGATGCCCTCTCTCACCACTCCTATTCAACATAGTGTTGGAAGTTCTGGCCAGGGCAATTGGGCAGGAGAAGGAAATAAAGGGTATTCAATTAGGAAAAGAGGAAGTCAAATTGTCCCTGTTTGCAGATGACATGATTGTATATCTAGAAAACCCCATTGTCTCAGCCCAAAATCTCCTTAAGCTGATAAGCAACTTCAGCAAAGTCTCAGGATACAAAATCAATGTACAAAAATCACAAGCATTCTTATACACCAACAACAGACAAACAGAGAGCCAAATCATGAGTGAACTCCCATTCACAACTGCTTCAAAGAGAATAAAATACCTAGGAATCCAACTTACAAGGGATGTGAAGGACCTCTTCAAGGAGAACTACAAACCACTGCTCAAGGAAATAAAAGAGGATACAAACAAATGGAAGAACATTCCATGCTCATGGGTAGGAAGAATCAATATCATGAAAATGGCCATACTGCCCAAGGTAATTTACAGATTCAATGCCATCCCCATAAAGCTACCAATGACTTTCTTCACAGAATTGGAAAAAACTACTTTAAAGTTCATATGGAACCAAAAAGGGCCCACATCACCAAGGCAATCCTAAGCCAAAAGAACAAAGCTGGAGGCATCACACTACCTGACTTCAAACTATACTACAAGGCTACAGTAACCAAAACAGCATGGTACTGGTACCAAAACAGAGATATAGATCAATGGAACAGAACAGAGCCCTCAGAAATAACGCCGCATATCTACAACTATCTGATCTTTGACAAACCTGAGAAAAACAAGAAATGGGGAAAGGATTCCCTATTTAATAAATGGTGCTGGGAAAACTGGCTAGCCATATGTAGAAAGCTGAAACTGGATCCCTTCCTTACACCTTATACAAAAATCAATTCAAGATGGATTAAAGACTTAAACGTTAGACCTAAAACCATAAAAACCCTAGAAGAAAACCTAGGCATTACCATTCAGGACATAGGCATGGGCAAGGATTTCATGTCCAAAACACCAAAAGCAATGGCAACAAAAGACAAAATTGACAAATGGGATCTAATTAAACTAAAGAGCTTCAGCACAGCAAAAGAAACTACCATCAGAGTGAACAGGCAACCTACAAAATGGGAGAAAATTTTTGCAACCTACTCATCTGACAAAGGGCTAATATCCAGAATCTACAATGAACTCAAACAAATTTACAAGAAAAAAACAAACAACCCCATCAAAAAGTGGGCGAAGGACATGAACAGACACTTCTCAAAAGAAGACATTTATGCAGCCAAAAAACACATGAAAAAATGCTCACCATCACTGGCCATCAGAGAAATGCAAATCAAAACCACAATGAGATACCATCTCACAACAGTTAGAATGGCAATCATTAAAAAGTCAGGAAACAACAGGTGCTGGAGAGGATGTGGAGAAATAGGAACACTTTTACACGTTGGTGGGACTGTAAACTAGTTCAACCATTGTGGAAGTCAGTGTGGCGATTCCTCAGGGATCTAGAATTAGAAATACCATTTGACCCAGCCATCCCATTACTGGGTATATATCCAAAGGACTACAAATCATGCTGCTATAAAGACACATGCACACGTATGTTTATTGCAGCATTATTCACAATAGCAAAGACTTGGAACCAACCCAAATGTCCAACAATGATAGACCGGATTAAGAAAATGTGGCCCATATACACCATGGAATACTATGCAGCCATAAAAAATGATGAGTTCATGTTCTTTGTAGGGACATGGATGAAATTGGAAATCATCATTCTCAGTAAACTATCGCAAGAACAAAAAACCAAACACCGCAGATTCTCACTCATAGGTGGGAATTGAACAATGAGATCACATGGACACAGGAAGGAGAATATCACACTCTGGGGACTGTGGGGGGTGGGGGGAGTGGGGAGGGATAGCATTGGGAGATATACCTAATGCTAGATGACGAGTTAGTGGGTGCAGTGCACCAGCATGGCACATGTATACATATGTAACTAACCTGCACAATGTGCACATGTACCCTAAAACATAAAGTATAAAAAAAAAAAAAAAAAAAAAAAAAAGCCCAGGCCTGGTGCAGTGGCTCACGCCTGTAATCCCAGCACTTTGGGAGGCTGAGGCGGGTGGATCATGAGTTCAGGAGATTGAGACCAACCTGGCCAACATGGTGAAGCCTTGTTTCTACTAAAATACAAAAAATTAGCCAGGCATGGTGGCGCATGCCTGTAGTCCCAGCTACTTGGGAGGCTGAGGCAGGGGAATCGCTTGAATCCCTGGGAGGCGGAGGTTGCAGTGAGCCAAGATCGCGCCACTGCACTCCAGACTGGCAACAGAGCGAGACTCCATCTCAAAAAAAAAAAAAAAAAAAAAAAAAAAAAAGTCCAGGACCAGACTTTTCACAGAATTCACAGAATTCTACCAGACATTCAAAGAAGAATTGGTACCAATCCTTTTGAAACTATTCCACAAGACAGAGAAAGAAGCAACCCTCCCGAACTCATTCTATGAAGCCAGTATTGCCCTAATACCAAAACCATGAAAGGACATAACAAAAAAAGAAAACTACAGACTGATATCCTTGATGAACACAGATGCTAAAATCCTTAACAAAATACTAGCTAACTGAATCCAACAATATATCAAGGATAATCCACCATGACCAAGTGGGTTTCATACCAGGGATGCAGGGATGGTTTAACATACACAAGTCAATAAATGTGATACATCACATAAACAAAATTAAAAACAAAAATCACATGATCATCGCAATAGATGCAGAAAAAGCATTTGACAAAATCCAGCATCCCTTTATGATTAAAACTCTCAGCAAAATTGGTATACAAGGGACATACCTCAATGTAACAAAAGCCATCTATGACAAACCCACAGCCAACATAATATTGAATGGGGAAAAGTTGAAAGCATTCCCTCTGAGAACTGAAACAAGATAACGATGCCCACTCTCACCACGCCTCTTCAACATAGAAGTTGTAGCCAGAGCAATCAGACAAGGATGCCCAAGAAATAAAGGGCATCCAAATCGATAAAGAGGAAGTCAAACTGTCACTGTTTGCTGACGATAGGATCATTTACCTTGAAAACCCTAAAGACTCCTCCAGAAATCTCTTAGAACTGATACAAGAATTCAGCAAAGTTTCTGAATACAAGATTAATGTTCACAAATCAGTAGCTCTTCTATACACCAATAGCAACTAAGCGGAGAATCAAATCAAGAACTCAACCCCTTTTACAATAGCTGCAAAAAAAATAAAATACTTAGGAATATATCTAACCAAGGAGGTGAAAGGCCTCTACAAGGAAAACTACAAAACACTGCTGAAAGAAATCATACATGACACAAACAAATGGAAACACATCCCATGCTCATGGATGGGTAGAATCAATACTGTGAAAATGACCATACTGCCAAAAGCAATCTACAAATTCAATGCAATCCCCATCAAAACCATCAAAATACCACCATCATTCTTCACAGAATTAGAAAAAAAAATTCTAAAATTCATATGGAACCAAAAAAGAGCCCATAGCCAAAACAAGACTAAGCTAAAAGAACAAATCTGGAGGCATCACATTACCTGATTTCAAATTATACTATAAGGCCAGAGTCACCAAAACAGCAAGGTACTGGTATAAAAACAGGCACATAGGCCAATGTAACAGAATAGAGAACCCAGAAATATACCCAAATACTTACAGCCAACTGATCTTTGACAAAGCAAGCAAAACTATAAAGTTGAGAAAGGACACCCTTTTCAACTAATGTTGCTGGGATAACTGGCTAGCCACATGTAGCAGAATGAAACTGGATCCTCATCGCTTACCTTATACAAAAATCAACTCAAGAAGGATTAAGGACTAAAATCTAAGACCTGAAACTATAAAAATCCTAGAAGATAACATTGGAAAAACCCTTCTACACATTGGCTTAGGCAAGCATTTAATGATCAAGAACCCAAAAGCAAATGCAATAAAAACAGAGATTAAATAGTTGGGACTTTATTAAACTAAAGAGCTTTTGCACGGCAAAAGGAACAGTCAGCAGAGTAAAGAGACAACCCCGCAGAGTGGGAGAAAATCTTCATAATCTATACATCTGACAAAGGACTAATATCCAGAATCTACAACAAACTCTAACAAATCAGTAAGAAAAAAACAATTCCATCAAAAAGTGGGCTAAGGAACTGAATAGACAATTCTCAAAAGAAGATATACAAATGAGCAACGAACATATAAAAAAATGCTCAACATCACTAATGATCAGGGAAATGCAAATCAAAACCACAATGTGATACCACCTTACTCCTGCAAGAATGGCCACAATCAAAAAAATCAAAAAACAGTACATGTTGGCATGGATGCGGTGAACAGGGAATACTTCTACACTGCTGGTGGGAATGTAAACTAGTACAACCACTATAGAAAAACAGTGTGGAGATTCCTTAAAGAACTAAAAGTAGAACTACCATTTGATCCAGCAATCCCACTACGCAGTATCTACTCGAGGAAAAGAAGTCATTATATAAAAAAGATACTTCACACACATGTTTATAGCAGTACAATTTGCAACTGCAAAATCATGGAACCAACCCAAATGCCCATCAATCAACAAGTGGATAAGGAAACTGTGGTATATTTATATGATGGAATACTACTCAGCCATAAAAAAGGAATGAATTAATGGCACTCACAACAACCTGGATGAGATTGGAGACTATTATTCTAAGTGAAGTAACTCAGGAATTGAAAACCAAACATTGTATGTTCTCACTTAAATTAGGAGCTAAGCTATGAGGACTCAAAGGCATACAAATCATACAATGGACTTTTGGGACTTGGGGGGAGAGTGGGAAGCAGGCAAGGGTTAAAGGCTTCAAATATGGTGGAGTGTATACTGCTCAGGTGATGGGTGCACCAACATCTCACAAATCACCACTAAAGAACTTACTTGTGTAACCAAATACCACCTGTACCCCAATAACTTATGGAAAAAAAAATTTTTTTTTGAGACAGAGTCTCGCTGTGTTGCCCAGGCAGGAATGCAGTGGCGCTATCTCGGCTCACTGCAAGCTCTGCCTTCCGGGTTCATGCCACTCTCCTGCCTCAGCCTCCCGAGTAGCTGGGACTACAGGCACCCGCCACCACGCCGGGCTAATTTTTTGGATTTTTAGTAGAGACAGCATTTTACCATGTTAGCCAGGATGGTCTTGATCTCCTGACGTCGTCATCTGCCCACCTCGGCCTCCCAAAGTGCTGGGATTACAGGCGTGAGCCACCGTGCCCAGCCAACTTATGGAAAAATTTTCTAAAAAATAAGTATTTACAGCATCCTAAATGTGAATCTTTTCCTTCCTATCTATAAGTGGCACCAAAAGTAACTTCTTTCAATTCCAATCAACAAACTATGATTGATTAGAACCATAGCTATTAGCCAACACTCAACAGTAATAAAAAACTCTTGCATTTTAAAAGCAGTTTATAAATTACATATAATTCCTATCCTTTAATATTAACCCATCATAAATTCTATTATATTAAAAAATACCATTCAGCTGGGCGTGGTGGCTCACGCTTGTAATCCTAGCACTTTAGGAGGCGGAGGCAGGCAGATCGCCTGAGGTCAGGAGTTTGAGAACAGCCTGGCCAGCATGATGAAACCCCGTCTCTACTGAAAATACAAAAATTAGCCAGGCATGGTGGCGCATGCCTGTAATCCCAGCTACCCGGGAGGCTAAGGAAGGAGAATCGCTGGAACACAGAAGGTGGACGCTACAGTGAGCCGAGATGGCACCACTGCACTCCAGCCTGGGCGATAGAGTGAGACTCCATCTCAAAAAAAAGAAAAGAAAAGAAAAGAAAAATACTATTCAAGAAACTAACAGAAGGCTCTATTCTCTATAGTCCTAAAATGCTTTCCAATATCCAGTTGGATATTGTTACTACAAAAATCATTCTGTTAATGTTAAATGCAAATGAAAATATAATACTTGCTTTTGAATAAAAATTTTAATTGTACAATATTCACCTTTAAATTTTTAAATTTAAATTCCTCTTTTAAAACTTAGAACATGGATTCCCTATTTAATAAACGGTGCTGGGAAAACTGGCTAGCCATATGTAGAAAGCTGAAACTGGATCCCTTCCTTGCACCTTATACAAAAATTAATTCAAGAGGGATTAAAGACTTACATGTTAGACCTAAAACCATAAAAACCCTAGAAGAAAACCTAGGCAATACCATTCAGGACATAGGCATGGGCAAGGACTTCATGTCTAAAACACCAAAAGCAATGGCAACAAAAGCCAAAATTGACAAATGGGATCTAATTAAACTAAAGAGCTTCAGCACAGCAAAAGAAACCACCATCAGAGTGAATAGGCAACCTACAGAATGGGAGAAAATTTTTGCAACCTACTCATCTGACAAAGGGCTAATATCCAGAATCTACAATGAACTCAAACAAATTTACAAGAAAAAAAAACAAACAACCCCATCAAAAAGTGGGCGAAGTATATGAACAGACACTTCTCAAAAGAAGACATTTATGCAACCAAAAAACACATGAAAAAATGCTCACCATCACTGGCCATCAGAGAAATGCAAATCAAAACCACAATGAGATACCATCTCACAACAGTTAGAATGGCAATCATTAAAAAGTCAGGAAACAACAGGTGCTGGAGAGGATGTGGAGAAATAGGAACACTTTTACACTGTTGGTGGGACTGTAAACTAGTTCAACCATTGTGGAAGTCAGTGTGGCGATTCCTCAGGGATCTAGAATTAGAAATACCATTTGACCCAGCCATCCCATTACTGGGTATATATCCAAAGGACTACAAATCATGCTGCTATAAAGACACATGCACACGTATGTTTATTGCAGCATTATTCACAATAGCAAAGACTTGGAACCAACCCAAATGTCCAACAATGATAGACCGGATTAAGAAAATGTGGCCCATATACACCATGGAATACTATGCAGCCATAAAAAATGATGAGTTCATGTTCTTTGTAGGGACATGGATGAAATTGGAAATCATCATTCTCAGCAAAATATCACAAGGACAAAAAACCAAACACCGCATGTTCTTGCTCATAGGTGGGAATTGAACAATGAGAACACATGGACACAGGAAGGGGATCATCACACACTGAGGACTGTTGTGGGGCAGGGGGAGGGGGAAGGGATAGCATTAGGAGATATATCTAATGCTAAATGACAAGTTAATGGGTGCAGCACACCAGCATGGCACATGTATACATATGTAACAAACCTGCACGTTGTGCACATGTACCCTAAAACTTAAAGTATAATAATAAAAAAAAAGCTTAGAACATGGAGACAGTCCTCTTTGACAATCTTCCCCAATGCAGTCCTCTTCTCCCAGCTCCCTAAAGATAATGACTATAATGATAATTTGTTATTTATCTTTCCCAATATAAAAAAATATTTACCCCCCGCCACACACATATACACACAAGGAGAAACTATATTCAGTGTGTAGTTTTTTCTTTTACAGAAATGGCATTGGCTGTATATTTACTTCACACAGTTTTTTTTTTCATGAAACAATAATTAATTCCTGATTAAACATTTTATAACATCCCATAATACAACTAAACATTTTGTCCAATCGTTAATTCAAAGGATGTTAAAGACATCTCTCAATATTTTGATATTACAAGTAATACTGGAATTGAAATATTTGTATATGTTTCCTTGTGAAAGTGTACAAGTGTTTCTCTGCAGCAGATATGCAAGGGAGAAACTGCTGGATTCCAAACACTGTACAGGTTTACTTTTTTTTTTTTTAAGAGTCGGGTCTCACTGTGTCACCTAGGCTACAGTGCAGTAGCAATTTACAGGTGTGATCACAGCTCAATGCAACCTTGAAGGCCTTCTGTGATCCTCCCACCTTAGCCTCCCAAGTAGCTGGTACTATAGGTGCTCACCACCACACCTGGCTAACTTAAAAAAAAAAATTTAGAGACAGGGTCTTGCTATGTTGGCGGGGCTAGTCTTGAACTCCTGGCCTCATGCAATCCTTCCACTTCAGCCTCCCCAGTAGCTGGAACTACAGGTGTGTGCCACCGCACCTGGCCATGTTTACTTTTTAATAGACACTACCAAATTACCTTACAAAGTATTTCTACCAATTTATATTCTCAGCAATGTGGTATGAGAATACCCATGTTCTAGCCAACACTAGATACTACAAAACACTTTAAATTTGTTCAACCTGATAGATGAAAAAATAATGTCACCTTGTTTTAGTCTGCATTTCTCTAATCAATAGTGAGGTGATGCTTATTTTTGTTTATTGGCAGGTGCATTTCCTCATCTGGAGCTGCGCGTTAATCCCAAATTTCTCCATCAGGATATCTTTTCTCCTGATTTGTAAGAGTTCTTTATATATTTGGATACTAGTCCTCCATGAGTAGCAAATGTATGTGTAGCAAATATTTTTCTCCCAGTCTATTTTTGTCTAACTTTATGTATTTTTTAATCGTAAAAGACGTTAAATTTTTGTTGTAAAAACTATCAATATTTTATTTTTCCTATCAAAAGATTGTATTTTTCTTATGTTTAGTTTTAACTAGATGAAAATTTGAGGTTCTGTTTATTTAAGCCTTTACCCCATCTATAACCTATTTTTATGAATGTAAGAGTCCAAATTTCTCTACTTCTTTAAATGTTCAGGAGAGCTCTCCCTCTCCCTCTCCCTCTCCCCACGGTCTCTCTCTCCCTCTCCCCACGGTCTCCCTCTCCCTCTCCCCACGGTCTCCCTCTCCCTCTCTTTCCACGGTCTCCCTCTCATGCCGAGCCGAAGCTGGACTGTGCTGCTGCCATCTCGGCTCACTGCAACCTCCCTGCCTGATTCTCCTGCCTCAGCCTGCCGAGTGCCTGCGACTGCAGGTGCGCGCCGCCACGCCTGACTGGTTTTCGTATTTTTTTGGTGGAGACGGGGTTTCGCTGTGTTGGCCGGGCTGGTCTCCAGCTCCTAACCGCGAGTGATCCGCCAGCCTCGGCCTCCCGAGGTGCCGGGATGGCAGACGGAGTTGCGTTCACTCAGTGCTCAATGGTGCCCAGGCTGGAGTGCAGTGGCATGATCTCGGCTCGCTACAACCTCCACCTCCCAGCTGCCTGCCTTGGCCCCCCAAAGTGCTGAGATTGCAGCCTCTGCCCGGCCACCACCCCGTCTGGGAAGTGAGGAGCGTCTCTGCCTGGCCGCCCATCGTCTGGGATGTGAGGAGCCTCTCTGCCTGGCTGCCCAGTCTGGAAAGTGAGGAGCGTCTCTGCCTGGCCGCCCATCATCTGAGATGTGGGGAGCACCTCTGCCCTGCCCCCCCGTCTGGGATGTGAGGAGCGTCTCTGCCCAGCCGCCCCGTCTGAGAAGTGAGGAGACCCTCTGCCTGGCAACCGCCCCGTCTGAGAAGTGAGAAGCCCCTCTGCCCGGCAGCCACACCATCTGAGAAGTGAGGAGCCCCTCCGCCCGGCAGCCACCCCGTCTGGGAAGTGAGGAGCGTCTCTGCCCGGCAGCCACCCCCTCCAGGAGGGAGGTGGGGGTCAGCCCCCCGCCCGGCCAGCCGCCCCGTCCAGAAGGGAGGTGGGGGGGTCAGCCCCCCGCCCGGCCAGCTGCCCCGTCCGGAAGGGAGGTGGGGGGGGTCAGCCCCCCGCCCGGCCAGCCGCCCCGTCCGGGAGGTGAGGGGCGCCTCTGCCCGGCCGCCCCTACTGGGAAGTGAGGACCCCTCTGCCTGGCCAGCCGCTCCGTCCGGGAGGGAGGTGGGGGCGTCAGCCCCCCGCCCGGCCAGCCGCCCCGTCCGGGAGGTGAGGGGCGCCTCTGCCCGGCCGCCCCTACTGCGAAGTGAGGAGCCCCTCTGCCCAGCCAGCCGCCCTGTCTGGGAGGAGGTGGGGGGGTCAGCCCCCCGCCCGGCCAGCCGCCCGTCCGGAGGGAGGTGGGGGGGTCAGCCGCCCGTCCGGGAGGGAGGTGGGGGGGTCAGCCCCCCCGCCCGGCCAGCCGCCCCATCCGGGAGGTGAGGGGTGCCTCTGCCCGGCCGCCCCTACTGGGAAGTGAGGAGCCCCTCTGCCCGGCCAGCCGCCCCGTCCGGGAAGGAGGTGGGGGGGTCAGCCCCGCACCCGGCCAGCCGCCCCGTCCGGTTGGTGAGGGGCGCCTCTGCCCGGCCGCCCCTACTGGGAAGTGAGGAGCCCCTCTGCCCAGCCAGCCGCCCAGTCCGGGAAGGAGGTGGGGGGGTCAGCCCCCCGCCCGGCCAGCCACCCCGTCCGGGAGGGAAGTGGAGGGGTCAGCCCCCCGCCCGGCCAGCCGCCCCATCCGGGAGGTGAGGGGCGCCTCTGTCCGGCCACCCCTACTGGGAAGTGAGGAGCCCCTCTGCCCGGCCACCACCCCGTCTGGGAGGTGTACTCAACAGCTCATTGAGAACAGGCCATGATGACAATGGCGGTTTTGTGGAATAGAAAGGGGGGAAAGGCGGGGAAAAGATTGAGAAATCGGATGGTTGCCGTGTCTGTGTAGAAAGAGGTAGACATGGGAGACTTTTCATTTTGTTCTGTACTAACAAAAAATTCTTCTGCCTTGGGATCCTGTTGATCTGTGACCTTACCCCCAACCCTGTGCTCTCTGAAACATGTGCTGTGTCCACTCAGGGTTGAATGGATTAAGGGTGGTGCAAGATGTGCTTTGTTAAACAGATGCTTGAAGGCAGCATGCTCGTTAAGAGTCATCGCCACTCCCTAATCTCAAGTACCCAGGGACACAAACACTGTGGAAGGCCACAGGGTCCTCTGCCTAGGAAAACCAGAGACCTTTGTTTACTTGTTTATCTGCTGACCTTCCCTCCACTATTGTCCTATGACCCTGCCAAATCCCCCTCTGCGAGAAACACCCAAGAATGATCAAAAAAAAAAAAAAAAGAGTCCAAATTTCTCAAGGTAGTACAAAACTAGAAAATAATATGAACAGATTAAAATTAAACAATATTATAATAATAACAAAGAAAAATCAAATGATTCTTTCCCTAATGGCAGGAAAAGCATGGTAAAATTAAAAACAAATCTATTCATCATAAAAAATCAATAAACTAGGAATAAAAAGAACTTTTATGATTTGATAAGGGGTATCTTTTTTAAAAAATATAGCAAACACGCCAGACTTTTCATCATGCCAAGGGAAGGCTGATATTAAATACTTCCCTAACCGTGAATGCTGACAAAGATTCCTGCTACTGGCATGCCATGTCATATACCTGTAAGATCTGGGTCACAGCCTCTGATTATACCAGGGAAGGGATACTTCCCCTCAAAATTTATGCTAGGTTGTCAAAATTGGGCTTACACCAAAACTATGCCACATTATGCTGCTCTTGTATCCCACCTGATCACAACAGTGAGTAGCTTCAGCTTCTGTACTTAATGCAGTTTAAAAACTATAAAGCCCAAGGTTGTAAGCCCTATCTCATAGTATGAAAATGTCATTAGACTTCTATACACTGACATAGAAAGAATGGGCAATGTGGGGACAAGTGCATCTGGTATTACTCCAGGCTTTATAAGTTTTCCTCCAATGAATATTACTCTAGTAGGCTTTGTATGAATTCTACTTGGCCATTTGCGCTTAATTACATAAAAACTGTCACAGAAAACTGGACATCAGGTCAGGTTTCTACTGCAGTTTTCTGGAAGTAAAGCAAAGGACCAGAGGTGAAAGACTCATTTTGGCATTTTGGCAGCATGCCCAGTCATCAGGATGGCTAATCACTAACTGCAACTGGGAAATAGCCCTAAAGTCCCAATGAATAAAATATCTGGAAAATAAGACTGGCCAGGTTGGAACTCCTTGGTTGTTATTAATGGCCTTGGTGAGAATCTCCTAGGAAGAGGCAAACTCCACTGAAGGGAAGGTTAAGTAATCCCTGATGAAATTATATAGACACACACAGAGAAGTAATGATGCAAAACAAGAGCTGGAAAATACTCTTACAGAAAAGTAAGGGAGGAAGATTTTCTCTAGCATACATCTACACTAACATAAAGAAAGCTATTATAATAAGGTGGAGTGTTGCTGGCACATAAACAGAAATAAAAAGCAGTGGTGAATATGAGTCCAGAAATAGACCAATCCACATAAAGACACCTGATTTATAACAAAGCTAATATTGCACAGTAGTGGGTATAGACACATATTTCAACTAATGGTGCTGAGATTATTGGGTTTTCATATGGAGAAGAAAGAAATTAAATTGCTACCTTATACTATATCCAAAAAAGAAAAAAAAAATGAAACAATTCCAGGTAGATTACAAACCTAAAATATGAAAGTTGAAGCTATAATGCTTATGGAAAATAGTACAGAGGATATATTTGTGAATTTGGGGTAAGAAAATGTTTCTTATGCAAGACACCAAACACATTATTTCTAAAGTAAAAGACTGATAAATGTGACTACCTTACACTTACGGAGCTCTGTTCATCAAAAGACACCAAGAAAGGGAAGAGACAAGCTAGAGTATGGGAAAAGCTACTTGCAACACATACAATCAACATCGGACTCACATTTAGAAGACATAAAGAACTCCTAGAAAATCAATGGGAACAAAGCAGAAAACCAAGTTAAAAACTGGGTAAAACTCAAACAAATATTTCAATAGAAAGGATATCCAAATGGATAGTAAACACAGAAAAAAGTTGTCAAACTCATTAGTAATTAGGAAATTAGAAATTAAAATCACAATTCTTTGACAAGCACACCAAGACAATTCAATGGAGAACAAATCGTTTTTCATGAAACGGTGCTGAGACAACTGGATAGCCACATGCAAAGAATTAAGTTGAATCTCTATCCCACAGCATACACAAAAATGATCTCAAAATGGATCAAAGACCCAAATGTAAAATGTAAAACTATAATAAACTCTTTGAAGAAAACAGGTGTAAATCTTTGTGACCTTGAATTAGGCAATGGTTTCTTAGGGGTAATACCAAAAGCACAAGCAAACAAAACACAGAAAAATTAGACTTTATCAAAATGTAAAACTTCTGTGTTTGAAAGAACACTATATCAAGAAAGTGAAGAGATGACCCAAAGAATTGGAGGAAACATTTATAAATTATGTATCTGATAAGGGTTTAGTATCCAACATATACAAAGAACTAATACAATTCAACAATAAAAGACAACCTAATTTTTTAAATGGGCAAAGATTTTAAATAGGCATCTCTCCAAAGAAGATATGGAGATTGGCAATAAACACATGAAAAGATGTTCAACATCACTGATCACTAGGGTAATGCAAATCAAAACCACAACTAGATTCACACAACCTCTTTACACCTACTGGGGTGGGTATAATAAAAAAGACAGACAATGACAAGTGTTGGTGAGGATGTGGAGAAATTGGGCTCTCAAACACTACTGATAAAATGGAAAATGGTGCAGCCCCCTTGGAAAACAGTTTGGCAGTTCCTCAAAAAGCTAGACACAGAGTTATATTATGACCTAGCAGTTCTGATCCTAGGTATGTACCCCAAAGAACTGAAATGTATTGTCACATAAAAAATTACACATGACCATTTATAGCAGCATTATTCATTAATAGCCAAAAAATGAATACGAGCCAAATGTCCATCAACAGATGAATGGATAAATAAAATACGGTATATTTATACAATGTAATATTATTCAGCCATAAAGAGAAGTACTGATAACTTCTACAATATAAACGAATCTTGAAAACATTATACTAAATGAAAGAAGCCAGAAACAAAAGGCCACATATTGTGTGATTCCATTTATATGAGATGTCCAGAACAGGCAAATCCAGAGACAAAAAAATGGATTTGTATTTTCCAGGGCGAGAGGGAAAAGGAGAATGCAGAGTGACTGTTAATGGGTTGGGTGCTTTCTTTGTGAGGTGATGCAAATGGTCTGGAATTAGTGGTGGTGGTTACATAGTTTTGTGAATATACTAAAAATTAACTATATACTTTTAAAAGGTGAGTTTTATGGTTTATGAGTTACATCTCAAAAGTTATAAGCTGGGAAATTATCAAGGAAATATAAAATAGAATTTAAGTGAACAAAAGCTATAAGCAAAAACAAGGGTGAAATCTTAGAAGAAAATACTAAATGAACAAAACAAGATGCAACTCTCTTGAGTACCCCCACACTCCCTTGAGTGTGCACTTTTTGCTTTGAAATAAAATCTCTGTACTTTCACTATTTTCTGACTCATCCTTGAATTCCTTCTCATGATGGTGTCAAGAGTCTGGACACCGGCTGGCGCTGAGGTCCCATCGGCATTTGGGGACCCCCCCCCTCCAGCCTACCAGTATCATCTTTATGGCCATCCAGCCCAGAGCATCATCAGCCACATCAGAACCACCAGCAGTTGGTAAGTCCCATTGGGGCCTTAATTGGAGTCTTCTCGTTCTCTGGAGTTACTGCTACTTTCTTCCTTGTTCCTACAGCCTGACTCCCCTCAGCCGTAGTGCCTCTGCTTCCTCCAGCTGGAAAACGCAGTTCGCCCTGACAGTGACAAATGGAGGTGGGAAGGCTTTGACCTACACCTGAGCTCTGAGGTGCCATGGGCCTCCTGGGCAAGAGGCTAATGAGGGTGAGTAGGGTAAAATCCCATGTCCCAGTGGCTGGACAGCTGCCAAGGAGCATTATGACTTATTCCTGGGAAGTCTTCTGTTCTCCCAAGGGACCAGCTGCGCTAAGACACTGACCTTGGTTGGGAACTGTTTTCCCTTTCCCATCTCTCTTTAAACCCTGCTTTTGTGGTTTTCTCTTCTCATGCTTCTTCCTCATACTTCACACAAAAGTTTAGTGAACTCTGGACACAGCAAAATAGGTCCGCTGGAATGCCAAATCTAGGCCTATTGTTTTAAGGGGGCCCTTCAAGGTGGCTATTATTTGGCCATGCTGAATTATCTCTACTACGAAGTTTTACTTGGTAATAAATATTCAGATGGATTTTGGCAGGCTTGCTGCTTTCAAACTAGGTCCACACTCATCCTACTCAACCTTGAAAGCAAAGCCCCAGGGGCCATGGACGCCTGGGCAACACTAGGGCTCCAGGGACACCTGGACACCAAGGCAGCCAGCCAAGGGAACATGGACAACTGTCTCCCCGGCCTGACCATGGAGCTGGTGTCAAGAGCCTGGACACTGGCTGGGGCTGAGGTCCCATTGGCATCTGGGGACTCCACTGCAGTCCACCAGTATCATCTTTATGGCCACCTAGCCCAGAGCATCCACAGCCACATTAGAACCACCAGCTCATTCACCTGGCATTTTGTAAATGCTGGAACTAGTCCCTCCGAAGAGGAAACTATACTGTTCTTTTCTCTTTCAGGTCGTGCCGAGGACAAGTCAAGGCTATGGGTAACTCTCTTTTAGAAAATGGGGTGCAATGGCCAGAGTCTAGGACCGTAAAATGCAATACCATCTTGGAATTAAATCTTTTTTGTAAACATCAGAAGAAGTGGACTGAAGTAGCATATGTATTAATACAAGCCTTCACGGCTCTTTATCAGAACCTTGACCCTCGCGGGAACTGCTGCCTTTGTTAGGCTCACAGCCCTTTAGGGGAACCAAATGGGACACCAGATACCCTGCACGATCCCCCTTTTGGGAAATGTACCCCCAGACTCCTGCTAGTCCATCTCCTTACCAACCTTCACACCCTTCTCTACAGAAGGAGCAGAGCCCTGCTAGGGTTGCCCACAGTGCATTTCCTACATTCTTGACCATTCTAAGTTATGCCCACTTAGGGAGGTGGCCAGTGGGGGTGCTGGGACTATCTGGGTGTATCTTTTTCGATGTCTGATCTAGCCTACTGCAGACAGAGGTTGGGCCAATTTTCAGAGGACCTAACTAAAGTTATGGAGGGGTTCTGGGCTCTCTCACTCTCATCTGAGTTAACCTGGGGACATATTCATATTATCTTGTCCATGTGTTGTACCCCTGAGGAAAAGCAGTGTATTTGGGCACAGGCCCAGGCTTATGCTGACACCTTGTTGGCTTGGGACCCCGAACAATATACTGTAAAGGCCATGTCTGTGCCTAACAGTGGCCCTAATTGGAATTATCAACAGGGCCAGGCTTATCTAAGAAAAAAAAAAATCACATGATGACTTGTTTAGTGAAAGGAATGAAAAAAAGGTACCACTAAGCCTGTGAGCTATAATAAAATAAGGGAAATAACTCAAAGAAAAGATGAAAACCCTGCTGTGTTCCAGGGGAGCCTTGTGAAGGCCCTAAAAAATATATGCTAACATTGAACCCAATATTGATGCTGGCCAAATTTTTCTAAGGACATACTTTATTAGTCTATCAGCATCTGACATCAGGAGGAACATGAGGAGGAAAGTGCAGAAATTGGCTTTGGGATCCCAAATGCCTATTACTCACATGTTTCATGTAGCTTTTAGGTTATTCAATAATAGGGATAGGGCTGAAGAGGCTGAAAGGACTCAGCATGGCAAACAATGGGACAGACAGCAGGCCCAAATGACACCCAGGGGGATTCTTCGCCCAAGGACCAAACAGCCCTAACAGCAAACCTGTAGGAAATGGTTGCCGCTTCTAGTGTAGGAAGCTGGGACATTAGAGCAAGGGCTGGTTCATGGTATAAGATCTCAAGGATGCTTTTTTTTTTGTATCCCTCTGCACACTGACTCTCAATATTTGTTTGCTTTTGAGTGGACTAATCCTGAAACTATTATTACCCAGCAGTACACCTGCACAGTACTGCCTCAGGGCTTTAGGGATAGCCCTTACTTGTTCAGCAATGCCTCGGCATGAGAATTAAGGGAGCTAGAGGTAGAAAGGGAAGCCGTACTCCAAGATGTGGATGACATCCTTGTATATAGTTCCACTAAAGAGAACTCAGATAAGAATACCATTCAAGTCCTAAACTTCCTGGGAGAAAGAAGATTATCAGGTCTCTCCATCTAAGGCCCAGATTTCTAAAATGGAAATAAAATATCTGGGATACATCCTAAGCCCAGGAAACCGGATCTTGTCTGTCAAACAATAGGAGGCTATCTTAAAGACGAGACCTTCACAAATGAAGAAGCAACTCATAACTTTCCTAGGTATGGCACGATTTGGATCCCAGGATTTCAGCTCATTACTAAGCCACTGCATGAGGCCCTAACTGGGCCAAAGCATCAACTGCTCGGAGGGGCTTGCGCTGCAATAAGCCCCATCTTCTGTTCTTATACTAACAGTTCAGTATTAGCTGAACTACAAGTTCAAAAGATTTACCAACGGGCTATCCAGCTAAATAATTTCAATAACTCTATCATGCAAGCCATCTGGGACCCCATCAAAGGCTACCTACCTAGTGTGACATGGTTCCTACCTTCCCTAGGACTTCTAGTAGCTATCCTCTTATTATTGGTTTTTAGTCCTTGCTTGTTTAACCTCTTTGTAAAGTTATGTCTTCTAGGTTGCAAAGTTCCACGTCAAAATGATGGTCATGCAAGGATTCCAAGCAATCCCTGCCTCAGATGCAGACTCTTCTGATGACCCACCCTTGGGACCCTTAGAGCAGGCAGCCAGAGGTTTCCATGCTGGTGCCAGGCAGGGCCAATGCCCCTAAATCAGCAGGAAGCAGATATAGAAAACTGTCCTCCTCCCTCATCAACCCTTAAGAATAAGGGATGGAAGTCTCTGAGGGGGATAAAATGAGACAGGAATAATACTGGGTGGTCACCTGAGTATAGAAAACTCCAGGCAGCAGTTTCACATGACTAGAGGCTATGGGCTGGTAAGTGAACAACATGTGAACAGAGCTGGCTAAGACCAACCAGACCCAATATGGCACTGGATTTGACCTAGATTTCACCTAGGACCTCATTATATGCTCATTAACATACTAAGTCACACACCCATTGGTGCCATGACAGTTCCAAGAACACCCGCATTGGGTATGAGTGGGTGGCACTACAGTTCAGAGACATCGCCACCTTTTCCTAGAGATTTTCATAAATATTCTACCCCTTAGTTAAAGCAACCCATAAAGGTAGCAGCCCCAAACCCCCCTTGTATGGAACTCTCTCTTGAGTATGCCCACACTCCCCTTTCTTGAGTTTGTACATTTCTCTTTGCAGTAAATCTCTATACTTTCACTAGAAGAAAAAAAAAAGAAGACACAAAATATAACATGATTCTATTGACAGAGCATTCAAAACAAGGCAAAACTAAACTTTACTGTTTAGGGATGCATACCCAGGAAAAATTTGATATGAAATTAGGATAGTAATTTGCTCTGGGGGTAAATAATCATGATCAAGGAGGATATATAAAGCATTTCTGGGGTACAAAGAAATGTGCTACTTCCTAATACATGTGGTCATTATAAGGGTGTTTCATAGCAACTGTATATATTGGACACACAACTATTATGTTTTATGCAGTTTTCTATAAGTACAGTTTTCACTTTAAAATTTTAGAAAGAATTAATACTGTATATTCTCTCTTAGATGCAGGGTTCTAAATAGGAGGTCAATTTTGTTATCAGTAACATACAAATCAGTTACAGTCTTACATTTTTATACTTGATTTCTCAGTTTCTGAGACAGTTGTGTTAAAGTCTCCATGAAGAGATCAAGAGGACTTAGTTTCCTGTATTAAGATTTTGATGTGCATATTTTGAAACTATATATTGTTAATATTAAGCATATACAAGTTCATTCCTGTTATATTTTTTTAGACCATTACTTTTGTCAAAATACAAAATTCCATTTTGTCATTTTTATTTATTTATTTATTTTTTGAGACAGAGACGCTGTCACCCAGGCTGGAGTGTTGTGGCACAATCTTGGCTCACCGCAACCTCCGCCTCCTGGGTTCAAGAGATTCTCGTGCCTTAACCTCCCAAGTAGCTGGGACTACAGGAACGTGCCACCACGCCTGGCTAATTTTTTTGTATTTTTAGTAGAGACAGGGTTTTTCCATGTTGCCCAGGCTGGTCTCGAACTCCTGGGCTCAGGCAATCCACTCACCTTGGCCTCCCAAAGTGCTAGGATTACAGGCGTGAGCCACTATGCCTGGCCCATTTTGTCATTTTTAGTGCACTACACACTGATTCCTATTTTGGCTTATATTAATATTGCTACATGGCATTTTTTATGTGTGTGAGTGTATAGTTAGTATACATTTTTTATATATTTATTTTCAATGTTTCCTGTCATTTTGTTTGTGTCTTTTCTAAAGGCATAAAGGTCTCTTGTTTCATTTTGTTTACCCAATCTGAGCCTCTTTTAATATGTAAATTCAATTACATTCATTATGATAAATGTTATATTTTGTGTTCTAGCCAGCCTCCAAGATGGCCCCCCAAAATATCCACTTCTACAATTCCACATCCTTGTGTAGACATTATATACACCAGAGTTTGTCTGTGTGACCAAAGGAATACATGAGAGGTGATGGCCTGTCACTTTTGAGATTCGGTTATAAAACACTGCAACTTCCATATCAGGCTCACTCTTTCTCTCAATTCCCTTGCTTTGGGAGAAGCCAGCTGCCATGCTGTGAGAACATTCAGGCAGGAAAAAAGCTCATCATCACTGGTCATTAGAGAAACGCAAATCAAAACCACAATGAGATACCATCTCACGGCACTCAGAATGGCAATCATTAAAAAGTCAGGAAACAACAGATGCTGGAGAGGATGTGGAGAAATAGGAACTCTTTTACACTGTTGGGAGTGTAAATTAGTTCAACCATTGTGGAAGACAGTGTGGCAATTCCTCAAGGATTTAAACCAGAAATACCATTTGACCCAGCAATCCCATTACTGGGTATATACCCAAAGGATTATAAATCATTCTACTCTAAAGACACATGCACACGTATGTTTATTGTGGCACTATTCACAATAGCAAAGACTTGGAACCAACCCAAATGCCCATCAATGATAGACTGGGTAAAGATAATGTGGCACATATACACCATGTAATACTATGCAGCCATAAAAAAGGATGAGTTCATGTCCTTTGCAGGGACACGGATGAAACTGGAAACCATCATTCTCAACAAACTAACACAAGAACAGAAAACCAAATACCGCACATGTTCTCACTCATAAGTGGGAGTTGAACAATGAGAACCCATGGACACAAGGAGAGGAACATCACACACCGGGGCCTGTCGCGGGTGGGAAGCCAGGGGAGGGATAGCGTTAGGAGAAATACCTAATGTAGATGACAGGTTGATGGGTGCAGCAAACCACCATGGCACATGTATACCTATGCAACAAAACTGCACGTTCTACACATTCTGCACATGTACCCCAGAACTTAAAGTATAATAAAAAAAGGAAGGAAGGAAGGAGGGAAGGAAGGAAGGAAGCAAAGAAGGAAGGAAGGAAGCAAAGAAGGAAGGAAGGAAGGAAGGAGGGAAGGCTCTCAAAGTGAGAAACTAAAGCATCTGGCCAACAGCCAGGGAGAAACTGAGGCTTGTCAACAACTATATAAGTAAAATTACGTGGATCCTCCAGGCCCAGATGACTGCAGGCTAGGCCAACGACTTGATTATAAACTCATACGAGGGAGGGACCTTGAATCAAACTGGACAGATTCTCTCAGATCCCTGACCATAGCAACTAGGGAATAGTAAGTATTACTTATAAGCTGTGAATTTTTGGTCCAATATACCACATAGCAAGAGATAACACATACAGTTACACTTACTTCTAACCGATTTCTTTCCTGTTGTCTATTTGAAGGCTTTACCTCAATCAATTTTTTCCTTATCAATTTTCAATCAACTTTTCCTCACTCCATTTTCTTCGACATTTTGAAAGCTTTACATTCAATTTACATTCTTTATATAATTAAATATTATATTAGCTATATCTATAATATTACAATAAAGTTTTATATTATTACCATATTTTCCTCCCATACAAGATGACAACACACATACACAGCATACTTTTACTTCCATCTAATACCACCTTCCTTTTTTTACTTTTTTTGAGACAAAGTCTCACTCTGTTGCCCAGGTTGGAGTATAGTGGCACAGTCTCAGGTCACTGCAACCTCTGCCTCCTGGGTTCAAGCAATTCTCCTGCTCAGCCTCCTGAATAGCTGGGATTACAGGCACACACCATCACACCCAGCTAATTTTTGTATTTTTAGTAGAGACGGGGGTTTCACCATATTGGCCAGGCTGGTCTCGAACTCCTGACCTCAAGTGATCCTCCTGCCTCGGCCTCCCAAAGTGCTGGGACTACAGGCATGAGCCACCACACCCGGCCAACCACTTTCCTTTTTTTTTAAAGCCTACAGCATCCGGTATTACCAGATTGTCTCGCATCCAAGTACTAACCAGGCCCAACCTTGCTTAGCTTCCAAGATCAGATGAGACCTGGCTTGTTTAAGGTGGTATGGCCATAAACTAATACCACCTTCTACACCATTATTTCTCATGTTGTCATCCTCTGGAATTTTAGAGCTTCTAATTAAAAAAAAATTATTTGTAAACATCAATTCAGAATTATCAACTTTTCTACCCCAAATAAGAACCATCCAGCTAAGACATTCCCAAACCCCTGACCTGCAAAAATTATATGGAAAAATAAATATTTACTATCCCTTTAATCTGGTGTTACACATGACAGTATGAAAATCATACGTGAATTACTACAAAATTAATGTGCTCCTACCTCAGAGATAATCACTATACTAACTTTCAATACCACAGGTTAGTTGTGCCTATGTTAAGTCTAAAATAAACATAAATGGAACTATATAAAATGTATTCATTTGTGTATGACTTCTTGGTGAGATGTATTTATGTGATTGTATTTAACAGTAATTGTTCATTTCCATTATTGTATACTATCTGACTATATGAATATACCACAATTTATTTTTTGATTCTGGCACTGATAGACATTTGGACTGCTTCCATTTTGTGGCAATTTGGGCATGGTGGCTCATGCCTGTAATCCCAGCACTTTGGGAGGCCGAGGCAGGTGGATCACCTGAGGTCAGAAGTTCAAGACCAGCCTGGCGAACATGGTCACACTCCGTCTCTACTAAAAATACAAAAAATTAGCAGGGTGTGGTGGTGCGTGCCTGCAATCTCAGCTACTGGGGAGGCTGAGGCAGGAGAATCAATTGAACCCGGGAGGCAGAGGTTGCAGTGAGCCAAGATGGCACCATTACACTCTGGCCTGGGCAACAGGAGCAAAACTCAGTCTCAAAAAAAAAAAAAAAAAAAAAAAAATTTGCGGCAATTATGAATAACAGTACTATAGGCATCTTGTACAGTTGATCCTCGAACAACATGGGGTTAACAGTGCCAACCCCCATGTAGCTGCAAATTCACATGTAACTTTTGACTCCCCCAAAATATCACTAATAACCTACTATTAATCATCTTGTTGATAACAAAAATAGTTCATTAACACGTTTTATGTTATATGTAATATATATTGTATTCTTACAATAAAGTAAGCTAGAGAAAAGAAAATATTAAGAAAATCATAAGGAAGAGAAGATATAACTATTCATTAAGTGAAAGTGGATCATCATAAAGGTCTTCATCCTCATCATCTTACATTGAGTAGGCTGGGGTGGAAGAGGAGGTCTTGATGTCTCAAGGGTGGCAGAGGTGGAAGAAAATCCATGTGTAAGTGGACCCATGCAGTTCAAACCCATGTTGTTCAAGGATCAACTGTATGTCTTTTAACACACAAATGTAGGCATTTCTGTTTGGTTATTTATAAGAAGCCAATTGGGATTGTAATTAGGGGTTTGTGGAATCCATAGGTCAATTTAAGAAGATGTATCTTTACAATATTGAATATTCCATAAATGTTATATGCCTCATTTACTTAGGTCATACTTTAATATTGTGTAATTTTCTGTGTAGAGATATACACAAATTTTAGTAGATACATTCCCAAGGATTTGATTTCAATATAATTATAAATTGTACCATTTTTACAAAATTTTATCTTTTTGATGGGTTGCTGGAATAAGAAATAAAATGACTTCGGATATTGACCAGCAACACTGGTAAATTTACATATGAGCTCTAATAGATAATGTACAGTTTATTTTGCATTTCCTATATATATAGCCATATTATCTCCAAATATAGTGTTACGTCCTCCTTTCAAATTTTTAGGTATTTTATTTTCTTCACTTATTGCACAAAGTAAGCCTTCTAGCAAAATACTATTTAAAAAATAAAAATAGCAGGCATTTTTGTCTGTCTCATTCACAATCTCTAGGGGAAAGCTTTTAATAGTCCACCAATAAGTATAAAGTTTAGTGGAGTTTTTTTGTACTGTTGTCAGAATAATCATGTTCCCTTCCAGTCCTGGTGGCAGAGATTTCAATCATGAATTGCCATTAAATTTTATCAACCGCTTTTTTCTGCACCCATTAAGGCATTAAGACTCTTCTGTATTTTTAAAATGAGGTATATTATGCTATGTTTTACTGTTAGATCAACCTTATACTACTAGAATAAACCCATACTGGGAAATATTTGGTCATTATTTCTTCATATATCTTTTTTGCTCCATTCTATCACCTTTGCTTCCAGATTCCAATTACATATGTGTTAGGCCACTTGATCTTATCCCACAGTTCTTCGAGGCTCTTTATTTTCTTTAATCTGTTTTCTCTCTGTTCTTCAAACTAGCTACTTTCTCCTGCTCTATCTTCAAATTCACTAACTCTCTTTGACTCTCTCATCAGCCATCTCTAATCTGCTGTTAAGTCCATTCAGCAAATTATCTGATTCAGTTATTGCACTTGCTGGGGCAGAATGGCTCCCCAAAGATGTCTATGTCTTCATTCCTAGAACTGATGAATATGTTACGTTACAACATGGCAAAGGAACTGTGCTGATATAATTAAGATTGTCACCTAAATTACCCAGGTAGGTGCAATCTAATCACATGAGCACTTTAAAGCAGATGTGCTGAAAGAGGAGGCAGAAGAAATGTGGCAGAAAGGCAAATCAGAGAGATTCAAAGTGCAGCTCAACACACTATTGCTGGCTCTGACACGTATGAATCAACATGCAAGGGACTCAAAGAGAGGCCTTTAGTTGCTCATTGAAAGCATGAGAAGGAATACAGGCAACCTCTAGAGGCACAGACTAACCTCCAGCTGAAAGCCAGCAAGGAAACAGAGACCTACAACCTACAGTCTCAAGGAAATGAATTTGGCCAACGACTTAAATGAGATTGGAAGTGGATTCTTCCTCAAAGCCTCCAGTAAGCAACAGCACTCCACCAACATCTTCACTTTAGCCCCATGAGGCCTGTGTCAGACTTCTAATCTACAGATCTGAGATAATAAATGGATCTTGTTGTAAGCCATTACATTTAATGGTAATTTGTTATGGCAACAATAAAAAAAACTAACAGATTTTGGTACCTGTAAGTGAAGTGTTACTGCGACAAATACCTCAAATTGTAGAACTGACTGGAATTAGGCACTGGGTGGAAGCTTGGAAGAATTTTGAGGAGCATGATGGAGGAAGCCTAGTTTTGAAGAGACTTATAAGAAATCTGATCTTAAATGATCCACCCACCTCAGCTTCCCAAAGTGCTGGGATGCCTATAGTTCCAGCTACTCAAGAGGCTGAGGCATATGAATGGCTTGAACCCAGGAAGCGGAGGTTGTAGTGAGCTGAGACTGTGCCACTGTACTCCAGCCTGGGCAGCAGAGCAAGACTTTAAAATAAATAAAAAAAAGAAAGAGAGAGAGAGAGAGAGAAAGAAAGAGAAAGAGAAAGAAAAAGAAAGAGAGAGAGAAAGAAAAGAAAGAAAGAGAAAAGAAAGAGAAAGAAGGAAGGAAGAAGGAAGGAAGGAAGGAGAAAGAAAGATCAATCGATCTGGTTCTTAAGGACACTGCTGGTCAGGGCTTATGAACTGCCTACAGAAATTTGGACTTAAAAGATGCTGTAGTGAGGGCTCAGAAGGAAGTAAAAAACACATTAATGTAAACTTGAGTAAGGTAGATCCTTGTTATTATGTATTGGCAGAGAGCTTAGTGAATTTGTGCCCTGTAGTTATTTGTGAAGCAGAACTTGTAAACGATGAAGTTGGATATTTACTTGAGGAAAATTCCAAAAATGAAGATGTGACCCAGTTTTATCTTGCTGTTTACAGTAAAATGTGAAATGACAAATTTCACCTACGGAGAGCAACTTTGGCCTGTGCCCCTGAGTTCCAGCCTCCCTGCAATCTTCCCTTCCTGACAGCCTATCCTATGAATTTTAGATTTGCTTAGCTGGCCCCCGAATTACATAATCAATAAACAAATCTCTACATATTTATATCCTCCAGGTTCTACTTCTCTGGTTGAATCCTGACAGAGTATTTTTAAGCTCTAGAATTTCTACTTAGCTCTTTTTGTCGTTTCCATTTCCCCTGTTCATTCATGGTAACTATTTTCCATTAAAGTCATGGACAAGGCTGGCTGTGGTGGTGCACACCTATAATACCAGCACTTTGGGAGGCTGAGGCAGATTGATTGCTTGAGCTCAGGAGTTTGAGACCGGCCTGGGCAACACTGCGGAACCCCATCTCTACAAAAAGTACAAAAATTAGCCAGGTGTGGTGGTGCATCCCTGTAGTCCCAGCTACTTGGGAGGCTGAGGTGAGAGGATTGCTTGAACGTGGAAGGCAGAGGTTGCAGTGAGCCAGGATCACGCCACTGCAGTCCAGGCTTCACAACAGAGTGAGAGAGACTGTCATAAATAAATAAATAAATAAATAAATAAATAAATAAATAAATAAAGTCATGGACAAATTTATAATAGATGCTACAAAGTTTTTGTTTGCTAATTCCAATGTCTGGATCATATCAGGGTTAGTTTCTATTGATTGCTTTTTCTCTTGGCTACTAGTCACATTTTCCAAATTCTTTGTACTTCTGGCAATTTTTACCATCTATTAAACATTGTAATGATATACTGTAAAGACTCTAGAACTCATGGAGTTTCTTTAGCAAGAAGCTTGGCTGGGATCAAACTCCAAACTTTATTTCCTCCATAGTGAGTTGCAGCTGAATTCTCCATTCAATTCTTTTATCTTACAACTACTGCTTTTGGCAGGTCTCCTAGAGTATTCTCCTGTATATATGTAGTTCAGTTGGTCAGCCAGTGATTTTTGTAGAGTTTAAAATTCATTTTGAGACTCATTCCTTTTATGGCTCCCTCTTTTCCAGGTTTTCCACTCTAAGTTTTCAGTTACTCTTCCAACCTCAAACTGTTTTGACCACTCTGTCCAGAAATACTGTAGCTTTCTGTCATCCTACACTGAGGAATTACAGAATGCCCTCAGGAGAATAGCAAAAAAACCCCACAAATTTCACCCAGTATAGCTTTTGTCTTTCAGGCATCAACTGCTTCCCTCCAGTTTTTGCTTGCTTTTCACCACTCCCCAATATTTTCATACTGTTGTGGGTTATCTTCATTTTGGGAAGGTATAGCTTTGTACTAATGTCAATTATTATTTGCAGGAGGATTAAGCTGGCCAAGCTACACCATTATTGGAAGGAGGAAGCTCAACTGAATATTTTTAAATATTCCATTTTATCTTCTCTGTTGACATTTAAGATCTATATGTTTTACAAAGATTTTTTTGTTAGTTATAATATTCATCCTCAAGAGATTACAATATTCATCCTTATCACAGTGTATCATCAAATAATATACTACTGCATGATACAAAAACTTTACAAATGTCCATTTTTCTCCCTCATGCCCTTTATACTACTATTTTCATATATTTCACTTCTACATATATATAAGCCCCATAATTTGCTGCTGGTTTTAGTAAAAATTGTATATATTTATAATTTACCTACATATTTACCTTTTAATTTACCTACACATTTACCCTTTCTCTTGTCCTTCATTCCTCCTGAAGATCCTGGCATCCATCTACTATCATTTCTTTTTAGCTGGAAAAACTCCTTTTAGCATCCTTCATGATGCAGGTATGCAGACACAAATCCTTTCGGGTTTTTGTTTTTTCCTGGTTGAAAATGTTTTAATTTCACCTTCATTTGGAAGAATACTTTTAGAGTATAGAACTCCAGATTTTCAGTTATTTGTTTCAACAATTTTAAGATGTCCATTATCCTCTCGTATCCATTTTTCTAATGAGAAGTCAACGATTCTTATTTTTGTTTCCCTGAATCTAATGAATCTAATTTGTCTTTTTTTTAAAAAAAGGCGACTTTCAAGCTTTTCTTTCATTCTTTCTCTTTTGGTTTTCAACTTTTTACTTGTAATATATATGACTAGGTTATGATTAGGTGTGGTTTTTATTTATCCTACTTGAGTGTCACTGGCCATCTTGGATTCATTTTGGGTTTGTTGTTGTTATTTTTTGAGATGGGGATCTCACTCTGTCACCCGGGTTGGAGTGCAGTGGTGTCATCTCAGGTCACTGTAACCTCTGCCTCCCAGCCTCCCATGCTCAACCGATCCTCCCACCTCAGCCTCCTGAGTAGCTGGGACCACAGGCCTGCGTCACCATGCCTGGCTAATTTTTGTATTTTCTTCTGATAGAGATGGGGTTTTGTCATGTTGCCCAGGCTTGTCTTGAACTCCTGAGCTCAAGCGATTCACCTGCCTCAGCCTCCCAAAGTGCTAGGATTACAGCCATGAGCCACCGCACCCAGCCCCTTTCATTCATTTTGGAAAATTCTCATCCATTGATATGGTTTGCCTGTGTCCCCACCCAAATCTCATCTTGAATTTCCATGTGTTATGGGAGGGACCAAGTGGGAGGTAATTGAATCATGGGGGCAAGTGTTTCCCATGCTGTTCTCATGACAGTAAGTCTCATGAGATCTGATGGTTTTAAAAATGGGAGTTTCCCTGCACAAGCGCTCTCTCTCTTTGCCTGCTGCCATCCATTCAAGACGTGACTTGTTCCTCCTTGCCTTCCACCATGATTGTGAGGCTTCCCCAGCCACGTGGAATTGTAAGTCCATTAAACTTCTTCCTTTTGTAAATTGCCCAGTCTCGGGTATGTCTTTATCAGCAGCATGAAAATGGACTAACATATCCATTATCTCTTCAAAGATTTATTCTATTCCATTCTGTTTCCTTTCCTTCTGAGACTCATTACACAAGTATTAGACTTTTTGATATATTCCCTAGGCTTCAGATGTTCTATTCTTTTATTTTCTTTTCTTATTTTTCTCCCTATGCTTCAGTTTGGACAATTTCTATTGACTTGTCTTTAAGTTCTCTAATCTTTTTTCCACTGTGTCCAATCTGCTATTAAGTGCTTCAAATAAATTTTTATTTTTGATATTGTATTTTTTGGTTCAAGATTTTTTTTCTAGTTTCTATTTATCTATTGAATTCCTTACCCATTTACACATTTTGTCCATCTTTTCCACTCTTTAGTGGAAAGATGTAATTTACAAAAGTTACAAAAGTTCACTTTACAAAACTCCTTTGGTGTTCACTTTAGAGAAGTTGTTTAAAAGTCACTGCCTAGTAATTTCTAAAGTCACTGCCTCCTAATTTCTATATGTGGGTCATCTGTAAGTCAGCTTCTACTGACTATTTTTTTCCCTCTTGTTTATGGGTTACATGTCACTGCCTCTGTATTTTTTGATTGTTTGCTAGACACTGCTTATAAAGGTGCAGTAGACACTGATGTAACTAATACTTATCATTAGAAAAGTGCAGGTCCTTTTTCATTTTTAGCAGCTAATAGTTGATCTGGGTCAGGACTTTGCTGCAGCTTTAATTAAATTCAGTTATCTGCTGTTTACAAATGATCTGAGGAACAGATCAGGTTTCCCCTTTCAGCAGGGCATTAGTAGTAGTGGCAGATTCTAGAGATCTTTCTCTGTGTTACACCTCAGTTTGCCAGGCCACATAAGAAATCTTTGTTTTAGAGCTCAGCCATAAGCCTTCAGGCTGGGGAAGGGGTCTTCTTTGCTCCCTAGATCCATGCCCAGCTTACTATACCTCAAAAGATTTCTCATTCCTGCCCTTCCCTAGCCTTCGAAAGACTGCTAAAGTATATTTGGTCACATCTTATGTGCCTCAGACTTGTGGAATGATCTTAGGCAAATCACTAAATGCAGTACTTCAACATTCTCTTTTATAAAAATAAAAGGGATAGGATAATTCTTAATGTCCCTGCCAACTTTCATATTTAATTATCTATATATCTTATGATCAATGCATATATTTTTTGTTCAATATCAGTTTGTTAATGTGCTATTAATAATTAAGTACATATACAAGAGCATACAGTAAGGTTAAAAAAAGTGTGACTTGAAATTCCATAATTTTTTTAAAAAATTGAAAAACATTGAACTCATCTGTAAAGTTAGCACTGCCCCAAAAAAAATTCAAAAAGGAAATAAACTCTAAGGTATATTAACTTCGCAAATGGAAAATAACCCAGGTTTAGGTGAAGACACTTACCCATCCTCAGTTTCTTTTAGTAAGCGACTGGCAATTCGGATCAGCATGCAGTAAGCAAACTGTGACTTGAGACCAGATTTAGTAAACTTATTCAACATCTTGGAAACAGCAAGTCGATCATTCTTTCTAAGGTGATACAGGACTCCCAATGCATGGTACTAAAGAACATGAAAAAGAAGGTAGCACATGGATTAGAAAGATGTCAAAATATTTACACAAAAATAGAATTACACGGAACTAGATTAAAGATTTCTTTAAAATACCCAGGTCACATGTACACAAATATTTTTTTCACACTGAACTAAACACAGGCAAGACTGAAAAGATTAAACGTTTCTAATTTACCCCTAGAAGCTGTCAATTCAGACTGGCAGGCATAAAGGAGGTGACATACAACCTGAAGATGGCTCTAGCAGGCTCAACACTGGCTCACACATCCTCAGTACACACGCTCTCGGGTCCAGGGCTTTACTGGTGCTATCTGTCTCTACGAGTGGCTTTACATCATCTGTGGCCATCTTAGTAATTAAAGGATTAATCTCCTAAAGCAGGCTACAAGAGTGTCATCATCTTGACACTTTGTATAAAAACACATGATCAGAGTCAGGAGAATGAGAGTGTTTCCCAAGGGAAAAATGACTACTCTGTTTCCTAATAACTGAATATGTTACCATAGAAGTTATAAACATCAAGAGGGCATAAACGCCCTCTCAAATAAAATGGGGTACTTTACACACAATTTCCAGTGAAGAATTTAATCTTATTCCTCTTAAGAATAACCTAATAAATATCAAAAGAGCTCTTTTTGACAAAATGGTTTCAAAGTTTCATAAAGTAAAAGCTGCTCCGTATGATTTTTATAATGCCTATAATCAAGGCCTCAGAACTTGGAATTATCTTTTTACACAAATTATTTTTCAAATAAAAGACTGCCACGAGCATCTCAATCTACTACTGAATATAACAATCTTTCCCAAATATTCCTACAAAGGGTCATCTAGCTTCTATGAAACACCTGAAGGGCAGTATTCAAATGGCAGTAATCATAATTAGTGAGATTCCTACTTCAGAATACGTACTAGTAGCTGCTTAATTTGCCTTTAGTTAATGTTTATCTAGGGAATCGATACACTGCCCCTACAATACAGGTTTAAAGAATGCTGATCCTGAGACAAGCTAATGTGATTCAATGACAATACCTGGACCATAATATTATCACTTGATGCAGCTTCTTGGGCTTCATTGATCCAGCGCTTAACCACATCATAGCTTATCTTCATCATGTGCTAAATACAGAAAAAAAAAAATGAGAATAAATAATGCTTGGTCACTAGAAGCTTAGAAACATGAGTTAGTTTTCTTTGAAAATCACAGACATTTCCCAAGAGGAAGAAAACTATGTAGCTCTTATAAGTCTATTTTGTGTCTTTACTCCTGGAGCAACTGATAAACCAGAAGTATTTTCTCCCATACCTGTTACAAAGGTGAGTATATGTAAGCTGGGAGAGGTGTGTAAAAGGAAGTAATGAAAGAGGAAGAACAGGATAGGGATGGACAGTCAACAGAACGGTGCTTAAATAACGTTATCATAACAAGCTTTACTTCCAGGAAACTCCCCTGGAAGAAAGAGAGTACTAGTATATTCTCTGCTATAAAACTCAGCCAATTATATTCCAGAATCAGGAACTCTTGTATTTAGATGTCTTACACATTCACATATAGGTAACTGACGTTAATCAAATGCAATGTGATAGGTTTTAATGTATAAATTGTGTTCTGCTGAAAAACGGAAAGAAAAATGTATTACTAAAAAAAAGACCACTTCCTGGGAGGAAATTCAGAAGTGGGACAGGAAACTTTGGATTGAAGGATACACGTAGACAAAGGGCACCAGAAAAAGCAGAGGACAAAGAGACAAGTAGTAGAAGTCATAAAGGCAGGTCATAAAGAAGATTTTAAATGAAAGAAAAGGGTCCTAGGTTTCTTTCCTGTCCCATACCCCACACTTACCCCTCTTTTATTATGTGTACAACATAACTTTCAGATTTCCAAAACCTTTCAAACATACGAACATTTTATGTTTTTAATTGCTCAATGATCCTATAGATCAGCAATCTCCAACCTTTTTGGCACCAGGGATTGGTTTTATGGAAGACAATTTTCCCATGGACAGAGGGCAGAGGGATAGTTTTTGGATGAAACTGTTCCACCTCAGATCATTAGGCATTAGATTCTCATATGAGGCCGGCAACCTAGATCCCTGCATGCGCAGCTCACAATAGGGTTCGAGCTCCTATGAGAATCTCACACTGCTGCTGGTCTGGCAGGAGGCGGAGCTCAGGCAGCAATGCTCGCTTGCCTGCCACTCACCACCTGCTGTGCAGCCCAGTTCCTGACAGGTCACAGACCAGTACTGGTCTGAAGCCCTGGGGTGGGGACCCCTGCTCTAGATAAAACACACTTGGATAAAGTAATAGAGGTGTATACATATTTTTAACTGTTTCATTTGTGAGACAATCATAGTGATACTTTGTTTTCGCAACTCAAAACTGTACCATGCTTAAGAACTAGGAAGCTGCTTGTTCACTTACCAGGGAAGATACCAGTGCTGAACTGGATACACTGGAAACTTTATCCACAATGGCCTGCTTCATGTATCTTTCAATGGCTTGCAACATTGTTCCCTAATAACATTCAAAAAGAAAAAATTGTTAAGGAAAAACATGCTTATGCAAAATTACTCTTATGCTTCAAAATAATTTTCAAAAACCAATCTTATATTTGTTTCTGTGCAAATATTCAGAATGCACTAAAAGGATGATAATATAGTAATAATATCCCAAAGGGCAGAACCCAAACAACGAAGTTGAAGCTTTAAGAAAGAACATTTAAGATTATATATAAAGAAGAATAACTGTTCAACAATGAAATAAACTGTCTCAAAATGGAGAATCTCAGTTTGGAAGAAATACACAAGCAGAGGCTGAACCCATCAGGAAAGTCATAAAGAAATTCCTATATGGAGATGGAGCCTGCTTTTGAAGTTATGAAGATTCCTCTATGTGAAGGGCACATATTATATACAGATCCCAGAGAGTCCTAGAAATCAAACGTAATCCCTGATTATCTGAGATACATAAAGAATTAAATGTGTAGTGTACTACTATAGTGAGCCCTCAACATAAAATCCTCTGGAAATACAGTTCTTTTTAACTTTAACTGGGAAAAAGCACTGGGAAGGTGGTGGCAGATAAAGATGAGTAAAAAGACTGAGAGCAATATTCAGATGAAAAAAAGAGTTTTATTGCTAGCACTAGCATGGTCAAGTCTCACGCTGCTACCAATGTAATGCAAAAAATAAAAAACAATCACAACAGAACAACAGTGCACCAAAAAATATTAAAGCATTTCTATTACTCCTTCTAGAATCCAGATTTATCAGATGTATAATTTGGTCCTGCTCAACCTTTACAACTTAAGAAGGTTACAAACATACACCTAAAATATACCCAAGCATGGGTATATAGCTATTATTCAATTTGCTTGGTAATGCCTGGCCTACCCTTCCTACTCAGAGTTCCCAGAAAGAGACAGCCTAACATACTACATGATCTCATCCCTCCAGATATAATGAACTGGATCAATGTTAAACACCTGACTCAGACACAGGTGGATATAAGCTACTGGCCTATTGCTGACTAATCAGATTCTCTCTCTTAAATGTTTCAATAAGAGGGCCTGTGTCTAGTACATGATGGATCACCACAGTGAATAGCCTGGCCAACATGGTGAAACCCTGTTTCTACTAAAAATACAAAAATTAGCTGGGCATCGGCCTGGTTTTAGAAAATATTTCATAGGGAAGTTGAAGATCTGGAAATTTATTCCTTTAAAACTCTCCTCAGACAGATTTGAGGATATTGCCTGGGTATTCCTTGCAGTCTTACCATACCCTAGGAAAATCTTCATTTACCCCACTTGGAAGACTTCTTAATATAGGCATATCCAAACTCCAATGTCCCTGACTATCCATTATTTTGAGACACCAAAGCAAATGTCCTAGGAAGTAAGGAGGAAGACTTGTTGTTCTTGGAATAGAAGTGAGTTATGAGAGAAGTCAAAAAGGATGGCTCCAAGTTGGTGTAGCATGAAGGTCATGGATACGGTCCTTGGCTTTGCAGTTCTAGAAGTGGATTTTGTCAGTTCACACAAAGGTATTCATGTTTTGTCACATTAAATCAAACTCATAGGAAGTTATGTACATAACAGAATGCCAGTGCATTCTTTTATACTTATAGCCACCAAGTGAACTGGATTATCGCTCCTGTTGGGGAAATCTTATCTGGGAAGATCAATTATAATCAGAAAGTTATATGAGGAGTGTGGATCTTGAGCATGGCTATTGTCAATGAGCTGATGAGCAGGTGCTCAGTGCCTGGCATATAATAGGAGCTCAGTAATTATGGAATGAATGCACTTCATCTATGTCTTCGTTATAGATGCTAAAGGGGAAGTTTAAGATTCTGATAGGCCACCCCAACAAGTTTTTTGATCAGGTAGATCTTTCCTTTTTCCTCAAGTTATACTCTTAAATGGCTATATCATGTAGATATTAAATCCAATAAAATTTCATGTCAGGGAATTATATAATTGCAACAGCTAAGTTTTATCTATCATCTCTGAGCCTAGAAGTTAGGACTGTTTATTTATAAAAGAGATTGGAGATTGCTTTCTTGTGCCCTGTAGGAGTAGTGATGGTGGTAGCGGCTGAATGATCTGTATTTCACAATACTGTTTGGTGGCCAAGAGTGTACTGCATACAAAGAATGACACTGGGTGACCTTCAGTGCTGGCGCTTTCCTAGAGGTGGGACACCCTGACTAGGGAAGTGCTGAGCCACCTGTGGGCCAGCCAGTGGTTGTGGACTGTACTGTGGTGAGGAGGAACAATAAATTTCCCCCACTCCTTAGATCCCCCTTAGGACATAATACTTGATATTGCTTTTAAGGATAGACAAAAAGACAAGCCTTTTCAAATTTTAAAATCATTAGGGATGAGTTGCCAAAAAATTTGGATAAGTTTTATCTGGAAGCCAGAAGACATTGTCTCCTCAAGGCTTTTTCTGGCTCTAGGATAAGCTATTGAGATAGAGGAAAAGATGCCAGGCTGAGAAGTTTCATTTAGTATTTTAACAATAATAAAAAAGACATACAAAATCCAAACACTTCTTTTTACAATTCAGATATATATTTTTTTCCAAGTGCAAAATACTCTATGAACTGCATCATTTGCTGTTTATTGTTGATTGTGTAGGAGATGCTTACTATATTGGCAGCAGTGGAAGGCAGATATAAATACAGTATTTTGAGATTTCTTCTGCATTTTAACAAAAAGCCTCCCACATGGCGATGATTATTCTGAAACTTGAGTTCAGCTCACACAGAAGAATAAAGTTTTCAGTTTGTTCAAACTGCTACAAAAAAAAAAATTAGCCAGGTGTGGTGGTGGGTGCCTCAAATCCCAGCTACTCAGGAGGCTGAGGCAGGAGAATTACTTGAACCCGGGAGGCGGAGGTTGCAGTGAGCCAAGATCGTGCCACTGCACTCCAGCCTGGGCGAAAGCACGAGACTCCGACTCAAAAAAGAAAAAGAAAAAAAATCTGCTGTTGAATTCTTAAAGCTGCCCAATTTCTTGCCCTGGTGTCTACCTATAAGCTTCACCTCAAATTCTGAGATTTGTGTCCTATAATAAAGCTTTTTAAGATAAATTTGAATGGGTTTTTGTTTCCTGCAAGCAATGTACCCTCACTACAACAGTTCAAGGGGGCAAATAAAGAGAGAAAATGGACTAACATAAATAAAGGAAAAAAATCTGAAGACAAAAGAAAGCCTGGAGCCACAAAAGCCTTTCTGGTGATCATGTTTCTCTTATACTGAAAATTCACAAAGTCAGACTAGGAAATCCTACTAAATCTACATGGCCACCTGCAGATAAACATAGTGTTCCATTTGGTAACTCAGTGAAACAGATAACTTACATCGGTGATCCTGCAGAGAGCTCTGATGGCCGGGCCTCGGTATACATCTTCTTTTCCAGTCATGTCTTTAGTCAGACTAAGAAAAATCAAATTGGTTAACATAAGATCAATTAAAATCTCTCCCATGGAGTTCACCCCTAGCCAATTTCCAATTGTCCCATAATTATCTTAATGCAGCTACTAATTCAACAAATATTTATGGAGCATATTCTTTGTATATGTGCTAAGACTACTGCGTAGAAGACTGTTCTAATTCAAGAATAAAGCAATGAGCAAAATTAGTAAAAAGCAAAAAGTCCTTTGCCTTCATGGAACTTATCATTCTGGGAGGAAGAAAGATAATCACGTAAACAAAACAACCCCTTCCCCATAATTTTAGATACTGATAATTAGCATAAAAGATAAACTAAGGACAATGGTATAAAGCGTCCTAGTCTGACATACCCCCAAATCCTAAAATCCCATCAGACTAGACATAACTTTTAAAAATAAATTAACAAAAATAATTAACTCAAGAGGTATCTCTCTTTGGCATGGCTTTCTAAAATTATCAATGGCTTCAGACCTTTCTGCTGAGCTTCAAAAACAGGCAGAGGTGTGAACTAGCTACAAAATTCCATGTCCATGCTTTAAAGAGGTTTTTAACCTTTTACCCTCCCTTCTTTAGCTCCCCATGCATTTATACTACTGCTATCAATCTCTCCACTTCCTCAACTCCTCTCACATAATCCAAAATGGTCTACAACTCTGACTCCCTCCATTAGGAAACCAAGAGGAAGAAGTTTTGACTGATAGTCCTTCATTTCTTTTTCAATTAGGAAAGCAATTTGGCCAGGTGTGGTGGCTCATGTCTGTAATCCCAGCACTTTGGGAGGTCAAGGTGGGAGGATTACTTGAGCTCAGGAGTGCAAGACCAGCCTGGGAAACATGACTAAACCCCATCTCTACAGATAATACAAAAATTAGACTGGTGTTGTGGGGTGTGCCTGTAGTCTCAGCTACTTGGGAGGTTGAGGTGGGAGGACTGCTTGAACCCAGGAGGCAGAGGTTGCAGTGAGCTGAGATGGCACCACTGTACTCCAACCTGGGTGACAGAGTGAGACCCTGTCTCAAAAAAAAAAAAAAAAAAAGACTTTTTTTGGAAGTGTCCTGCACTTAAAAAATTTTGTAGCGTGGGCATTTTTCCCTGATGCACTCTTTCTGGCTCTGTCAGATGCAAGCTTGGTTTTCCGGATTTCCAAGAGGATCTATGAACTAGATTCTACTGCCAGCAATGGGGAGCCCTGAACAATACACTCGTTCAGTAATTTAAGTGCCAAGGACTATGAATTTTCCTCTGACCATAGCTTTAGTTGAACTCATAGGTTTTCATCATTAGATTTTAAAAATATTCTGTAATTTCAATTTTTACTTATATACTGTCCCAAAAGTTGAGGTTTTCTTTTTATTTTTCCATTTTGACATATCTGGGTACTATCTGTTCATTTTCTTCTCAAAATAAATGTATCATTTGATTGCATTGTAATGACAGAATAAGTCTCTACTATATTTCCACATTCTAGAATTAACAGGTTTTCAGGGGCTGAATGCTGAATAATTTGTAAGTGTTCCATGAATACTTATAAAGGTGACTTTTCTATTATAAAGGTAAGGTTTTCATAAGTATTAATCAATCTGTATCAAGTATATTATTCATATCTTTTTTACCCTTAGGTTTTTCCTTCTTTTTAAAACAAAGGCTGATACTATTTTGTTTCTATTTACATTTTTTGTGATTTTTGGCTTATGTACTTTGGTGTTACATTAATAAATAATTCATGACAGTTCCTCCTCATTTTGGATAAAGTACCTCATTCTTGTCTCCTTCAAAACTTTTTGCATTTAATTCAATTTTCTAATTATTAATACCTTCACCCAAGCTTCCTTTCAGTAGTGTTTGCCTTATATGCTTTCACCCCTCCTTTTATATTCAAATTTTGCTTTGCCTTGTTTTATATACATCACAATATGTAGCATATAGTTAGCTGTATTTTATTTTTAAACTAATCTGTATTTCTTTTAATAGGCAATGTCTGGTGTTAATTCTATGAATTTGTTTTGTGTTACATCTCTATTTTTAGTACTTTCTTTGTTTCCTATAAGGCAGTGTTATCCAACAGAACTTTTTTCAATGATGGAAAATGTTCCATCATTCAGCATAGTAGCCACAAGCTAAATGTGTCTAATGAGCACTTGAAATATAGCTAGTGTGACTAATGAACTGAATTTTCAATTTTACAAAAGTTCAATTAATGTTCACTATAATAGCCATATGTATCTAATGGCTATCTTATTGGACAATACAGATGTAAGAGTGTCTTTTGTTTTCCTAAGTGAATGTGTTTTCTCTCTGAAATATGGGAGATTTACATTCTAGTTCTTTTTGTCGCTGCCATAAAACTTTAGATAAAAGAGTTAAGCTATGAAAGCAAAAAAATTAATGCACGTAAGCTTTCTCCTCTCTCATCTGCCCTCCCGTGTATCTCCAAATTTTTGTTAGTATTATTCTTTTTGTATTATCATGGATTATAACATTTACATTCTATCTTTAATCATAATTTCTACAGTAGTTTAACCCTACTTCTATAATTGAATACATTCAATGCTCACTGGTAATTCATTTCCTGTAGCCCCTCTATTACAGAATTCACTCTTTTGATTTAATATAACTTCAATGCTTAATTTTATTTTTCAAGAAAAGCTCACAGGTGTTATGGTCCCTGAATTCTTTCCAGTGTGGAAGTCTGCTTGTTGTCCCTGTACTTGAATGACAATTCGCTTAGCTGTATTATTCTTGTATCACATGTTCTGTTTCTTAAAACTTTGCAGATACTGTCCCCATTCTTTTCTGACACTGAAAACTGCCATGAATGGCTGAAGTCGGACTTAGTTTTTCTCACTTTTAAATGACTAGCTTTTTCTGCCAGAAGTCTTAAAAATTACTTGTTTCTCTCCACAGTACAAGTTAACCAAGATGCATGTTGGTGTCAGTCATTCTGTTACAATTTTTATTGGAATACAGTATGCTATTTTAATATGTAGATTTATTTTAATACGTAGCTATGTTTTTAAAAGTTCTCTTTTTTAATGTTTTATCTATAAATAGGGTTACTACTTCAGCAATGTCAAAAGTTTTGCCCTCTCATCTCTATTAAATTGCTTAAATTTTTTTCTTTTAGTTCAGCATTTCAATGAGTGTCTGTTAAGTGTCAGACACTGTTCCAGACACTTAGGATACTTTAGCAAGCAAAAGACACAAAGACTCCTGCCCTCAACAAGCATACATTCTGACAGGGAACAATCTAGTAAATATTTCAGGCTTTGCAGGCTATATGACTACCCCATAACCACTTGATTTGGTTGCTGTAACATAAAAACAGCCATACACAATACATACACAACCCTCTGGCCCATAGAGTGGAGCTGGGTGCCACAGGGACTATTCCCAACCCTTGAAACCTAAAAGTTTACCTGATTAAATTTAAAAATTGTCTGGTGCTAGTGACTCTTTTCTTTCCTCTCATTGTCTCCCTTTCTGAATGGGAATGTATATAATTGTTATTCTATGCCTGTCCCACCACAGTATTTTAGCAGCACATAACTTGTTTGCTAGTTTCACAGGTCCATAGATAAAGAGGAATTCTGTCTTGGGATGAATCATACCCAGAAACTCACCTATACTGGAGTTAGATGATTAGATTATGAGATTTGGGACTTTTGAGTTATAATATTTAACGAGATTTTAGACCTGAGTTAATGCAATGGGTTTAGATTTTGGAAGATTTTTACAATATGGTGAATGTGTTTTGCATGTAGGATGGATGTAAATCTTTAGGGACCAGACAGAAGCCTGTGGTAAGCTAAACAACAGCCCCCAAAGACATCAAAGTCCTACTCCCTAGATCCTTAAATGCACTTTATATGGCAAAAGGTACTTTGCAGATGTGATTAAGTTAAAGACACTGAGATGGGGAAATTATATTGAATTATTTGGGTGAGTCCTAAATGTAATCACAAGTGTCCCCATAAGAGCAAGGCAGAGGGAGATTTGACACAGGAAGCATATGTGACAACGAATCAAGAGACTGGAATGATGGGAAAGGGGAGCTAGGATTCGAGGAATGCAAGTAGCCTCCAGAAGCTAGAAAAGGCAAGAAAACAGATTTTGCCCTAGAGCCTGCAGAAGGAACCTGCTCTGCCTATACTTCTGACATCAAACCGGTGAAACTGATTTTAGACTTCTAGCCTCCAGAACTGTAAAAGAATTTGTGTTGTTTTAAGCCACCAGATTTTTTAAGTTACTAAGTTTGTGGTAACTTGTTCCAGCAGCACTGGGAAATCAATGCACAGGAATGGCACATTTATTCTGTAAATATTTTAGACTTTACAGGTTATATGATCTCCTCACAACTACTCAATTCTGTAGCTGCAGCACAAAGGCAGTTATACACAATACATTAAGAAATAGTGTGGCTGTGTTCCAACAAAACTTTATTTACAGCTGGGCACGGTGCTCACGCCTGTAATCCCAGCATTTTGGGAGGCCAAGGCGGGTGGATCACTTGAGGTCAGGGGTTCAAGACCAGCCTGACCAACGTGGTGAAACCTCGTCTCTACTAAAAATATAAAAAACTGGCCAGACGCGGTGGCTCACACCTGTAATCCCAGCACTTTGGGAGGCCGAAGCGGGTGAATAACAAGGTCAGGAGTTCGCGACCAGCCTGGCCAACATAGTGAAACCCCGTCTCTACTAAAAACACAAAAAATTAGCTGGGTGTGGCAGCCCACACCTATAATCCCAGCTACTCGGGAGGCTGAGGTGGGAGAGTCACTGGAACCCAGGAGATGGAGGTTGCAGTGAGCCAAGATCATGCCACTGTACTCCACCCTGGGAGACAGAGCGAGACTCCATCTCAAAAAAAAAAAAAAAAAAAAAAAGACAACAAAAAAACTTTATTTACATGGTTTTGGCCATGTACCATAGCTTGTCAACCCATGTTCTATACCTCTGTCATAGCTTTGGCTGTCCTGACAGCAAAGGCTTGCATAAAGGTAGTTTATTTAGGAAGGTGTTCAGACGGTGAAGTGAATGACAGGGAAATGAACAGGGAAGGAGGTAAAAACAATATAAAGACCTTTCCTTGAGTGGGTCACTGATGCTGGCCACTGGTTATTTAATGAGCAATCTTCCGAGGAGCCTTATGAAATACATCTCAGAACCACTAACTGTTAGCCCCTGGCTGAACGTTAACCCCAGAGTATTAATTCCCCCATACTTCTGGGGAGTATACACGTGAGCTGCAAGTGAATCTGAGTAGGCAAAAAACACTCAGTGCATACCTGAAGTAAGGCAGTAACAATGCCAGTGAGCTGAGCCCCAAAAGACTTGCTCATGATGCCACAGCTGGAATCACAGATAAGGCCTGAGACCATGTGAAGTGGCTCAAAAGAGGTGTCCAATACAGTCTACCCTTTCCATCCCTCAAATTTGTTCATGTCCTCCATTAAGTCTAATCTATCATGGAGGCTTCAAGACGGTAGCAATCACTATTTCTACAAAAGACTAAATAAAGGAAGGTGAGTGGAACATAGTTCAATCCTTGCTGCTACAACTAATTCCAAGGCCATAATTGATATTCATCATCTCCTTCCTAAAACCACCCATTCTACATTTCCTTCCCCACTGGCCAGCACTTTACCTGGTTTTGGCTACTTCTCCAATAGTTGACTCAAACCTTTATCCCAAAGGATGTAAGCCCTGTGTTGGGTGCACCCTGATTGAACCACTGATTGTTCTCTACCCCTACCACCACTGTCAGAGGCAAGAAAGCACCAAAATATACTCAAGGGAATACCATGAATTCTAGACAGAGTCCTTTCTGCCACCATTATACAGAAATGATCCTAGCTCCTGACAGGAATCAAGGTCAATGACCTCTATGAGTACGGTAGCACTTTCCTTACCTTCACTAGAATGAAGAATCCAAAGTGACCTAACAGTGATCATCATTCCAAATATGCAAACTGGCTCAGTTTGTGGCCCTGACTTCTCTGACATGGGAGTGTCAGCTGCCTGTGGTTGCCAACGTGTCACTCAGAAATATATAATCCTGAAGTGTGGGGTATTTCTGTGCTAAAGATAATCCTCAACCAACAGGAATCAAGGGCCAATGAGTTAAATGCTTCTGTCTTTTCACACCTGAAAAACACTGGCCCCAGGAACCAGGGTCTCTAATTCACATTTGGGGTACAGATGGGATGCTGTCTTAGTCTATTCCATGGGTCTAATTCTGTACTTTCCATTTGTATCAGATTGTATCTGAAAAACATAGATCAGTCTGACCAAGGTGACCACATTATAGAGTCACCACACAATTTTATTCCACGGTCTGTTAGTCTGTTCATGTGCCAGTACCATGCTGTTTTAATTGTACACGCCTTAGATTTACTGACTAGTAGAGCTAGCTTCCTCTCCCCTCTACCCAATCCCTCATGGTTTTCCTTTTTCAGTGACTTCCCAGCTATTCTTACATTATATTTTCCACGTGAACTTTAGTACCAACCTGCCTAACTCCTGTTGGTATTTTCATTGGGATTCCATTGAATTTATAAATTAGTTTAGGGAGGAATAAAATTTTTATAACATTGAGTTGGCCTATTAAAAAACAGGCAATAACTCTGGGCATGGTGGTGCATGCTACGGCCCCAGCTACTCAGAAGGCTGAGGTGGGAGGATTGCTTGAGCCAGGAGTTTGAGGACAGCCTGGGCAACATAATGAGACCTTGTCTCAAGGAAAAAAATTGAAAAATAAAACAATTTTTTTTTTCAAAAAACAAGGTATCTTTATATTTGTTTAAGTATACTTTGAGTCTTTCAGGAATATCTTAGTCTATTTGGGCTGCTATAACAAAATATTACAGACTAGGTTTCTTATAAACAATAAACATTTATTTTTCATAATTCTGGAGTCTAGGAAGTCCCAGATCAAGATACTGGCAAATCTGGTGACTGGCAAGGTCCTGTTTCCTGGTTCAGATGGCATCTCTTCTAGCTGTGTCTTCACATGGTAGAAGAGACTAGCTAGCTCTCTGCAGTCTTTTCATAAGGGCACTAATTCCAATCCCAAGGGCTCCATCCTCATAATCTAATCACCCCCAAAGGCCTCACTTCCCAACACCATGAACTTGGAGGTTAGGAATTGAAAATACATACTTGGGGGGACACAAACATTCAGACAAGAGTAAGGGGCTTAATATTTTTTCTAAGTTTTGTACATTTATTGTCAAATGTATTCCTGAGTGTTTAATCTTTTTGGTTGTTGTTGTAAATGGGGTTCTATCTACTATTATGTCCTCTATGTGCTGTTTCTATGAAGACTATTGATTTTTTTTACTTTTTTATTTCAATAGTTTTAGGGGTACAGGTGGTTTTTGGTTACATAGATAAGTTCTTTAGTGGTGATTTCTGAGATTTTAGTGCACCCATCACCCAAGCAGTGTACACGGTACCCAATATGTAGTCTTTTATCCCTCACCCCCTCCTAACCTTCCCCTCTTCCAAGCCCCAAAGTCCATTATGTCATTCTTTTGCCTTTGTGTCCTTGTAGCTTAGCTCCCACCTGTAAGTTAAACATACGATACTTGGTTTTCCATTCAAGTTACTTGACTTAGAATAATGGCCTCCAGTTCCATCCAAGTTGCTGCAAAAGACATTCTTTTGTTCCTTTTTATGGCTGTATTCCATGGTGTATATACATACTACATTTTCTTAATCTACTTGTTGACTGATGGGCACTTAGGTTGGTTCCACGTCTTTGCAATTGTGAACTGTGCTGTTATAAACATGCATGTGCATGTGTCTTTTTCATATAATGACTTCTTTTCCTTCGAGTAGATACCCAGTAGTGGGATTGCTGGGTCGAATGGCAGTTCTACTTTTAACTCTTTAAAGAATCTCTATACTGTTTTCCATAGTGGTTGTACTAATTTACATTCCCATCAGCAGTGTAATAATGTTCCCTTTTTATCACATCTATGCCAACATCTATTGTTTTTTGACTTTTTAATTACGGCCATTCTGGCAGAAATAAAGTGGTATCTCATTGTGGTTTTAATTTGCTTTTCCTAGATGATTAGTGATGTTGGGCATTTTTTCATATGTTTGTTGGCTGTCTGTATATCTTCTTTTGAGAAATAAGAAGACTATTGATTATTATATATGAATTTTATATCCTGCTGTCCCACTAAATTATTGAGTTCATTTTATTACTGATTATCTGGGGTTCCTAGGTATTCAATCACATCATCTAAAAACAGATAGCTTTACTTCTTTGTTAACTCATTCTTATGTTTCAACTTGGTTTCTCTTGCCTAACTGCATTGCTAAATACCTCCAGCACAATGTTGAATAGCAGTGAAGATAATGAACATCCTTGCTGTGGTTCCTGATCTTAGTGGAAATGCCTCTAGTGTTTCCCCATTAAAAAAAAAAGGGGGTCATTTTTGACAAGCTGTATTTGCCTAAAAAATTATCCATTAAATCTAGGTTTCAAATTTATTTCAAAGACTACAAATTTGTCTTTTGATTTTTACATTTCTTCTGTTTCTCCCTTGTCATTTATTTTGCATATTTATGCTTTCTCCGTTTTTTTTTTTACCAACTTAGCTTACGGGTTTATTTATATTGTTAATTTTTTCAAAAATAGGATTTTGATTTAATAATTAGATATGTTTTTCTATTTTTTCCTCATTAATTTCTGTTTTTATCTATACTAATTCCTATCATATGCTTTCTTTTGAATTACTTTGTTGTTCTTTACCTAGTTTTTTTGAGCTAAGAATTTAATTCACTTTTTATTCCTTCCTTTTCATTGATAAAAGGTATTTACTGCAATGAGTTTTTCTTTGATCACTCCTTTAATTCACCATATAGATTTAATAATTTATTTTTAACTGACACATAATAATTGTATATACTGATGGGGTACACAGTGATGTTTTGATACATAGAATGCATAGTTATCACATCAGGGTAATTAGCACATCCATCTCCTCAAACATTTATCATTTCTTTTACTGGGAACATTCAAAATCCTCTCTGAGCTATTTGAAAATACATAATAAATAACTGTTAACTACAGTCATCTTGCAGTGCTATATAGTCTATAGATTCTGATATGTAGTTATGTAGTGATTTGCCTTTTTTCCCCCAAATTCAGCATGACCATAAATCACAAATGACATCTCCAACCAGAAACATTCCAACCATAAAATAAACCCCTCCCTGACCAGAGACATGCCAGCCCCGAGACAACTTCCCCTCGGGCCAGAGAGATGTCAGCCTCCCGAGTGCCTGCCACCACACCAGGCTAATTTTTTTTTTTTTTTTTTTTTCTATTTTTTAGTAGAGACAGGATTTCACTTTGTTAGCCAGGCTGGTCTCGAACACCTGACCTCATGATCCACCCAACTCGGCCTCCCAAAGTGCTGGGATTACAGGCGTGAGCCACCATGCCTGGCTAATGAATACTCTTAGTCTATAAGAGAGAGCGCTCCTGAACGAAATCGGCCAGAAGTCCCTCTCATGTTTATTCTCCAAAATAAACCTATCTTTGACTGTTGAGCTGCTTTTCATGTTTCTTTCCTCTTTCTTTAACTCTTACACTTAGACCTTGAAAGACCCTAAATATCCACCTTTCCTTCCTTTTCCCATTGACACCTGATTGCCAAAAGGCACTTCTTTTTTCCTTTTTGCCTTTTTTCTCCTGGAGAAGTGTATGTTTGGAACACTGTCCCTTTATGTTGTGGTGGTCCTTTTAAATTACATTTGCCCTTTTATGTTGAGTATTTCTCTTTAAATTGTATGTCTAGCCTCTGAGACAGGGTCGCTCTGTTGCCAAGGCTGGAGTGCAGTAGCACGATACTGGCTCATGGCAAACCTCCACCTCCCAGGCTCAAGCAATTCTCTCATCTCAGCCTCCTGAGTAGCTGGGACCACAAGCATGCCCACCATGCCCACGTAATTTACGTATTTTCCTTATTTGGTAGAGATGAGGTTTCACCATGTTGCCCAGGCTTTTCTATTGTGCTTAAATCTTTAAATCAAGTACACTTTGAAATCCGTTTCCTATAGTAAATGCTCTTATCTTCCCCACTAACTTTTTAGTATTTTCTGAATTACAACTGTGGAGTCCTAATCAGGGAAAAGAAGTCAGGCTGGCAGGACCAAGGAAAAGCAAAAAGAGAACGCAGATAAGCTGTAAGTCGGCCTTTCTTCATGGTCTAGGACACATAGCCCTCCTGCACAAATAATTCACAATCTTCCTATGCCCAACTTATCACTAGACCATCAGCTAATAGAAAAATGCAAGTTAGCTAACTGCAACCTTGGTGTTATCAGTACTGCACAAAGCCCTCTTCAGCACAGCAAGAGCACCATCCTATAAAATCCCAGGCAAGCCTTTGTCTCCCTGAAGTCAGCTCCACTCTTGCTGACTGGGCCATTGCACCCTAGCAACATGTTTCCACTTTTTTAAAGAATCCGTCTTTCTTTACCTACACCCATCTTGGGCAATTCTTTTTACCGTCTTCATGACACCAGCCCCAGATAGTCACTACCCACAGCAACAACTTTAATCTTTCTAGTTGTTGTTCCTGCCTGGTGGTTGCTAACCTCCCTCTTCTATCTATCTACAACCTTAGTGGTTGGCCACTGCTTGCCCCAAAGACTTTGGGGATGCGGGGGGTGGGGGGTGTGGTTCGGGGGGCGGGGTGCGGTTCAGGGGAGGGATGAGGAATTACCATACTGGCATTTGGCAGTTTTTCTTTTTACTCAAAGTGGTTTCATACTTTTCAGTATTCTCTGAACTGAAATAACTCTGAGGATGTAGTTTTACCAAGAACAACTGTAGTTGTAAAATTGTTTCTTATCATTTAGGGAGATTTTGAGTCATTGATTAGTATACAGCCTTCATTGTCTTCAACTAACGAGAAGTCCATACATGTCATTCAACTGGTGTGTTTAGACAATCCATTATTAATATAATTACTGATTATGACTGGATTGAAATCTGTGGTCTTGTTAGTTTGTTTTCTGTTTTTGTTTTTGTTGTTGTTTTGCAGGAGACTACAGTTTTATTATTCCTCAAATCAGTCTGTGGTCTGGCTAGTTTTATATTTGTTCCATCTGGTCTTTGTTTCTCTGCCCATCTCCTCTACCCCCGCCCCCTTTCTGCCTGAGTTTGGGTTAACTGAACACTTTTTTCCTTTAATAACTTTGGTACCAACTATTTTTATTATTCCATTTTACTTCCTTTACTAGTTTATTGTTTATACTTCTTTAAATTTTTTTTAGTTGTTGCCCCAGGGTTTATATCTTTACTTAATAACTAAGAGTATCACTTCATGGCTAGAATAAGAACCTCTCAAGGGTATATTCCCAATACTTTCCTTCTATTCTTTGTGCAATTGTTCTAATATATTTTTATATATGCTTTAAACACATTACACTACTATTTTTTGTTTTAGACATACAGCTATTGTCCAGAATAATTTTTCAAAAAGAAAAAAGTGAATGTGATTTTGCCCTGGCTTGTTTCCAGTGTTCTTTTTGTGTAGCTCCAAGTTTCTGCTTGGTATCATATTCCTTCTATCTGAAGAATATCCTTTAACATTTCTTGCAGAGTAAGACAGCTACCAATAAATTATCAGTTTTTGTTGTGTAAGAAAGTCTTTAGGCTGGGCACAGTGGCTCATCCCAGTAATCCCAGCACTTTGGGAGGCCGAGGCAGGAGGATCACTTGATGCCAGAAGTTCAAGACCAGTCTGAGCATCGTAATGAGACCTCTTTCTACAAAAACAAAAATAAAAAATTAGTCAGGCATAGTAGTGTTCGCCTGTAGTCCTAGCTACTCAGGAGGCTGAGATAGGAAGACTGCTTGAGCACAGGAGTCATGCCACTGCACTCCAACCTGGACAACAGAGCAAGATGCTGTCTCATAAATTAGTAAGTCTTTACTTTTCTATCACCTTTTAAAGATAGTCTCACTGGGTATAAAATTATCAGTTGACACAACATTGTCTTCTAGCTTGCATGTTTTCTGAAAAAAACAGTCTACTATAATCTGTTTCTATTTGTATAATGTTTTGTCCTTTTTTGGGGGGGGTACCTTTAAAATTTTCTATTTAAATTTTCTTTTTGGCAGTTTCACTGATATGCCTAGAGGTATGTGTATGTGTCCCATGTGGTGTTCTTTGAGCTTTCTGGACATGCATTTTGTTGTCTGTAATTAATTTTGGGGAAAAAAATGGCCATTATTACCTCAAATGCTTTCTCTCTCCTTTCTCCTTCTGGAATTTTATTATTATTATCATTTTTTTTTTTTTGAGACAGAGTTTCACTCTGTCATACAGGCTGGAATGCAGTGGTGTGATCTCGGCTCACTGCAACCTCTGCCTCCCGGGTTCAAGCAATTCTCCTGCCTCAGCCTCCCGAGTAGCTGGGACTACAGGCACATGCCACCATGCCTGGCTAATTTTTTGTATCTTTAATAGAGAGGGGGTTTTGCCAAGTTGGCCAGGCTGGTCTCAAACTCCTGACCTCAGGTGATCCACCCACCTCGGCCTCCCAAAGTGCTGGGATTACAAGTTTGCGCCACCACGCCTAGCCCTTCTCCTGGAATTCTACATATGCTAGTCTGTTTGATATTCTCTCAGCTCTTGAAATTCTTTTTTAGGAAGTCTTCTTGTGTGTCAGTTTAGGCATTTTTATAGACCTATCTTCAGGTACATTTATTCTTTCTTTGGCTGTGTTAAGTCTACGAATGAATCTGAAAGCAATCTTCATCTCTGCTACTGTTTTTAATTACTAGCATTTTGTTTCTTTCTTTCCTTTCCTTTTTTTTTTTTCAGACAGAGTTTCGCTCTTGTCGCCCAGGCTGTAGTGCAATGGCGCAATCTCGGCTCACTGCAACCTCTGCCTCCCGGGTTCAAGTGATTCTCTCGCCTCAGCCTCCCAAGTACTGGGATTACAGACACGCGCCACCATACCTAATTTTTGTATTTTTAGTAGAGATGGGGTTTCACCATGTTGGCCAGGATGGTCTCGATCTCTTGACTTCATGATCCACCTGCCTTGGCCTCCCAAAGTGCTGGGATTACAGGTTTGAGCCACCGCACCCGGCCCCTATTTAGGTCTTATTTAATTTCTATCACCAATGTTTTGTAGTTTTTAGTCTATATATCTTATACATCTTTCATCAGATTCACCCCAAAGTATTTCATATTTTGATGCTACTGTAAACAGGATTAATTGCAACTTACAACTGCTCTTGGCAAGTATATACAACATAATTGATTTTTGCATATTGATCTTGTATTCTGCAAATTTGCTAAGCTCACTTATTACTTCCTGTAGCTTTTGTTGGATTCCACAAATTTTCTACATAGACAATGTCATCAGCAAAGAGTCTCAGTTTTCTTGTTCAAATTGTTTTTCCTTAATAATTTTTCTGTATACTTGCTCTATGTTTTTGAGAGATGAGTACTGAAATTTCCAGCTTTAATTGTGGATCTGTTGATTTCTCCTTTCAATTCTACCAATTTTTGTTTCAAGCACTGTGAAACTCTGTTATTAGCTCCATAAACAATATTACTTTGTCCTCTTGGTAAGCTGACCCCTTTATCCCTAGTAATATTATTTATTCTGGAGTCTACATTATCTGAAGACATACAGCTTCTTGTGATTACAGTTAGCATGGTATATCTTGCTTCATCTTTTTACTTCTAATCTATTTGTTTCTTTATATTTAAGGTATGTTTTTATAGGCAGCATAAAGTTGGATTTGGCTTTTTTAAGAAATCCAATCTGAGCTGGGCACAGTGGCTAATGCCTGTAGTTCCAACTACTTGGGAGGACCGCTTGAGCCCAGGGGTTTAAAGATGCAGTGAGCTATGATCATGTCACTGCACTGAGTGACCCCATCTCTTAAAAAAAATCCAATCTAGCCATCTTTCCCTTTTAATTGAAGTGTTTAGAATAGGTGCCTTTAATGTAATTATTGATATGGTTGGGTTGGAGTCTGTCATCTTGCTATTTCTTTTCCATTCATCTCATCTGGTTTTTGTTCCCTTTTCTTTTTCTTTTCTTTTTTTTTTTTTTTTTGAGATGGAGACTTGCTCTGTCACCCAGGCTGGAGTGCAGTGGCATCATCTGGGCTCACTGCAACCTCCGCCTCCCAGGTTCAAATGATTCTCCGAGTAACTGGGATTACAGGCACGTGCCATCACACCTGGCTAATTTTTGTATTCTTAGTAGAGATGGGGTTTCGCCATGTTGGCCAGGCTGGTCTCCAACTCCTGACCTCAGGCGATCCACCTGCCTCGGTCTCCCAGTGTGCTGGGATTACAGGTGTGAGCCACTGCACCTGGCCTGAATTTTGTTCCCTTTTCTTTTCCTCCCCAACCTTCTTTTGGGTGGAATATATGTTATGATTCTATTTAACTCTTTTGTTGGCTTATTAGCTATAATTCTGCATTGTTATTTTAGTGGTGGCTTTATACAGTAAATCTTTAACCTATTAGATTTTCTTCAAGTGCTAAAACACTTCATAAAGAGGATACAAACTTTATAGTAATAAAGTACCATTTCTCTTCTTTGCCTCATGCTATTTTTGTCACAGATTTTATTTTACATATGTTATAAACTCCATACTAAATTCTTTTCTTTAAGCAGTCAATTAACTTTTAAAATTA